>NC_000005.10:61984807-62609807 GCF_000001405.40 Homo sapiens | reverse complement strand
TGAATTATGTGCTCCCAGACCCCTGGGGACACCAACTAACATGGCAGTCTAATGAAGTGCCCATCACCTCACCCAGCATAAACTCAAACCAGGAAGACATTGGTGACTGGGAGGCCTAGGGGCAGGCCCAGCTCTTCTCCAGACTGCTCCACTAGAGATGTCAAAATGACACAATTGTGTTGTCAGCCCTACATCTCAGTTCTGTCTCTACACTGGTCTAGGAGCTCCTTGAGGGCAGGGACTGTGTCTCTCATTCATTCATTGGTCCATCCAGTCACTTATCCATTCAACAAACATTTGCTGAACACCTGATATACATCATACATGCTGTTAGGCACTAGGGAGCTTGTATCAATCATATATTTGGCCTTATTATAGGGATTTGATCTTCCATGACTGTGAGAACCAGTTAAACGTCTAGTCCATGGAAGGCTGTTTCTTTTTGTGCTGGTGATGCTATAGCCTGAAGTCATATGGCCCAAGGGACAGGGCAAAGTGAAACTGCAAGAATGAGTAGAACCTACAAGAACAGATGGGAACACCCTTTAGCCTCTCATCACTTCCAAGTCTTCAACTTTGCTGATGGGGTATCTTCTAAGAGAAGCCAATGCCTTCATTATTAAACTAGGCATGTGCCTGGCTCTAAAGTAAGAGAAGCTAGAGAGGATCTGGCAGGACGTGGAGTTGGTGCAGTTCCAGCTGCTTCCCCACACCAACATGGTGAGCCAGCAGACAAGTGACAACACACATTAGCTGCAACATCACACTCTGCTGACTTTCTGAATAAAAATCATATGAGGCTACACAGTGTATGAGTCCTACTGCATAACATTCCAGAAAAGACAAAACGATGGAGACAGTAAAAACACCAGGGGCTCAGGGGAGGGAGGGATGACTAGGCAGAGCACAGGATTTTGAAGGCAGTGAAACTCTTACGTATGATACTACAATGTTGGATACACATCGTTATACATTTATTAAGACCCATAGAATGTACAATACCAGAGTGAACCCTAACATAAACTATCAATTGTCAGTGATGATGTGTCAATGTAGGGTCATCAGCTGTAACAAATTTAACACTGTGGTACAGGATGTGGACAGTGGGGGAGGTTGCATCTATGTGGGGGACACGGCATATATGGGAATTAAAATGGCAAATGAGAAAACTCAGTGGGGAGAAAAGGGACAAAAGGGCTATTCCAGATGGAGGACTAGCATGTAATAGAGGCAGAAACCATATAACGTGTGGAGACAAGTCATTTGGTTTAGCCAGTGAAGGAGATAGAATGAGAATACAGGACAAAGTTTAAAAGGAGGCAGACTGCAGAGGTCTTTCTTAAAAGAGTGTCAAGGGGTTTAATTCTTATTCTAGTGGTTTTCAACCCTGGTTATATACCAAAAGAACATGTGAAGCTTTTAGAAAATATGTATGCCTGATTCCCAGGCCCCCAGATACAGTAAGTCTGAAATAGAGAGGGTGAGGGCTATAGCTTGTCCAAAGGTAAAAACAGCAAAGAATATGGTACTCTAGGATTTAAGAGGACAAAGTAAGGAAAAATTGTAGGGCTCCAGATAAAGTTCAAAATAGATCTACCAAAAGAAAAGGAATGATTAGTAAGGAAGAAGAGACTGTGATGAGAGAGAAATGTTGGAGTTCAAGGTTTGGGGTCAAGATGTGGCATGAGAGGCCAGGAGTGGTGGCTCATGCCTGTAATCCCAGCACTTTGGGAGGCCAAGGCGGGTGGATCACTTGAGGTCAGGAGTTCAGGAACAGCCTGGCCAACATGGTGAAACCCCGTCTCTAACCTAAAAATACAAAAATTATCCAGCAGTGGTGGTGCACACCTGTAATCCCAGCTACTTGGGAGGCTGAAGCAGGAGAATCGCTTGAACCCGGGAGGCAGAGGTTGCAGTGAGCTGAGATAGCAGGTTGCAGTGAGCTGAGATAGCACCACTGCACTCCAGCCTGGGTGACAGAGTAAGACTCTCCAAAAAAAAAAAAAAGAGATGTGGCATGATACTAGAAGTGATAAATGTTAACTGCGCAAGTTGAGAAAAGAAAAAAGGTCTCTCAACTCATAACCTGGGTGGACTGCATGTAAGCTGAATACTAAAAAGTATTTTCAACAATGCTATAATTTATCTTGATTACTGAATGCTATAAGGTAAGGATTCTCAAAGGGCAGTTCTGAAGCCACCAATATGATGATGAATTATTCTCATATTATTTGCAAAAGGAAAATGTATTTTATGCATACATTAAAAATTACTGATATTTAATTAAGAACAACACAGTACCTTATCAGTACCAATACAATTCTATCTTTATAGTAGTTCTGCTGAGGTTTTCTAGAAGCAAATGGGAGCAGGCAAAAGAATCAATCTACTGGTTCTCAGTGGTCAAAATCATCCAGAGAGAGTTTAAAAACTCCCACCCCAAGCCACTACCACAGGGTGCCCTGTTGACATTATATTTGGAATAAAGATTTCCAGAAAACCTTATGAAATAGTTTCAACTCATAACAGTGTCACTTTCCTTTTGATGATGTATTCTAAATTCTAACAAGTACAAGTCTAAAGAAAGCTTCTAGATCCAAAAGTTAGACAAAATGAAAGTTTTCAGAGTTGATGAGTAAAGGAGGGGAAAGCAGGGAGGGGAAAATGAGGGAGATATCTCTGTGCTCTAAGAGAAAAATGTTAGCTATGTGTAGGCTCTGATTGCAGGACAATTCCATCCTCACAGTGCAGCACTGTTCTCCATCCTTGAGCCAGTACAGTATTTGGCAAGAGCAGTACAGAAACAATAATCACTCTAAGACAGTACAAAAGCCATGCTCAGGATTTGTTATATTTGGCATGAAACTTAGGATGTACTTATAAATTCATCAAATAAAATGCAACTCAACCTAACGTATAGTTTACTTACATATGCTGGAGCCTAGGCAAAAGACTATGATGCCAAGCTTGCCAGAGCTGCAGTCTACACATACTTGATTGCATTAAAAAGCTAAGTAAAGCTGCAGATTATGTTTGCCATATATATGTTTCAATTTAAAACACATTCAAATGATAATGCAGCAGATGGGACTACAGGCGCATGCCACCACGCCCGGCTAATTTTTTTGTATTTTTAGTAGAGATGGGGTTTCACTGTGTTAGCCAGGGTGGTCTCGATCTCCTGACTTCGTGATCTGCCTATCTCGGCCTCCCGAAGTGCTGGGATTACAGGCGTGAGCCACCGTACCCGGCCGCACACATTTTAACTTCAGTGGTTTGTAATGAGACATAAGGGTTCTCCTTTTTTTTTTTTTTTTTTTTTTTTTTAAGACAGGGTCTCGTTCTGTTGTCTAGGCTGGAGTACCAGTGGCATGATTTTGGCTCACTGCAACCTCCGTCTCCCATGTTCAAGCAATCCTCCCACCTCAGCCTCCCAAGTAGCTGGGACTACAGATGCACGCCATCATGCCCAGCTAAATTTTTTTTTTTTTTAGAGGCAGGATTCACCTATGTTGCCCAGGCTGGTCTTGAACTCCTAGGCTCAAGCGATTTGCCCACCTCGGCCTCCCAAAGTACTGGGATTACAGGCATAAGCCACCACGCCTGGCCCAACTTTTCTCTTTCTGAATGAGCTCAACTGGTAACAGATTTGCTCATTAGCTTGATTCAGCCATTCTGCAATATACACATATTTTAAAACACCATGTTGTACACCACAGATACATACAGTTTTCATTTGCCCATTTAAAAAAAACCAAGTAATAATATGAAAAAATAGGGAGGGTGGAGTGGCTCACACCTGTAATGCCGGCACTTTGGAAGGCTGACAAGGGAGGATCTCTTGAGCCTAAGAGTTCGAGACCAGCCTAAGCAACAAAGTGGGACCCTGTCTCTACAAAACATGTAAAAATTAGCGTAGTGGCATGCACATGCGGTCTCAGCTACACAGGAAGCTGAGACAGGAAGGTTCTTTGAGCCCAGGAAGTTGAGGCTGAGTAAACCATGTTTGCACCCATTGCACTCCAACCTGGACAACAGAGCAAGACTATCCCAAAAAAGTAAATAAAATAATAATAATAATAATAATAATAATACTTTGTTAGCTGGTATCATAGAGTTGTGAGAAAGCATTAAAATGCTCAAAACTAGAATTTGGAAATTACAACTTACAAGTGACTATGAGTCAGATTTCAAAAAATTACAAAAAACTAAAGATGTTAATAAATTAGCTGAAGTCTTTATAGTAAAGGTCATAAAATTATTATTCTACTAATTAGAATATACTGGACAGAAAGGAAACATATATTAAATGAAATGCTTGAGCTGCATGTGCTATTCTAAGTATTATTTCACCGAAATGAAAGGTAGAGAGAGAGGCTGAATGAAAAGGGAGATCAAAAGGCTGGACAGCTTAATAGCTTTCCTGAGTGTAAATTTCATCCTTATTTGAAATAAAATATAGAGAATTCTCAGAAACGTATGGAAAATTATTTGGCACATTTGATATAATATTAATCATCTGCCTTTCTGAACTACAATCACTACTGCTATTCTCTACCAAAGCAGCTGCTGAAACACAGACACCACATTTTATGGACTACTTTAAGACAACAATGACAGTAAGCGAATCAAATTTTCATTTATGTGACCTTGGAACTAAGCAGCTATATTTTTCTTCCTAGCAAATAATTTCATTTTAAAATGAGAAAAGCCTTTGCTAATTTTTTTGTAAAGAATAATTCATAACCATTTGCCAGCAAATGTTTACTCTCCCCCTTTGAAGAAACAACCAAGATATTGCTGGATAGTTCTCAAAAAATGTCTAACGTTATAGACAATACAGTTCAAGATTGACGTAATTACTGAAAAAATACATTAACTTATAATTCTAAGAGATAAGTGAAACAAATTTTCTTTGTTTAAAGTTGTTGGAAAATTAGCATGTATTCATAATTGGATTTATTAAATGTTATACAATACACAATCCCAGCTTCAGTCAAAAACTGCTGTGGTATCCTCAGCATATCTAAGAGCAGTGGGTATCCAAGAGCAAGACCAAGGTACTGGAAATCTTACTAGAGATGATAATATAAATCTATATTAAATATCTACTGTAGTAAGTAACTTAAAATCGGCCACTTAAAAAAATAATGGTTGTTTTATAAACCAATACTACATATAATTAGAATGATAAAGTGGGGGTGTGAGCAGTAGAAAGACAAATGTTAGGCTATACTTAGAGATTATTACTGTAGGTGCAAAAAAAAATACTTTCCACGTATTTAAGATACCACATAGGCCAGGCATGGTGGCTCACACCTGCAATCCCAGCACTTTGGGAGGCCAAGGTGGGCAGATCACCTGAGGTCAGGAGTTCAAGACCAGCTTGGCCAACATGGCAAAACCCCGTGCCCACTAAAAATACAAAAAAATTAGCCAGACATGGTGGCACACACTTGTAGTCCCAGCTACTCGGGAGGCTGAGGTATGGTTACTGCTTGAACCTGGGAGGCGGAGGTTGCAGAGAGCCGAGATCATACCACTGCACTCCAGCCTGGGTGATAGAGCGAGACTCCATTGCAAAACAAAACAAAACAAAACAACCACAAAACAGTTTAATTTCAAAGGAAAAATACTTCTCGAGATATATAGTCATGCATTGCTTAAAGATGAGCATACATTCTGAGAAATGCATTGTTAGGCAAGTTCCTTGTGTAAACATTATGGAGTGTGCTTACACAAACCTAGATGGTACAGCCTACAATACACCTAGGCTACATGGTATAACCTATTGCTCCTAGGCAACAAATCTGTACAGCATGTTACTGTAGCGAATACTGTAGGCAACTGTAACCAAGTAGTATCTGTGTATCTAAACACATCAAAACACATAAAAGGTACAGTAAAAATATGGTATCATTATCTTATCGGACCACTATCATATGCAGTGTGCTGTTGACCGAAATGTTGTGTTGCTGAGCAGTGCATGACTGCGCAGCAGGTCCTTGCTATCATCATTTCATTGTAACTTTGAAAAGGAAAACAAATGGATTTGGGCTGGGTCCACTGTCTGTGTGGAGTTTGCATGTTCTCTCCATGTCTGCGTGACTTTTCTCTGGGTACTCCAGTTTCCTCCCACATCCCAAAGCTGTGCACACTAGGTGAACTGGCGTGTTTAAATTGTTCCCATCTGAGTGTAAGTGTGTGCAAGTGCACCCTGTCAGGAAATGGTGTCCTGTCCAGGACTGGTTCCCGTCTTGCACCCTTAGCTGCTAGGACAGGCTCCAGCCACCCACTACCGTAAAGCAGAATAAGTGGGTTGCAAAAATGAAAGAATGAATGAATACAAATTATTGTCATACAAATGCATATAAATGCTGCTCTATGAAAGCTTTCAGCGAGCTCGCCAGATTTGTTCGTTTTTGAAGTGCATGGCAGTAGGAGGTGCTCCTTACAATTTTCACTTTGCAAACATTTATTCCTTGATTTAACCCACCATCACGACCATCATCACTCACTGATTCACCAAAAACAAGGGAAAATAATTTAACTTGTTTTCATTAATCTTTCTTAAACGTATATATAGCTCACACTTACTTCAATGTTAAATATTAGAAGTGTTTTGGATCTTTATTAAGAAGTTCGGTGATGTTTTTGTGACCAGAAATATGCTGTAGGAGCTTCTTGTTTAGATCAATTAGCCCATGGTACAACTAGGTTCATTATATGTTTTTCTGCTTCAAGTTACAGTTTCCAAGAAACTATCAATGATGTTAAATGAGGACTTATTATATGTACAAACATTGTTTTGGGGGAAGAAAAGTAATGATATTAAGAGTTTTAACAGTAATTTTTCAGTTCGAAGACCCTGGAAATATGCTAATCCAATTTCTGCCGCTTTTCACAGATGAGGCAAACGGATCTACAAAGACAAGGTGACTTGCTCAAGGTCACAAGTAATAGTAAAAAAGGACTAGAATTCAGGTCTTAAGAATCTTTGGATGTTGTCCTTTCCTCTACACTATGTGCTAGGGAGATGATACCTAGCATAAAAGCAAAGTAAAATGAGTTAAATTCAAACAGTTTAAAAGAAGGCTCTCAGAGCAGTGCAATGTTAGCTATAAGCTAAGGATTAGGCCCTTGAGAGCTAACGTGCTGTAATGCGAGGTGTAAATACAATGATCAGATTAAAATGACAGCTAACTCTTACAGAGTAATTACTAGGTATCCATAACCATTTTAATTATTTATTCTATCTATGAGGTAGATACAATTGTTTTCATTTTGCAAATGAGGAAAGAAGGTATAATAAAGTTAGTTAAATGATGAGGCCAGAAGACAAGAAAAGATTCCAAAAGAAAAGGGAAAAAATAGTTTCTTATGTACCTATTTTCTATTTATGGTAAAAATAAATATTTAAACATTCACGATTATATATAATATTAAAAGGCAAGATATTTTAGATATTTCCTTTTTTTTTGTTCTTTTCCCCTTATCAGATTCCTCTGGTGAGAATTAGTGGTTTTTACAACAAGTTAGTGGTTAACTTAAGGGCATTTTTATAAAAGCCTGTGATGCAGATCAGCAAAAGTTCATGTGAAGATCTATAAAATAATAGGGAATGCAAGGAAATTTCAGTACATCTCCTCAAAACAGAAGAATAAACATTTCAACTTAAATAAGGTTTGCAGGTCACACATACCTTCCATAAGTAAAACACTAAATCATCTGCTCTGCACTAAGATAAGCAACAGTTATTTCAGATGAAAAGTTAACCTCAACTTTCTGTACTAGGAATAAAATGTATCTGTTTTAGGGTACACCTTACATTAATTCTGTAACATGGGATAGATGGATAGACATATAGCTGGATGGACAAATAGACCATAGATATTTCTGAACCTACAGAAAATGATAATATATGGTTCTTAATTTTTACAAGCTACTTTTATAACTTACCATCTTTTTCCTCTTATCTTGTTCTGTGGGTGGTTCTTCATCTTCTGTTACTTTTGGTTCCTCAAGATGAGACATCAACATACAGCTATAATAATTTTTTAAAAAACATGTTTTAAATAAAAATGTCTATAATACACTTAAAAATAAGTCCTTAAAATCACTAAGAACATGAATAATTCTATGTTCTTAGTTTTTCACACCAAAATGTGAGAAAAAGACTAGATAATTTAAAATTTAACAAAATTTTTGAATTATGAAAAGATATCTCACTATAAAAAGGGCCACACTAAAACATTTTAGAGCATTTTACTTGGGCATTTCAGTTAGTAATTTATTTATACGCCACTTCTGAAACAATGAACCATCAGCTGACAAAGTAATGCATGTATACACTTTATATGTTATTTAAAAATGACATAAACTCTTAAAATACTTATTTTTCCCCATAATTTTCACATCTACAGAATTTTATACATGCAATAATTTAAATATCACAAACATATTAATTATGTAACAATCTACCTTGTGTTCCAAATGACATGACTGTGCTATGAGGAACTTGTCCTGATAGCACTTGTACCTTCTGGGTAGTTATAAATCATTTTATTTTGAATATCTGCACCATGCTCTTTACTATTAGCAGAGGTAACAGAAACAGTTTCCTGTTCAGTCAACAATGGTTCCAGGGAGACCAGAAATCAACACTGTCTAGTGAATCAAACTGATGGAACAATCCCACTGTTTCCTAACTTGTAACAGGAGAATTCAGTAATTTATCAGCATGATCATAGGTTCCTAACCAATAAACAGTGGCAAAGAAAGTTTGGGTTCTCTTGTTTTGTAGCAAGTACAGGTGAAGGACAATTCCTGACTCAGCTGTGTAAACAGCTTTTAATACAGAACTAACACAGGTGCGGATACCAGAAAACTTGATCAGGCTCATTCTTGCAGTGGAAACAAGTGTCTTTCGTTTCTATTTCCTACCATTAAAAAAGCAATGTTTGGAGTGACTGCCTCTGATCCAGTCAGTGCCCACTGGTGGGATCAAAGAGTAAGAACCTTAGGCTAGAAATCAGAAGTCCTGAAAAACGGCAGGAACTCAATCCCTAACTCACTGCATGGCCTTGACCTGGGGCTGCAATGCTTTTGTCTGCCATGATATAATACAGTGTAGTACAAGTAGCTGGCCAATGGACTCTGACACAAAGTAAGAAAATTACATTACTCTATCAACCCAAAAGCTATTTAATAAAGTGAAGTGTCTTAAAAAGGTCTACATCCCAGTTTGTATTTTAGAACTGAATAATAATATGGGGTTTCTTTACACTAGCCAATTTATGTCTGTTGCAGACCTGAATTCTAACTGCAATGACTATGGATCTGCATGAAAGCATGCTTTATTCTGCATCAAATTCTTCCACTGCATTCCAAAATCTGTTAACTTACTCATATAGTGAATGCTCTCTGTTCTGCCTCCCTAAATTAAAAGATTTATCATATTAAGACTGGGCATGGTGGCATACACCTGTAATCCCAGCACTTTGGGAGGCTGAGGTGGGTGAATCCCCTGAGGTCAGAAGCTCGAGACCAACCTGGACAACATGGTGAAGCCCCTTGTTTACTAAAAGAAAAAATACAAAAACTAGCCAGGCGTGGTGGCAGGCTCCTGTAATCTCAGCTACTTGGCAGGCTGAGATGGGAGAAATTGCCTGAACCCACGAGGTGGAGGTTGCAGTGAGCCAAGATCGTGCCACTGCACTCCAGACTGGGCAACAGAGCAAGATTCTGTCTCCCCCACCCCCAAAAAAAGAAGATTTATCACATTAATATTAGAGTATACTCTGGAGTTACATATATACAGATTTTACTTCTTTCACTGACCAAAAACTAGACAAATAACAGAATACTGAAAAGCCCAAAGCTAAAACTGTCCTGCAGGAAAATTTCCAACTAAAAGTCAAATCTCATTTTGTTGATAAAGATTAAAGATAGACAATCACGCTTTACATAAAAGATACGTAAGAATTAACAGATTTCTAATAAACTGAAGTGTGTAGACTGTGCATGCAGTAATAGTTATACTAATAAAACAGTAAACACAACAGTTTAAAATAGGAATGACTAACGTGAATATAAGTGGCCACTCCTCCATTCTAAACTCAAGGCAGAAATCACCGAATAGATCCAGGCACTCCAGCCTGCTAAATAAGAATCTTTCTCAAGAAGAAACTTCAACCAGCTAAACAGAACCAACAGGTGTTAGCATGAAAAAATGAAACCTTTTAAGTCATTTCTGGGTTTAAAGGTACTTGTAGTAATACTTTCATTTAATCTATATAAACTCTGCCCTAAGTAATTCAGCCATTTTACAGATGAGAAAAGGCTGAATTTACAAACATTCATTGAGCGCTGATAAACAGTATTTTTCCTCAAAATTTTTGTTGTCTAAATGAACTTTTCTCTACTTCAGGGTATCAAATTTGGATGCTTTAAAATTGCCCTTATTCTAGCACCTGAACAGAATAAGTGCAATTGTCTAAAAAAAGCTTAGTTCCACTCTACCTGGAGCCCATCTGTGTGCACAGGAGGGATAGTTGGGGCAAAGGCCAAGTATTCCAGTCATTTTCTTAATGTCCAATATCAGCGATTCTCAAACTTGAGTTTTCAGCTCAACCACTTGAAGGGCTTTGTTAAAGCACAGTTGGGCCCCACTCCCATAGTGTCTAATTCAGTAGAGTTTGATGGAGCCTGAGAATCTGCATGTCTCACAAGTTCCTCTGTGATGGTTTCTCATCATTTCCTCCGTCATGTTGATGCTAATGTTGTTGAGGAAGTTGTGGGGGACACACACTTTGTTAACCCCCATTCTATGTTAGGGCAAACCACCAAAACGCTTCCTACTTATATTTTTTTACCTCTGGCCTCCAATAAATTGTTTAATAATGATTTTTTTTATGGCTATGTAACTGACTTTCAGCTAGGCTGATATAAGAAATGATTTATGGGCCAGGTGCGGTGGGTCACACCTGTAATCCCAGCACTTTGGGAGTCTGTGGCAAGCAGATCACTTGAGGTCAGGAGTTCAAGACCAGCCTGGCCAACATAGTGAAACCCCATTTCTACTAAAAATACAATAATTAGCCAGGCGTGGTGGCACGTGCCTGTAATCCCAGCTACTCGGGAGGCTGAGATGAGAGAACTGCTTGAACCTGGTAGGCAGAGGTTGCAATGAGCCGAGATCACACCACTGCACTCCAGGCTGGGCAACAGGGCAAGACTCCATAAAAAAAAAAAAGAAAGAAAAGAAAGAAAAGAAAGAAAAGAAAGAAAGAAAGAAAGAAAGAAAGAAAGAAAGAGAGAGAGAGAGAGAGAGAGAGAGAGAGAGAGAGAGAGAGAGAGAGAGAGAGAGAGAGAGAGAAAGAAAGAAAGAAAGAAAGAAAGAAAGAAAGAAAGAAAGCAAGCAAGCAAGCAAACAATTTATGGGTCGTTTCACATAAGACAAAACTGACATTGTTCAGTTGGTCTCTGTAGTGGACCTATATAATCAGCCTCTTTCCTAATTGAACCCTGAATCTGTACAGTTATCCTCTTTTCCCATGCTACCACTGTTTCAGAAAAAGCTGATCCCAGCCCCCCAGTGCCAGTAGTTCAATAAGCAATCATGGAGATCCCATTCCCCTGGTCAATGATTACTTTCAGCAGGAGAATGTTTAAGGAATTCTGGCCAATTAGACATAAGAAGACATCTAATGCAATGATTTCCAGAAAAGGATTGCCTTGATCTTAAAAAAGACATAAGGAAGAAGATTACTTATCTGTCAGTGGCATTGTCATGAACTGTAATGCCTAGAACTACTTTTTATCGATGAGGAATGGTAGCCTGCAGATGAGGTTAATATGCTGAGGGGATGGAGTAGAAAAAAACTCAGGCTTTGATGATGTTGCTAAGGCCACAGTCAGCTAATCCTGGAGTCACTTACCTACAGTCATTAGTGTATCAGAAACAACTAATTCTTTATTGTTAAAACGGACAGTCCTTGTATAGTCACTTATATAAATATTAATAAAAAATGCACTTCTGGGCTCAGGGCATGACAACTCAGTGAGAAGAAATATTATGAGTCTCCCTCTCCTGTGTTAAATTACATTTAGCCTAAAGTTTCTTCCTCACACATTTTAAGTTCAGCCTGAAGGTCTCTTCGTACACAGTAAAGTGTAACCTAACTGGAAGTGTAGAGATTGTAATCTTTTCTTGTACTAATCAGAGTTTTAGCCAATCATAGGTGGCCAACTGTTGAACATGTGTCCAAATAAGGCAAATGCTGAGCTGTAACCAATCCAGCTGTTTCAGTACCCTATTTCCCTTTTCTGTACCTCACTTTCCCGTTTCTGCTCATAAATATTATCTGACCAGGTACAGCCCTGAAGACACTGTGAACCAATTCTGGTTCTGGGGGCTGCCCAATTTGTGAACAATTCTTTGCTTAATCAAACTCTGTTAAATTGAATTTGTCTTAAGTTTAACACCTGATAAACCTACTTTCTTCTACTTGAAAATAAGACCCATGTAATTCCTAATGTTTCTTTTTTTTATCCTGGTAATTAGAAAGCATATAGCTAAGTTTTATATCCTGATGCCACAGGTTTCCCAAATCAAGGTTTCTTATTTAAATCCCTTCAATCCTATGTTAATAGTTTTCTGTTATAATGAGCATGTGCTTTCTTTTGCACTGTCTCAAATCCTCTTACCGTCACTAGACTGAATATAAGCAACTAAATATTGTATATTAGCAGTAAAGACAAAGTGCCATGAAGAAACAGGGAAAGATGGAATGAATTCTTCCTATAAGCCTGGAATGCAATTTTAGAGGTAGATATTTGCGAAGGAGGATAAGGGCTTGACACACCAAGGAGCAGAAATATTATTAGTCAAGCCATAAGTGTATGGCATGTTTGCAGAATGATGAAGAATCCAGGGAGACAAGAGAGAAAGCTGGTGTCTGAGTCAGCACAGAATAGAGCCCCATTAACTTGATCCTGTAAGAAACTCAGCTTTTAATTTTAAGTGGGGCAGAATGGATCAGAGGGGGAAAACTGAAGAGAGAGAGACTTCCTAAGGAGGTCACTAGGATCTACACAAGTTAAGATAATATACAGATGTCAGAATCCAGGAACCAACATTTCTTCTAGTATTCTCTATTCTATTCTGAAGAGCCGTTCAGTGGGTCAATGTATTGAGTGAAGGAGAAAAAAGTCCTTATAAAAGCCAAATTTTAACTTTTAGAATCCCAGGCTGTTCTACTGGTCTGAGACCACTCACCAACATCTACCCCGCCAGTCTTCCTCCACAATGGACCAAAGTGACCTTTCTAAGTATAAATCTGATTATGTCCCTCCAGTGTGGAAATCACCAGTGGACCTCCACTGACTACAGAATAGTTTCAAATAAGACTATTTCCTTTATACTTGGTATGTTTTGTACTTTCTAGCTATAAAAACAATTTATGAGTCATTTTCTAGTCAAATTTTAGTGCCTCTAGGCTTCTTAAAATGCTGGCTAAATTCTTTTTTTTTTTTTTTGAGACAGGGCCTTGGTCTGTCACCCAAGCTGGAGTGTAGTGGTGCAATCACAGCTCACTGCAGCCTCGATGTCTCAGGCTCAAGCAATCTTCCCACCTCAGCCTCCCAAGCAGCTGCTAAGCAGGGACTAAAGGCATGTGCCTGGCTGATTTTCAATTTTTTTTTTTTTTTTAATAGAGACAGGGTCTCACTATGTTGCCAGGGCTGGTCTCCAACTCCTGGGCTCAAGCGATTCTACCGTCTCGGCCTCCTAAAGTGCTAGGATTACAGGCATGAGCCACCGCGCCGGGCCACTAAATTCTTTCTTCCTTTTTACTTCCCAAACCTTGGTAAGGGATTGTCAATTTCATTTCCCAATATTCCTTTCAACAAAAATATTATTGAAGGAAATAAAAGAGAAATACTCTAACCAGACAAGCAGAAAGCAAAGAAGGCAAATCTCTAGCCCCATCAATGTATTTTCTTGGCTTAATAAAAACTCTAGCTAAAAAAATAATAAAAACAAAAACCAACCAAACCACAAACCCACCAACAAAACCCCAACAAATAAACACATTCTTCAACTCTCAAAATGGAATTCTTCTTTCTTCCAAAAGAATTCATTTTCTGTACAACTCTGAAGAAATACTAGTATCAACGTTAATAGGCAACTGTTGACTATCCATTTATCTTGGAAGATAAAACTTTTCTAACTTTAAAAAAAGAGGGATCATTAGAAGGGAAAATAAAAGCCCATTTCCATTTTTTTCCACACAGAATGTTGTTTAAATTTTAAAATGCCTGTTCAATATGTTATGAGGACAAATCAAGGTATAAAAATAAGCATAGGCTACAGGTATAAGCACAACTATTTTTAAAAATTATATATGCATGTGTATGTCATATGTCACCCAAACTGTAAACACCTTTCAATCCTCTTTAGCCATACCTACCTGTCCCCATTTCCTGCTAATCCTTCCTCCAAAATATATCTCAAATTCATCTCATCACCACTCACCAAGATAAGACTACTTTAACAGCTACCTAAATGGTTTTCCCACTTCCACAGCAGTAGGTTCTCATTTACAGTGTATATGAAACATCACAGTTCCTGTTTGCAATGCAGATTCTACTGTGTGACCCCCAAAGATTCTGAATAATGAGTCTGCACTGAGGAAGGAGAATCTGCATTTCTAACATGCATTCCAGGTTGTTCCACTGGTCTGAGACCACGCACCAGCATCTACCCCTTCTGTCGTCCTCCACAATGCATCAAAGTGACCTTTCTAAGTATAAATCTGATCATGTCCCTCCGGTGTGGAAATCACCAGGAGACCTCCATTGACTACAGAATACAGACCACAATTCTTTGTATTTCACAAAGGTTACTTAACTAGTTGGCTCCAATCCACTACATATCCTTAAGAATGATTCTCAGTTTCCCTGGACTCCTTTCTCTCTTGCACCTGGTATTGCTCCATTGGTCCCTGTCTCCCCTTCTAGGTTGTGGGCTCTCTCAGGTGAGAGACTCAGTTGCTTCCTCACACTACACAGTGCCTGGTGTAAACAGTTTGAATAAAAAGATGATCTGTCAACAAGGCTTTCTTAGTGTGATGGCTAATTTTGTGTCAACTTGACTGAGATACTGAGTGCCCAGCAATCTGGTTAAACATTACTCTGGGTGTATCAGCGAGCCTGTTTCTGCATGAGATTAGCATTTGAATCTATAAACTGGGTAAAGCAGTTTGCCCTCCCCATGTGGGTAGACCTCAGTCAATCCACTGAAAGCCTGAATAAAACTGACTGGATGAGGAAGAATTCATCCTCTGGCTGCTTCAAGCTGGGACACTGTACTTCTTCCGTCTTCAGAGCCAACCAGTTAAGTAACCTTTGTGAAATACAAAGAACTGTGGACTGTATTCTGTACTCAATGGAGGTCCACTGGTGATTTCCACACTGGAGGGACATGATCAGATTTATACCTCAGACTTACATCATGGGCTCTCATGGGTCCTAAGCTTGCTGATGGTAGATTTTGAACTCCTCAGCCTCCATAATCATGTGAGCCAATTCCTTACAATCAATTTCTTTATATATACATATTTTTGTCTCCTGTTGGTTCTGTTTCTCTGGAGAACCCTAGTACACTACTGATGTAGGTGAAGGAAATAGAGTTTTCTTCCTTTTTTCCAATTCACTCAGTTAAGAGACTATAATAAGAATTCAACAGAACCAGAAAGATTAACTTTTTTGAATAAACTGTTTAAATAAACAGGAAGGGGAAGTTGAAAGCCAAGTTAGCTACATAAGTATGTATTTTATGTTTCTCACACAGGCATTTCTGAAAGTTTATTTATGCCTTATAGTCTCATGGACTGTAACTTATAGAACTCTATTTAATTCATAGAATTATAATGTAGGAAGATTTAATAGAGATCTAGTCTAACCACTCTTTGAAACAGAGACACAGAAAAGTGTATCTCTTGGTAATTTATTTCTCAACTGTGTTTCTATATGCAAAGTACCACCCCAGAATAAAAAGAAATCACCAAACAATTCTGGGGATAAAAGAAACCAGTGGTCAGATATGTTCCAGCTACTCATCAATACTAATGCTCAAGTCTAGGCCTTTTAGCTGGGATCCTAAAACTGGTTTGTTTTCCTTACTTCCAACATATTCCCTCTTCCAAAACAAAACTTTTTCTTCATGGCTGAGCTTGGCACATGGAGACCTTGACTCATCTTGACTCTTCCACAAATCTGCTGTGTCACTCCACTTTTTTTGTTGTTGTTGTTATTTTTAGTAGAGATAAGGGTTTCCCCATGTTGGCCAGGCTGGTCTCGAATTCCAGACCTCAAGCAATTTGCCTGCCTCAGTCTCTCAAAGTGCTGGGATTACAGGCAGGAGCCACTGTGCCCAGCTAACTTTTCAGGGCCTGGATATCCTGATTTTTAATTCCATGAGACTGCACTAGATAATTTCTAAATTTTCTAGTAACTTTCAGATTCTTACCTCTTCCAGTTAAAACATGTTATAATTTTGTTCTACTTCCTACATCCTAACCCTTATCCTTCCCTGAAGACTGTAACATATAGTGCCTTTTTTTCTTTCCCTGACTATTAAAGCAAAATCTAGAACTGTACTGTTTGGTGTGCCCTGCACAAAACAAGATATAACTGTCTGCATTCATCACTAGTGTTTTAACTGTGCTATCAGCCATGTCCTCCCCTCAACTAAACTGTATACTCCAAAGAGGACAAAGGAACATCTGATCATATCCTAAATGTTTCACATTGAGTTGTAAACTTTGTCACATATTAAGTATACAATTTACAGTCGTGTGCCATTGATATCTTTTGGCTGTGTCCCCACCCAAATCTCATCTTGAATTGAATTCCCATAATCCCCATGTGTCATGGGAGGGACCCAGCTGGAGGTAACTGAATCATGGGGGCGATTACCCTCATGCTGTTCTCGTGCTTGTGAGTGAGCTCCCACGAGATCAGATGGTTTCATAAGGGGTTTTTCCCCTTTTGCACAGCACTTCTCCTTCCTGCCGCCACGTGAAAAAGGACATGTTTGCTTCCCCTTCTGCCATGACAGTAGGTTTCCTGAGGCCTCCCCAGCCCTGCGAAACTGTGAGTTAAATTAAACCTCTTTCCTTTATAAATTACCCAGTCTCAGGCAGTTCTTTATAGCAGCGTGAGAATGGACTAATACAGCCATAAACCCTTACATTAACTTAAAAAGAAAAAAACCTGCCTACATTGAATGCTTTCTTGTTTTTGGTTTGTAGTCTCAAAAAATTTGATGTTTCCACTTCATACAAACTCCAGTTTTCTCAAAAGCTAAGTGACATATCAGACACATTATGTTAATATGTTTAATAAGATTCAACAACATATATCTGCTATCCATATTTTTCAACAAAATATGATTCAAGTGACAATCTTTCCCATTTGCTAGAGATGGCTTTATAAACAGCAAAACTGAAAAAAAAAGAGCATGCTCAGAACATACTAGGAAAAAGACTTATAGACTAAAATATATTTGAAATTTTAAAAACTTAATCATCAAACAATGAGTAAATCAAAGCAGCTCAATTCAGGTTGTCGCTGTAACATAATAAAGCTGATACCAGCCGGGCATGGTGGCTCATGCCTGTAATCCCAGCACTTTGGGAGGCAGAGGCAGGCAGATCACTTGAGGTCGGGAGTTCAAGACCACCCTGACCAACATGGAGAAACCCCGTCTCTACTAAAAATACAAAAAGTAGCCAGGTGTGGTGGTGCATGCCTGTAATCTCAGCTACTCGGGAAGCTAAGGCAAGAGAATCACTTGAACCTGGGAGGCGGAGGTTGCGGTTAGCTGAGATCGCACCACTGCACTCCATCTTGGACCACAAGAGTGAAACTCCGTCTCAATAAATAAATAAATAAGGTGATACCAAGATCAAACAATAAATATTACAAGCAAAATAACAAAAACGTTTCTGTATAAAAGAGAAATTATAAAACTTTCATACTGTGCTTATAGAGTGATGGTGAAAAAAATCATGCAGCATGTATTTAATTATCCCCCAAGTCCAATTATGATTAATTAAATAATGCACCTACTCTTTATAAGTTCCTGTTTCAGGATCTTCCGTCATGACATCATGCAGGCCTTCTACTGAAATGTTTATAATCCCACAGAATTTATCTTGGATAACACTAGAATAAAAGAAAAGCAAAACAGGTTAACTGGAATACTAGATTAATTCTTTTTGTTTTTTTTTTCCTAAACATCTTCTCGAACATGAAGAGAAATTTCAGCTGTGAAATACAAAAGAAACTTTCAAAATCTATTTCTTATAACAAAAAGTTTATCTTTGCCTATAACATCACAAAATTCTTTTTCACTAATTAGTATGTTTAAATACTAGATGGATAGATTCGATAGTAAAGGAATATTTTAATATTCTTAGATTTATAACAGTCTTATGTTACTTATATAACTACAAAGATAAAGACATAGAGTATTGACAAGTAAAAATTTCTGCTCTTCTAATGACACTGTGAAGAAAAAAGACATGCCAAATTCTGGAAGAAAATATTTGTAAAACAAGTATCTGGTAATGGACTTGAATCTAGGATGTAAAAAGAACTCTGAAAACACAATAAGATGAAAAATAATTTCAATTTAAAATAGGCATCAGGTGCAGTGGTGCAAGCCTATAGTCCTAGCTACTTGGGAGGCTGTGGCAGGAGAATCTCTTGAGGCCAGGAGTTCAAGACTGCAGTGCAATATGATCACACTTGGGAACAGCCACTGCTCTCCAGCCTGGACAACACAGAGAGACCTGTCTCTTAAAAGAAACAGAACAAAAACATTTTTTTTTAAAAAGGCAAAAACATGAACAGACATTTCACCAAAGAAGATACACAGATGGCATGTGAGCATCCTAAAAGGATGCTCAAAATCATTAGGCATTAGGGAAATTCAAATTAAATTGCAATGAAATTTTAAAAAATTTAGTGTTTTTTAAATTTTTATACATTAAGGAGGTAAATCTATAAAAGTGCAGACTTTACAGACTTTTATAACGTCCAAGAAGGAAAACAGGCAGGCAGTAACACAGACAAAATTTTCAATTAACTTTTCAAAATAGTTATCTAAGCTAAAATTAATGATGCAACACTTTTTAATAATAGCAATCCCAAGACAGAAATGAATCACAACCTTAATCACCTTAGAATTTTCTCAGATCCAACCAGACCATAATTACGCTATTTATACATGGTACCTAATTAATATTTAAAGTCATTCTTGCATTATTACATTTTAAATACAGGAAGTAGGTCAAGTTAGGGTAATTTAAGAGACTAAACAAGTTTTTAGGCACTAAAACCCACAACCAAATAAAATATTCCCTTAACTGTATTTATCTGCTTATATCATCCAACAGGGTTAAGTAAAGAACAACAATTTATTGAAATAGCCAAAGGAAGAAACAAGCCCTGATTTATTAGTTTTAATCCAGAATTTCTACAACAGTAGAGACTGTAACAGTGGTAACATTAAAAAAAAATAGTTTTCCACTTTCCCTACCAGAGGAGGAAGAGCTGACAACTGGAACAGCCCCTGAGCAAGGAACAAACTTAGCTGAAAGCTGCTACAATTGGCAAGTAATAAAGACTGAGATGGTGGAGTGTCCCCACAGCTGCTAGCGGCTAAAGCCAAGACTGAAATCCAGAACTTTATACTGACCAAACCCAGAAGGCAGTGCTCCAGGCTTGACTGGAGACGACTTCGACCTTACTGTGCTGAGAAACTGCTTTCAGAGGGCTTCCACTGAGCCCACAGCTCATCTTTTGGAAGAAGTCATCTCTAGCTACTCTCAGTTTCTAGGCTTCCCAGGACTCCCGTCAGCCTACCGCAATGCAGCTTTTGACCCTACTACTCCATGGACAGATGACATCAATTTTTGAATCTAGGGGCCACACTTCAGTCTATCTCATGAGATATCTCTGCTGGGTGGACACCATTGGTCTCCCCCTCTTCTGGTCACTCTTGTTCTCTGGCACAGACTTCTCCTCTAGGGGGCCCTTCAGCATCATTATTGCCCAGGGCAGTAAAAAGAACCACATAAGGGAGTATGATTGTTGGTGAGGAGCCAAGATCACTCCACATCAGAAGAGATGGTAGCAGCCTGAAATGGTTTGGTGGACATGGGAATAAAGAGAAAGGGGTAGGTTTGACAGATGTTTAATGGGTAAGCATCACAGGATTTGGCAACTAATTTGGCTATGAAAGATAAATGGGAGGAAAGAGTCTAGGATGACTGTTGGGTTTCATCTTGGGTGGGTGACTTGACTAGGTTGGTGACTTCGGCTCAATCCAATAGGGGATACAAAGAGAGCAAAGACATAAGAAGGAAGATGATGAAAGTGGTATCCCAGAAGATGAGAGGGTGACCAACATCACCAAAAGTCAAGTAATCAGATAAATCAGGTTCTAAGCTGAGGAAGGGGAGTGACAATTCTTTCAAGAAGCTTGTCCAGGGAGGGAAACAATAGGGTAATAACTAGAGGGAGTGCAGGGTTGAAGGGGTGTTTTTTGGCTGAGGGAAATGGACCAGTAGAGGCTGAACAGCTGAAAGTACAGGTGCCAAAGGGGTGGCTGAAGGAGCAGGATCCCAGAGATGGGATGAAGTGGGATCATAACAGAGGCAGGGCTAAACACAAGGATATCTTCGTACATGAGGCAGCAGGACACAGATGTACACACTCCCTTGGAGGCACACAGTGGGAAGCAGAAGTTCCTGCATTTTGAATTTTCCTCCCTCTGTGAATTAGAAGGTGAGGTTATGTATTAGGCACGTGGGTGAGTAAGCAGTTGGAGCCAAGTGGTCAATGTTTGTAATAGAGGGCCTTGACCAAAGACAAAAAGATTGCTCAATGGCAGTGAGGTCCAACTGCAGTTGAATGCCCTAGATTTGTAACAGCCCCGATCTGTACACTTCTATCATTTTTAGTTGCTATATTTTACACCCTAAGCAGATATACATATGGAGAAATTGAGTCAGGCAATTCAGGCTTGGAAGCTTGCAAAGCTGGTAGAGTTTGAGGATGCGGGGTTTAAAGAGCTGAGGGTATGAATGAGAAGTCTGAGTTGACCACAGGGCATCTGTTGGGTCAGGTAGAGAATGGGGTTAAAAGTGGAAAAAACAAACGAAAGAAAACCCCATAACACCAAGTGCAAACATCAAAGTTTATGCCAGGCATGGCGGCTCACGCCTATAATTCCAGCACTTCGGGAGGCTGAGGTGGAAGAGTCACTTAAAGCCAGGAGTTCAAGACTAGCCTAGGCAACAAAGTGAGACCCTTGTCTCTACAAAAAAGAAGAAAATTAGCTGGGGGCAGTGGTGCACGCCTGTAGTCCCAGCTACTCAGTCCCAGCTGAGATATAAAGATGATCGCTTGAGGCCAGGAGTTCAAGGCTGCAGTGAACCATGATGGCACCACTACACTCCAGCATGGGTGACAAAGCAAGACACTGTACATTAAAAAAAAAAAAAAGTTTAGTGGTAGAGAGTAAGAAAACTGGAAAATGTGAAGTTATAATAAGACAGGATATTAGAGTTTTGAGCATGATCACAAGGGAGGAATGTGTGGTTGAAGTGGAAGTGCATACAGATTTGAAAAACATCAAGTCCAACTGTAAGGCCATGCTTGAAAACATTCAGGGTGGCAGAATTTGGGATGAAGACTGCAAAGCAGATTCGAGGCCTCAGTGACTCCTGCATAGTGATTGTGAAATTGCTAGAGAACACACAGAGCTGGTGAAGTAACCAGATGGCAGAGGCCTTCTGATCCCTCCCAGACCTCATGAAAGTGGCTGAAACTGTGGTCAGCATCAGGGCCTCAAATTGTCGCTCCACCAGTGACTAGCTACACGGCCTTGGGCAAGTCAATTTAACCTCTCTGTGCCTCACTTGCCTTATCAGTAACATGGAGGCATAATAGTATCCACAAGGAAAGTGCTTATAACAAGGCCTGCCACATGTACCAGAGCACTACTTAAATGTCAGCATCATCACCATTTCTCATTTGAACAATGAGGGGGTTAACAGTCTCTAAATCTCTTAAACTTTTTCATGTCAGTATCCTTTTACATTCTTAAAAATTGTTAAAGATACCAAAGAACTTTTTAAAGAATGTATTATAACTCAATATTTTTTATATTAGAAAACTGGGAAAATACTTTAAAAATACTTATTCACTTAAAAATGTAATAAACCCATTACCTAGTTAAAAAAAAAAAGTTTTCCCCTATAGATATTTTCCAGGATACAGCCTGCAAATACTTTTGTCGTTTAAATGGAAACATACATCCTTTCTACACAGTAATTCTGCATGGTCATGGAAAAGTATATTAATAAATCTAGCTCCCCTGAAAAATACTGGCAAGAAAATAAGCTAAAAAACCATAGTGGAAATTCACTATCTTAAAGTGAAAGTTGAATTTTTTTTGCATTCAATAATGATCCTTACAAAGGCTTTTATCTACTAAACCATTCCCCTGCTTACCTGTCTTTTCATTTTTTGAGTGCACACACACACACAGCAGTGTCGCCCTCCTCCAACAAAACCATTATCTTCAAGACTACAAGGAATAACTAAAAGGATCTATATGTCATGGCATGAGAAGAAACTGCCATCCTGTGTGATTTTGCTATAAAAAACAATGCCCAATGAAGACATACTAAGCTTCCATGAAAAGGAGATGATTAAGGGCTGGTACAGAACTGTCTGGAAAAAAAAAAAATTCAGCTGAATAAAAACACTTGGTTTGAATAGTTACTTAAAAAGTCACTTGACAGAATTATTTTTTTCAAGTGATAAAAGGAATTTATCAGAGAATTGGTAATTATGGAGCTAGCACCATTGTAGATATCGGAAACTGATGAAAATAAAGCTATACATAATTACAAGGTAATCATGAATATATATATATATATATATATATATATATATATTTTTTTTTTTTTTTTTGGAGACTGAGTTTTGCTCTTGTTGCCCAGGCTGGGGTGCAATGGCGTGATCTCAGCTCACCACAATCTCCACCTCCTGGGTTCAAATGATTCTCCTGCCTCAGCCTCCTGAGTAGCTGGGAATACACGCATGTGCCACCATGCTCAGCTAATTCTGTATTTTTAGTAGAGATGGGGTTTCTTCATGTCCGTCAGGCTGGTCTCGAACTCCCGACCTCAGGTGATGAAGATATATTTTAAGAACAAATCAAAAAGGCCAACTCTGTTCATGTTACCAAAGTTATTTGAAAAGGTAATTGTAGCTTGGGATTAAATTCCTGGAAAAGTCTTGTATGCCACACAGCTCAGATCAAAATGAAGATAAAATACTCTGGAAAACAGTGTTACATGATCAAAGGGAATTTTGACTGATAATGATGAAGACACCAATGTCAAAGTTTGCAAGAAGCATTTGAATAACATTGTATCATGAATAAAAGAAAAAATATTTCTAAAGCAAAATTTCACATTTAAAAATACATATGTGTAATTAAACTAACAACTTCATATAAACACGTTTACTGTTTTGTTACAGCTTTCTAATAATAATGTATTACAGTTGACCAAAAAACTTTATGCTCAATGACCTTTCTCTAAGCTCTGTAACCCTAAGTACACTGGCATCTTTCTCATTCACTCTTGGCACTCTCACAATCATCTCAAAATTAAGAGATCCAACACCAAACTTATGAGTGCCTCCCCAACAAAAACAAGGAAACCAAAAACAGAGAATCAAAACCAGGTTCTCTTCCTGTTTTCCTTATCTGAGTAAAAAGCATCTCTATCAACCCAGTGACTCATGCTAGAAACCAGGAATTCAGTTTTGACCTTCCTTCTCATTTACCCTTCCATTTACTCAATTCATCAACAAATTCTGTCAAATTTATCTCTGAAATTTTTCCTTGTTTCTACTCCTCTATATTCCTACTATTAACACTGTGCAACAAGCCAATTTTGTCTTGAGTTTAAACTACTGCCTACCTTTCCAAAACAAGGAAACTTCCACTCCTGACTTCCTCTAATCTGTTCTCTATACGGCACACTAGAAGGCTTTTACAAAATCTAGTATCTTTTCCTTGCTTTAAAGCAAAAGTTTATACCTTTCAGTAACTTTCCATTACACTTAAAAATCCAAACCCTTAATCCTAGTTTACTCAGCCCTATATATGACCTGGTTCCTGCCCAGCTCTCTGACCTTACCTAGCCTCACATTGTTCTCCACCTTCACAGGCTATCTTTGATTAACACTTTCTAGTTTCCGGGCTTTCACAGGGGGCTTTCCATCTGCTAGGAATTGTATGGCCTGGATTTACCTGGTCAGTAGCATTTATAATAAGACTACAAATACAACAACAACACTGCAGGTATGGTCCTGATTCTAGACAATGGTGTTAAAGGATGCTTTCATAGATGAGAAGCAGGTAACTGAGGATAAGGGAGTTTTGAAAGCCAAAGCTTGAGGAAACTGCACTACAACATAAAAACGTTTGCTCCTCAGAGTCTCAGACAAAAATACCAACTTATGTATTAAGTTGTGTATCATAGAAAATATATGGAAAAAAGCAATAAGGTTGCCCAAAGCCAAAGATACATACTAACAACAGGCTAGGGTTTATGTGCATGTACCGAAAACTCCACAGACATGGAAGAAATGGAGACCAAAGAAAACAGGAAGACAACATATATACGTAAGGTCTCCACATTATTCAGGATAAGAAAACTACCTTCTACTAAATTAAAATGTCCTCTATCACAAGGTATCTTGGAATTGAGTCAGAAGCAATGAAACAAGGCACATCTGGGCCAGCAGCAGGTGTACTATACATTCTTCTCTCTCATACTGCTTTCTCCAACATTTCTCTTTTAACCTACCAGGCTTCCCACATTAAAAGTGTGCGGCCACACAAGCTTATCAGCTTCAGCAAAGTGATGACCAGTGGTAGTGGGCACTTAAAAAAAAAAAACAAAAACAAAAAACAAAACAAAAAAAGCTATGCTTCAGACAGTACAGCACTAGTATAGAAAAAAAAAATGCCTATTACCTTGTTACTATTGCTGTGACCTGCTCCTATTTCCTTTTTTTTTTTTTTTTTTTTTTTTTTGAGGCACAGTTTTGCTCTGTCATCCAGGCTGGAGTGCAGTGGTGTGATCACAGCTCACAGCAACCTCCTCCCGCTGGGCTCAAGCAATCCTCACACCTCAGCCTCCTGAGTAGCTAGGACTACGGGCACAGGCCACCACACCCAGATTTATTTTTTATTTTTATTTTTGGTATTTTTGGTAGAGATGGGGTTTCACCATATTGCCCAGGCTGGTCTCGAATTCCTGAGCTCAAGTGATCCACCTTCCTCAGCCTTCCAAAAGTGCTGGGATCACTGGTGTGAATCACCGTGCCCAGCCTCTCCTATCTCCTGATCACTACTATTGAAGTCTCTGTCCCATCACCACTGAAGCCCTCATCAATAGCTTGACACCAAACGTATCTACTCCACTGACAGGAAGAGGTTGAGAGTAAGTTCTCAGTTTTACATCCCAGAAATAAGAGATATGTTTTTAAAATTCCACATTGGAATTATAAATTTAAAAGTTATATGCTTTTAATTTATAGTTTATAAATAAATACTATTGATTTCTAATATTGGTCATTTGTTATGAGGGGAAAACAAATTACTTTCGATATGCCCTGCAACTTTAATTACAATTTGTAATACTCAATGGAAAAAATGGATTCTATTCTTCCTCAGACACAGTCACATTAAATTAGAGCCTATTTTTGGGTGCTCTAATCAAGAACTTTTAATAAATGGTAGAGATAAGAACCTGTAGTAAATGGTAGAGAAATACAGAAATCTTAAGAAAGGTGAGCTTCCTTAGCTATATTAATTTAGAATATCATTTAGTTTTAACTTAGGGCTGCTCAAAATGTGAAACAATGAAATACAGAAATTGTACCCAAGAAAATTATTATGCCTGTAACACTTCAATTATACCTTAAATAAGTTTTTTAACTGTACAACTACCAAACAACGGTGAAATATGAGCTGGCTAACATTTTTCAAGGGGGTAGCTACTTACTCCAGCTCTCTTTTGATTAGTAAAAAAAGAAAAATTTTTTAAAAGGAAATAGCTGACAAAGACTGAAATGAACATTTAATGAATACCACTGTATAGAACTATGGCTCCATATATAAATTGATATTAATATAATTGGTTTTCTAGTTGAGTCTAAATCAATTAGAAGCTATACTTTCAAAAAGCAAAAATTTTGATAGATTTTCTGAACTGCCTTTTTTGAATTTAGGAATTTTAAGATAAAAATACTTTGTTATATAAATTTTCCTGAACTTCACATAGCCAGCTGTGTTGCTTGTGAACATCTTTAAGAGGGTACGGTTTAGGTGGTAAGGAAGGGAGGCATGGAGAAGTTTTCAGCCTACCTTATGTATTTCTGCACTGTTTAAATTTTTTCCCAATGAACAAGTACTTTTAGTAATTAAAGAAAAAACATAATTGGATTTGTAGGAGTTGGGAGGATACAACAAAGAAAAAAATACATTATTAAAAATGTCTCTCAAGGTGAACAAAAAGATTGCTCTTCCATAACAAAACAAATTACTTAGGAAAAATAATGTTTATTTAAATATATTCACATTTTCTGCTGAAATTATAATCCCCAAAAAGGCATTCAGCTAAGCAGGGAAAAGCAAACCATTGTTTGAAAACCCTTTGGGGTTGGTGGGGCTTTATTTATGCAATTTCTAATATATCTTAAAATTACTTTTCAGCTCCTTTCTGATTTTCTCTCAAATATATTAAGAAAAAATTTTAAATACATATTTGTGGTTCAGGTCACTATTAACTAACCAACAAGCATAGGCACTTACTATAATCCCTAATATTCTGCAGTACAAATATTCTGCAAGTACAAATTTTTGCTAATAAAGAAAACCATTATATTACTTCTATGACTTCAATTACCATCTATATTAAAGATTCTTAATCAAGGGCACTAATATCTCCTAGGGACTCTCTCAACTTCTACAAGGTCTTATTCTTCCCCACTTACCTATCTCCCAAAACCACAGCTTAAATGGTTATTGTTACTGTAAAGGGTGCATCATACATTTCCAGTGTACTGGACAGATGAAAGTTTAAGAAATATTGGCCTTTACCATAAGACCTCGCTTCTGAATTTCTGCATGATATATATTTCCATGTGGAGATCTAATAAGAACCTCAGATTCAATCTGTCTAAAACTGACTCATTATTTTGCCCCACCCCTTTTCTTTCCCTAGCTTAGTGAATACAGCACAAAACTGCCTAAGCCAAAAACCTAACATCTTTGACTTCTCCCTCCCCTGCCACGCCTCAACCAATCACCAAGGCAGTTCATTTTACTTTCAAAGTACCTCTGGATCCATCCATCCTTTTTGCCAGTATCCTGGCCCAGGCCTCTAGCATCTTTCCCCTGGATTAGCAATTCAGATTCCTACTCACCTAATTCTGGCTCCGGTTTTATTGTTCCTTCCAGAAAGAGGGAAATTTCTAAAGGGTAAATCTAATCATTTCACTCTACTGCTTAAAAATCCTTCAATGGCTCTCTGTTGCCCTCAAGATAAAGCATGTAACTATAAAGCTTTCATCACCTGATCTCTCTTTCGGGCTTTAAATCGCACACCATCATTCACGACACCAGCTGTACTGAATTTTAGTTCCTGAAAAGCAGCAGGTTTTCTTCTGTTAACCCCTCTGACACGATGTTACTCAGCTCTCTTCACTGGGCTAATTTCTATTTATTCTTCGTGATCCAGTTTTGATGTCACTTTCTTCATAAAGCCATCTCTCACCTCCACAAATGTTATACTCAACAGCATCTCCAAGTACAGTACTTATCATCGCACTGTGCAGTAACCATATATCTCCTCCTCTAAATTTCAAGCTCTACCTAGAATAAGAACCACGTCTATTTTTTTCATATCACAATCCTAGAACCAAAGCAGCAATATAGTATAAAACTGAAAGCATGAACTCTAGTCAGAGAGGCCCAAAAAGTGTTACAAGCTGTGAGAATTTGGCATAGTTACTTAAACTTTAAGTTTCCTCACCTGTAAAGTATAAATAGTGCCACCTTTCAAGACTATTCACAGATTAAATGTGAAATGTGAAATATTTGGCACAGTGCTTGATACACAGAAATGTTAGCTATTATTACTTAATACAGTATATATCAAAGAAAATATTTGCTAAATGAATACACTGTTCACAAATTATTAAAAACATATTTTAATAATGCTAACCTCATATAATTCATTATATTTCCAACTAAAGTATATAATTATATAAGGAGGTTTCAGTTTAAATCATGTCCATGGCACTGAAGTTTCTTATAGACAATATTTAGTTGAGTTATAAAGCAGAATGTTCAAAAAGAATGACCTGTGCCTCATTTTCAGGAACAATTTGTTTATGAAGTCGAATCTGCTCCAAGCCAGGACTTTCTAGAGAATTTGGGGAAGTGTTACAAATTGAGGCAGTTACATTATACCTTGCTGACTGATAAAAGCTGTAGTATTCAAGTCTATTTTCCCTTGAGTTTTCTGATGCCTTTAGTTTTTGTTTAAACTGAACAACTTTGTAGATCAAAAAAATGATTAAAACACAAGCTAAGATGAAAAAAGCTAGCAAAATGTCAAAAGCCTCATTCAACTTCTCAACTTCTTGTGTACAAATTAGAGATGTTTTCCCTGACATTGAAGCAGCATCATTCGGTAGAGCACTGTTTTTTTCCAAGTTCAAGGTAACAGAAGTAGTAAGTTGTATTTGCACAGGTAACACTGCTGTAGTCTCTAATGGATTACCAAAGGCATTCTCTTGAAAAAATCTACCAGCAGGTGAAGTAGGAATTCGTTCCCAGAAAGTAATGTTCTCAGTCTCAGTATTTTCCAGAGGACTGCCATTTGTGGTTACTTTATGCCAGGCCATCATTAGCGCAGTAGTCTTGTGATGAATATGAGGAGATTTTACAACAGCCCAAGCTCTGGATACATTTATTGAAGATGTAACACAATTTGTAATGTTAATATAACGTAATGCTCTGCCACGCATGGATGGGGGATTCTGACAATAGATGTTTAGAGTAATGGCTGAAGATGCTAGCCAGTCTCGAAGGCCCAAAAGTTTGCAGTTACATTCCCAAGGATTAGAATTTGCCTGAAGATGAATCAATGAAGACAACGGCTTAAGGACCCTTGGATGCAAGGCTGTAAGATTATTAAATGACAGATTAAGGATCTTCAAAGATGCTCCCATATTTTCAAATGTATCATTATCAATGCTAATTATTCTGTTTCTATCTAACTTAAGGTAAATTAAATTCTTTAACAAACTGAATGTGTCAGAATTTAAATTCTCTAAATCATTATGACTTAAGATCAAATGTTTAAGATTATTAATTCCACTAAACCCATCCCTAGTAACATTCCTAATTCTTGAATTTTTCAGGAGGAGGTATTCCAGATTGGCAAGTCCTTTAAATGCAAAGGGCTGTATTGCTTCAATAGGATTATGAGACAAAGAAAGTCTTCTAAGACTTTTAAGTACTTCAAAGGCATTTGATGGTACTTTTGTTAAATTATTACTTCCTAAATACAAACAAGCAAGGTTTTCAAGATGTTGAAAGCCTGATTCTGATATCCTCAAAATGTTATTGTTTGATAAATCAAGTATCCGAAGAGCAACCATACCAACAAAGGTACCACTCCCAAGGACAGTGAGGCGATTCCTTTGTAGATTTAAGTACTGAACTGAAACTAGATCATTAAATACTCCTCTCGGAACAAAAGATACCTGATTATACTGTAAATATAAATTACGAAGATTTAAAAGTCCCTTAAATATTCCAGGATCTAAGCGTTTGATGAAATTATTATTTAGAAATAGAAAATATAGATGCCTCAATTGAACAAAGGCTTTTGGATATACATACAGAATGTTAGAATTATCCAAATACAATGCTACAAGAGAATGAAGTCCTGTTAATTCACTTTCATTTATATAAGATATATTATTCCCAGTCAGATACAGAAAAACTGTACTTTCAGGAAAATTCTTAGGAATACTCGAAAGGCCTAAGTTACGGCAGTTAATTTGTCTCCCAGTGCAGAGCTGACAAACAGACGAACATCCAAGTATTTCTTTGTGGAGTAATAATAAAAGATAACAGGTAACAACCAGAAACAGTCGTAGGCAAGGCAGAGAAAACTGTAATCCACACATATCCCTGTTCTTGGATTTTCTGTTCAGATCAGAATTGGCTATAAAAAGAGAAGGTAAAGCTTTAAATCACGAAAACTTCATCAAATGAATTTTTTTTATAATACTATAACTTCTGTATTCTATTTTAATTAGGATCAGCCAATAATACTATCATAAATCATACCATGGTAATAGCAAAAAATAATGAGTATGGAATACGTTCTAGAATTATTAACATGATCAGGCCATTAACCCACTATTTGACAAAATAGTTCAGATTAATGAAACATTTGCTAAGTTAACTTAAAAATTACAATTGATTACAACACAGGTGACAAATGATGTAGGAATGAGAATCTTTGAATTTAATATGTCCCTTTAACAACATAAAGTCTAATATCAAATAACATTATAATTTATGAAAATACAAATTCACTACAGAACAATTAAATTCTAAATTACAGTTTTTCACAGAACTATTTTTCATGTCAGCTAGAAGTTCATATTTAAGTAAATAATCTTACCAAGAAAAGGAAATTCGTATTATTAACACTCAGCTGATTCAGTAAAGGTTTTCTTTTTAAATCTGAAGAACGACATTTCTTAACTCCAGTTTGTTCTGTGGCACTGCTGACCTCCACCCCACCACTTTTTTTTTTTTTTTTTTAAGTCACCGTTTGCTCAGGAAACACCACTCTTCACATTGGTTCCTTTACAGTCAATGTGTAAAACAGAGGTTGCCATGGATACAGGAAGCTAAGAGACAGGAAGTAATTTTATCTGTGTTTCAAAAGTATTGCTGAACGGAAATCTCAGGAACTTATTTTTTCAGAATGCAGTTAGAGTTTTCCTAATATACACATTGAAATATCTCCTATAATATAAAAATAATAGTTTTTAAAGGATACTTGAAAACATTAGTTATTCAGAACCCAAATATCAATCAACAGACTCTAGCTATCAAACAACATAGCTACTGAATGGAAAAGGCTAGTTCAAATAAGATGTATATCGAGTAATACAATTTTTTGTAAACTTTTTAATGAATAAAATATTTATGTTGTGTTAAATACGCATTGAAGACTTAAACTTTATGCTTTATTCCTTTAATAAAAATAGGGGAAAAAATTTAGAATGAACATAAATGTTGTTATATTATCCTCCAGTGCTCTTTTTAAAATTTTCAAAATATTTTTGGTTGCAAAAAATACTGAGTACTACTTAATACGTGAGGTACTAATTGGTAGTAAGCTACTAATTAGTAGTAACGCACTAATTGGTTGTGTTGGGTTATAAGATGTTAAGAAGCTGCATACCAACTTACTGACATAGGTTATCTTTGCAAGAAAAATTGGGGAGAGTAAAAGAGGCGATGTTTCGCCCTATATATATCTGTATCAGTTTGAATCTTTTAGAACAAAAATGGAGAATTTTTTAACGTCATTTTTCAAGAATTTAAAGAATCGGATATAAATTGTTTATATTATATATTGTTCAGTCATTAACTTTCTTTCATTAACTTTAAGCTAGTTGCTTAAGCTTTCTAATTCTGACTTTTATTAATATTACTAATAGCCTGATAATATTCCTAAAATATCAAGTTATATAATTGTATACAACTCTCCTTTGATATTAAAGCAGTTTCATTTCACATCAACAATTACTTTAGAAATAATATGAATTATGTCCATATTAGAAAGCTGAAATAATACCTAGCATTATCTTTCTATGACTAAAAATTCAGCAATGCATACTGGATAGCAGATCGTTATCAAAATGACTTATGATTCTTACACCTATCCATTATGGCTGGTTACTGTTATTGCTATTTTATGCATTAAAAATGGAAAACAAAACAAGTGACAGAAATGATATGAATTTGAGGTAGGGGCTATGTTTCTCAGGTCCATTTTGTTTAGTACTTCCAATAATATACAAGGTGATATGAAGCTTGTCCCATGGATTTTTCAATTTCTTGGGAAAAATTCAGAGAAAGGGTCCTTTGAAATAAAAATAAAATTAAAGAGAAAAAACCCACAAAGTAATATAACCAGAGTATGAATTAATTTTGTTCTTTATGCCAAAAATATCCAAAGCAGTAAAGAACACTTATTAGGATGCAAAGGTAAAATTTTTAGGAAACTGTATTAAGGAAAAATGACAAAATAAAATCTCACTTCTCACATTCTAAAAACTGAAGGAAACTAAACTGACTTCAACAAAACAAGCAAATATAAATAGTACACTGTAACTCTCAGGTTGAATGGTTTAAAAAAAAATTCCTATCTCCAGCAAAACAAAGTTTAGTCTTTCTGTTCATTTAGGAGTTGCTGTTCTTAGAGACAACTGATCAACAATGATTCCTCATTATCCTTTTCTGATTACTAATGTTCATTACAACTATTACTGAACACTACGCTCAACCTCTTAAATTAGTCTTCTATTTCTTTCCAGGAAATTGACTCATTGAGCTGTTTTCCTCTCATTCTTGTTGCTGAACCTTCTTTTACACTGCCTTTGTCTTCAAATCATCTCATGCTTCTGGTATTAATACACAACTATTCTCTTTTCCATTCAGATTCTCCCCATACAAAAACAAGAATGTATAAATAACAGAGCAATTGTTCCATTAGCTCTTTTAAATATACATCATCTGTATGGATGCATGTATTCTTTTGAGACACAGTCTTGCTCTGTCGGCTGGGTTGGAGTGCAACAATGTGAGTACAGCTCACCACAGCATCGACCTCCCAGTCTCAAGTGATCCTCTTCCCTCAGCCTCTTGAGTAGCTAGGACTGCAGGTGCATGCCACCATGCTTTTTCTTATTTTTGTAAAGACGGAGTCTTGCCATTCTGCTCAGGCTGGTCTTGAACTAGTAGGTTCAAGTAATCCTCCCACCTTGGCCTCCCAAAGTGCTGGGATTACAGGTGTGAGCCACTGCGTCCAGCCTATATGTATTTAGATATATACCATCTATATATAAACCAATCAAGATTGGTTTACATATAAAGAATGGCTTATAATAACAGCAGTTACTGATTTTATGGACCTTAAAAGTCACTGATGGAACTAAAATCAAGAGAATGAAAATGTGAAATGGGATTTGCAATTAAAAATAATCCAGCTCTTCCTGCCATCATGAAGCCTGTCGAGGCCTGCTTGGAACATGACTTCTAAAAGGCAAGTATTTCTGGAAGGCTGTCATCCAAGGCCATTTTTGCGCTATAAGCAGGGTCTCTGGAACCAAAGGGAGCACACAAATCTTCTTAAAACTGAAGGTGTTTATGCCCAAGATGAAACTGAATTCTATTTGGGCAATAAATGTGCTTACGCACACAAAGCAAAGAACAACAAGTGACTCCTGGCAGCAAACCAAACAAAATCAGAGTATTCTAGAGAAAGGTAACTTGGGCCCAAGGAAACATTGGCATGGTTTTTGCCAAATTCCAAAGCGATCCTTCTGCTAAGGCCATTGGACATAGATGCTGTAACCCCTTAAAGATTTAAACTAATGAAAGGTAAATAAAGTGGACTTGTGTTCCTGGAAAAAAAAATTTAGCAAACAATTTGAGAATTCTTTTGCTCAATGTAGGAGATAAATTTTAATGAGGGGCAGTATATCTCAATATAGACCTCTTATCAGTTGCAAGAAAAAAAAATAACAACATAGTAACTATACACAGTGGGGAAATCAGATAACACCTTGACCAGCATTAACATCATCAGTGAGAAACAGATGAGCACCATGTGACTTTGCCTGTGATATTCCAAGAGGGACACATCACTTATGCAATATTCTAACGAGAGATGCATACATAAATCTAACCATAAGGAAATATCAAACCACAAATGAGGAACACTCTATTCTGCTGGGGGAGGTGGGGAGAGGATGGATGGGAGACAAAAACAGAGAGGCAATTGGAAAGATGGAGAGAGATTATAAGGAGTGGATTATTTAAAAATGTTATAAGAGAAAAAGAAAAGACTGAGGAAATGACATGACAGAGTAAAAGAGACTACAAAAACACAAGAACTAAAACAATAATTGGTCCTAGACTGTAAGTACTGAGGAGTAAGAGACCATGGCAAATACAACTTACACAGAAATGGTTCAGAATATAAAACATCTATCTAGTTATCTGACAGAAAATGTGTATCACGCAACAAACTGGGACAAAAGTTAACAACAGGTGATTCTGGGTAAAGGTCATATGAGTGTTCTTTATTGTTCTTGCAGTGTTTTTCTAAGTCTGAAATAATTTCTAAGTGAAAATATCATGACAGTAGCTATGATATCCGTGTAAAATTTGTCCATGAGCATTACTGCCAAGATATGTCACCATTTCTAAGTTTTTAATGTATGCTTTAAAATAAAAACAGAAACAAATATTGTGCTGCCATAACATGGCAAAACTATGAATATCTCTATTTGCTCAATTGTCAACAAGAAAATCAACTAAGAAATTTTTAGCTGCAAATCTATTTATGAGAATAAAAAATAAACTTTATGCACTTTATGCATGAGAAGCATAAAATTTCAACTATGCCTGTGACTATGCGGCTTTAAAAGCAAACTGATACTTTCTAAGGATGTACTGACACTAGGACACTTTCAAGGAACATTATTAATCACCCCCCAGCATGACTTTAGAAGAACATTTTTAACTTCTTGATCTCTGTTCCTGTTACACAGTCATTCTGAGAAGCATATTTTATTTCCATGGACAATTTTAGGTACCATCCTCATTGCGAGTATATGATGATAAATTTCTTTGATGTATATTGGCATAGTTTTACACTGCAAAGCACAGAAAGCAGAACTATTAAACAGAAGGGCTGTTTCAACTTAGAAAAAGCTAGCAGAGATGGATTAGAATTCAAAATATCTCCTCTTTCCCCTGGCTCCACATGAAACCTTTGGAACACTAATCTCTCTTCTGACCCTATCCACCACCTTCTGGGTTTTGCTGAGATAGACTAATCTCACTCAGCAGATTATAGTTCAGATCTGAGCTATATTAGAATTTCTCTTTCGTGCAAATCCCTTCCATTTTGATGGTTCTTATTTTATGCTTATATTACAATTTCCAGTTTACCATAGTCCCTAAAATCCCTAAAGTTTTAAACACACAAACACACGCACATGCACCAGAAGAAGAGAGGAGGGAGTAATTAGCCTAACAGATGATTTAATAAGGCTATGAGAGAGCTAAGCCTCTTCCAATAACTATAATAACCTTTGTGAAATTATTTTCTTGCCTCAACAGACAATATTATAAAATGGATGAAGTTACATGAATGAAGACTGTATTGAATATAGAAACTAGCATATGGAGTTAAAAGCACAGATTTGGGAGTCACTGTTTGTATTTTGAGGATAATACTTATATAACAAATAGCTATAGTTAGAAAGAAGTCCTACAATAAAATGGGATGCCTTAAGGACCAGGGACTTTTTATTAGCCAAGTATCCAAACAGAAGTTGAATGAACATCCCCATCAGAGATGTTACAGAAGGAAAGTTTATTACCAAATAAGGATTAACCTAAATAACCCCTAAGGGAACTCTCAATGTTAAGCCACCAGTGCTGAAGACCACCCAATACGGCTGAGAGGTATATGTACAATACTGCAGGGGCATCAAGGCTCCACACAATACTATCTATGTCAGGCATGAGACTAGTCAAATTGACCACTGTGTGAAAAATAACTCCAGAATCATGCCTATTTTTGTAATTGGAATATGGTTAACTGCTTCTTGGCACCCAAATTGCTAACCTTTTCACAGCTGGCCTTTGAAACATCTTATAGCTTGGATTTGACAGAACTTCTACCATTTAATCTCCATTATTTTGACCCGCCAAAGAAGCATCAGCAGTTCTTTCTCACTACAATAACCACTGCTCATAATTCATCCATCAGCTCACAGATCACACATATTTCTACTATGTAGTATAATATAGCTACTCAGTAATTCAGAAAAATTCCCTATATAAAATCTAACTCACAACTTTAAAAAGGAGTATACAGTCAGAAAGGTTAGTGAAGCAGAGAAATTAGGATAAACAGAATATAGGATTAACTCCTTTTGCTACTGCTGGATCAGATCTATTTATTGATAGAGTGCTTCTATGACTCAGAGAGTGTTCTCAACATTCTTCAAGTATTATCTCTTTTTAATCCTCACAGGAGCCCTATAAAGTAGGGTACTATGATTACCCTCATACAATGGATAAAAAAATGAGACAGAGAAATTAAGAGTAAAGCTTTAAAGTAGCCGGGCGTGGTGGCAGGTACCTGTAGTCCCAGCTACAAGCCGGGAGGCAGAGCTTGCAGTGAGCCGAGATCATGCTACTGCACTCCAGCCTGGGCGACAGTGTGAAACTCCATCTCAAAAAAAACAGTAAAGCTTTACACCCCAAGAAGATACTACCACATTTCCATATATAAAATTTTGTTCGTATATAATTTACGATAGGAGGTTTTTCGTAACAAACGGAACTTGAGAAAATGAAACAAAAAATGAACAATGTGCAGTGACCAAACTTCATAACTAACTATGAAAGAATGTGAAAGGCCTGGCACAGTGGCTCCCACCTGCAATCCCAGCATATTGGGAGGCCCAGGCAGGCGGACTGCTTGAGTGCAGGAGTTCAAGACCAGCCTGAGCAACATGGCGAAATCCCATCTCTACTAAAAACACAAAAAACTAGCCGGGTGTGGTAGCGCAATCCTGTAGTCCCAGCTACTTGGGAGGCTGAGGTGTGAGAATCACCTAAGCTTGGGAGGTCAAGGCTGCAGTGAGCCAAGATCATGCCATTGCACTCCAGCCTGGGCAACCAGAGTAAGACCCTGCCTCAAAGCCTCAAAAATAAATAAATAAATAAATAAATAAATAAATAAATAAATAAACAAACAAATATACATATACACAATGATTGTGTACTATAAAATCAAGATATTATAGTTTAAAGGTATTGTGTCCTGTGAATAAGCTAGCATTTTAGAGTTGTAAACACCAAATAATACTTCCAATGTATTTTCTATGTCATCTCTTCCGGATAAGTATCTATAATGCAGTGGAGAGTCTCAATAAATACTTTCTTAATAAATGCACTTGATTTCTAGAGAAAGGACAGAAGAATGATATGTTGTCCCTTTTATGAACAACTTAAATAAAAACGAGATATGTGGTTTTAAGTGGTTGGAAGAAGTACCTTACTTTAATAATGAAATATCTAGGAATATGATCTCATTTTCTAATCAGACTAACAAAAATGACTCAGAAATAGTAAAACCAGATTGTGGAATAGAAAAATTAGGCAAAAGAGCATTACTTGAGGTACTCAATAGCCTGGCAGAGAAGACATTAAGAGTAAGATAGACTGGACTTGAATTTCAGTTTGGTACTTGACTTTGGGTGGGTAATTAGCCTTTATTAGTCTTGATTACACATTTAAAAGGTTTAATAAGGCCGGGTGCAGTGGCTCATACCTGTAATCCCAGCACTCTGGGAGGCCGAGGTGGGTGGATCACCTGAGGTCAGGAGTTGAAGACCAGCCTGGCCAACATGGTGAAACCCTATCTCTACTAAAAATACAAAAATGAGCTGGGCGTGGTGGTGTGCGCCTGTGATCCCAGCTAATGGGGAGGCTGGGGCAGGAGAATAACTTGAACCCGGGAGGCGGAGGTTGCAGTGAGCTGAGATTGTGCCACTGTACTCCAGCCTGGGCGACAGAGCAAGGCTGTCTCAAAAAAAAAAAAAAAAAGTTTAATAATGTCCATCCCCATAGGGATATTGGAAGAATCAACTGAAATGTATATGAAAAATGTATTGTCAAAAGGCTATCACAAATTATGTGTTCTATTAGTTATTATTTACTTCTTGTTATCAGTTTCTTCACACATAAACTCTTTCAAAAGAAAGAGATGTACCTACTGAATAAGCTGGTATCATCACACAGTTGGTCAAATTGATTTAACAGTAGAAACAATGATTTACTGAGTGGTCATATTCATTAAGCATTTTAGAAGGCATCATATATACATTCTCCAATTTATCATAATAAGCCCTAGGTGCTAGCTGTTATCACTGCTTCCATTTGAAATATGAGAAAACTGAGAATGACAGAAAACTGGTCCAACTTCACACAAACAGTAGGCAGACCAGGCATCTGAAGCTAAATCTAGTTTCCTTTCCATTATAATGAAAATTTTTCTCTCTGGTATTCTGGATAGAATAAAAGCAGAAACTCAAGGAAAAGAATCTCCAAAAAATAAAATGAAATAAAATAAAATAAACAAAAAAGATGTTCCTCGAGCTATGAAGGAACCACTTGTGACATACACATGCATCATCTACATGGGTAAAACTAGAAAGCACACGAGACTCATTATTTTACTCCTCTGAGTACTTTTTCTAGTGTTATCCTTGTTGGAGCTAGTTATTCTGTGTATAATTATTTTTCTATATCACATCAACTACTTTGAGGCTCTGGACCCAATACCTCACTCTCACTGAGAAACATCTCTTATTCTCATTGTAAAGCAGTTTGAGGTCCTGAAACATCAAAATAATCTCATTTGATCACAGTTTAGTTTTTCTTAGGTGATATGTTTAAAAGAAGTGTCTCACAGAATGGTCAGTGATTAGCTAAGCGCACTCAGTGTCTATAATATGACTGTTACATAAGAAAACAGTTTGCCAGAAGCTTTTATCTAATTTGCAGACAGGGCACTGTTCCTAGATATGAGGAAAGCATTGAGAACGTAGTATCAAATTAACAAGCATTCAGAAACTTTCCTAAATAGTCAGGACAGGAGATGGAAGACACAAATTGTTGTTCTAAGATGCCAGAGTGCAATGAACAATCATCTATCCTAAAGGTGAAGTACAATGTGCCCTCAGTGCACAGCATGGTGATCTACCACATAATAGCATCTTTAAAACAATGCTATTGTATTAGTGTCATAAGGTTGATATCAGAAGAGGAACAGGTGAGCATTTTAGTTCTAATGTATGTTTCAAGGGTAAAGTAAATTTGTATTAAAAATGAAAACCAAAACAGACTATTTCCATTCAAATCCTAACATAGGAAGATAGAAACACCTCAAAATACTTCAAAAAGTGTGGGACTTTTTTGGGGGGAGTGGAGAGGGGAATATCTGGTTTTCAAAGAACTTTCAGAAGCTTAAAAAAAAGTTTTATAAATGATTATAACCCTTCAATGAAAAATCAGTAAGCCAAGGAATTAATCATTTACCTTCTTTTTCAATGAAATTGCTTTGTATACAGATGAAAGGAGTGAGCATCCAATTGTACTGTTCTAACACGTCTACACCCTCCAGCTTCTGCTGGATTAAAGCTAACAAAATTCAGCTTATAATTATTAGCCAATTCAAAAATAGGTATGTTACGCAAATTATGCTGGAAAACCAGTCCCCAAACTCACAAGAGCCAAAAGATACATATGCATAGCTTATACAAAAAATAAAAATAAAAGCTGCATCAAAGGGTTTTTTCCCAGTTGAACTGAAATAATCAGAACCAATAATTACTACAAATTGCATTAGATTATATAAAAAGAAGGAAAACATACATAATGTAAAGATTATTTTGATCTTCTAAAGATATATAGCCCCTTTGTAAACCATATATTCAAAGAGTGGTAAGGGAGCAGAATTTCAACATCTGAAGTCCTGAAACTTCAAAGTAATCTTATTCATGTCTCTATTTTCCTCGCATAACAATGCAAGAAAGGGATTAGTCATCATTCAATATACCCCATGAAGACTGTTTCTTTTACAGTCAACTCTGGCAAAATAAAAATTGTAAAGAACCCTCCCCTTGTTACTTCACTGCCCCTTTCCACAAATTACTATATAATCAGATAATGGAAACTAGGTTAGAAATCAGCTCAGGCTGTATTTTGAGTAAAAACATCAACAATAAGAGCAACTACTCAGAGAACAGGCAGAGCAATATGGCAAAACAGAACCCTCCAATGACCAATTCCTTGCATTCCTCCACTGGAACACCAATTTGCAGAATAATCTGTAGAATTATCCAGACAAGAAAATACCTTCACAAGAGCTAAAGAAACCAAGTGAGAGATCGTAGTACCTGGTTTTAGCATAGAACAAGAAAGGGCACATTGAAAGGGGAAGAAAGAACAGTCTTTCATTGCCTATACCATTCCTATCCCAAATCCAGGCAGTAAAGGGCAGAGACAGAAGCTGTGTGCTTGGGGGAGAGAGAGAAGGAAGTTTGCAGACAGCTTTGCCTTGGAAGCTACTACCAGCACCCACCTCCCCTCCCCGCCACCCACAATAAATCACAGTACTGGGTCCAACTCCAAACAGTAAAGCACAAAGAGAAATTCCTTCCATATGAGGGAAGAGAAAAGTGAGCAAAGGCCTTTGCCTGGGAACCCTAGGAATTCTCAAGTCCCTCAGGCTGGTGAACAGCACACCTGGCCTTAGGGCACTCTCTAGTGCTAAAATGGCTGCAGTATCCACAGGCTTAGGGAAGTGAACAGTCAGTCCCTTTTGAATTCCTGAAGACCCTCTGAAGAAAGACAGGTACAAACAAGGCCAGGCTGTGAAGACAGAAAAAATATCTAATTCTTTAAAGCTCAGACACTGACATACCTCTACAAGCATCAAGAACATTCACCTAAATATGATCTCATTTCATATTTATCACACTAAATAATGCATCAGTGATCTATCCTGAAAAGATGGAGATGTGCAACCTTTCAAAGAATTCAAAATAGCTTTTTTGAGGAAGCTCAACAAATTTCGAGAAAACACAGAAAATCAATTCAGGAACTTATCAAAAAATTTAACAAAGATATTGAATTTTTTTTTTTTTTTTTTTTTTTGGAGACAGAGTCTTGCTCTGTCGCCCAGGTTGGAGTGCAGTAGCACAATCTCGACCCACTGCAACCTCTGTCTCCTGGGTTCAAGTGAGTCTCCAGCCTCAGCCTCCCGAGTAGCTGGGATTACAGGTGTGCACCACCACACCCTGCTAATTTTTTGTATTTTTATTTTCAAAAAATCAAACGGAAATACTAGAGTTGAAAACTACAATGGACAAACTGAAAAATGCATTAGAGGGTCTCAACAGCAAAACTGATCAAGCAGAAGAAAAAAATGAGTAACGTAGAAGACAGAATATTTGAAAATACAGTCAGCCTGGGTGTGGTGGCTCACATCTGTAATCCTAGCACTTTGGGAGGCTGAGGTGGGTGGATAGCTTGAGCTCAGGGGTCTGACCAGACTGGGCAACATGGCAAAACCCCATCTCTACAAAAAATACAAAAATTAGCCAGGTGTGGTGGTATGCACCTGTAGTCCCAGCTAACTGGGAGACTGAGGTAGGAGGATTGCTTGACCCCAGGAGGTTGAGGCTGCAGTGAGCCATGATTGTGCCACTGCACTTCAGCCTGGGCAACACAGCAAGACCCTGTCTCAATCAATCAATCAATCAATCAAAAGAGAAAAATAAACAAAACACAATCAAAGGAGGAGAAAAATTGAAAACAAATGAATAAGGCTTACGAGATCTATGGGACAGCATCAAAAGAGCAAATGTAGCGGGGTGCGGTGGCTCACGCCTGTAATCCCAGCACTTTGGGAGGCTGAGGTGGGCGGATCACCTTAGGTCAGGAGTTTGAGACCAGCCTGACCAACATGGCTAAACCGTGTCTCTACTAAAAATACAAAATTAGCTGGGTGTGGTGGTGCATCCCTGTAATCCCAGCTACTCGGGAGGCTGAGGCAGAAGAATTGCTTGAACCCAGGCGGCGGAGGTTGCAGTGGGCCGAGATCGTTCCAATGCACTGCAGCCTGGGCAACAAGAGTGAAACTCCATCTTAAAAAAAAAAAAAAAAAAAAAGGAAATGTAAGAGTCATTGACCTTCAAGAGGGAGAGAAAAAAGGGTAGAAATAGTAAAAAAAATAATAATAATAATAATAATAATAGAAAATTTTCCAAATCCAGAGAAAGATATAAATATTCAGGGACAAGAGAGTCAAAGACCACCAAGGAGATTCAACCCACATAAGATGATTCCAAGACATATATATAATAATCTAATTCTCAATGATCACAAAGAGTCGATCCTAAAAGCAGCAATAAAACCAGTAACATATAAAGGGGCTCCAACACATCTGGCAGCAGACTTTTCAGTGAAAATCTTCCAGGCCAGGAGGGATGACATGTTCAAAGTGCTGAAGGAAAGAAAGGGCAACCAAGAATACTGTAACCAGCAGAAATATACTTCAAACATGCAGGAGAGATAGAGACTTTCTCAGACAGACAAAAGCTGAGGGAATTCATCACCACAGGCCTGTCTTACAAAAACTGCTGAAAGGAATTCATCAATCTTAAAGAAAATAATGGTAAAATGTAACAAGAAAACATCTGGATGGATAAAATTCCCTGGTAAAGGTTAACTACACAGCTGGGTATGGTGGTCCATGCCTGTAGTCCCAGCTACTCAGGAGGCTGAGGTGGGAGGATCACTTGAGCCCAGGAGATCAAGGCCTGCCTGGACAATAGAAGCTAAACTCTGCCACTAAAAAATATATATACACACACATATATATATATTCTTTTTAAACTACACAGACAAAAATTCAAAATTATACTCTAATTGTGACTATATCACTCATATCTTTATGAATTATAAAGACAAACCTTTTTTTTTTTTTTTTGAGACAGAGTCTTACTGTGTCACCCAGGCTGGAGTGCAGTGGTACGATTTTGGCTCACTGCAACCTCTGTCTCCTGGATTCAAGTGATTCTTAAGCCTCAGCCTCCGGAGTAGCTAGGATTATAGGCATGCACCACCATACCCAGTTAGTTTTCTGTATTGTTTTTTAGTAGAGATGGGGTTTTGCCGTGTTGCCCGGGTTGGTCTCAAACTCCTGGCTTTAAGTGATCTGCCTGCCTCGGCCTCCCAAAGTGCTGAGATTACAGGCATGAGCCACTGTGCCTAGCCAAAACAAAACTATTAATAAGAAAAATAACATTTATGCACCCAACAAACATATGAAAAAAAACTCAACATCATTGATCATTAGAGAAATGCAAATCAGAACCACAATGAGATACCATCTCATGCCAGACAGAATGGCGATTATTAAAAAGTCAAGAAACAGTAGATGCTGGCGAGGCTGAGGATAAATAGGAATGCTTTTACACTGTTGGTGAGAATGTAAATTAGTTCAATGATTGTGGAAGACAGTGTGGCAATTCCTCAAGGATCTAGAACCAGAAATACCACTTGACCCAGCAATCTCATTACTGGGTATATACCAAAAGGAATACAAATCATTCTACTATAAAGACACATGCACACATTTGTTTCTTGCAGCACTATTTACAATAACGAAAACATGTAACCAACCCAAATGCCCATCAGTGATAGACTGGATAAAGGAAATGTGGCACATATACACCATGGAATACTATGCAGCCATAAAAAGGAATGAGATCATGTCCTTTGCAGGGACATGGATGAAGCTAGGAGCAATCATCCTCAGCAATTAACGCAGGAACAGAAAACCAAGCACTGCATGCTCTCACTCATAAGTGGGAGTTGAACAATGAGAACACACCGACACAAGGAGGGGAGCAACACACACCAGGGCCAGTTGGGGGGGTAGGGGGTGAGGGAGGGGAGGTTGAGCATTAGGACAAATAGCTAATGCATGCGGAGCTTAAAGCCCAGATGATGGGCTGAAACCTACACGTTCTGTATTTGTATCCTGGAACTTAAAGTATGAAAAAAAGAAAAATGACCACAACAATTTGTTAAGAAATGGCAATATAAAAAGATATAAACTGAGACATCAAAAAATCAAAATGTGGGGGAATGATGAAGAGTGCTTGGTGTTAGTTTGTTTCTTTTCTTCATAATCGAAATTAAAGTTGTCATCGGTTTTGTTTTGTTTTGTTTTTCTTGAGACAGAGTCTCACTCTGTTGCCCAGGCTGGAGTGCAGTGGCGCAATACTGGCTAACTGCAACCTCTGCCTCCCGGGTTCAAGCAATTCTCCTGCCTCAGCCTCCTGAGTAGCTGGAATTACAAACATGTGCCACCACACCTAGTTATCTTTGTATTTTTAGTAGAGATGAGATTTCACCATGTTGGCCCAGGCTGGTCTCAAAGTCCTGACCTCAAGTGATCTGCCTGCCTCGGCCTCCAAAAGTGCTGGGATTACAGGTGTGAGCCCACTGTGCCTGGCCTGAATTTGGTTATTTCTTTAGGTCCATTTTCTTAATACAAAACTTACTATGTATTTCAGATGCAAAAATATATCTTTCCCATTCAAATCATCTTTTAGAATTAGGTACTGCATTAAATAGATGAGAAAAAGAAGGGGATGAAATAAGGACAGCTAATTCCATCTATGTAGACAGTTTGACCTTACATATGTAAACTCAATCTTAATCCTGACAACAACCTCATTAGAAAGATACTATTAGTAACTCCATTTTAAGAACAAGGAAACAGGCACATGGGAGTTAAGTAACTTGACCATGGTCATTAGCAAGTGACTGATGGCCCTGGGATTTGAGTGTGGTCCTAAAGTCTGTAGTCTTCACTGAATTTCTAAGCCAAAAGTAGTGGGTTAGAGTAAAAGAGTTTAACCATTTCCCAAATGGTCATTCTTTAGAGTCATGGTTCTAAACTGGGGGCAATTTGTCCCCAGGGATATCTAATGGCAATGTCTGATGATATTTTCAATTGTCGTGACTTGAGGGGGTGGGAGGAAGAGGAGAGTGCAACTGACATCCGGTAGGTAGTGGCCAAGGATGGTGCTAAACATCCTACAATGCACAGGACACCCTCCCACAAAAAATTATCATCTGGACCCAAATGCCATCATAATAAAAGGAGGAAAAAATGACATTTCCCAATTTAGTCTGACTTTTAAAATCATCAACATCATACTTTAGACATGCCTTATTTTGGGAAAAGGAAATGGTATGCTGTAAAATCTAAAAGAAACGCAAGAATAGGAAATTACTAGTATGTAGAAAAATAAGAAATCATCATTGAGGATGCAGAAGAGGAAAAATACCCCCTAACTCCAACAACTATGTAGTTAACTAGAATAAAGGTTACAAATAGGAAACAATAAAACTGCTGACTTGAATATCAGCACGTTCCACTACAGTATGTGACTATAAATCTTCCTAAGTCACAAGCCAATTACTATGTGCCAAATTTCTACTGCAATAAAGGTTTTTTTTTTCAGATTGTTACAGGTTGATACAGATTTTCTATATCAATGTTTCATCACTAGTCTATTAAGGATATTATGAAGTTAAATCATTATTCTTTAAAATTCTACTACCACATTATTCAAGACTTTCTCAGTACCCTTAAAAATGACATGACTTTGCTAATGCCCATTAGATTTGTATTTCATCTTAAAAACAAAAATTATATCTGATCTTCCATCACAAGGCTACCACCTCACAACTTTTAAATTTAAAATTCCAGTGTTTAAGAGAATTTCAAGTCTTAATAAAGTCCTATCCCTCAATTTATGTAAGTTGACTTAAGTCCCAGTCTAAGTATTAATTTTTCTTATAGATGCCAACGATAGATTGAGCATCCCTAATCCAAAAATCTGAAATGGCCCAAATCTGAGATTTTTTTGAGTGCCAGAATACTGCTACAAGTGGAAAATTTCACACAAATACTTTGTTTCATATACAAAATTATTTAAAATATTGCATAAAATTATCTTCAGACTATATGAGGTGTATATGAAATATAAATAAATTTCACATTTAGACTTGAGTCCCATCCCCAAAATATCTTGTTATATATATGCAAATATTTCAAAATCTCAAAAATCCAAAATCTGAAAGAAACATTTTAGATAAAGGATACTCAACCTATATTAAATTTCCACAACTTACATGTCAAAAATAGTTTTGAACAACCACACACTTACATAATATTATATGTTGAAGCAAACAGTATTCTCATTAAAAATGTAAAACAAATTTTTCTGATACAATTAGGTATCTTTCTAAACTTAACCTCCACCATTTCTAGCTTTCTTTCAATAATCTCAGTACTTTATCTTGGAGAAAACTCTAACATGTCTTATTAACTCATTTTTTTCCATTCATTAATTTATCTAACAAGCAGAGTGCTGACTACCACCAAGGACCATGTTCTTTAACATTTCAATATTAAAAACCTCAATAATTCTCAAGTCACTTTTTTCCCAATGAGAGAAAGAAACACCAATGAGTTAAAATGTAGGTAACTTAAATTTGGCTTTCAAAAATAAATAAGATGCCACACCATTTCACAGTGAAGAAATCTTTTCATCTTGTGCATGTCCACCTGGGGAGCAATATCACCTGGTGGTTAAAAGAGGCATTCCTAGTGTTAAGCAGCCCAGGTTCAAATTGGCTTATGCCATGTCAAATGCTAGATCTCTTATCTTAGATATGTTACTTAACATTTTTAAGTAATTGTTTGCTCTGTGAGAAGGGATAATCATGTCTATACCTCATCGGGCTGTTTTAAGAATTAAATTACCAACATAAAGCACTTAGGAAAGTATGTGGCATTTGCTAAGTACTATCTATTGTTATGATATTGCAACAAAATAATTACATATGTCCTTAATACAAATTACCATAGTAGAAGTAAATAATACATAAAGAACAAATAAGGACTTCTAAAACTGGACTTAAGTCACTAATTTATCACTAGTATATGTATGCTCTAAAATTTCCCTAAGATAGGGTTCCACAACCCCTGGGCCATGGACTGGTACCAGCCCATGGTCTATTAGGAACCAAGCTGCATAGCAGGAAGTGAGCAGAGGGCAAGCAAGCATTACTGCCTGAGCTCCGCCTCCTGTCTGATCAGTGGTGGCATTAGATTCTCATAGGAGTGGTAACCCTATTGTGAACAGTGCATGCAAGGGATGTAGGTTGCACACTGCTTGTGAGAATCTAATGCCTAATGATTTGAGGTGGAATAGCTTCATCCTGAAAACATCCCCTTCCCCTCCCCCAGTTCATGGAAAAATTTTCTTCCACAAAACAGGTCCCTGGTGCCAAGAAGGCTGGGGACCGCTGTCCTAAGACATAAAGATCTAATGTAGTATCATTATTCTTTTAACACAACATCAAGCCCTGAGACCTGCTTTTAAGCCTTTAGAATTAAAAGTACAAAAAAATAGGGGCCCAGCATAATGGCTTTGGTACAGAAGGGCAGCAAAAAGGGCTGTTATGCCATCAACAAGGTGGTGACCTGAGAATATACCACCAACATTCATAAGTGCATCCATGAAGTGGGTTTCAAGAAATGTGCTGACCATGCACTAAAAGAAATTTCAAAATTTTGCTATGAAAACGAAGGGGGCTCCAGGTGAGTGCACTGATATGAAGCTCAATCAAGCTGACTAAACCAAAAGTATAAGCAATGTCCCATACCACATCCATGTGCAGTTGTCCAGAAAATGTAATGAGGAAGAGTCACCAATGAAGCTGTATGTTATTTATATACCTGCCACCACTTTAAAAAATCTACACAGCATGAATGAGAACTAGGTACTGACTGTCAAAGTTTATTTTTAAAAGTATTTCATGCCGAACTCCACAAAATGGAATTAAAACAAAGAAACATATTCTTCTTTAAATGACCAAACCAAAGCATTCTGTATTTGCTTTATGGGAGTGAGAAGTTTTAGAAGAAAAAAAACAACTTGCAAACGTCCTTAGAAATAATCCAAAATAAAAAGAAAACAAAACTAATAATACTGTTGAATTAACACACTTTATAACATACTTTATGAAGTGCTATTGACTTTGAAATGTTAGATATTTAATATATCTATGTAAACAGAGGACTGAAGATTAGTCTAATAAAACGTAATTATAAAAAATGGAAATTCAGACAAGAATGAAATAAATTTGTAAAATGAATACAACCAAAATAAACTACAGCCCCCACAATCCAACAGTACCTATCCCACTCACTGCTTTCTGGATCCAGACCAACATTTACCACATCATTATCAGCTAACAAAATTCACATCCATATATATAAAAGTACCACTGCCCAGCAACACACAGCAATACTGATGGCCAAAAATAGTGTTTACATTTTGATGCTTGAAAGAAACAAATTTTAAGAAAACATTTCCTCACCTATTATCAGATGGCAGAAGAGAGAGCAAAGCCAAAGCTGAAAGTTTTCTTCTTTCAGGCTGGGTAATGTTGTCCATTCGATCAACCCACATTTCAATCATATTTCCCAAAAGCTGGTCCATCTGAAACAAGAGGAGGAGGCATCTCAAAATACCTAAAATATGTTTTACTTGTGGGTAAATACTTTTAAAGGCTAAAGCCTCATAAGTCATGGTTAAAATTCAATTATAGTAAACCACAGAACTGGAATACCTGAACTGGGGTTAAGTCATGAGCTGGAAATGGATAATTTGAGCAAAACCAGAAACTGACTCTAATTAATCCTGACAGCTAAGCAGACTTATTCAAAACATGTATGTAGCCCATGAGTGATTTTAGTAGTATCATTTAATAAATCACTGCCAATCTGGTACAATTAAAAAAAACATGCATTTTTCAAAACTGTCAACTTGTACTTAGATTATTCTTTATTCAATTGGATGACTACTGTTCACTGTTCTCTAATTTGCTAGACTAATTTGCTGCTACCCTCAGAGGAGAGGACAAGTTGCAACCTCAAACTGCAGAGTTTCAAAGGAAAACAAATGAATTATTTCCTAAGACATTTGCATGCTACACTAAAAATGATGCTAAAACAAATCAACATAATACAGAATGTGATGGCTAATTTTATGTATAAACTCTGCTAGGCTAAGGTGCTCAGTTGTTTGGTCAAACACTAGGCTAGATGTTGCTGTGACAGTATTACGTAGATGTGATTAACATTTACAATGAGTTGACGCTAAATAAAGGAGAATGCCCTAGATAATGTGAGTGGGCTTCATCCAATTCACTGAAAACCCTAAGAGCAAAAACAGTATGCCCAGGAAAGAAGAAATTTTGCCTCAAGACTGTAACAGAAATCCTGCCTGAGTTTCCAGCCTGCTATGCAAAATTCAGACTTACCAGCCCCGAAAATTATGTATGCCAATTCTTTAATCTGACTGCGGAGACAAAAATGACTCCATCTTGAATGCTAATCCAATATGATGGCTTCTGATTAGCCCTAGTCCTGGGAAGGCCTCCTGATTTCTGCTTTATTTAGTGTCCCTAGTGTAAGGACAAAGCAATCTTGACTTTACTGCACTAATTATAGTCTATGCTGCATATGGCATTCTTGCATGTTCTGGAAGGGTACCTTTAATTGTCTTGCCAAGAGCACATACAGCAATTCCCTATAAAATATAATAAACCTGAGGGTCTGGGAAAAGTAGCAGTGTGAACATCTACCTGTCTTGCTGCCCCTTGAACAAATTAAGAGTTGTTTTTCTCTCTCTTTTTTTTTTTTTTTTTTTTTTTTTTGAGACAGAGTTTCAGTCTTGTTGCCCAGGCTGAAGTGCAATGGCGTGATCTCAGTTCACTGCAACCTCTGCCTCCCAGATTCAAGCAATTCTCCTGCCTGAGCCTCCCAAGTAGCTAGGATTACAGGCATGTGCTACCACACCTGGCTAATTTTGTATTTTTAGTAGAGACAGGGTTTCACCATATTGGCCAGGTTGGTATCAAACTCCGGACCTAAGGTGATCCACCCGCCTCGGCCTCCCAAAGTGCTGGGATTACAGGCGTGAGCCACCGCACCCAGCCATGAGGAATTACTTCTTATGGATGAGGAAAAAAAAACAAAAACAAAAACAAAAGCAACAAAGAGTGGTTTCTTAAGATGGAATCTATTCCTGGTGAAGATGCTGTGAACACTGCTAAAATAACAACAAATGATTTAGAATATTACATAAACTTAATAAAGCAGCAGCAGAATCTGAGAGGATTGACTCCAATTGTGACAGAAATTCTACTGAGGACCAAATAGTCCATCATCATCATTAAAAAAAATGAAGTTTCAGTGATTTTGTTATCACTACCAAAACAACCTACTGTTCATTATCCTTCGCCTGCAACTTGCTTCAATCCTCTTTTATTTTTCCTTTTCTTGCTCTCTGAGGACCATTCAGTCTTCAGTAGAATTTCTGTCACAACTGGAGTCAATCCTCTCATTCGTGAAGGGAAGAGTCAATTGATGCAGCAAACTTCATTTGTCTTATTTTAAGAAACTGCCACAGCCACCCACACCTACAGCAACCACCATCCTGATCAGCCAGCAGCCTTCACTATCAAGGCAAGACCATCTACCAGCAAAAACATTATTCACTGAAGGCTGAGATCGCTAGAATTTTCTAGCAATAAATTATTTTTAATTCAGATACAAACATTATTACTTTAGACATAATACCATTGTGCACTATTAATATACTACAGTATAGTGTAATTATAACTATATGCACTGGAAAGCCAAAAAATGTATATGACTTTTGCTATGAAGATACTCACTTTATTGTGGTAGTCTGGAACACCAAACCCACAATGTCAAGTACATCTATACAAGTTTTCTAAGAGGTCGGAAACAAATCTACAATGTAATAATACTCTCATTTTAATATTAATTTTGTTTTTATTAAATATTTTATTCGTTAAAATATTCTATTAAAACTACACAGTAAATGGTATTGAAAAAATGCCGATAGTATTTTTGTTCATTTTGATAGTTAAAAACTGCGTTTTTTATTTCAAACACAACTGTTTATTGTCAATTCATGATGATACTTTACTTTTTTCCCTGACTGTTGCAAAAATTCTTTACTTTTGCCAGTGGAACTTTAATAGAAAATAACTGACATTCTGATAAAATATAATTTAGACCCTTCAATTCTTAATGATATAATTCTTAAGCATCTTTGCACCTAAACTTTATGTTACTAGCAATAGCAAGCCACTATATTTTTGTTGAAATAGTAAAAGTTTCTTTATTCCAGGAATAAATACTAATTTTAGTTTGCACTGAATCCTATATTTACGTAGTTCTTGAACACTTCAAAAATTGTTAAATATACCAGATGATGTTCTAAACTAGCTTATTATTGATAGTTTATTACTGATAAAAATTTCTTCACTGTACTCCTGCAGATTCAAAACATGTGTTTACAATACTTAAAAGGAATGCTCAATTTTTTACAGTAAAATTTATACTATTCATTATAACACTTATTAAAGTCATTTTTTACCCTGTTTGCTAATTTGCAGGATTTAGGTCAATATTTTAACAACTGGTATGACCACACTGACATCTATCAGCTGAGTATCAGTTCTGGGCTGCAGAATTTATAATTAATTTAACAAGGATTCAAAACACACTTTTAAAACCACAGTACATTGAGCCTTGGTATAAAGTTCTAGGTGACTTACTATAATTCTAGCTCAACAAATGAAAAAACAAACAAAAAAAATAGAAGGCTGAGTGAAAGACTGAAAAGTAAAAGCCTGAGGAGAGAAGGCAGAGAAGAGAGGGCTGAGAGTTCTTTTCAGCCATAGTTGGGGTACGGACAGTGCAGCAAACATATGAACCAGTCAAACCTCATCAGTGTAACGTGAAAAATATCAAACCAGCTGTCCAATCCAGAAGACCAAATGTCTAATCCAGAATAAGAACACAGCATTCTGGAAAGGAATGTATTCTAGGTACCAGCACAATGAAGTGTGGATATAAAAACAATATAGAACTGGGAAGAAAAAGAGGGAAAAATAGGCATTGTAAGATCTGGATTAGCTCACTAGCCTATAGATGGAGGAATAACAGTATTTCCCTTACATTTCTATTACTGATTTCCTGTCAAAACAAATGATATGTCAATGGGAAGTGAGAGACCAGGGGTATATTTTAAGTTCCTAAGCAAGAAAGAGCTCATGCCAGGCATGGTGGCCCATGCCTGTAATCCCAGCACTTTGGGAGGCCGAGGCGGGTGGATCACCTGAAGTCGGGAGTTCAAGACCAGCCTGACCAACATGGAGAAACGCTGTCTCTACTAAAAATACAAAATTAGCCAGGCTTGGTGGCGTGCACCTATAATCCCAGCTACTTGGGAGGCTGAGGCAGGAGAATCACTTGAACCCGGGAGGTGGAGGTTGCAGTGAGCTGAGATCGCGCCATTGCACTCCAGCCTGGGCAACAAGATTGAAACTCCGTCTCAAAAAAAAAAGAGCTCATGACCATCCCAGAGTTGTTATCAAGGATATAGAGACACTGACAATAATGTTTAGATAACACATTGAGGGGCACTCACAAGTGAGGCCAAGCATTCAAATGGGATCTAGGCGACTGAGGTGAAAACCCAAGATATTCAAGGGGACAGGATCCTGATGTACCAAGGGATTTTAGAAAGGGCTGGACATGTGAATACATCTAACAAGAATACTGAGCCCTCATCAAGTAGAAGTTTTGTAAAATAATCACAAGCTACAAAAAAGCCACAAAACAAACAATCAAAACCAATTACAGTAGGAATCTGGGGGTGGAAGGAGTATCCAAGACTAGGAGAGCAAGGAAAGGAAAAATAAAAGAGGATGGAAAGACGATGAAAGGAAATTGCAGGTAAAGGACAATGAGAAGTAATAAAAAGTAGGTTGTTTTGGAAGTGATATCCAAATCACTGAAACTTCATTTAAAAAAAAATTCTCATTTTAATTTTTTTGGTTTAAAAAAAATTTAAACTTTTTTTTAGAGACAGAATCCTGTTCTGCTGCCCAGTCTGGAGTGCAGTGATCACAGCTAAGTGCAGCCTCAAATTCTGGGGCTCTATTTATTTTTAGTTTTTGTAGAGATGGAGTCTCGCTTTGTTACCCAGCCTGGTCTTAAGCTCCTGGCTTCAAACAATCCTCTCACCTAGACTTCTCAAAGCACTGTGATTACAAGGCATGTGCCACCACACCCAGCCACTGAAACCTTAAAATGTGTTTGCTTTCAAAGTTACCAAGCAGTAACTGGAGTAGTCCTCATATGATGCTTTAATTATATGATACGCAAAGCTAAGCCATTTTATTTATTTTTATTTATTTACTTATTTTTGAGACAGAGTCTCACTCTATCACCCAGACTGGAGAGCAGTGGTGCAATCTCAGCTCACTGCAACATCTGCCTCCTGGGTTCAAGCAATTCTCCTGCCTCAGCCCCCCAAGTAGCTGGGATTACAGGTGCCTGCCAACATGCCTGTCAAAAGTTAAGCCATTTTAATTACTCAATAAGATGTATTTTTTTTGCATGATGATGCAATATTTTAAAGCTAACAGCAGCCCAAAGAAAAATATCAATGTTAAATTACATTTAACTGATTTAATATCACACTGGATTGCATTTGGATTTAATCAGATCAAATGTTGATATGGACCCAAATGACATTTTCTTTTTCTTAATTAAAAACTAGATTAAAAAAAAACTGAAGGTGGCTGGGCACAGTGGCTTATGCCAGTAATTCCAGTGCTTTGTGAGACAGGGGCAGGAGTATCTCTTGAGACCAGGAGTTCAAGACTAGCCTAGGCAACATGCAAGGCTGTATGTCTACAAAAATTTTTAAAAATTAGCCAGGTGTGGGGCCAGGCGCAGTAGCTCATGCCTGTAACCCCAACACATTGGGAGGCCGAGGCAGGCGGATCACGAGGTCAGGAGATCAAGACCATCTTGGCTAACATGGTGAAACCCCGTCTCTACTAAAAATACAACAAATTAGCAGAGCGTGGTGGCAGGCACCTGTAGTCGCAGCTACTTGGGAGGCTGAGGCAGGAGAACGATGTGAACCCGGGAGGCGGGGCTTGCAGCGAGCCGAGACTGCACCACTGCACTCCAGCCTGGGCGACAGAGCAAGACTCTGTCTCAAATAAATAAATAAATAAATAAATAAATAAATAAATAAATAATTAGCCAGGTGTGGTGGCACGCATCTGTAGTCACAGCTACTTGGGAGGCTAAGGTGAAAAGATCACCTGAGTAAGAGTTTGCGGTTGCAGTGAGCTATGATTGTGCCACTGCATTCTAGCCTGGATGATGGAGTGAGACTCTGTCTCTCAAAATTTTTAAATAAAACAGCAAATTTTTAAAATTTAAAAACATAAAAAAGTAAAAAAAAAATACAAAAAATACAAAAAAAAAGACACACCATGTTCGTGAATTGGTGAAATTAATACTATTAAAATGGCCATACTACCCAAAGCAATCTACAGATTCAATGCAATCCCTATCAAAATACCAATTACATCCTTCAAAGAGATAGAAAAAAAAATTTGTATGGGACCATAAAAAAATCCCAAATAGCCAAAGCAATGCTGAGCAAAAAGAACAAAGCTAGAGGCATCACACCACCAGATTTCAAAATATATTACATAAGCTGGGTGCAGCGGCTCATGCCTGTAATCCCAGTACTTTGGGAGTCCAGTGCAGGTGGATCACTTGAGGTCAGGGGTTTGAGACCAGCCTGGCCAAAATGGTGAAACCTCATCTCTACTAAAATACAAAAATTAGCCAGACATGGTGGTGTGTGCCTGTAAGCCCAGCTACTGGGGAGGCTGAGTCAGGAGAACTGCTTGAGCCTGGGAAGCAGAGGTTGCAGTGAGCCAAGATTCTGCCACTACACTCCAGCCTGGGCCACAGAGCTAGACTCTGTCTCCCCACCCCCACCCCCCCAAAAAAGTGTGTGTCTGTATAACAAATACAGTATATATACTACAAATACAGTAACCAAAATAGCATGGTACCAGCATAAAAACACACACAGACCAATAGAACAGAGAACCCAGAAATAAATCCATACATTTACAGCCAACTGATTTAAGAAAAAGATAGCATGAATATTTATGGGGAAAAAACAGTTACTTCAACGATGGTGCCAGAAAAACTGGATATCCATATGCAGAAGAACAAAACTAGATCCCTACCTCTCGTGATATACATAAATCAACTCTAGATGAACTAAAGACTTAAAATGTGAGACCCACAACTATAAGATTACTAGAAGAAAACATAAGGAAAACACTCCAGGACTCTGGTCAGGGAAAAGATTTTACTAATAAAACCTCAAAAACATAGGCAACAAAAGGAAAAATAGACAAATGGGATTCTATCAAACTAAAAAGCTTCTATATGACAAAAGCAACCAACAACAGAGTAAAAGAACATCCCACAGGGTGGGAGAAAATAGTTGCAAATTATATATCCAACAAAGGATTACTATCCGAAATACACAAGAAACTCAAACAACAGCTAAATAAAAATAATAATCCATTTTAAAAGTAGAACAATTATCTGAATAAACAGCTCTCAAACGAAGACATACGAATGGCCAACAGGTACATGAAAAAATGGTCAACATCTGCCAGGCGCAGTGACTCACACTTGTAATCCCAGCACTTTGGGAGGCCGAGGCGGGCAGATCACCTGAGGTCAGGAGTTCGAGATGAGTCTGGCCAACATGGTGAAATCCCATAGCCAGCCGGGGTGGTAGGTGCCTGTAATCCCACCTACTTGGGAGGCTGAGGCGAGAGATTCACTTGAACCCGGGAGGCAGAGGTTGCAGTAAGCCGAGATCGTGCCACTGCACTCCAGCCTGGGTGACAGAGTGAGACTCTGTCTCAAAAACAAACAAAAAAAAGGTCAACATCACTAGTCATCAGGGAAATGCAAATCACAACCACAATGAGATATCATCTCACTCCAGTTAGAATGGCTATTATCAAAAAGGCAAAAAAAAAAAAATGCTGGAAAGGATGTAGAGCAAAGGGAACTCAGGCACTACTGGTGGGAATGTAAACTAGTGTAGCCATTATGGAGAACAATATGAGTTTCCTCAAAAAACTACAAATTGAACTATCGTATGATCCAGCAATCTCACTACTGGATATATACATCTCCAAAAGAAAGGAAATCATTGTATTGAAAAGATACCTGCTCCCTCATGTTTATTACAGCACTGTTCAGAATAGCCAAGATATGGAATTAACCTAGGCACCCATCTACAGATGAATGGATACAGAAAATATCACACACACACACACACACACACACACACACACACACACACTCACACGAATACTATTCGACCTCAAAAAAGAATGAATTCCTGTCATTCATGGCAACATGAGTGAGGCTAGAGAGCCTTATGTTAAGTGAAATAAGCCAGGAACAGAAAGAGAAATACTACGTGTTCTCACTTACATGTAGAAGCTAAAAAAGATGACCTCAAAGAAGCAGAAAGTAGAATAGTGGTTACTAGACTGGGAAAGGTAAGGGGAAAGTGAGGAGAGAGAGAGATATTGGTTAAAAGATAAAAAAATCACACATAGATAGGAGGAATAAGTTCTAGTGTTCTATATAGCACTGCAGGATAACTACAGTTAACAGTAATATATAGTTTCAAATAGTTAGAAGGAGGCTGTTGTATGTTCCCAATACAGAGAAATAGTAAGTGTTTGGGGTGACAGATATGTCAATTACCCTGATTTGATCACTATATGCTGTATGTATAGAAATAGCACTATGTACTCCATAAATGTCTACAACTATTATGTGTCAATTAAAAAAATTTTTAAGAGATTAATCCATGACTTTGGTGATTAAATATTTACTCATTGTGATCTCAGACTGAATCTTCATGAACTAATGCAAGGGAAGAAGGACATATATTTCAAGAAATGTTGGAAACATGACCAGGCCCCTCATGGAAACAAGAAAGTAAATACATAGTAATGGCATCCTGATGTTTCCTCTGGGTAATTTTAATTTCCTCTCTTATGTTCTTAAATATTTTTAGTTATCCTGTAATCTCAGCACTTTGGGAGGCCAAGGTGGGAAGATCACTTGAGCTCAGAAATTTGAGAACAGCTTGGAAAATATAGCAAGACCTCATCTCTACTTTAAAAAAAAAAAAAAAACTAAAAAATATATATTACCCCATTTCAATTAAAATTAATAAGCTAATAAAAATATACCCTATTTATTTATCAAAACAAGGGTTGGGATCTCTAATTAGATTAGTCTAATTCTAGAAAAGCTACATATATTTTAAAATTTGTACTTCCTTATTCTGGATTTCCTTGTATTAGAAATAGTTATATTTGTTTTCAGCCATAAACCAAAAGATTTTAAAAAATTGTCTCCATTGTAGATATATTCGTCAAGTATACCATATCTTCAACATCTTATAAATCTTAACAGATTAATGACTTACAGCATAATCTTATTTGAATATCTCATATATAGTCTTTTTTCTTTTTTCTTTTTTGAGACAGAGTTTCTCTCTGTCGCCCAGGCTGGAGTGCAGTGGCATGATCTCCACTCACTGCAAGCTCTGCCTCCCGGGTTCACGCCATTCTCCTGCCTCAGCCTCCCAAGTAGCTGGGACTACAGGTGCCCGCAACCGCGCCGGGCTAATTTTTTGTATTTTTAGTAGAGATGGGGTTTCACTGTGTTAGCCAGGATGTCTCGATCTCCTGACCTCGTGATCCACCCACCTCAGCCTCCCAAAGTGCTGGGATTACAGGCGTGAGCCACCGCACCTGGCCATATATAGTCTTAAATCACCTCACTAAAAAACCTATTCCAAACTTACTCTGGTAACAGATATCAACTACAATTTTTAAAAATAAACCTTTGCTAAAAAGGTCATTTTCCACAATAAACAGAACAGAAATACTCTCAATCTGTGGCATTAAAAAATAAGTTAACTAAAGAAGTAATACAAAGATGATACATCACTACATGCAAAATACCCGTTTCCAGATTCTGTATCAGTGAAGAAAAACAGCAGCTATAAACAAATCAACATTATATTCTAGGCTAAGCAGAATAAAATCACCTATTTTGAGCGAGGACAAAAATGTATAAGTTTCAAGTGCCACTTACAGATTCTTTTTCTACCCCAAATTATTGATACAGCATAAATAAAGATTTAAAATGTAAAGGTCTAAATACTACAAAGCGACTTTTACAAAGACTCATTATTTCATCAAACTATTTCTAATTTATATTTAGATAAAGACTTCCTTAAATTTAAGTATATTGATTCTTACCTCCTGATTAAATTTATGGGCCATCTCATTAAGTAGTGAAGAAAAAAAACTAGTGTTTTGTAGTAGAACTCGACCCATAACTCCAAGATACGTGGACATCACTACAGGATACCTCTGTACAATTAAAATACAACACATGTAAAATTGTGTTATGGTACAAGTAAAAACAATCACTGACACAGTAACAAGCAACAGGGATATAAAATAACATTCTCCTCCATGTTACTTCTCTTTAGAATGAACTATCAATACTGCCTGAGTTCTAACTTACTAAATACATATATGAATTATATGCACCATATATATATATATATATACAATAAAGAGAAAAATACTATTTATCAATTTCATATATTACTTTATTACTTTTTTTTTTTTTTTGAGATGGAGTTCACTCTGTCACCCAGGCTGGAGTGCAGCGGCGCAATCTCGGCTCACTGCAACCTCTGCCTCCTGGTACTATATTACTTTAAATACTCATAACATACACAGGTCCATGGATCTATTTAAGAGAGCTGTTCTTAGAAAATAACCAGTGGTTTAACATATTCAGTCTATAAGAACATTAATACTATTTTGTCCCCCTCATATTCTTAGTAGTCAAGCATTGGAATTAAGCCACTCACCATTCCTGTACTTCAAATGATTTTTGTGTGAACATACATGCATATGTTTGAAAGACACATGTCAAAGAAAATCTATGCTTCCCTGTGTGGAACAGGAAAAGGCAAAGGTGTCTAACCGCCCTGAAAATTTAACATAATTTAATATGATCCAAATGACAAGAAAAGCTTTCCTTCTGTATCTAACAGAGTAATTAAAACTAGAATCCTATAGTCTAACACTACCTTTGGAACTTAAAGAAAAATCTTACCTCCCCTTCTATAATACCCTTGAAAACATAGGGTAAAATCGGTTGAAACATTTGTGGACCTAGTATTGGGTTCACTTTAAGGGCATTTTCCACAACCTAAAAACCAGAAAGAAAGATTGGTGATAATACTGCAAGTCATTGCTTTATGAAAAACACATGTAAGGAAACAATGTACTAAAATAAGTATCACAGACCAAATTTAAGAATGCATACACGTATGCAGGGTATGCAATATTCTGACACTAGACACACTTTTACAAGATAATCCATTTTAAAATTGCAGTTTGATATGAAGTATATAATATTTACACACAGCTATATATCTTGCATACAACTGTATTTAATCACATTGTAATAACATAGGTATCACATGCAGTTAATGTAATTCTTACCCTTGCAATGTAAACAAATAACCCTTAAAAATGATGCACTAATAGAGGCAGCAAAAAGCATTTTTAAAACATTGGCTTTTTGATAGCTAAACAGGAAGTTAGTAACACCTATACTCACTGCCTAGAAATAAATCTACATTTAAGTTAATCAATAAATTGGAGGAAAAAGGGCATGTGGCATATATACTGCATATTTATTAAATTAGAAATCATATTTCATTCATAATTATACAGATCAGTCATGAGTATTGATTGTTACATGTGAAAACTTGACTAAAAATTATTTTGATATGAGTGAGATGTTTCTTTTACAACAAAAATGGGTAAGCATGAAATTCAAAGCAGGGTGGAGTTTGTTTATTTTTGTTTTAATATTTAGGAAGAGAAGAATGCAGTGGTCACGAAACAGCAAAAAGGACCAAGAAGGACATTTACCCCACACTTCCAGCCTAAGTGCTTGAGAGGTGGGGAAGGAAACAGATACCATCTGAGAGGGTTATGGGCAAGGAACAGCCTCAGGGTAAAGCCAAGTTTCCCTTATGACTTCCATTAATGCTTCTCAAGATGGACTACTGACATTTTGTATGAAGAGAACCATTTACAGTCATCCCATGCATGGAGGGAGATTTAGCATCTTCCAGTGTCTGCTTACTGTGTGCCAATAGTGTACTCCAAAAATTACGACCATCAAGAATACTTCCAAGCATTTCGAAACAGTCCCAAGGTAAGCAGATAGCATCCATGGTTGATAACAACATTTGTTGCTGCTCTAATTTTGAGCAAGAAGTGAAGGTAAGGTCCAAATAAAAGATTAAAAATATAAACACTATACTGTGTGGCAAGCACTATGTATGCTACTACTAAAAGATACAGGTATACAAGATATCAATTCCTCATTAAAAGCAAGAGGAGATAAAATTTGAAACAATAAAATTTTATCTCAAGTTTACTTTTTTGAAAAAACAAAAAACAAAAAACAAAAACACAACTAGATCTGGGAAAAAAGATAAACATGGAAAATATACAGATAAGCTAGTAGACCGAGAGAGTCACAGAGGCAGATATCACCAGACAGTATTTATCTGTGAGTAGAAAGTAAGACCACCTGCCCATTATTAAATACATGTATAATTTCACTCCCATCTAAAACCCTACTAAAATTACAGAAAAAAAATTTTAAGAGGGGGAGCATAATTTTAAAAAGACAAGAGGAATGAGAAACAAACACTGAAAGCAAGAAAGAAATTCAAGAGGAAACTGACTCAAGTCAGAGAAAGCTGAATCCCAAGGTGTCAAAGGAGAAAGCTGACAGAAGCAACCAGATTTACTTCATATAACTTCTCCCCTTCTCCACTCCAAAAAACACAGAAAGTAGCAGAATCTTATACTTTTGGGAAGGAGAAAGGGGAAGCTAAAAATAAGAAGAAAGAAAATAAGACTGGTTGAAAGTCTGTCTAAGAAACAGAGTGCTAGATATTTTCAACTCTGTAGTATCTGGACAACTGATGCCCAATCCAGGAGAACGAAGAGAGTGTATTTTCTCTAAAGAGTCTAAAAGAGATTGCTTCCAGACTATAAGAGCCCATCAGTGCCCAATGGAATGCATTTAAATAAACTTACATTACGGCACCTCATTCTAAAATTTCATAACAACAGGAACAAGCAGCAGCAGCTACAAACTTGGAAAAGAAAGAGCCCCAAGGTGGGAGTCAGCATGGCTCTGAAGAGACTTCCTCAAGAAAATTAAAGTAACAGAATCCTTGATGTGTCTGAACATATTGGACATCTGTCAGACAGTTTAGTGAACATAAAAAAATTATACCAAAAAAAGGTAAGTATTACTTCCAGAGAATACAAAAGATTGTACAGAAAAGGAGAAGTAATCACAGCTGACTACATGTCTCAGCTTTGAAGAAGAAATAGAGGAATCATGACGTAAACACTGAATTTTGATTACTTGGAGGATGAAGGCACAGAGGAAGTGCAAAGGCAGTATCAATACATACTGCCTACAATTAACAACTCATGAAGGAACAACACAGGGGTGTTATTTACAGATCTGAACATAGATACAAAAGAATCAATTGGCTACAAGCACTAAAAGTGGTTGTCTCTGAGCAAGGAAAAATGGCAGAAAGACAGGTGTCTACAGTTTTTTTCTTTAAGAAACCTTATATATCTATCTAGTTGACTCTAAACTATGTCATATAAAATTCTGGTTAAAATTTTAAAAACAAAAGGGTTTGAAGAGAATTTATAGTAATAATACATAGCTGTGGCTGGCCCCAATCCATAGGAATCTTTACAGTTTTATTTAGCAGCAGGGAGGAGGGGGTTGTGGCAAGGGAGTACTTAGAATTAATGTAAGGATTAAATAATCCCCACATAAAGCAGTATCTGATTGAGTAAATAAATAACATAGTCGTATACACAAATATTTCAGGGATAAAACAGAGTTTTTGTGGTCTAAAAGGTCTGGAACCGTAGCTAGAGAAGATGAGAGTTTCTGAAAGAAAAATACCATTATCAGACTTGGGTGCAGAGGGTATGGGACAGAATCAAGAGAAAATTCAGAACTAGAACTGGCAACATATAGAAAAGCTGAACAGTGGACCAAAGGTGAAAAAGTCTTTCACTGCTTCTAGCTTTCCTGTTTGGTCAAATGGGTACAATTGTGATGTCAGTAATAATGATGACATTCCACTCTGACATGACGAATTTGAGGTGCCTGTGGGAAATCCATATGAAATGGTCCGATATTATTTCTCTTATAGTGAAAAATGCCAGGTCCTATAACCTTATTTCTATCTACTATTCATATACACATATGAGTTTCAAAATAACAATACCAATATTACTGATGACAATAATACTACTGAATGTAATTACAAACTTACTTTTTTTGTAACGTTACATCCCACCAGGGATGTACATGTGAAATACTATGTATTAAAATGACTTGAAATATTCTTCTCAAATAGCTGTGCCACCAACATCGTAACAGTTAGATTCAAATGTTTCAGTCTCTTTTGTATCTTTAGGAATTGTTTTTATTTTTCCCCCTAAATCATGCTTTACCTCTACATGGTTCCAAACTCTAAAATATAAAACAGATATACATCCTGACAGATCTAGTTTCACCCTCTCCTCCTCTTTTTGCTAGATAGCTACTTTAATTACCTGGTTTATTCTTCCACTGCCTTCTACTTTTTAAACAGAAGAAAACTAGAGACAATGCTCCTTACTTATATTCTCAAACTCATATAGCGATTTTCTTCATTTCTTTTTAATGGAATGCACAGTACTCCACTGTGTAACTGGACAAGGTGTGGTACTTCAATCATCCAATTACCTATTACTAATTGTTTTTTGACAACATTTTGTTATTACAAAAAGAACTTTTGCACTTTAGTTTAAACCCATTCCCTTTCGAAATACACCTGCAACAGATTGTGTGTGTGTGGTTTTTTTTTTATATACTTCAAGTTCTAGGGTACAAGTGCACAACGTGCAGGTTTGTTACATATGTATACATGTGCCATGTTGGTGTGCTGCACCCATTAGCTCGTCATTTACATTAGGTATATCTCCTAATGCTATCCCTCCCCACTCCCCCAACCCTACGACAGGCCCCAGTGTGTGATGTTCCCCTTCTTGTGTCCAAGTATTCTCATTGTTCAATTTCCATCTATGAGTGAGAACATGTGGTGTTTGGTGTTCTATCCTTGCGATACTTTGCTCAGAATGATGGTTTCCAGCTTCATCCATGTCCCTACAAAGGACATAAACTCATCATTTTTTATGGCTGCATAGTATTCCATGGTGTATATGTGCCACATTTTCTTAATCCAGTCTATCATAGATGGACATTTGGGTTGGTTCCAAGTCTTTGCTATTGTGAATAGTGCTGCAATAAACATACGTGTGCATGTGTCTTTATAGCAGCATGATATATAATCCTTTGGGTATATCTCCAGTAATGGGACGGCTGGGCCAAATGGTATTTCTAGTTCTAGATCCTTGAGGAATTGCCACACTGTCTTCCACAATGGTTGAACCAGTTTACAGTCCCACCAACAGTGTAAAAGTGTTCCTATTTCTCCACATCCTCTCCAGCACCTGTTGTTTCCTGACTTTTTAATGGTTGCCATTCTAACTGGTGTGAGATGGTATCTCATTGTGGTTTTAATTTGCATTTCTCTGATGGCCAGTGATGATGGGCATTTTTTCATGTATCTGTTGGCTGCATAAATGTCTTCTTTTGAGAAGTGTCTGTTCATATCCTTCACCCACTTTTTGATGGGGTTGTTTTTTTCTTGTAAATTTGTTTGAGTTCTTTGTAGATTCTGGATATTAGCCCTTTGTCAGATGAGTAGGTTGCAAAGATTTTCTCCCATTCTGTAGGTTGCCTGTTCACTCTGATGGTAGTTTCCTTTGCTGTGCAGAAGCGCTCTTTAGTTTAATTAGATACCATTTGTCAAGGTTGGCTTTTGTTGCCATTACTTTTGGTGTTTTAGACATGAAGTCCCTGCCCATGCCTATGTCCTGAATTGTATTGCCTAGGTTTTCTTCTAGGGTTTTTATGGTTTTAGGTCTAACACTTAAGTCTTTAATCCATCTTGAATTAATTTTTGTATAAGGTGTAAGGAAGGGATCCAGTTTCAGCTTTCTACATATGGCTAGCCAGTTTTCCCAGCACCATTTATTAAATACGGAATCCTTTCCCCATTGCTTGTTTTTGTCAGGTTTGTCAAAGATCAGATGGTTGTAGCTGTGTGGTATTATTTCTGAGGACTCTGTTATGTTCCATTGGTCTATATCTCTATTTTGGTACCAGTACCATGCTGTTTTGGTTAATGTAGCCTTGTAGTATAGTTTGAAGTCAGGTAGCATGATGCCTCCAGCTTTGTTCTTTTGGCTTACGATTGTCTTGGCAATGCAGGCTCTTTTTTGGTTCCATATGAACTTTAAAGTAGTTTTTTTCCAATTCTGTGAAGAAAGTCATTGGTAGCTTGATGGGGATGGCACTGAATCTATAAATTACCTTGGATAGTATGGCCATTTTCACGATATTGATTCTTCCTATCCATGAGCATGGAATGTTCTTCCATTTGTTTGTGTCCTCTTTTATTTCGTTGAGCAGTGGTTTGTAGTTCTCCCTGAAGAGCTCCTTCACATCCCTTGTAAGTTGGATTCCTAGGTATTTTATTCTCTTTGAAGCAACTGTGAATGGGAGTTCACTCATGATTTGGCTCTCTGTCTGTTATTGGTGTATAAAAATGCTTGTGATTTTTGCATATTGATTTTGTATCCTGAGATTTTGCTGAAGTTGCTTATCAGCTTAAGGAGATTTTGGGCTGAGATGATGGGGTTTTCTAAATATACAATCATGTCATCTGCAAACAGGGACAATTTGACTTCCTCTTTTCCTAATTGAATATCATTGATTTCTTTCTCCTACCTGATTGCCCTGGCCAGAACTTCCAACACTATGTTGAATAGGAGTGGTGAGACAGGGTATCCCTGCCTTGTGCCAGTTTTCAAAGGGAATGCTTCCAGTTTTTGCCCATTCAGTATGATATTGGCTGTGGGTTTGTCATAAATAGCTCTTATTATTCTGAGATACATCCCATCAATACCGAATTTATTGAGGGTTTTTAGCATGAAGGGCTGAATTTTGTCAAAGGCCTTTTCTGCATCTATTGAGATAATCATGTGGTTTTTGTCTTTGGTTCTGTTTATATGCTGGATTACATTTATTGATTTGTGTATGTTGAACCAGCCTTGAATCTCGGGGATGAAGCCCACTTGATCATGGTGGATGAGCTTTTTGATGTGCTGCTGGATTCGGTTTGACGGTATTTTATTGAGGATTTTTGCATTGATGTTCATCAGGGATATTGGTCTAAAATTCTCTTTTGTTGTTGTGTCTCTGCCAGGCTTTGGTATCAGGATGATGTTGGCCTCATAAAATGAGTTAGGGAGGATTCCCTCTTTTTCTATTGATTGGAGACTGTCTCTCAGACCACAGTGCAATCAAACTAGAACTCAGGATTAAGAAACTCACTCACTCAAAACCGCTCAACTACATGGAAACTGAACAACCTGCTGCTGAATGACTACTGGGTACATAACGAAATGAAGGCAGAAATAAAGCTGTTCTTTGAAACCAACGAGAACAATGACACAACATACCAGAATCTCTGGGACACATTTAAAGCAGCGTGTAGACAGAAATTTATAGCACTAAATGCCCACAGGAGAAAGCAGGAAAGATCTAAAATTGACACCCTAACATCACAATTAAAAGAACTAGAGAAGCAAGAGCAAACACATTCAAAAGCTAGCAGAAGGCAAGAAGTAACTAAGATCAGAGCAGAACTGAAGGAAATAGAGACACAAAAAACCCTTCAAAAAATCAATAAATCCAGGAGCTGGTTTTTTGAAAAGATCAACAAAATTGATAGACCACTAGCAAGACTAATAAAGAAGAAAAGAGAGAAGAATCAAACAGACGTGATAAAAAATGTTAAAGGGGATATCACTACCGATCGCACAGAAACACAAACCACCATCAGAGAATATTATAAACATCTCTATGCAAATTAACTAGAAAATCTAGAAGAAATGGATAAATTCCTGGACACATACACCCTCCCAAGACTAACCCAGGAAGAAGTTGAATCCCTGAATAGACCAATAACAGGCTCTGAAATTGAGGCAACAATTAATAGCCTACCAACCAAAAATACTCCAGGATCAGACGGATTCACAGCCGAATTCTACCAGAGGTACAAGGAGGAGCTGGTACCATTCCTTCTGAAACAGACTGTGTTCTTAAAACTTTTGTGAAAAATGCAGGATTCAATTTACTTGACTTAGGCCTACACTGCATACAAAGTGATTAAACGCATGGATCCTAAAGTCAAAATGCTTGTGTTATATCATGGTTCCAATGCTTACTGAGTGGCCTTGAAAAAATTATTCACCACTTTGTGATTTAATTTCTCATCTGTAAGACTGGGGAAAAGAGCAGTACTATCATTATATGTTTATGTAAGGATTAAATAACATCTATGTTTTACATGCTTAGAATATGTAGCATATGTTAAATGCTAGTATGAGCTATTATTATTACACAATAAGTTACACCTTAAAAATATTTGTGTCATCTTAAGTCTAATCACAGTGAAAAAAAGAAACTTGGCTTAACATTGCTTAATATGACCATGACCAGAATGAGAATTCAAAAAGTCATAGTAGTACGGCTGTAATATTGACAAATTTCAAATATGAGAAATGTTAACAATTTAGAGTATTTTATAATTACATTCCTCTAGATAACATGTTCAGTCACAAAATAAAGTAAAGCGTATCCTTTGCTCTACACCATTTGCTCCAAAAGCAGGCATACTGGTCTCTCTATCCAATTTTCCTAACATTGTAACTTTCTGCTTCAAAGAACAAAGAAATTACTTGCAGACACTGTCAAAAATTAGTATAACAATGACATTTAGTAAAAAATATATTTAAAATGTTATATAACATACTATATTAAGAAATGGTATGAGAGATACTAAAAACGAAAATGAGCTAATATTAAAAACTATTGTTATTGCTATACTAGAACTCTAAGAACAGGAAAACGCCAAAAATTTTGAGTTTGCCCAGCCTTCAAATATAGCAGTAAAATGAAAGCACTATTGTCCTAAAATATTCCTTAACATAAAAATATAATTTATTCATAATGAACATATTTAGGATTTAACATCCATTTATTAAATAATAAAATCTAGTTTCTGAGATTTTTAAACCAAACATACAGATTTAGCTACAGCAATATTCGTATAAAAATACCATCTTAAACACATACTATCAGATTCTCAATTTTTCATTCTTTTTCTTTTTTTGAGGTTGTGGTGAGCCGAGATCACGCCATTGCACTCCAGCCTGGGCAACAAGAGCGTAACTCCATCTTAAAAAAATAAAAAAATAAAAAAAATAAAAAGAAATAAAAAAGAGAGATGCAGTCTTGTCATGTTGTGCAGAAGGCTGGAATCAAACTCCTCAGCTTAAGTGATTTTATAACCTCAGTCTCTGAAGTAGATAGGATTAAAGGCAAACACCACCATCTCTGGCTCCAAATTTGTTAATTCAAGTATCTGTATCCTAATCATAACCTACTGTTGGCATACTTACAGAGAAATTGCCTTAATCTGTAACATATTAAACGTTACAAAAATAATGACTACATATTTGACTATAGATTTTTGATATGCAGTAAGTTAGTTTGGAATTTTCAATAATAAAAATGTTTAAAAAGATTGTGTTATTCTGAGCAGCCAAAAAAAATAAAATAAAATACAATTAATTTTCTTCTTTTTTTTTTTGAAACAGGGTCTCACTCTATTGTCTAGGCTGGAGTATAGTGGCACAATCTCAGCTCACTGCAGCCTCCAACCCCCAGGCTCAAGAGATCCTCCCACCTCAGACTCCTGAGTAGCTAGGATTACAGGCACACACCACCATGCTCAGCTAATTTTTGTATTTTTTTGTAAAGACGGGGCCTCACCATGTTGCTCAGGCTAGTCTCAAACTCCTGAGATCAAGTGATCCGCCTGCCTCAGCCTCCCAAGGTGTTAGGATTACAGGCGTGAGCCACCACGCCTGGTCAAAATACAATTTTTTTTTTTTTTTTTGAGACAGCGTTTCGCTCTTGTTGCCCAGGCTGAAGTGCAATGGCGTCATCTCGGCTCACCACAACCTCTGCCTCCCGGGTTCAAGCGATCACCCTGCCTCAGCCTCCCAAGTAGCTGGGATTACAGGCATGTGGCACCATGCCCGGCTAATTTTGTATTTTTAGTAGAGACAGGGTTTCTCCATGTTGGTCAGGCTGGTCTCAAACTCCCAACCTCAGGTGATCCGCCCACCTCAGCCTCCCAAAGTGCTGGGATTACAGGCCTGAGCCACGGCACCTGGCGACCAAAATACAATTATTAATTATTTTAAAGAGCCAGCTGAAATATGCAGTTCTTGCTAATAATATACCATCATTGTATAAACAACTTGCTTAGTTTTAAAAGTAAATTTAATTAATGTACTTAAGTATTTATTTCAAATAAATGGTCAAAGAGTAAAGTGGAACAACTTGGTTTGTTTCTCTACAGCCAAATTATTTTGCCTAAAATTATAGTAGCCTATTTCCCCCCATAGAGAGACTAAATAATGAGACAGCTATATATTACATAAAAACAGCCAGCTCTTATATTCACTTATTACATGCTTGGCATTGCTATAACTGTTTATATATATAAGCTCAAGTATTCCTCACATCAACTCTAGGAAGTAGGTAAAGTTATCATCCCCATGTTACAGATGGAAAATGAGGAACAAAGACTAATCTGTCCACATCACATAGCTGTGAAGTAGCAGAGCCAATGTTCTAACCCTGGAAGTCTCCCTTCAGTGTGTAGTCTTACCTGCTATGCTACGCTCCCTCTAATAATGTGGTAAGAGTATAATTAAAAACAAGTAGAATCACAATGGCCATTCCAAATAATCCACAAGTTGTCTTTCAACAATTACTTTAACAATATTGTTGCAGAAAAGCCAAAAGAGGGGGATGGGGGTAAGGTCAATTCAAATTTGGTCTGGGAAGTGTTTAAATGTGAGAAATCACCTCTTTTCTTAATCACTTAGAATACATATATTACAATTTAACATGGAGAATTTCAGGTACTGCCTATTACAGAATAAAAATCATTTAGTATCACTCCTCATCTAATAACTGAGGAAAATGAAGACCAAAGTATACTCAGGAGCCATAAAAGTAGCAGGGCAGCATACGCAAACCAAGGGACTGGTCAAGCAGAGAATCCCAAATGGATCCTCAGTATAGTCGAGATCACATCTTCAACATAAAAATTATGGATTCCTTGTCTTTCAAGTCACTTACTATATATGTATTCAGAGCAAACAGAGCACACATTTACTGAACTTTGGATAATGGAGAAGCTCAGTATAATAGAGGAGAAAGGTTAAAACAGGCATACATACAGAAAAAAATCTGTAAAGACAATAATATCAAAATGACATGGCAATTTTCACTTGTTTTAATCACTCCCACATCACCAATCACTTTTTCCTCAAATAGTCAGAATTAAGTCCAACGTATTAATTCCTTACTTCCTCTTACCTCCAGAGAAGAATTTATCACCAAAGCAAAAGCTGAAGCTGAAATTGTATAAGACTGAGTTCCTTAATATACTTATATTGCCACTGTGTCAGTTTAATAAAGGCATAAATGCAATAAAAATTCATAAAGGCATTTTAGTAAGCAACATGTTTGATGTTACTTGTAAGCTTTGGAGCTAGGAGAATACTTTGAAATTAATAATAAATGTGGATTAATAGACTAGTCCAATAAACCAGGCCTCAAGTATCCAGGGTCTCAACAAGCCACAAGCACAGATTACTGTTATTACAAGTCCTTTAGAGCCCACATGATTCTTTGGTAACAGTGGCTTATATTCTCACCCTTTAGTAAACCCCTTGCTCTAAAAAAGAAACTAATAAGCTAAAAAATTAAAGCCAAAGAGTTCTGCCGTATCCCAGATGTAATCAAGGTAAGATGAAGATATTAGGGAATGCCCTTAATCAATTATGACTTTTGTCCCTGCAACAACAAAAACAAAACAGAGACACAGACAGATACCAGGAGAACATCATGTGACAGCGGAAGCACAGATGGCAGGATTACGTATCTACAAACCAAGGAACGCAAAAGACTGCCTGCAATCACCAGAAGGTAAGAGAAAGGCTTGGAACAGATTCTCCCCCTAGACCCTTCAGAAAGAGCAAGGCCCTGCAAACACTGATTTTTTTAATTATATAATTAACATAAGTATTATAAAGAAACTCTTGTTTTAAGCCACCAAGGTTGTGGTATTTTGTTACAGCATCCCTAGGAAACTAATACAGTCCTTACTGATCTCCTTAAGCTCCTTCCTTTTCTCATCAATCTATAATTTAATACTTCAATAATCTGGCAGATGACCCTTCCAATTTACAGACACAAAAATACGTTTTAAATGTTAGTTTTAAAATGTAAATCCCCATGCTCAGCAGACAATCCTAACAGCATTTCTCTCCTTACTCCTGTTCACTTCACTGCAGTACTTAACACTATATTCGCCTGATTCATGCTAGCAGAGTTACGACAGTGAATAAAAACACAGTCATGCACCACTTATCAACAGGGATATGTTCTGGGAAATGTGTCATTAGGCGATTTCACTGTTGTGCAAACGTCATAGACTGTGCTTACGCAAATCTAGATGGTATCTTACTGGTTAATGTATGAGTCAATTTTCATACTGCTATAAAGAACTGCCTGAGACTGGGTAATTTATAAAGGAAAGAGGTTTAATTGAGTCACAGTTCAGCATAGCTGGGGAGGCCTCAGGAAACTTACAATCAAGGCAGAAGGTGAAAGGGAGGCAAGGCATCTTCTTCACAGGGCAGCAGGAAGAAGTGCTGAGCGAAGCGGGAGGAGGCCCTTATAAAACAATCAGATCTCGTGAGGACTCACTATCATGAGAACAACATGGGGAAAACCATCCCCAGGATTCCCTTGACTCAGGAGACCAGGTAGAGATAACTAATCAGGGGGCAGTAATCCCTACAATCCCCTTGATCATGGGGTGATTTGGGTGGGGACACAAAGCCTAACCATATCAGTTATGAAGTAAGACTTCATTATCTGTGCAAACTTTTACTCACTTAGATCCTAAAGTACACTTTGGATTCTTGCTGCAGTTACTCTGATTACCTAAGTGCACTTCTGTAAGCAAACCTCTTTGGGTAACCTCTTTCATTTCACTGGGAGGAAGTGAAATCATTTTTAGGCTCTAAAGCAATGCCACGATTTTCACACCATAATGCTACTTTGTTGTGATAGAAATTCAGCTCTCATATCTTAGAACATAGCTGAGAACCTCAACACTAAAAATAAAGGTACTTTTTTTTAATCAATTTTATATTTATTTTATTATACTTTAGGTTCCAGGGTACATGTGCACAACGTGCAGGTTTGTTACGTATGTATACATGTGCTGTGTTGGTTTGCTGCACCCAAATAGGGGTACTTTTAACAGCTACACCTTCTCTCAAAGTCCATACATAAAGATATTTTAATATATTTCTACATACATTTATGTTTATATGTAAATATATACATTTAATACTATTTATATCTTTAATAGACAGGTATAATATATAAAGATAATATACAACTTAGAGACTGTTAGTTCATAATTACAGAATATCAACAAACGTGGTATTCTAATTTTGATAGCCAACTTAAATTAAAGCTATCAAATTATAACGTGAAAACTTTGTCCCAACAGCAGACTAACAAAATGAAAGAATAAGAAGTATCAGATATCACATCACTGGATAATTTACAAGAGTTTTTAAATCCTTACTACCCAAAGTGAGGTCTCAAGATAGGCAACATCCCAATCAGTTCAGACCTTGTTAGAAATCCAGAATTGAATTTTTATAAGATGTCCAGTTGATCTCTTGCCTGTTGAAGGTGTATGCACCTTCAGATTTGAGACCTCTGGTCCACAGGTATTAAACCAACTGAAAACTGCCAAAATAGCCTGTCTAGAACTATATCAACTCTTCTCCTTCTTGCGAACCATCCAAATGAAAGTCCAATTTCATAAAATATAAATGAAAAATTCATAAATATATTCATTTAAAATGATCACAATACCTTGAGCACCTGAACTTGACCTTCTGTAGTAATTTCCTTTAAAAGTTCACAAAAGGACTGGCATAGACCTACTGCGTATGTCTGAAATTCAATTAAAAGTCAATATATGTAAGAATATATCTGTAATATCAAAAAGGCATAAAATTTCATTTGGGATTCATTATAATATACTTGAGAATTATACACTAATGGTCTAAGCATATCAAATTTCAATCAGAACGCTTAGGAAAAGTTAAAAAAGATTATGCCAAATAAAAATATAGATTATTGATACACTGATTTTCATAGGAATATAAAAAAAATTTGTTGACATAGCACATTTTCTGCATTGAGAAAGGAACTGCATGCAGCACATCTGCCCTGCAATGGGAAATGCTCACAGTCAATGTTTCTCTGTCTTAAAATAACAGACCAATCTTAAAATTTTGAAAACGTACCCCCTGATTTCAAATAATAATCAAAATAATAATTATATAATTTCATATAATGCAAAAGTACTCCAACATACCTGTAAAAATTCTGTTGATGATAAAAAGATATAACCATTGATGATCTTAAAGCAAGTTCTAAGATTTTCTGAACTTAGTTCTGCCAAAACAATAAATGTCAAACAAAAAACCAAATTAATTCACTGCTCAAAATTAGTTTAAATGAAGTGATTCATAGTTATTTAAAACTAATTTGCATACTCTAGAAACCTCTTCCGAGTACTATCAAGACTACCAGTATCTACAGATATCTAAAAACTGGCATCACTAGGACTTAAAGGGTACAGTCACCAATGATCACGCCACTGCACTCTAGGGTGGGCAAAAGAGTGAGACCCTGTCTCAATGAATGAATAAATGAATGAATGAATGAATGAATGAATGAATACTGGTATCAACCCAAAGCTTAATGCTACCTCATTTGCTTTTCACTGGGTGAAACATTCAGAAAAAAGCCAAGCTCCCCATATATTTTCCTTTCAGAAAAAAAAACCACCTAACTATTTGACCCAACCTTTCATTTCAAAATAAATTTTTACTGCTAGCATGGCATACTACATGAAACTGAATCATTTTACCATCATATTTTGACATCTGCTTAAATGGGTTCACTCAGTGAACATTTACTGAGTGTTACTGCACTTGCACTAAATATGCGATATTACTTCTCAACAGAGTCCTGATCACACTCCAAAAAAATTATATTATGTTTAGATATTTTCAATCTTTCAGTTTTTATCAGAAAAGGATATCGTTTTTAGCTATTCCTTTGCAAGTGCAGAGTAGAAACTATTTGTTAAAACTGAATATGATCAAAAGTTGACACTGTGCTATTTTACATGTTTCACTACTTAAAATAATAATACAAAGGAATACAGGCTGTACGTGTAAAATTATACAGATTAAAATATGACCCCAAAATATCATCGATGCCTAAAACCTGCCATTCTTTGCTGCAAGTATTTTAGAAATTATATTCACTCAAAATAAGACAAATTATTTTTTCTTAATTTCTGGCAAAAGATTAGCCCCTGTGTTCTTATCTATCATATCTTAATAAAAAGAAGACATTCTATTCAGATGTGAATTTTCCATTTATTTTCACAAAAGAATGACAATCCTACCCTGTCTCAAAATGTCTCTGAAGGCATTAGTTCCTAAACTTTAGGATTTGACAGTTTTAAAAAATGAGGATAAGAAGGGGACAGGAAATGATAAACTTATTACTAGTTACTAATCTAAAAGACATAAAAAAACCAAAAACTGTCATCTAAGTATCTTTTTACAAAAGAAGATAAAAATCTCAGGATAAAGGGGGCCTTTATATTAGATAAAGCTATCATTATGAAAAATTCACATTATCCTTTTCTCCTCAAGGAGAAAGCCTGGACTCGTGCATACTTTTTTTGTAGACCAACAATGAACAGCAGACTGGCCATCGCCATGAAAAGTAGGGCCAAGGGTCTATATTTAAGAGAGAACTGAGAATGGCTTCATTCCAGACGTATCAGGGAATATAATTTTGAAATCATTGCCAAGTATAATTTTATCAAAATCAATGTTTAAAAAAAAACCAACATTTAAGAAGACTTGATATAAAAAGAAAAGAGCCCGTCTCTTCCTACAGATATTTAAAAACTATTCCTGGATCGTTCTATACAAATTAGGTCACTTCACACTGCTTTCCATGCCTCTGCCATGCCCAGGATGGCACTGACAAAATTTTCTTGGGCATGTTATCATCATCAAATAAATAAATAAATAAATAAATAAATAAATAAATATTAATATTATACATAGCCTTAAAATTAACAAATTTATCTGTTTTAAGGTACTGGACACTGTTCATTACATCCACAAGTTCCTAGTGAGACTCTAAAGAAAAATTTTCTAGTCCTAATACCAAGAAGTTATACTTCAATCATGCAATAGATAGGTATTTACTTTCAGATACTGAGTAATTTATGTCTATGGTTCGCAGTCAGGGGCAATTTTGTCCCCTACAGGACATTTGGGAATGTCTAGAAACATTTTTGTCATCACTATCATCAAGTAGGTAGAAGCTGAGGATACTTTTAAACATCCTTCAATGCAAAGGAAAGTCCCTCACAACAAAGAATTACCTGACCCAAATGTCAACAGAGCCAAGACTGAAAATCCCTGATTTAAGTGACTAGGTTTTTCTTTTCGTAGACTTCTACAGAACTCTAAGGTAAACCTGTATATAACCTATCAAAGTATTTAGTTATGCACTGTGCATATATGATTCATATCTTTAGTGTGATTTTATTTTATAATCTACTATTTGCTTTTATTTATAATTTTGCTCCTATATTTAATTTGTATTTTACATATATATTCCTTTAAATTTCTGTAAGGAGGAAAGGGAGTGAATTATTAAATTATGTTATAGAGAATCTAGAGAAACCTGCTTCATCCTTTCCAAATTTGATAGAAAGTTACCAGCTGAAAAATTTTACAGTTAAAGGAACATTAGTGTTGCATTTGCAATAACTAGGACAAGAGCCAGTCACATGCTGATCTTTTAAGTAATGAGAATACTAAGTAAATTAACACCATAACATAGATTTAAAGAAAAAAAGCCATTAGAACTAAATTAATATAATAACGTCCAGTTACAGCCTCTGGTTCTGCTTAAAATTTATCAGATTCTATTTACACGTAGGGAAAAGGACATAAAATGAATCTTAGCCTTGAATATATTCATACTTAATTAACGCATCCTAAAAAACCATTAACTTAAACATCTTAAAGTGTTCTATAATGTTGGCTTTATATGTTTTAAAGTAAGAAACTTTCTGCCAGTGGCTTTCTTTTTTTTTTTTTTTAAAGAGAAAGCATCTTGTTCTGTTGCCCAAGCTGGAATGCAAGAGCAGAGTAACAGCTCACTGCAGCCACTGCAGCCTTGATCCCCTCACTTCAGCCTCCTGAGCAGCTACAATCACAAGCACGGGCCACCAAGGCCGGCTAACTTTTATTTCTTGTAGACATGGGGTCTTGCTATGTTGCCCAGGCTGGTCTCAAACTCCTGTCCTCAAGCAATCTACCTGATTACAGGCATGAGCCACTGCAACTAGCCCAGTGGCTTAATTTCTGCTTAGAAAAATATAATACCTATCATACTTAATAAACAGATAGCTTAAAAGCACTGTTCTAATAAGAGAATTTAACATACAAAAACAGTATTCATTTTGGTTTATACTCTTAAAAGATTAAATATTCTGGTTGTATTTAAAAATAAATTTTTAAACTTTCATGAAAGAATGTACGGCCAGGCATGGTGGCTCACGCCTGTAATCCCAGCACTTTGAGAGGCCAAAGTGGGTGGATCACCTGAGGTCGGGAGTTCAAGACCAGCCTGACCAACATGAAGAAACCTCATCTCTATTAAAAATACAAAAAATTAGCTGGGGCAGTGGTGCATACCTATAATCCCAGCTACTCGGGAGGCTGAGGCAGGAGAATCTCTTGAACCAGGGAGACGGAGGTTGCAGTGAGCCAAGATTGCACCATTGCACGCCAGCCTGGGCAACAAGAGTGAAACTCCATCTCAAAAAAAAAAAAAGAAGAAAGAAAGAAAGAATATACATGCAAAAAGCTGTATGTCAAACTCAAACAAAAATGAAGGTAATACTGAGGTCAAGATGTACAAATAAACATGAACAAATGTAATTTGTAAATAGAATTTCTTCATTATTGATGTAAATACACATACCACAATGCATAAAACAAATTATGTTTATCTTTTTTGTTTGAACAATAAAAGTAGAAAATAAATAATAGAATCCACATCACCTATATTCATTGAAACTTTATAAAATAGAACTTTTTAAATCTTTAAAAATTAAAAAAGTTTAAATTGAACATCCATTATCAAAAGGTTGAAATTTCATTAGTTCTTGATTCAGTAAAGTAACAAATCCTGAAGAGCCGGTCAATGGTAGGATAATTTTTAAATGGGAGTAATGTTAATAGTGACAGTAATAGTACTAAACATACTAGCAAAACATTAGATAATGCTTACTATGTGCCAGGCATTATTCCAAACACATAAAAGTCCTTATTGATTTGGTAAGAAATATGCATCAGCTACAAAGATTTCTATCATTAAAACTACACCACAGGCTGGGCATGGTGGCTCAAGCCTGTAATCCCAGCACATTAGGATGCCGAGGCAGGTGGATCACATTAGGCCAGGAGTTTGAGAGCAGCCTGGGCAACATGGTGAAACCCCATCACTACTAAAAATACAAAAATTAGCTGGGCATGGTGGCACATGCCTGTAGTCCCAGCTACTCGGGAGGCTGAGGCAGAAGAATTGCTTGAACCTGGGAGGCGGAGGTTGCACTGAGCTGAGATTGAGCCACTGCACTCCAGCCTGGGTGACAGAGCAAGACTCTGTCTCAAAACAAACAAACAAACAAACAAACGAACCACCACCAACAAAAAAAACCACTACACTAGAGCACTTACCTAAAGCTACACTAAAAATAGTGTCATACAGTTATAGTAAAGTAAGTCATATGCTTTGTATTTAAATCTCTTCTTCTTGGTTACCAATCCCTCTCCCATCACTCTTAGGGAACTGAACGTTGTGGAGACTAAGCATGCTGAATTTGAGGTGGAAAACAGGGTGAAATGAGACCAATATGTGAAATCACACATATGTGGAAGCAGCTGAATGTTGTTCACGACAAAGTTGGTAAAAGGGCTGGCTGAGGTGTCTAATCTTAGGTCAAATATAAAGAAGCCCTGTGGACTGCCTAAAGTAGCATGGTATGTAGTCTCCAAGTTAGGTAGAACAGAACTAAAAAGGCCTTCACCAAAGAACCCTATTCTCTTTTTCTAGTAGATCAACACCTATTGCCACTGACTTCATCTTTGGTAAGTTTTTCCTTTTATGGGGACTCTAGATAACAAAGAGCAAATGGCTCTTTATTGGAAAACAAATGGTTACCTTGATTGTTATTTGAAAAGAGTAACAAAAAATTTAGGAGAAAATGTGAAGAACTAATCACATTATCTAACCACCATGGTCATCCAACAAATAAGGCGAGAAAATGATTTTTTAATCAGTTACAATTGTTTTTAGTCCACATTTGCTGGTATTTACAAAGAGTGAGTCTATTTTTTCCAGTGTGTCATTCATTATACCTCAGGGACATTTTTTGCCTCTAATAATCCCAGCGCTTTGGGAGGCCAAGGCAGGCAGATCACGAGGTCAGGAGTTCGAGACCAGCCTGGCCAGCACGGTGAAACCCCGTCTCTACTAAAATATAAAAATTAGCTGTGTGTGGTGGTGCACACCTGTAATCCTAGCTACTCAGGAGGCTGAGGCAGGAGAACAGTTTGAACCTGGGAGGTTGCCACAAGCCAAGATCACACCACTACACTCCAGCCCACGCAACAAGAGTGAAACTCCATCTCCAAAAAAGAAAAAAATAGCCAGATGAGATGGTGTGTGCCTGTAGCTCTAGCTACTCAGGAAGCTAGAGGAGTTGCTTCAGTCCAGTAGTTTGAAGCTGCAGTAAGCTGTGGTCATACCACTGCACTCCAGTCTGGGCAACAGAGCAAGACCTTGTCTCAAAACAAAACAAAACAAACAACACCAACAGACTTATTTGTCAATATTAGGGATTAAATAAAAATGGAAGGTATGTATGTTCTCATTTATAAATGGAAGCTAAACATTGAGTACTCAAGGACATAATCATGGCAAAAATAGACACTGCAGACTACTAGAGGGCAGAGGGAGGAACTCAAAGGTTGAAAAACTATTAGGTACTATGTTCACTAACTGGATGACAGAATCAATTGTACCCCAAACCTCAACATCACGCAATATATCCATGTAACAAACGTGTACATATATCCCCTGAATCTAAACTAGAAGTTGAACTTACAACTTTGTTGTAATGCCTCCAAATTATGTTTCAATGCCTCCCAATTATGGTTGCATTCAAAAACATTAGTAAGTTTATGCTTTAACACATACCAAGAAGTGGTGACATATTCTGAAATATACGAAGCAACTCTGGTGTAATACATGGACTGTTTTCCAAAGTTACTAACCTAGGAAGGAAAAACAGATGATTAAACCACTTTCCATGCCCATTAAAGCCATTAACATATGACTTAAATATTTTAAAAGGTCTCATTTAAATGAAGAAAGGTAAGTGTATAATCAGTTAAGTTATAAAAATTATCTAAGAAAGAATTAACCAAATGCCTCAAAATAAAAACCTGTCTGCAAATTATGTAATATTTCTACATACATAGCAAAGGTAGTAAGGAAAGTAACTACAGTTGACCCTTGCACAACATGGCTTTACACTGAGTAGGTCCACTTAAACCCAGACTTTTTCAACCAAATCCAAGATTAAAAATACAGTATTCACAGGATGCAAAACCAAAGTACATGGAGGGCTGACTTTTCACATACACATATACACAGGTTCCGCAGGGCTGACTGCGGGACTTTAGTATGCATGAATTTTGGTATATGTGGTAGCCCTGGAACCAATCCCCTGTTGATAGAAAGACACAACTGTATATACTAAAGTATCCATAATAATGAAATTATAACAATAAACCAAAAGCATAACTATTACAGATTGGTCAAACAGGTAAAAAAGTTATTTTGTTGTTCTGATTTTCTTGATATGTTCCTCTGCCACATGTAATTGATGTGTTCTTCGATGGGAAACTAGGCTAATAAGTTAGTAAAACTTATGCTAAATGCTTAATAAATATGAACTTAGTACAACAAAGGCCATTATAAGCCAATCTGACCGCATTAGCAGTTATGAAACAATCCATAATATAATACGTATACATGGAAGGTTTAGTGCAACAAACGCAAATTACAAACTAATCTGACCACAATCCATGACATAATACACATCCACGGTGGGTTATCAGAGAAGTGTGTGATTGGTCTATCTGTTCACATCCCCCAACCCTCAAAACAAGGACTGTTTTGATTGTTGAAACAGCAGCAAGGAAAGGAGGGGAAAGCCTATTCAAAATCTAATACTGGCTATAAAAACTAAAAACTAAGGAATAACCTGATGATGCTATCAAAACTGTAAAGAACCCCTGGCCCCCAACACGGGTCTACTTCCAGTTCCTTTTCTTAATTGTTCAAACATACAAAGAATAGATTGTTATATATCACAAAAATCATTCCAGTGCAATGAAAACAATTTTTAAATTGTTAAACATAGCACTGATATAAAATCAAAAAGAATCACAAAATGTAGATCATAGATCCAAATCATTAATAGAAGAAAAAATAAAATTAGATAAAATGTTAGAAAAATGTTTATAATATGCATTAATAGTGGAATTCCCCACCAAGTAAAGTTTATCCTAGGAAATCAAGTTTCTTTTAAAAGAAAGGTTTTTTCTTAAGAGAAAGATATGATCTTTTGAGTAAACAGCAAAAAGCAATCAAATTTGTTTTTTTAAATGATCATATTACATTTAATAAGATATAGCTGATACTGCTGCCTGCTTACCAGTATTCATTACTACCTCATCCAATTTTCTTAGAAACAAAAAAACTATACAAAGTCTTTTGTTCAAATTCTGTTTAAAAATAATTTATTGTATTAAATGTTTATATTAAGATAGAAGAAAGGCTAAAAGTTGATGAGCTGATTTTCTTAGAATGGAGATCAGATGACAACAAGCCCATAAACCTAAAGCAAGTAGAATAAGATAATAAACATAAGAGCAGATATTAATAAATAGGAAACAGATATACAACAAAGAGAACCAAAGCCAAAGGTTGTTTTTGAAAAGCCTAGTAACTGACAAATCTCTAGTGAGATGGATCAAGAGGAAAATAAAAAGCCATAGTAGGAGATAAATCACATAATCAGTCTGAAAGTTTCACTCCATATTCGTGACCCCAAGCATCAACTGGTGTACTGGTTTTATCCCTAATAAATTCAAATTCCCATTCTCTAAGATATCTACTTTATACCTTCTCTCACCTACAGACCTCTCATATCTTGTGCACACTCCTAATCCAGCCCATTACTCCCCACTAAAGACGATGCTTCATATTTTGTTGAGAAAATACAAGCTATTGGATGGAACACCTCCCTATCTCATTCCACTACAAAATTTGGAAAACCACCTTCTGCCTCCAGTTAAAATGCATGAAGTATCCCAGCTGCTACCAAAATTCAACCCCCTCCACTTGAGCTCTGAATCCCACCCCTTTTTGCCTCCTTCATTTATCCCACTCTCTCAATCCAGCCTCACCCATTCCTCTAGATCTTCACATTTCCCACACTACCCAGTTGTTGCCCCATGTCTATGCTCCTCTTAATAGTAAAAGCTCTCAAACAAGTTATCAGTGTGCATAGTCTGTATGGACTTACCTTCAATTCATTCTTCAGTCTATTCCAATTCTAATTTCTGTTCTTACCACTCCGGTGAAAACCCTCCTATCATCTTCATGTGGCCAAATTCACATCTCTATACTAATCTTACTAGGAAAATCAGCAACATTTGACAAAGTTGACCACTTTCTCCTCTTTTAGGAAACATTCTCCTCTCTTGGCTTGGTTTTCCTACTATATAAGTAAACAGCTCTTCTCTGTCTTTGTAGATGGCTCCTCGTGTCCTCAAAATGTTACAAGTTCATTAGAATTCTGCCCTGGCCAGAATGTTCTCTGTCCTTCTCTTCTTAGGCAATCTTTAATTATCCTCAGGCATTGAATGCCATATCCAAAGTGCCAACCACTTCAGCAAACATTATCTCATATTCACAACAACCATGTAAGGGTAGGAATTATTCTTCATTTTAAAGACAAGAAAACTGTGGTTCACCAAAGATGATTAACTTCTTAAAATTACATATATAATGCAGTAGCATAACTGGGATTGGCACCTATGTTTGCCTGATTTCAAATATAAACTCTAACCCATCAAGAAAAATTCATGAAGAAGGATGTACTCTCTTTAAAGAAACTCAACTATTAACAAATTAGGTAATTAAAAAAATTTTCTCCTAATAATTTATTTTTATTAGCATGTAACTAAAAGCTAGGAAAAAACATTACCATTAACAAAGCCGTGCATTTTTATTATTACTTTTTAATGTAATCCCTTGAAAATATCTACACTTTTAATAACACATTAATATATTGTCAGTAATACTGATAATTCTGAGTCTAATCTCTTTAATATTGGATTTTTTCTAACATTCAACATCATATAGTATCTACATGTTTGCACAAAATTATTTATATGCCAGGAATTAATATTTTATCTTACAATCTAGGGCAGAGGATGGCAAACTACAGCTCATGGGCTAAATCCACCCACGTACTTATTTCTATAAATGATGTTTAATTGGCGCACAGCCATACCTACTTACATATTGTCTATGACTGTTTTGACACTGACAGCAGAGTCAAATAGTTGCAACAAAGACTGTGTGACTTAGAAAGCCCAAAATATTTAATATCTGGTCCTGTCTAGTACAAGTTTGCCAACCTCTGATCTAAAGTAATCCATCCTTATACAAATATAAGTGTTTGAATATAAAATATTTCAACAACAGGCTAATTTACAACCAAACCACATACATGCCATTTAAGTTCGAACAACACCTTTCTGAAGAACGCAAACCACAAATTAATAAGTATCTAACTAGTAAAGTTTTAAAGTCATTCATCTCATATTCTGATAAAGATCATTATTTATAATTTGCACCAAAGTAATTTCTAAGAACCAAAACTGTTAAATTCTAGACATCTAACAAAAACAGTTAGTTCCAAAGGGAGGGAGGGAGGGATGAAGAGAATCAAATGTTCATTTCTTTTACAGTTGATTTCTATGATTTGCTTTCTTTAACTGCACTATCAATTTACAAAATGGGATTTTGAAACTTTTCATGTATTATTGAAAGATTGTCTCTGGAGAAAACTGTTGCCAACAGTAAAGTGAGCTTAATAAAGCAAAAGGATTTTCTAGCACAGTTGCTTACACACCGTGGGCAGTCAATAAGCCTTTGTAGCACCGAGCTGCCACAGAAGCAGGGCATTTTTTTTAACCTCTTAATAACGCATACTACTAATTTACTCAGTAGAACAGTAAGTTAAGACTGTAAGTCGCATTAGCATTTGGAGCTAAGGTATAATATCTCAACACTTGGTTAAGTAGTAAGAGGACCTCAATATCCCCCAAACATCTCATTTAACAGACTGGAAATTGTAAGTCAGTAACTTTTTGGAAAAGTTACCATGACCCCATATTACATGACAAATTCCAAAAGATGAAATGCAGCTGAGTTCCTATTGAAATGTCCCCCTTTAACTTTGTCTACTATAATCCTACACTGATTGACAGCTGCCAAAAAAAGGAGATATATGCCCCAGTTTGAAGAAACAGAGTTTACATTTTCTGTTTTTAAAGCCCTATTACATGACCTTAACTTTACTGGCATGAGAGTAGGAAAGGTCACGAATAAAATAAGATCCATGGTATTAAGTTTTTCCTCTTACCATAATTCTAAACCATCTTCCAGAAGATAAACATGTGGAGGCTGTGAAACATCTGTACTCAGTTGAATAACTGGGAGCAGGAAAGGGTACAGGTTCTTGCTGTCTGCTCCTAATCCCTATGGGAAGTATAAATAAAACTTATAATAAGACACTCTAATGTCCCATCCCGCACCAAAAAATTACCTATCATACAAAAAGCCCTAAAACCAATTAAAAAAATGAATCATATTTTTAGGAAGGTCCTAATTACAAGTAATAGCAAAACAAAGTTCTGTTTATAATTGGAAAGGAAAAATTAAAAAATACTATTCAATTGCCTATTGGCAGTTTAAAAAATATATATGTCAAGGCTACATACATCTGTTCATTTTAATAGACTGCACATATAAGAAATATCTATTTTCCTCTCCCTGTCTCTACAGATGACATACTAACTTTGGTATTTTAAATTCTATAGATGCTTTCACCTAAATAATTAATCTAAAATGAACCCACCCTAAATGTTCATCAGTAAAGTAACCGAATTATGGAACAGATTCAAGAATATTGAAAAGCCATTAAAAAAGATTTTAGGGGCTGAATGCCATGGCTCATGCCTATCATCCCAACTCATTGGGAGGCCAAGGCGGGAGGACTGCTTGGGGCCAGGAGTTGGTGACCAGCCTGGGCAACATGGCAAGACTCTGTTCTTGAAAAACATTTAAAAGTTAGCCAAGCATGGTGGTGCCTGCTTAGAGTCCCAGCTACTCAGGAGACTGAGGCAGGAGGATCGCTGGAGCCCTAGAATTCAAGGCTGCAGTCAGTGAGCTATGATCCCACCACTGCACTCCAACCTACATGATAAAGCAAGAATCTGTCGACCTCCTCACCTCACACACACACACACACAAAAAAAAAAAAAGGATGGGAGGATTTGACACAGAATTTTAAATTTTCAAACAAATTCTTTTTAAAAGGTGCAGAAGTGTGTATAACAATTCCACATGTCAAAGAATTTTTTTAAATATCTAGATATCTGTATATGATATACACAAAAATGTTTCTGGAAGCAAACAGAAAAAACTGTTAATGCTTCTTAGATACAGGAAAGGAAAAAGGATGATGTTGGGATGAGGGCAAAGGTGTTTTTGTTATCTTTTCAACATATTTAAGAATTTTTGATAACATTTTTAATGAATCAAGAACACAAAGATGGAAGAAGAAGAGAAGTTTCGATCTAAAATTCTAGTTTGCTGAATTACTGTTAGGGAGGTTGATTCAATGTATTACACAGTAGGTATTTTGGAAGAAAACAAAACGGGTAAAAAGTCAATCTGTAAAACATAATAATATCTATAATTTCATGAACACAAAAAGGAAACCAAATAAATTACAAAATACCTCCTCACCTAAGAAGTAATTCAAATGTCAATATAATTCAAAGCAAATTACAATGCCACACAGTATATATGTATTCCCCTTTTGATGACACATACTACTAAGTTCAATTGTTGGGATTTTATCTGCAATTCTCCAGTGTACAATACATTATTTTTTAACTACAGTCACTGCACTGTATATTAAATCTCCAGAACTTATGTTAAATATAATTTTGTCCCTTTTAATAATGAAAAACCACTTGGAAGGCTTTATTAAGGAGTTTTCCAAAGGAAGAGAATTATGAAAATGCCATTATTTAACAGAGTAGTACATATTGGGCCTTAAAACTCACTTCAATTTCACTCTCCATAGCTCAATCTTTCATGAAACAAAAAAGAAAGAATATTAAGAAAAAAACAGTCAAGTTCATTTTGATTATCAGTAGACTTAAAATTTCCTTGGAAAATTTATCTACTTACTTAAATGTGTATTCAAAATATGCTAGCATTAGCAAAACTAACGTAAGCAATCGCTAAACACACTGCTTTCAAAGATTGTATAGAGAAATCCCACGTATCCTTCACCCAATTTCTCCTTACATCTTATGTAATTATAGTAGAATACTAATTCTACTATACTATATAACACACTGTCTTAATCAATGCTTGAAGAGATTCAATACCTTATAATTCTAGTGGCTAAAGAATGTGTCCAATCCCTGATATGCAGCTTTAAGTAAATGTAAGCACCCTTTGGGCCCACAGTAACTACAAGACATTGCCTACAATACTCTGAAAGTTCAAAAATGAATTCATCGGTTATTAAAATAAGAAAACTACCAGGAATAATTAAAGAGGGGAGAATTAATATTCTACTATAATTACATAACATGTAAGGAGAAATTGGGTGAAGGACACATGGGATTTCTCTATACAATCTTTCAAACGTCCTGTGAATCTATAATTTTTTCCACAGAAGAAAAGTTTAAAAAAAAATAGCATCCTCCAAATACCATTCTCAGGGTAGTATCCTTGGCTGTCTTCTCATGTCCCATGAACACACTGATGATATACAAATCTATCATATCTACAACAACTCTCTGAATTCCAAACAATCAACTAACTACAGCACATTATCAGCCAGAAGGTTATCTCAACTTCTAATACTGAACCAACTCATTGTCTTCCTAAAACACAGTTCTTCTTCCTGTATTTCCTAACTCAAGTGACATGAATCACTATCTACCTAGCGATAAATTATATCATGGCTACCTCCTGGTTCTTCTTCAAAGAAGAAGAAATATCTCCTAAATATTTTTCAAATCTTTCCCCTTCTCTCCATAATTCAGGTTCTCATCATCTTTTTTCTGATTAACAGTCTCCTAGTCTATTTGACCTTAGTTTTACCCACTTCCAAACTAGTGTCCTCAGTGGTGCACTGACTACTTTTCTAAAATAAAAATCGTAACGTTTCTTCCTCTGACCTTCAAGAGATGTTCGCTTAGCCTTCCTGACCAGTTCCCCCTATACAAGCTCTGTACTCTATGTTCCTGCTATACCAAATAATGCACAGTGTTAGAAATCACTATGTTAACATCTGGAGAAAGCTAACAGAGGAACAGTTTCAATACATGCATTTACTACTGTTCTTTCCCAAAGCCAACTAAAAGGATACAGGAGGATTTAAAAAAAAAGAACTAAAAACAGAAATACAAAGACAGAATAAGAAGAGATAAAAGTAATTCACTTTGGAAGCTGGGAAGAAAGACAAGTGCTAACTGATTTAGCCAACTAAGAAACCAAAACTAAAATCCAGCAGGGGAGCAGGAAAAGACAAACTACCTGATTTACACTACAGAAAAAAGACTGAGGAACTAATGGCACCAGGTATTTTGAGAGGTGTGTGTGTGTGCACAACTGTGTGCGCATATGCATGCCTGCATTTAGGGGACAGAGGATTGGAGGACAGTGAAAAGGAAGTATTAATAATAAGAGGACTTCTAGAAAATGTTTAGAAAGCAGTTTGATGCCAAGATCTCATCCAGATACATAAGGAGACAAATAACTGGCCCTCCTCTGAACCAGAATAAAACCAGCTATTTATTTTCTGCTAAGACAAAACAGATGGTTTCAAGACAGGGAGATACCAGGTAATCAAGAACAGGGATATGACATAAAACAGGAAGATTACATCAGCATGTAACAGGTAGGAGACTGAGGGGTCCTTCACTGAGGAAAGACCTTAAAAAATTAACCCGAAAACATTCTCCTACAAAACCCAACCAGACCATCCTAAAAGAAAAACACACAATTATGGCCGGGAGCAGTGGCTCATGCCTGTAATCCCAGCACTTTGGGAGGTCAAGGCGGGCAGATCAGCTGAGGTCAGGAGTTTGAGACTAGCCCGGCCAACATGATGAAACACTGTCTCCACTAAATATACAAAAATTAGCCAGGCATGTTGGTGCATGCCTGTAGTCCCAGCTACTGGGGAGGCTGAGGCAGGAGGATCACTTGAACTCTGGAGGTGGAGGTTGCAGTGAGCCAAGATCGTACCACTGCACTCCAGCCTGGGCAACAGAGTGAGATCCTGTCTCAAAAAAAAAAAAAACCCACCACAATCAGCAAGCCTCCCCACCACACCACACACACAATCCCTCCACTCAGCTTTTTAGTGTCCGCTCCTAAATTTATACAGACAAAATGCTGATCTTGAAGTTGGGTGATGCTTCAGGATTCATCACACTCTTCTTCCTTTTTTGTGTATGCTTTAAATTTTTCATAATAGAACGTAAATAAGTAAATAAGAGAAGGCAACCGAGGATCAACAGATATGATTAAAATGTTTGCTATGAAAAACAGAAAACAAAACAACTAACTAAATAGAAAACAGCACCCTAAAAGAAACAGAGACCAGGCAGAGATGAAAGCTTGGAAAAATATATCATTAATATCTTTGGTAATTAAAACACTGCATTAAAGAAAACACTGCATTCATAAAACAAAAACAAAATGTTGTACAAAAGAATTATTCAGGAAAACACAAAAGAACCCATAGGCATTAAAACATGTCACCAGAAAAGAAAAACTCAATAAAAAGGCTGAAAGATAAAACTGAGAAAATTCCCTAGAAAGTAGAACAGAAGGAGAAAGAGGAAAAAAAAAAGCAGGAAGGAAACAAAGAAAATCAGACGACTGGTTCAGAATATCTATCATGTAAGTAACAAAAACTTCAGAAAGTAAGAAAAGAAAAATACGAAGAGGAAGAAATAAAATACAATGGAGTCATCTAGCATTCAAGAACATGAGTTTCCAGCCTGAAATGTCCACCAAGTGTCCAGAACAGTGAGATGAAAAGGCACTCCCATCATGAAACTGAAAACAGGAACACAGAGATGATCACACAAGTTGCCAGAAAAGGGAAGGAGGGGTAATACATTCAAGAATCAAGAATTAGAATGGCTCCAGGGTCCCCAGAGCAATTTTGGAAGTCTTAAGACAAAGAAAAAAAAAGTCTCCAAAATTTTGAGGGGGAAACCTAGACTTTTATACCAGCCAAACTACTAATCAATTTGAAACTAGAATGAAGACATTTTCGCACATGCAATATCTCAAAACAAAAAATTTACCTCCTATGTATTTTTGCAAAATGCTACTGCCATTCATGGCTGCCATCAGAAAAAGAATGTAAAACAAGAAAAGATATGACATGATGCGCAGAAAACAGACATCCCACAGAAAGGATAGGCAGTGAAAGAAAATCCAGTTACAACAGCTGTGCAAAAGCCTAAGTAAAACCAGTCCAAACTAGAGCACATAAGAATCTGTCATATCTCCCATCTCACACCAGTTAGAATGGAGATCATTAAAAAGTCAAGAAGTAACAGGTGCTGGAGAGGATGTGGAGAAATAGGAACACTTTCACACTGTTGGTGGGACTGTAAACTAGTTCAACCATTGTGGAAGACAGTGTGGCAATTCCTCAAGGATCTAGAACTAGAAATACCATTTGGCCCAGCCATCCCATTACTGGGTATACACCCAAAGGATTATAAATCATGCTGCTATAAAGACACATGCACATGTATGTTTATTGTGGCTCTATTCACAGTAGCAAAGACTTGGAACCAACCCAAATGTCCATCAATGATAGACTGGATTAAGAAAACATGGCACATATACACTATGTAATACTACGCAGCCATCCTTTGTAGGGACATGGATGAAGCTGGAAACCATCATTCTGAACAAACTATCGCAAGGACAGAAAACCAAACACAGCACGTTCTCACTCACAGGTGGGAACTGAACAATGAGAACACTTGGACACAGGGTGGGGAACATCACACACCAGGACCTGTCATGGGGTCAGGGGAGTGGGGAGGGATAACATTAGGAGATATACCTAATGTAAATGACGAGTTAATGGGTGCAGCACACCAACATGGCACACGTATACATATGTAACAAACCTGCACGTTGTGCACATGTATCCTAGAACTTAAAGTGTTAAAAAAAAAAAAATCTGTCGTATCTCTTCAAGATGATGAAAGTAACAAAACATCACTGAGGAAATGTGTAGATAACAAGTGAAAAGAATAGGTTCAACTGCATAGACAACTAAGTGTACTAAGCAGAAATCTAAGATGATCACTTAGGTTCTTGGACACTACTGTACACACACCATTCCCTAGTTATTCAACCACTAATCTAGGTACTACTGCGAAGAAATAATTTACAGATGTAATTAAAGTCCCACATCAACTGACCTTAGATAGGAAGATTATCCAGGTGGGCCTGACCTACTCACAAGAGCCCTTTAAAAGAGAGTATTTTCTAGCTAGTGGCATAAGGGGAGGTCACAGATTAAAACCCTCGGGGGATCTGACATTTGAGAATTTCCCCACTGCTGACTTTGAACATGAAAGGGGCTATGTGTCAAAGAATGTGGCTGGACTTGGGAACAAGAGGGGACCCTAGATGACAGCTAGCAAGTAAACTGGGACCTTAGTCCTACAAATCAATGAACTAAACTCTGCCAACAAGCTGAATGAGTACGGAAACAGATTCTTCCCCAAAGCCTCCAGCGAAGAATTTATTCTGGCAGTCACCTCAATTTCAGTCCATTAAACTCTGATCAGAGAATTCAGACATGGCATGCCCAGGTTTCTGACTTACAGAACTATGAGCTAATAAATGCATATTGTTTTAAGCCACCAAGTTTATGGTACTTTCTCAGTATACTAGGCAAATAAAATTATTAATACAAGGGTGGAGGTTGGAAACACTATGTATAAGAAATAAAATTAATCATGACATAATGATATAGGCCTTCAACCGTCTTTATACAATCAAGTATACTGGGAGGATAGTGGAATAGGAAGGACACAGGGGTATAAAAGAATTACATTTTCATCTTCTATGCAGGGAAGTCAAGAAGTAATGCCTACAATGCTTAAATCAGTAATAAACAATATGTTAGAGTGAGAAAGACTGAGAAACCTATGATATGGCTGTAAGAGTTGACAGTGGATTCTTCCACCAAAAAGGAAATGAGGAGGAGGAGCAGGGTACTGATACTTTTCATTTGAAAAATCTTTAAGAACTAACTCCTTTATCTGTCAACATTAAAACTGATCAATATATAAACCTTAAAAAAAAATAAAATGTACTGCATTCTCTAATGCTTAGGTAGTTTTACACATGTCAGTTCATATGCCTAAAACACCTTTACCACTCTCATTGCTAAACCACCATCTAAATAACACTTCTTGTTTTATTTAACAACACTATTTAACAACACCAAAATTTGAGTAACACCTCTGTCAGGAGGCCTTCCCTAATGTGCCCCGCCTCACCCTCCATGTGACACAGGGAATTGGCCATGTACCCCCAATAGCAATATGTTCTTAATTGCTAAAAGGGCAATTAACACACTTATTCAGTATTTCCCTAGACAGTCACCTACACAAAGATCCCATTCTATTCATTTGTATTCTGTAGCCCAGTGCCTATTACCCTGTATTGCACATTGCAGGTTCTCAATAAATGTTTAGCGTATGAACGAATACCTACTTCCTCTAAGTTCAACTATGCAGACTAGAAAGTTTATTTTCACCCAGTGACCACCCTCTTCAAAGACTACCAGAATCTGGATTTCCAGGATTAAAAAAACAAACAAAAACATACAGAAACTTACACCAATGTCTGTTACGTGTCAAAAGCCAAAAGATAGCAGTATTTTGCAAGAAAGGAAATTTACCAGTAAATTTTTTTTATTATTTTTGAGACAGGGTCTCACTCTGTCACCCAGGCTAGAGTGCAGGGGTGTGATCTTGGCTCACTGCAACCTCTGCCTCCCGGGTTCAAGCAATTCTCACACCTCACCCTCCCAAATAGCTGGGATTACAAGTGTGCGCCACCACACCCAATTAATTTTTGGGCTTTTTTTTTTTTGAGACAGAGTCTCGCTATGTCACCCAGGCTGGAGTACAGTGGCGCGATCTCAGCTCACTACAGCCTCCGCCTCTCAGGTTCAAGCGATTCTCCTGCCTCAGCCTCCTGAGTAGCTGGTACTACAGGCATGTGCCACCTCACCTGGCTAAGTTTTGTATTTTTAGTAGAGATGGGGTTTCACCATGTTGGCCAGGATGGTCTCAATCTCCTGACCTCGTGATTCACCCGCCTCGGCCTCCCAAAGTGCTAGGATTACAGGCGTGAGTCACTGCGCCTGGCCAAATTTTTTTTTTTTTTTTTTTTAGTAGGCACGGGGTTTCACCATGTTGGCCAGGCTGGTCTCGAACTCCTGACCTCAACTGATCATCCACTTCAGCCTCCCAAAATGCCGGGATTACAGGTGTGAGCCACAGTGCCTGGCCAACCAATAAACTTTAGTATAATCTTCCCAAACGGCTGAAAAATATATTTTAAGCTACAGTCTCAATTTTGGTATTATGTTATATGCTTTCTCCAAGAAAGGTAGAATACTACTTGTTTGAACCTTGCACTCTTGGCCGGTACAAATACACAGGGTACTTAAATGTCATGATTAAAGAAAAAAGGCCTAACATTCCACAAGAGTTACTCTGACCTCCTGAGACTACTTGAAGTAACACTGCCTGAGGAGACTTGAAAGTTGGTGTTTAGTTACATGTCTCTCACAAAACTCCCAAGTTGAGCTTAAAAGTACATCTTGGAGGCCGGGAGCAGTGGCTCACGCCTGTAATCCCAGCACTTTGGGAGGCCAAGGCAAGCAAATCACCTGAGGTCGGCAGTTCAAGACCAGCCTGACCAACATGGAGAAACCCCATCTCTACTAAAAATACAAAAATTAGCCAGGCATGGTGGAGCATGCCTGTAATCCCAGCTACTCTGGAGGATGAGGCAGGAGAATTGCTTGAACCTGGGAGGTGGAGGTTGCAGTGAGCCAAGATCGCACCATTGCACGCCAGCCTGGGCAACAAGAGCGAAACTCCGTCTCAAAAAACGAAAACAAAAAACATTTGGCAGAGATGCTGTTATAATACAAAATATCTCGGGTCGTTCATTGTTCTATTACTTATAAATGCATTCACAAGATAGTAACCTTCTCTTAGTCTTTATCCTCTTCTATAAAACGGACATAATCTTTATAAGGTAATCATAAGCATTAAAAGGTAGACAGGAAGAGATTCTGGGCCACTTATTTTTTTTTCTTTTTTTTGAGACGGAGTCTTGCTCTGTCGCCCAGGCTAGAGTGCAGTGGCGCGATCTCGGCTTACTGCAAGTTCTGCCTCCTGGGTTCATGCCATTCTCCTGCCTCAGCCTCCTGAGCAGCTGGGACTACAGGCACCCGCCACCACGCCTGGCTAATTTTTTGTATTTTTAGTAGAGACAGGGTTTCACCGTGTTAGCCAGGATGGTCTTGATCTCCTGACCTTGTGATCCACCCGCCTCGGCCTCCCAAAGTGCTGGGATTACAGGCTTGAGCCACCACGCCCAGCCTCACTTTTTTTTTTTTTAAGTGCTTTAGTGATGGAGCTGTGGAGTTTTTGTTTAATGATATAGCTTCAGTTTTACAAGATAAAAAGAGTTACAGAGATGGATGGTAGTGACAGTTGAACATTATGAATGTATTTAATATATTCATACACTACACTGTACACTTAAAATTGGTTAAAACGGTAAATTTTGTTATGTGTATTTTACCACAGTAAAAAAAAGAAAGCAGGGAAATGTACATTAAAAATATTTTGCATTACTATTTATCTGAAATTGCCTTAAACAGGAATCTGTAACTAAAAGTCATCCATAACCATTTACGGAGGGGCTGGGCATGGTGGCTCATGCCTGTAATCCTAGCACTTTGGGAGCCTGAGGTGGGCGGATCACTTGAGGTCAGGAGTTTGAGACCAGCCTGGCCAACATGGTGAAACACCATCTCTACTAAAAATACAAAAATTAGCCAGGCACAGTGGCGTGTGCCTGTAATCCCAGCTACTTGGGAGGCTGAGACAGGAGACTTGCTTGAACCCAGGAGACGGAGGTTGCAGTGAGCCAAGATCGCGCCACTGTGCTCCAGCCTGTGCAACAGAGCGAGACTCCGTCTCAAAAAGGAAAAAAAAAAAGAAAGCATTTATGGAAAGAATGAGCTCATGTTCAAAAAAGTATCAAAGCTTCTGAGAAAAGTTTCTGGTTTTTTCTAAACTAATTTTAGAAAGCTTTAGAGCAGTACTTCTGAATTTAGGGATACTTCTGATTTCTTCCCCACTGGAAAATTTCTCAAACTTGTGGGTGAAGTCAGTAAAATCACTTGAGCATCTCCACACATATATTCTAACTCACGGCCTTGAGCTCTTCCCTAACCATACTCTCACCAGACTATGATTCACTGTAACAGTTCAAATAAGAACTATAGTCCAGCTCTAAGTTTCAGGTTCCTCTCTACCTGCTACCACATCCCAACACCTCAAACGTCAAAATGTCTGAGATCCAATTCACTTGTCTCCCCTCAAAAGCAACTCACCTGGTTTCCTGCCTTACCAAGTTATAATAGGGAATTTTTTTATTTTAAATCAAGGAAAAAGAGTGAAAACATTAAGTATGTTTAAGCAGAAAAGCCCCGACCACCAAGGAAACTGCATGCATGGTGCCATGGACTGCATGAACCATGAGTCTATCATCACTGGAGACAACATTTAAAAGTGAATAATATTTTTTACATCCTCAAAAAAATGTCCAAAATAAGCATGCAAAAGTTGTTTTTAAATCGGTTTAGATCACACATGGAAAAAAAAATAAAAGATATGTGAAGTTTTTCACTACCATTAACATAAATCACATAAAAACAATTTTTAAATGGTTAAAAGAATTTTTTAAAAACCACTAAACTAAAAAAACTCTGTGGAGAAGTGACTTACCTGAACAAGATGAATAAGTGTTGTCAAAATAGCACATCTCAACATATTGTGTTCTTCACTCTGCTTCCAAAGGAGGGGCAAATATTGTACCAAACATCCCACATATGGTCGTATCTATTACAATATAAGTAGAGGAAACAACAAAATTTTATTGGTAAAGAAGGCAATTTACTTTGAAAAACAATGAGAGCACTATTAAGTCCCAGACAGCACATATTTAATATTTATTAGATGTAATGTATTAAGCTTATACCCTTAAGAAATAAAATTAGACATTACATAAAAGCCCAGGGCTCTATAGTAAATATTTTTAAATAATTTTAAACAAATATCAAGTGTACTGAATGAAATAAAATTTATGAATATAAAAAAACACTTTAGAGGTTAACAGAAAATGCTGTTATAACCTGCTTCTTTTTTAACAAAACAGCTTACCAAATTGGAAATTATACTATTATTTTTTAAAAAGTCAGCATCTATTCATTCATTCTACAAATATCTTCCAAGTTTCAGGCCCTGAACACAAGGCACTGGACAGAAAAGGATACACAGACAGCCAGACAAACCCTTACAATGAAAAAGGGGAAGTGCAATGATGAAGGTGTATACAAGGTATGGTGGAAACACAAGAGAAAAAAAACATTTTCAAAGGATAAAATTGCTAAGCTCACTATGGATTAAGTTAATCAGATTTTACATTTTACCCTGGAGCACAGCTCAGTCTGACAGTAGTTTCTTGAAAAATAAAATGGATCTACAATGATGCTGGACAGCGTTTCAGCTCCAGTATTTGAGATTGCTATAAGCTGAGTATTACAGTATTTGAAATTGCTCTAAGAATATCCTTGGGGATGTCCTCCCGTCTCCCTCTCCCTCTCCCTCTCCCTCTCCCTCTCCCGTCTCCCTCTCCCTCTCCTTTCCACGGTCTCCCTCTCATGCCGGGCCAAAGCTGGACTGTACTGCTGCCATCTCGGCTCTCTGCAGCCTCCCTGCCTGATTCTCCTGCCTCAGCCTGCCAAGTGCCTGCGATTGCAGGCGTGCGCCGCCACGCCTGACTGGTTTTCGTGTTTTTTTGGTGGGGACGGGGTTTCGCTGTGTTGGCCAGACTGGTCTCCAGCTCCTAGCCGCGAGTGTTCCGCCAGCCTCGGCCTCCCGAGGTGCCAGGATTGCAGACGGAGTCTCATTCACTCAGTGCTCAATGGTGCCCAGGCTGGAGTGCAGTGGCATGATCTCGGCTCGCTATGGCCTCCACCTCCCAGCCGCCTGCCTTGGCCCCCCAAAGTGCAGAGATTGCAGCCCCTGCCCGGCCGCCACCCCGTCTGGGAAGTGAGGAGCGTCTCTGCCTGGCTGCCCATCGTCTGGGATGTGAGGAGCCCCTCTGCCTGGCTGCCCAGTCTGGAAAGTGAGGAGCGTCTCTGCCCGGCCGCCATCCCACCTGGGAAGTGAGGAGCGCCTCGTCCCGGCCCCCATCCCATCTAGGAAGTGAGGAGCGTCTCTGCCCGGCAGCCCATCGTCTGAGATGTGGGGAGCGCCTCTGCCCCGCCGCCCCGTCTGGGATGTGAGGAGCGCCTCGGCCCGGCCGCGACCCCGTCTGGGAGGTGAGGAGCGTCTCTGCCCGGCCGCCCCGTCTGAGAAGTGAGGAGACCCTCCTCCTGGCAACCGCCCCGTCTGAGAAGTGAGGAGCCCCTCCGCCTGGCTGCCACCCCGTCTGGGAAGTGAGGAGCGTCTCCGCCTGGCAGCCACCCCGTCCGGGAGGGAGGTGGGGGTCAGCCCCCCACCCGGCCAGCCGCCCCGTCCGGGGGTGGGGGGCTCAGCCCCCCGCCCGGCCAACCGCCCTGTCCGGGAGGTGAGGGGCGCCTCTGCCCGGCCGCCCCTACTGGGAAGTGAGGAGTCCCTCTGCCCAGCCAGGAGCCCGTCTGCCCAGCCAGCCGCCCCGTCCGGGAGGGAGGTGGGGGGCTCAGCCCCCCGCCCGGCCAGCCGCCCCGTCCGGGAGGTGAGGGGCGCCTCTGCCCGGCCGCCCCTACTGGGAAGTGAGGAGCCCCTCTGCCCAGCCAGCCGCTCCGTCCGGGAGGGAGGTGGGGGGGGGGTCAGCGCCCCCTCCCGGCCAGCCGCCCCGTCCGGGAGGGAGGTGGGGGGCTCAGCCCCCCGCCCAGCCAGCCGCCCCGTCTGGGAGGGAGGTGGGGGGGTCAGCCCCACGCCCAGCCAGCCGCCCCGTCCGGGAGGGAGGTGGGGGGGTCAGCCCCCCGCCCGGCCACCCGCCCCGTCTGGGAGGGAGATGGGGGGGTCAGCGCCCCGCCTGGCCAGCCACCCGGTCCGGGAGCTGAGGGGCGCCTCTGCCCGGCCGCCCCTACTGGGAAGTGAGGAGCCCCTCTGCCCGGCCACCACCCCGTCTGGGAGGTGTACCCAACAGCTCATTGAGAATGGGCCATGATGACGATGGCGGTTTTCTGGAATAGAAAAGGGGGCAAGGTGGGGAAAAGATTGAGAAATCAGATGGTTGCCGTGTCTGTGTAGAAAGAAGTAGACATGGGAGACTTTTCATTTTGTTCTGTACTAAGAAAAATTCTTCTGCCTTGGGATCTTGTTGATCTATGACCTTACCCCCAACCCTGTGCTCTCTGAAATATGTGCTGTGTCCACTCAGGGTTAAATGGATTAAGGGCGGTGCAAGATGTGCTTTGTTAAACAGATGCTTGAAGGCAGCATGCGCGTTAAGAGTCATCACCACTCCCTAATCTCAAGTACCCAGGGACACAAACACTCTGCCTAGGAAAACCAGAGACCTTTGTTCACTTGTTTGTCTGCTGACCTTCCCTCCACTAGTGTCCTATGACCCTGCCAAATCCCCCTCTGTGAGAAACACCCAAGAATGATCAATTAAAAAAAAAATAAAATTAAAAAGAAAACAACAACAACAACAAAAAAAAGTCCTCCCATAAGGAAAGATGATCAATTCTTATGTATCGTTCTAGGGATATAAATATTCAGGAGGCTTTTCAGAATAAAAGTTAAATCATTTATGTCGCACAAACAAATTTACTATTCGGACAAATACGATGACGAGGAGTTTGAGTATCGACATGTCATGCTGCCCAAGGACATAGCCAAGCTGGTCCCTAAAACCCATCTGATGTCTGAATCTGAATGGAGGAATCTTGGCGTTCAGCAGAGTCAGGGATGGGTCCATTATATGATCCATGAACCAGAACCTCACATCTTGCTGTTCCGGCGCCCACTACCCAAGAAACCAAAGAAATGAAGCTGGCAAGCTACTTTTCAGCCTCAAGCTTTACACAGCTGTCCTTACTTCCTAACATCTTTCTGATAACATTATTATGTTGCCTTCTTGTTTCTCACTTTGATATTTAAAAGATGTTCAATACACTGTTTGAATGTGCTGGTAACTGCTTTGCTTCTTGAGTAGAGCCACCTCCACCATAGCCCAGCCAGATGAGTGCTCTGTGGACCCACAGCCTAAGCTGAGTGTGACCCCAGAAGCCACGATGTGCTCTGTATCCAGAACACACTTGGCAGATGGAGGAAGCATCTGAGTTTGAGACCATGGCTGTTACAGGGATCATGTAAACTTGCTGTTTTTGTTTTTTCCTGCCGGGTGTTGTATGTATGGTGACTTGTGGATTTATGTTTCAGTGTACTGGAAACTTTCCATTTTATTCAAGAAATCTGTTCATGTTAAAAGCCTTGATTAAAGAGGAAGTTTTTATAATCTAAAAAAAAAAATAAAAATAAAAGAATATCCTTGGGGATGAAATAACACTAGACCTTCATAGCTTCACTACTATCTACTTGAATATCTGGATTAAAATTTAAAATGTTCCCAGAAAGGGTGAGTTTCTTCATTCTGCTAGTAAAATACTCTAAAAGGGTAGCCAAACAACTACAGAATTTGCTCCCCTCTCCTGTGGTGAAGTGTTAGTGGGGAATGCAGAAAAATAAGAAGTTAAATATTTGCACAAATATCTCAGTAAGATATAAGTGAATAAATATTAAGAGATGTGTTACCTTATTTTAACATATTTATCATGTAATACCTTATTTTCAAAATTTGATTATAATATTATTTCTGGAACATGTACTCAATATTGCTAAGTGTTCTATCTCAAAGATCACTCCAGTTAGCTCATAAAAGCAGGCCAATTAATAAGTAAAAACAGATTACAAAGTATCTAACTCATTCATACTCAACTAAAAATAAGCATATGACAACACAATCTACTGGTAAGGAAAATGAGGTAGTTTTAGTTTTAAAGAGGGAGGATACTTTCCTAGAAATTGCAGAAAAGAAATATACACTATAAATTACAAATAGGGTAATAAAACCAAAGTACCCAGTTACATTTAAAAGCCATAAAATATTTATATTCCAATCTTGGCTGTCATTAGAATATACAATGTTCTAAATTAAAATTAATGCTATAAAAATAGTATTTCAAAAATCAATCATAGAGGCCAGGCGCAGTGGTTCACGCCTGTAATCCCAGCACTTTGCGAGGCCAAGGAGGGCAGATCGCTTGAAGGTCAGGAGTTCAAAACCAGCCTGGCCAACATGGTGAAACCCCGTCTCTACTAAAAATACAAAAATTAGCCAGGCATGGTGGCGTGCACCCGTAATCCCAGCTACTCCTGCTGAGGCAGGAGAATCACTTGAATCTGGGAGGTGTAGGCTGCAGTAAGCCAAGAGAGCCCCATTGCACTCTAGCTTGGGTGACAAAGCAAGACTCCATCTCAAAAAACAAAAACAAAAAAATCAATCACCGACTGCTGTGAAAGATATAAAAGGAAGGAGAAAAAAACTGGGCATTAAAAATAACAAAGCAGGGACATGAGAGCCAAACATATTCCAGTGGGGTGGGAGGCTAGCTATATGGGGCAACTAAGGAAATCTGAATACTGACTTGATATTAGATAATAGTATTGTATCAGTGTTAAGCTTCCTGAGTCTAATCACGGTTATGATAATGTAGGAAATGGAGCATACATCTCTTAAGAAGGAGAGGTCTAATATTCTGGAGAGTATCATGATGTCTGCAACTAAAACTCAAATAGTTTTACAATAACAATCTGTATATGTGGATAGATAAAAAGAAAGCAAATGTGGTAAAATATTAGTAAGTGATGAAACTTACTAATGAAGTGAAGGATATATAAGTGTTGATCTATTTTATAACTTTTTGGAGGTTTGAGATTTTTCAATGAAAAGAGGTGAAAGAAAAAATACTGTCCATATAAAATTCTGAATAAGATTATAATACAAAGGTTTTAAGGGAAGGACAATTTCAATTATTGGCATAACATTTTAAAAATCACATAGAACTAAGAAAGTTTTTGCAGTCATTAGGGAAATGCAAGTCAAAAACCACAATGAGATATCACCTCATGCCTGTCAGGGTGGCTATTACAAAACAAAAATAAAAGATAAGACAAGTGTTGGCAATGGTGTGGAGAAACTGGTATCTTTGTACACTGTTGCTAGGAATGTAAAATGTTACAGCCACTATGGAAAGTAGCATTGAGCTTCCAAAAAAAATGAAAACCAGAACTATCGTTATCATCCAGCAATCCCATTTCTGGGCATCTATTCAAAAGAACTGAAATCAGGATCCCAAAGAAATTATTAGCACTACCATGTTTACTGTAGCACTATTCACAATAGCCAACATGTGGAAGCAGCCTAAATATCCATCAACAGATGAATGGATAAAGAACATGTGGTATTACACACACAATTGCATATATACACCAATTCTACTTATATGAGGTATCTAAAATAGTCTAATTCATAGAATCAAAGAGTGGAACAGTGGTTGCCAGGGACTAAGGGGAAGGGGAAATAAGTTACTAATCAACAGGCATAAAGTTTCAGGTAAACAAGATGAATAAGCTTTAGGGTTCTGCTATAGAATGTTGTAGCAAAAGTCAACAATAATGTATTCTACTCTTATAATTTTGTTAAGAGGATGGATCTCATGTTAAGTGTTCTTACCAAAGAATTTGAGGTGTGGGGGAAGCACTTTGAGTATTATAGTCTTATGAGTTAACTCATATATAGGGAAAGCTCCACTTAAATTCATATCACTGAAAACATGAAAATCAAATAGGTGACAATCTAACAAATGTTTTAATGAGGGCTCTATCATTGGGGTTAAAAAAATTACTCTAAGTTCCTAAGGACACCTCATCTTTTAGATAAAATTTTCAACAGAGTATTTTATATTTCACAGAGTCCCTTTAATTTTGTTCTTTCACTTCAGAAATGCACAGGCCCAAAGACCACCTGATACCACGCCTGATGATTACATATTTATTTTGACTATATATTTATAAGATCTCTGCACTAGAAAAGTTAACTGTAGGTTTTCAACTACTTTATCAAAAAGTAAAGACAATATTCAAATAATTGTACAGTATGGTACAAAGATGGTGACTTTACTGAAACTTCAACATTAAACTGTATGTGTCAGAAAGCACTATTGTATCCAGCTTCATCCATGTCCCTGCAAAGGACATGAACTCATCCTTCTTTATGGCTGCATAGTATTCCACGGTGTATATGTGCCACATTTTCTTAATCCAGTCTATCATTACCATCATTCTCAGCAAACTACCACAAGGACAGAAAACCAAACACCGCATGTTCTCACTCATAGGTGGGAGTTGAACAATGAGAACACATGGACACAGGGCGGGGAACATCTCACACCGGGGCCTGTTGGGGGCGAGTGGTGCGGGGCTGGGGGAGGGATAGCATTAGGAGAAATACCTAATGTAACTGTCAACATGATGGGTGCAGCAAAACAACATGGCACATGTATACCTACGTAACAAACCTGCACTTTGTGAAAGAAAGAAAGAGAGAGAGACGGAGGGAGGGAGGGAGGGAGAAAGGGAGGAAAGGAGGAAGGGAGGAAGAAAGAAGAAGAAAGAAGAAAGAAAGAAGGAAGAAGGAAGACAAAGGAAGAAAGAAGAAGAAGAAGAAAGCACTATTGTAAGATGGCTCAAAATGTTTGCTGCCTAATATCAAAAAGATAATTCTGGCCAGCTGCGGTGGTTCTCATCTGTAATCCCAGCACTTTGGAAGGCCAAGGCGGGTGGATCCCTTGAGCCCAGGAGTTTGAGACCAGCCCAGCCAAAATGGCGAAACCACATCTCTACTAAAAATACAAAAAAAAAAAAAAAAAAAAATTAGCCAGGCATGGTGGCACACCTGTAATCCAAGCTACTACTCAGGAGGCTGAGGACAAGAATCACTTGAACCCAGGAGATTGGAGAAGAGGGTACAGTCAGCTGAGATGCGCCACTGCACTCCAGCCCGGGGGGGAGAGCAAGACTTCATCTCAAAAAAGATAAAATTTGTTAACATTTTTTAAAAGTTTGCTGCCTCATGGACAAACGTCAAATTTGGCATATTAAAGAGAGTTAAGGGATATATGCAACAATGATAAAAATGATAGGGTTGATCAGAGGTTAAGGTAGAAAAAAAAAGAATCAGACAACTGAAAATATTTTTTTAACCATTTCCTATTTAGTTTGAGTTTTCAAAAACAAAAACTATATTGAATAACTATACCTTATTGTTACTTTCTGATGATATAGGCATGTAAGCTGCTTAGGCTATTTGTGCTCCGAAAGATGAGTGTAGACAGAAACACATAAGCATTTTTAAATTTACTAAGCCAAAAAAATAACAAACTTTACAGAAAAAGTTTTAATTCCAAGTTTGGGGAGACAAAGATAAGAAGACCCATTTCTATTTAAAAAAAAGTTTTATCTAAGAAATTTCCATCTGCCATATATTTCTAAATAAAATTACAGAAAATAGCCAAATCTTGTTTTTATAATCAACTTTTTAAACCATTTATTGCAACTTTATAGTACCCTGAAGCATTTTGGAGATGTGAAATAATTTTATGCTCATGAAATCCTAAGTTAGGTGAGTTCAGAATTATCTTTACCATTTTATACATGAGGACACAAGGTTAAAGACTTTGCCCAAACTAAATAGCAGAGGCAAGGACTTAAAATGAGTTCTTAAAACAGTTGCAATGAACTCTGTGTGACCAAATTCTCTCAATGTTGTTGAAAAAAACACCATCAAATGAATTAATGTGATTAATGTATTAAGAACACCAAGTACTAAGAATCACACAGATATTACTACTTTTAGACACCAGTACCCAGATCTGTTTCAAATGATTAACAGTGACTCAACCCTACCACGGGAGTCGCATTATGCTTAAAGTACTGGCAGTGCCATTAAAATACGTGAACTTTGAAAAGTTCCTTCAAGTCTCAAATTGTTTGAGACAATAAATTCTAACTCCTCTACCTCAAGTTTTTTGTGAGAACTAAATGAGAAATATATGCAAAGCATGTAGCACATATGTCAGTATGTTGTCATTAGTCAATAATTAATAGCTATTCTCATCAACTGCTTTAGAATTAATAAATCTGCTCAAGGTGTCACAATTCACTAACAGCAGATCCAAGGGTAAACTCTAAGTCTGTGAAATCCAAATCAATTATCTTTCCTAATACAATGCAAATCACAGATTTGCTTCAGTGCTTTCCAAACAAGGATATGCAATGGTGAACTAGAATATAGGAAGTCACAACGATAATTACAGTGTGGTTTTCCGGATTAACAATTTTCCACAAAGATTCAGAGTGACAGGGGAAGCTGAATAACTGAACTGTTAAGAGCTTTATACCTCATTTTTATGTTAAGCCAAATGTAAATATAATGCAGACCAGACTGCAAAAAATACTTAATTTTTCAGGTAAAAATAACAGACTTTCCCAGAAGTCTTGCTGATGGACACTTGTGGCTATGCCCTCAAACACACTCAATTTTACATCGGCTGGATCTTCTAAAATATGTAAAATTCTGCTCTATGAACACCTCTACACTGTTGATCCAATTTTTTTTTTAGTATTTTAATTTTCTCATTTTTAGAAAATCGAATATGTCAATTTTGAATAATACATAACTGAAACCACAATCTATAAGTTAGAAGCATTTCAATTAATGTTTTAACTCTTAAACAATGTAGTCAAGGATATTAATGAATTCTACGTCTATTCTACCCACCCCTCATTTATTTTCATGTTTTACAATATAATTACCTGCATGTTGACTCTTTCGATCACACAAGAAAGGACATGCAAAACATGCATCTTTGTGTCACATTCTGTAACTTGCTGCAGTAACTGAAAAAGTAGTGTGAACATGGTTTCCAAATACTGCAGGTAAAAAGAAAGAAAATAAAAAAGGTTTATAATAGAAATGAAAGACCTCTACATTCATACGAACAGAAGTAAGAAATAAATCATAATGTCAAAGCAGTAAGTCAAATAAACAGCCAAAAGCTTGGCATTACCTAAACAACCTGAAATCGTTCAAGCTGCCGGTACATATTGTTTTACAAAGTGTTTTCTTTCTTCATTGCTGCTGAATGTGTCCATTTCAGAATTTAACTCATCTACAAACTGAATAATGTTTAGAGGAATATTGTCTACGCTATGTCTGTTTAAATTTTATACTGTTAACTAAACTGTTAACAGTGCCTTGTCACTGTTCTTCCATATATGCCTGGTGCCAATCACGAAATGTTTTGTTTTGCAAGACCTACTCATTACGGCAAAAAGACGTTAATTATTGCACTCACATACTAGCTATCTGATGTAACCCTTAATATATATTGCATGGAAATATATATTTTTATAGATATAATTTGTTATTCTAAAAATGGCAGAATAGTTCTTATTAGGAAATCAAAAACAAATACCCTATGTCTGGCTGTGAACTCTTATATTATGAAAATTACGTTAGAAACTTAACAAATCACACTTACATAAAGCAAGAATTTGTTCTTTCAGATATAGGGTTCATTTTAGCACACACTTCTACAACACATTTCTTTCATCCAAAAATGTCTAGTGATTATTTTATTAAAGCAAGATCACTGCTTTACAAGCTTCCCTATCTATCTCCCTCACCAAAAGAAGTACATTTTATCACGTAACTTTCTTCTCACCCAGTCCTCTTAAGAACAAATATTAACACCCCAATGTTACTGATATGTTTAACAAGTGCTTACTGAGTACCAGTTATGGCAAAACACCATGTTAGGTGCTGGGGGTTGAGTAAAGAGTAAAAAGATGAGTAGAACTTGGTATTCTGCTCGTCAAGTAATTTACAGTCTAGTGTGTAGGACAGGATAAAGATATACAAATGCAAATAACACAGAGAAATAACCTAAGGAGCAAAAAAGTAACAGACACACATAAAATGAAGATACTAGATGTTTTTCAATTTTGAAAAAAAAAGTTTGACAACCAACTTCAACACAGATGACAAAATTGCTAAACAAAAGTAAGCAGAATATAAGTGAACTGTTAGCAATAAAAGTTACCAAAACAGTTTACAAATAAAAATTATGTCCTCCAAAATAATCCAATACAGCATACTTTTAAATTCAACTTTAATAAGTAACACATAGATAATTTCATGTATAAAATAGTATTCAAAGACATAAGCAGAAATTGTTTTTTAAAAAAAATACCTGGAAATGTATATTCTTACCGGTAGAAACTGATCTGTTCTAAATTCAAAATCATCAACAGGTGAAGAACAGTTAAGGAATACTGAGAATATATAAGTTTTATCAAAATAAATCTGTATCTAAAACAAGTATACATAAATTAATTTCACAAAATAAATAATAATTAAAAGTGTTAAAGTTCTTTGCAATGAAGTATTTTTAAATTTTCAGAAGGATATTTAACTTCAAAGTTGTAGCTGTTTCAATACGGACCTAAAAGAAAGTATATCATTAGTTTTTAATTATTTTAGAATGACTAAACATCATTAATATCAAACAAAAAATTTTATTCCAAATCACTTTCTGTACTCTTATTATTATTAGAGTCACAGACCATGTAAATATTCAGAAATAAAGGGATACTCTCCTTATCCAAAGCAAGGAATAAAAAGAAAAGGTAAAGTAGCATTTATTCCTATTCTTTTCAGTTTCCCATAATTTACTTAATAAGCCTTTAATCCAGTGGGTCCTTCCAGGAAGGAAAATAATTTGCAGTAAAGTATGTGGAGAGCATGGGATTGAGGAAGAAGGAAGCAGGAAACCAGGGTGGGGTTGGACAAATTGGAGGATGTGTAAGTCAAAGGTGCAAAAGGAGACAAGGAAGGAAGGAGGTGGGGAGGAGAAAGAACACAAGCAAATTTCCACCTGTAACCTCAATTACAGTAAATCTTTGAAATATCCCCAAAATATTTTGAGATTTGCTAAATCCCACAGTTCACAAATACAGAAAGGTTTACATATGCTCCTGACCTCCTAAATCATATTTTCCATGTGTACCAGCATGTTACCTGGGCAAATCATATTACAACATAATCTCATTCTCTTTCAAGTGTTATCGCAGACTTAATCGGCTAAAATTGGCATGGGCTAAGATATTCATAGTTTCCACATAAAGTAACATGAGCTCAAGACATGACTAAATTCTATATTTCAATCTGTGAGATAATATATCTAAAACTTTTATTTCCCAGCTGAGAACCATTACTTTCTTAGATGTTACACTATAGCAACTGTTATTTTCTTTCCAGTCATTTTTCAAAAAGTAAGCGTTTAAAACATTTTACAGGAGCTTCTGAGGTCTTGAGATGCAATTAGCCACCTTCACCAAATGTTAAATACTCTACTGCCAAATCCGCAGATTCTAAGAGCCTACAGTGCAGATGTTTTTTCACCTGCTTTTTCCTTTTATTCACTGTCTCTAAAGGCAATGTGAACATTTCCAGATTTTTAACAGATTTAACAAATTTGCTGCCACTTGATCTGCCACAAAATGACCTCACGAAAAGACAGTATGGTCAGGTACTGCATCAAAAACTATTCAATGAGGAACTATCATCGGCACTGTGTTAGCTGCTGTAGAAAAAGCTGAGTAAGCCATGCCCATACAGATCTTACAATCTGGGGAGGAGAGGAATAGATATTAAACTATTAATAGAATCTATTAATAGATACTATTAATATATTAATAGATACTATTAATATATTAATAGATACTATTAATATATTAGTAGATACTATTAATATATTAATAGATACTATTAATATATTAGTAGATACTATTAATATATTAATAGATACTGATAAAAATGGCTAACTTGAAAACATTAAGCACAGGACAATCCCCTTGAGGACATGGACTACACATAAACATCTTTAAGTTCCCAGCATTTAGTACTGAGTGAATATACAAGTACAATATTAACAATTCACAGAGACCAAGACATGAAAGCCCCTCAAAAAGAAACAAGAAATCAAGGCTAGGCACAGTGGCTCATGCCTATAATCCCAGCACTTTGGGAGGCGGAGGCAGGCGGATCACTTGAGGCCAGGAGTTCGAGACCAGACTGGCCAACATGGTGAAACCCCATCTCTACTAAAAAAATACAAAAATTAGCTGGGCATAGTGGCGTGCACCTATAATCTCAGCTACTCAGGAGACTGGGGCACCAGGATCGCTTGAACCTGGGAGGCGAGGGTTGCAGTAAGCTGATTGTGCCACTGCACTCCAGCCTGGGCAACAGAGCAAGACTCCAACTCGGAAAAAGGAAAAAGGAAAAAAGGAAAAAGGAAAGGAAAGGAAAAGAAAAGAAAAGAAATCAAACTGCCAGCACACTAACCCTTAATTCTCTCGACTTTCCTCCACGAAAGGACCATTTATTCTAGAGATGCACTCAACCCCGAGCCATAACATTTATGCAAATAAGTAAATGAAACAAGACACCTGAATAAAACAATGTTTTCCTTCCTAAAAAGGGGAAGTCAGTGTAGTAGTATGTGCAGAGAAAAAGGTGAAATGAATTAAGATGAACTGCCTGCATTCCAGTTTGACTGCAAGAACAGAAAGCCAGATCACAAGGGAAAATAAAAAAACACAGACTTTTAAGGAAAGTTAAAGAGCATTTTAAATGATGACAAATAAACATAAGAAAAACAGTCGGCTCTTCCTGAGCTTTAAAAGAAATAAGAGGTACTTACCACAAAGAAATGGAATGAATTTGGCAGCAACTCAAGCAATGGGGGGACAACATCAAAACTTGAGTTTATAGAATGAAGACTTGTGGAGTGTGCTAGAAGACTGGTAGAAAAGTCTAACACATTTCTACTGTGAGTCTGTCTACCCTACCCCAGCTGAAACCTCAGAAAATTCAGGAAAAGATAACAGGCAATTCCAAATTGGGAGAGTAAGTGCCGTCAAGACATAAGAAACATTGGACAGATCCCCCAAAGCATGAGAGAAACAGGGAAATGAATGAGAAGAAAATGCAGGTCAACAGTACTTCCAAATACTGCTACAAAGGTAAGCAGAGCCAGAAACTTCTGTGCAGATGTCACAACGAATGCATCTTATCAAGACACTTAGGTGGATTTGGACTAGCCTAATGCCTGACCACTTTTACATCTTGCCCATAGCAGTGAAGGCAGTCCACAGACTAAAACAGTGAGCATGGTGTTGGGGCCAGAAAGAAATGGCAGTATCTCAGGGACTTAAGACCACCAGGAAAATGTAAATAAGGCAGACACAAAATAATAATATGCTAAGGAGAAATAAAATTATGATTTCATAATTCAATTATTTAAAAAGCCATCCTCATTCTTGGGTTCTTTCCTATCCCTATTCCTAATTCTTTCAATAAGCATTTTCTAAGACTTGACTCCACGCTAGGCATAAGAAATACTAACATAAATGACATTATCCTATACATTAGTACACTGAATTATACAATCTGGTATCATCCTTCTGAAATGTTATATGAATAAGTTTCCTAAAAGGATAGAAAGCATCTTTGATGTATTCATCTCCTCCTGAATCAAGGACCAGAGATAAAATAAAAATAAATAAATAAATTCATCTCCTTTCAAGAAAAAAATTCTCAAGGTCATTTTCATGTATAATTAATAGACATATCAATTATAAACTCAAAACTGACTGTAGGAAACTTAGTAGACTAAGGTTTCCTTTCTTCTTGGTTTTAGATAGGTCTAATATTTTGATGTCTCAAACACAGATTATTTTATATTTCCTTCAGAATTTATATTTGATGAGTATAATTGAATTCAGAATTCATTCTGGGATCGTTCAAAACACAGACTAGTTGAGAGATCAAGATCTGTAGCAGTGTTTTTGAGATACAAAGGATAGGTAAATAGAAAAAAAAATTAGAGAGTGTACAAAAGAAAAATTGACAAAACTGAAAGACCCATAAAACGCACAAGAGTGGAAAGACAGAAGAGTTTCAAAGCACCTGTAATACCTCTGCCCAGATCCCAGCTGTACTTCCCACAGTAAATACAGGCTATGCTACAGTCTTCTCCATACCACTGAAAGTACTTCATTAAACTCCACCTAGTAACTTTCCATTTTAGAAAATTCAATACAATTATGCATCACATAATAATGTATTAGTCAACAACAGATCACATTTACAAACGTAGTCTCATAAGATTATAACTGAGTTGAAAATTCCCATCACATAGTGATGTCATGGCTGTCAAAACACATCACATTACCTATGCATTTGCGGTGATGCTGGTGTAAAGAAATCTACTGCACAGCCAGTAGTATAAAAGTACAGCACAGACATGGCCTGGTGCAGTTGCTCACACCTATAATCCCAGTACTTTGGGAGGCCACAAAGGGAGAATTGCTTGAGGCTCAAAGTTTGAGAGCAGCCTGGGCAACATAGAGAGATCCCACTCTACAAAAAAATCAAAGAATTAGGAAGGCCTGGTAACATGCACTTGTAATCCCAGGTAATTGGGAAGTTGAGGTGGGAGGATAACTTGAGCCCAGGAATTCAAGGCTGCAGTAAGCTATGATCACGCCACTGTACTCCAGCCTGGGTGACACAGCAAGACCCTGTCTCTTTATAAAACAAAAGTATAGTACATACAATTATGTTCAGTAGTATATAATACTTAATAATGAAAATAAGCAACTACGTTACTGGCTTATGTATATGCTACACTATACTTCTTTATTGTTACTTTAGAATATACTCCTCTACCAATTAAAAAAAAAGTTAACTGTAAAACTGCCTCAGGCAGGTCCTTCAGTAGGTATGACAGGAGAAGGCATTTTTTGTTGTTGTTTCTTTTTTTGAAAGAGTCTCACTCTGTCACCCAGGCTGGAACTGCAGTGGCATGATCATGGCTCACAGCAGCCTTGACCTCTTAGGCTCAAGCAATCCCACCTCAGCCTCCCGAGTAGCTGGGACTATAGGCACATGCCACCATGTCTGGCTAATTTTTGTATTTTTTGTGGAGACAGGGTTTCATCATGTTGCCCAAACTGGTATTGAATTCCTGGGCTCAAGCAATTTGCCCGCCTTGGCCTTCCAAAGTGCTTGGATTATAGGCGTGAGCTACCACACCCAGCTCAGAAGAAGGCATTGTTATCATAGGAGATGACAGCTGCATGTGTGTTAACGCCCCAGAAGACCTTCTAGTGGGACAAGATGTGGAGGTGCAAGACAATGATATTGATGATCCTAACCCTGCGTAGGCCTAGGCTAATGTGTTTGTGTCTTTGATTTAGATTTTAAGAAAAATTACTAGAAGTGGAAAAAACTGTAAAATAAAAAAAGCTTACAGAATAAGGATATAACAAAAGAAAATATTTTTGCACAAATATACAATGTATGTGTATTTTAAGCTAAGTGCTATTACAAAGGAGTCAAGAACTTTAAAAAATTTTTAAACTAAAGAAGTTACAGGAGGCAGAGCTTGCAGTGAGCCGAGATTGCGCCTCTGCACTCCAGCCTGGGCGACAAAGCGAGACTCCGTCTCAAAAAAAAAAAAAAAAAAAAAAAAGTTAGAGTAAGATGTGGTTAATTTATTGTTGAAGAAAGAATATTTCCCAATATATTTAGTGTAGCCTAAGTGTACAATGATTATGAAGTCTACAGTGGTATACAGTGATTTTCTAGGCTTTCACATTCACTAATCACTCATTGACTGCCTCACCCAGAGCAACATCCAAGCCTGCAAGCGCTATTCAAGTTAAGCGCCCTATAGAGGTGTAACGTTTTTTATCTTTTATATTATATTCTTACTGTACCTTTTCTGTTTAGACACACAAATACTTACCATCATGTTACAACTGCCTAAAGTATTTAGTACAGTAACATGCTACACTGGTTTGTACCCACAGCCGAGATAGCCTCTACTATCTCAGATTGTGTAAAAGCACACTCTATGATGTCCCCACAATGAGGAAATCGCCTAAGGACGCATTTCTCGGAATATACCCGTCATGAAACAGCACATGACTATATGTCTATGCTGGTTGGTAGTCAACGTGCCCATGAAGACGGCCATTTCTTTGCTTCACAAGCAACCACACCACACCCTCAAACTACACGCTTTCTGATTATACCACAGTTTATATCTTACATAGGCTTTCACAAAAGTGAAAGATTATACTAATGCTGAATTTCTAGTAATTTACTGCTTGTTTTACTGAAGGTTAAATAATCTAAGTAAAACTTTCTAAAAATTTCTTTTTTCTTTTAAGATGAAATCTTGCTCTGTTGCTCAGGCTGGAGTATGGTGGTTTGATCTCGGCTCACTGCAACCTCCACCTGCCAGATTCAAGCAATTCTCCTGCCTCAACCTCCTGAGTAGCTGGGACTACAGGTGCCCGCCACCATGCCCAGCTAATTTTTGTATCTTTAGTGGAGATGGGGTTTCCCCATGTTGGCCAGGCTCAGGTGATCCACCCACTTTGGCCTCTCAAAGTGCTGGGATTACAGGCGTGAGCCACCGTGCCCAGCCAAGACGTCCTAAAAACTTCCTTTGAATTTCTGAAACTTAAAGATATAATTAGTTCAGAAACCCTACAGCCTAAAGAAGCCCAGTTTATAAACAAAGATTCTGGTTAAAGAATCATCTGTAGTCCTGGGAAAAGAAGGTTCCTCTAAACTACAGTTTAGCAATTCTAGTTTACAGTGTAGAAATAATGTTCTAAAACCTAGAAGTTGTCATAAGCACTCTATCTACTAACTAATATATTATAAAGGGGAAAGGAAGGGAGAATGTAAAAGATACTTTTTAGAAGGTGTTTTGGTCTATTGTATAGAATCCAGGTCAGTAGTTCTCAAATTATGGCACAAGGAACTACCGATATGCTCCAAAAGAGGTAGTCTGTTAACAATAAGTTTAAAAAGGTGGTCAATTAACAGTAAGTACAAACACTGGACCACATGCAAAAAAAAAATGGCTAATGAAAACAGTATTTAATCTTCCATAAACTATGAAAAATTTGTGGGTATTGAAAGCTATAAGAATGCATTTCCTACCAGGTGTGAAGGCTTACTATAAAGCTGTTGTTTAAGAAACAACAACAACAACAAAAAAAAAAAACAATATTCAAGTAGAGATACACAAGTAGGCCAGTGAAACGGCACAAATTCCAGAAACAGGTCCACATGTAAACATGGGATATGACAGAGACAGCCGTATGGACCACAAAGAAAACTACGTATTATTCAGTGAATCACTGTAGTATTGCCATCCTTATTTTTTAAAAAAGAAAGATAGAACCTTACTTACATCACACTCAAAAATAAATTCGAGGCAGAATAAAAAACCAAGAGTGAAGAAAAAGGATTTCTTTCCAGGCCGAGGGGCCAATGCCTATAATCCTAACACTTTGGGAGGCCAAGGTGGGAAGACAGCTTGAGCCCAGAGTTCTAGACCAGCCTGGCCAACACAGTGAGACCTCGTCTATACAAAAAATCAAAAAATTAGCCAGGCATAGTGGTACACTCCTATAGTCCTAGCAACTCGAGAGGCTGATGTGGGACAATTGCCTGAGCCCTCGGGTGTTGAGGCTGCAGTGAGTCGTGACCTCACCATAGCAGTCTAGCCTGGGCAACAAAGTGAGACCTTGTCTCAAAAAAAAAGTAATCAATAAATCTATTAAAATGTAAAACCTCTGCTTAACAAAGACAATAGAATGAGACTGGAAAGAGAAAGAGGAATTCAACTGCATTTGTAATATTTCATTTCTTAAATAAAATATTTGAAATATATGTGGAAAATATTACAAATGAAAATATGGGTAACTGAGTGATGAGCACACAAGTGCTTCTTCTGTTAGCTGCTGAATTTTTTATTGACAAAATTCTTGCCTATGGGGTAGCCCTGCTCTTTCTACGGAGCAGCCAAAAAAAGAAAAAAAAATTGACAGCTACTTCTACTCCGTCACAGCCAGTCTCCTTCTAATAACAAAAGAATAGCACATGGACAACGGTAGTTAATCAGTATCAAATGTATCCCGATTCCTTAACAGCAGCCCTTAGGAAAGAGAATGCAGATTCTGAAAGCCAGAGAGGAATTCGATTCATCAGGATCTACATACTTGTGACACAGCAGAAGCAGTGCAGCAACTGGAGGAAACAACTTCTCCAGTTAGTATAGGACTTCACAAATTTTATAACATCAGAGGCCGCTGGGCAGAGAATGTCTCTTACCTCTGATAGCCGTGTGACAATATAAAATTACTGTCTGATCTAGGGAAATATAATGCAGAGTGACATATTTTTTGGTTTATTTGAAATATTGTTAAGTTTTCCTCAGTGTAGCAATTTGACTTAATTGTGTGACACATATGTATACACATACATACACAATGTGTGTTTGTGTATATGTTTATATATATAAATGCATGTTTGCATATATATACATACATGTCTCTATATGGTTGTACACTATTGTGTATAGGTATGCATGTATAAGATATCTCCCCACATTATATTAGCTAGCATTTCTCAAAGGCTGAAAATTAAAGCAGTATGACTTATACATTCTTGATTTTAAATGTACTTTTTAAAAAGGCCAAGGTTTACAACACTAACCACTAACTGGGTGCCTTACTGAACAATCTTCTTAACAATTTATTGCAAAATAATAGTTACAGTATAAAACATATGCAAAACAAGTAAACGTGAGATGTAGCCACCAGAAGATATAAAGGGCAAAGGCTGAACCTAAAGCAACATTTCCTCAAAGTATATTCTATGAATATTAATGTATTAGTCATGTGGGCTAGTCATAATGCAAACGTACTTCTTTTTTTTTTTCTTTTTTTTTTTGAGACACAGTCTCTCTGTCGCTCAGGCTGGAGTGCAGTGGGGCAATCTCGGCTCACTGCAACCTTTGCCTCCCAGGTTCAAGCGATTCTCCTGCCTCGGCCTCCCAAGTAACTGGGACTACAGGCGCATGCCACCATGCCCAGCTAATTTTTGTATTTTTAGTAGAGATGGGGTTTCATCGTGCTGGCCAGGCTGGTCTCAAACTCCTGACCTCGTGATCAGCCCACCTTGGCCTCCCAAAGTGCTGGGATTATAGGCGTGAGTCACCACGCATGCCACAAATGCACATTTTTAAAGACTCTGACCAGTTGCCTAACTAAGAGGCCCATTTGAATATTTATTTCAGAGTCTTCCAAACTTATCTGGCCATGAATCCCTTTCTCTCCAGTTACACTTGTTGATATCTGGTAGAATTAATGTTCTGTTTTTAAGGTGCTGGCTGAAATAATTCATTTTTCTCTTTCCTTTTTTAATAGACTCATTATAAAACAAGTCTAAGACCCAAGCAATTTCGGGGCCCAGTGCAGTGGCTCACGCCTATAATCCCAACACTTTGGGAGGCTGAGGTGGGTGAATCGTTTGAGTCCAGGTGTTCAAGACCAGCCTGGGCAATGTGGCAACATACCATCTCTACAAAAAACAGAAAAATCAGCCAGGCGTTGTGGTGCATATAGTCCCAGATACCTGGGAGGCTGAGGTGGGAGGATCAGCTAAGCCCAGGACATTGAGGCTACAATGAGCCGTGATAGTATCACTGCACTGCAACCGAGGCAAAAAAGAGAGACTCAGTCTCCCAAAACAAAACAGAAAAAAGAAAAACTCCAAGCAATTTCTCTATTTCCCAAAGAAAACTTAATTGAAATTTAACCCTTTTGTAACACATCCATAAATCATTTAATATCTTCTCTTTGACAGAAGGGCAAATATTTCCAACTAGGAAAGCAAAAATTTAAATCTTATGCTTTATTCTAAAGTTATTACAGAAGAAAATTAATTTTAGCAAATAGAAATTTTAGAAGTAGCTAAGTTATATTAATAAATTTCTAAGAATGTAAACCCAGTAAAATACCACAAGGCTCTCTTGTAACTTCCCATGCTTATAGTATTTAATAATTACAGAATGGTACTTAAATTCTCAAATTATTTACACAAAGCAGATAATACTTAGGTAGAAAATCCAAAGATCAGTTCTATTTGCCTTTGGAATGTATTGTGTTTCTGTAACAAATTCACCTATTTAAGCTTTCCTTTAGTGAACACTACATGTAGCTTTCTTTATGTCAGCATATGTAAAAAAGGGAAGTACAGTCCAAACCTCTGCTGACAGGCAAAAACCAGGTGGGTTCAAACTAAAAATAAAATTTGGGGGGGTAAAGGGAGGGAGACTGAGAAATGATTAAAAAAGATCTTAGCACAACTCAGGGGAGAAAAAAAAAATCACTTAATTTTACCTAAAACAAATTGAAAATCAGGAAAAGACAGCGAACATGTATATTAAGTCACTAATATATTCACCCAGGCATACAGTAAAGCACCAGTAGGAAAAAAGAAAGAAAACTATTCTTTACAATTTAAACTTCTTAAAATCATACGCCTGTAAAATTACTACTACTATTTCAGTAATTTTATAATAAAGCAGCAAACCTACTGCTTTGAAGGGGGAAAAAGCAATGAAGAGCTTACTATCAAGTTCTCAGTAACAAAATCAACAATAATATATGAATACCATAAAGAAAGAAAAATTCCTTAAAAGAGCCCAATAATTCCAAAGGCTTAAAAAAAATTCTCAAAATGAGGGACAAAGAATCAACAGTAAAGATGAAATAAATTATGATGCTATTTCAATGCCAAAGTCTATCCTGATTTTTAAAAAGAATATGTAAGCTATAAAGGGATTTTTTAAAACTGCCTTTTTTTCTAAGAAATTATAAATTACTTTATAATAGTAGAGCTTAATTTTTTTTTCAATGACTAGTAATGGGAAGGGCAAACAAGAATCAAAAGATTTTCTACCCTCAAATCAAACTGCTCACCAAGGAATAACTAGTGCAGTGAAAGGCCATAAACATCATAAAGAAAAGACATAAACTGTTGTGAACTTGATGATTTGCACAGATGAAACTTTAAAAACTAACTCTTTTAAGGCACTTAAGAAACATACCACTAAATCTTGATCTTGAAGCAAGTTACAGATTGCTTCATAAAGCATGGGTCTTAAGTCAGACTTGAATTTCACAGAAATCCACTGACCGATGAGCCAAATCACCCTGCGTCGCAATGGCTTATACCTAAACAGGAAAAAATCATGAAATTAAAATGTTAAATATTTTAAGAGGTCTATTTCTTTTAGTATAATTTATCATTTAAATCTAAAATGTAGTAAGAATGCAATCTGCATTTTTAATATAAAAGCTTAAAAGCAGGTGTGCTGGCTCATGCTTATAATCGCAGCACTTTGGAATGCCAAGGAGGGCAAATCACTTGAGGCCAGGAGTTGAAGACCAATCTGGGCAACATGGTGAAACCCCATCTCTACTAAAAATACAAAAATTAGCAGGGCGTGGTGGCATGCACCTGTGGTCCCAGCTTCTTGGAAGTCTGAGGCATGAGAATCCCTTGAAACCCAAGAGACAGAGGTTGGCAATAAGCCAAGATTGTGCCACTGCACTCCAGCCTAGGCAACAGATCAAGGCTCTGTCAAAAAAAAAAAAAAGCTTAAAGCCTACTTCTAAATGTACCACAGTACAAAATATTAACAATGAAGTCTTGATCTAAATAAATATTATTAAAACTTTTAGTACTTAAAAATTCCTAGGCATATATGTTGTAATCCTGACTCTTTTATCTTAAAGAACCGCAATGTAGGTATGTTTCATAAAAACCAAATCCATTTGGTTTTAGCTCAAGTAACCAAAAACAGTGGCAATGCCCCAAACTCTAAAACTGGAAAGGTCCCCAAAAATAATAATAAAGAAGCTCCTGTATGTAATTTTCTACTCCAATTCTGTTAATACTATGAAGATTATTTTCAGAACAATGTAAGAAACTTCTAGGCTTATATAAAACTTTCATATAAATTTTGTGATTTCAACTAAGCTAATTTTGTAAGAGGTACACAATAACAGAATGTGACTCAGATTACCAAAATAACATATATTAACACTGGCAAAACATTTACAGTAGCACATATATACATTTCTTTCTTTCTCTCATCATCTTCGCTAAAAGAAATCAAAGTTCAGGTAAGGAGAAAAATCATGCAGTTCAAAACATTTGTGTCCAAGAATTTCACTCATGAAGTACCTTTTTGATATTATGTAAATTTTAGTGGCAAGATGATAAATATTTCTGGGTATAAATGAAACACTTTTTTTTTTCCCAAAAAATTGCAATTTTAAAAGATGATCAAGCACACAGGAAAAAACTGCTCATTAAAGTTGCAAAAACTGGGCCGGGTGCAGTGGCTTACACCTGTAATCCCAGCATTTGGGAGGCTGAGGTGGGCAGATGGCTTGAGCTCAGGAGTTTGAGACCAGCCTGGCCAATATGATAAAACCCTACCAAAACTACACAAAAATAGCTGGGCATGGTGGCACACATCGTGGTCCCAGCTGCTCAGGAGGCAGAGGTGGGAGGATCACTTGAGCCCAGGAAGCAGAGATTGCAGTGGGCCAACATCATGGCACTGCACTCTAGCCTGGGTGACAAAGTGAGACCCCATCTCAAAAATTAAATAACATAAATAAAGTTACAAAAAAAAGTATGTAAGTATTCCCTGCCCCCAAGAAGTTTATAACACACCTAAAGGAATTTAAAAACACAAAGTAGTGTACTAGGACTTTAGAAAAGGAAGAGAAGAAATGGGCAGAGACAGACGGAATCTGAGCAAGTCTTTGAGATAAACAATATTGGAGCCAAAGGGTGGAAAAATGTCATTTCAAGGGACAGAAACTGTTTGAACCAAGTGACAGAGGCAGAAGTAACAACTTGTGTAGAGTGAGGTAAAAGCACCAAAGAACCATCAATTTTGGGACTAAGACCATATTAGACTCTGTTCCAGATAAAGAATATGAAACTCAGAAAGGTAAAATTCCAAACTCATAGACACATCCAAACAGAAGTAAAAGTATAGATCACTTTGCTATTTAATGTGTGCATTGCTTGATTTTTCCCAGACCTACTAAGTCAAAACCTAAACTTTAACAAGATTACCAGGTGACTCATATGTACATTAAAGTTTGAGAAACACTGGTCTACATCAGCTTTGTCCATTAGAAATATAATGCAGGCCACATATGTTATTTTAATTTTTTAGTACCCACATTATAAGAGAAAAGAAACAAAATCTTATTCTTTGGGAGGCCAAGGCGGGCAGATCACGAGGTCAGGAGATCGAGATCATCCTGGCTAACACAGTGAAACCTCGTCTCTACTAAAAAAAAATACAAAAAAATTAGCCGGGCATGGTGGCGGGCACCTGTAGTCCCAGCTACTGGGGAGGCTGAGGCAGGAGAACGGCATGAACCCGGGAGGCAGAGCTTGCAGTGAGTCGAGATCGCGCCACTGCACTACAGCCTGGGCAACAGAGCAAGACTCCATCTCAAAAAAAAAAAAAAAAACTTATTAATATTTTTACATATCCCAATATATCCAAAATATCATTTCAACATGTAATCAATAAATATTTTACATGGCTTTAAATTTTAAATTTAAATTAATTAAAATTGGAAAGTTGTTGCCTCAGTTGCACTAAGCACATTTCAAGTGCTCAATAGCTACACGTAGGGAGCTTCTGCACTGGACAGTGAAGGTCTTACACTAAATAGCCTCTAGGGTTTAAGGACAACTAAACTGCACATTTGTTTCGCCAATGAAAGCTTTCTCTCCATCAAAGGCTCACTAGCTCCCTGAGACTAAGTCAGAGTCTATTTTATTTAACACCGCCTATAGGACATGGCAAATTCCAAGTGTTAAAAATATATGTTAACTGAATAAATGATTGAATAACTGAAGAGATAAACAGCTACTTACTGTTAAGAATTACTTTTAGAGTATCTCCAGCTCTACAAATTCTGTGGCTCTAAATGTGACCTATGCATTCATTAGTTTAGTCAACAAATATTAACTATCTATGACTATATGCTAAGTATTCTGATAGGCCCCAGGTATACTGAAGTGAATCAGTAGAAGTGTATCCTTCAAATTAAGAAAAAAGCCCCTTAGAATTTTTTCAAATTCTCCAATTTTAAACTAAGAAATAATTTTATAAACTATGAAAGAGGTTTTTCCTTTCATTTTATGCATTCAATACCTAAAATTTAAGTAGACAAGTGCTTAAATGTATATAAAACGTAAGAATTGGGCTGGCCAGGTGTGGTGGCATGCGCCTGTAATCCCTGCTACTCAGGAGACTGAGGCACAAGAATCGCTTGGACCTGGGAGGTGGAGGTTGCAGTGAGCTGAGATTGCACCACTGCACTCCAGGCTGGGTGACAAAATGAGACTATTTCAAAAAAAATAGAATTGGGCAAATGTGCTATTAAATGTACTAAATTAATTCATTTCATAATTCATATTACTAAATGTAATATGAATCTGTACTATTTAATTAGGTACCTCAATTAGAACTTAGAAAGGGTATTCAAATATTTTTGCCATGATGTCTCTATATCCTACTCTACCGTCTCCCCAGAGACTTGCAGTATGCATTATGTGATCCCAAGACATTCATCTTTCACAGATGTTACTTTGATTAGGCTACTTCTGACACTAGGCATACATCCTGCTAAGTTTCGAACTGTCTTTTTCTTAGGCATAGTTTCTTGAACTCAGAGACCTCCATCCTCCCTCATCTTTGCATAAAGTCCTCCTTTTCTCCTGCAAACTACCTGATATATCAAATACTTCCTAGATGTCAAAATTCTTATTCCTTTCCACATAAGACATTACCTAACTTATACGATTGCATTTTTTAAATTGTAAGCCATTTTAATGCCTTCCTGTCTTCATTAATAAAATAAATAAGGTAAAGTAAGTGTATAATAAATATAAAATTTTATACTTGCCTATTGTGAATGACTTGTAATTCTGGAAGAAGCTGGTTTTTAAACCACTGATCAAAATCAACACTGTCAAAGAGCTCATAAGCAGCTAATCCAACAGCATTATACACTGAGAAGAAAATTTAAGAAAAAAAATTAAAGGTTTCAGATATCAGATCTGCAAATGAGTGTATGAAACATATGTTAATTAAAGGAAACACACAATATGCTAATCAGGGAAATTATTTAAGTAGAAATAATTTAAGTAGAAGAAATAATTTATTTTAGAAACACTATTTTACTTCATGTTTTTCCTAAATATTCCTTACTACTTTCAAACAGATAATTCAATTCATTCTAAAATATTTAAGTCCAACTATAAAAATTATAAAATAATGCCTGCTTCTAAAATGGATGTAATATTTTATGATCTGGTCCCTACTTAACTCTCTCCAGCCTCAACTCAACCTTTAACCCCAATGTTCCAGTTAAACCAAAATAGTCACAATTCAAATTCTAACTGTGCTTCCTCCTCTTTCCTTCAAGTCTTTGTACTTATTGCTCCATCTCCCTGGAATGCAACACCCTCTTTCCATCACCACCTCCTCACACGTGTAACTCCTACTTATCCTTGTGTTCTTCCATTACACTTCTTTGGGAATCTTTCCTTAGACACACCAAACTATCTGGTGATCATCACCTACTTTAGCATTAACTATCCTGTATAGTATTATTATAATACATTATCTGTTTACTTGGTTATCTCCCCAATCAGATTGTTCCTGTATTTTAGTTACTCTTGTATCTCAACACCCTCAGCACAAAATCTACCACAAAACAGACTCTCCATCTACTGAATAAATAAATGCTTCTAAATCACTTAAGTTTAACATACCAGCATCTTTGATTAACAGTGCATTCATATCTTCCACATTTGTGGGTCCTAAAAAATATATATATAAATAGGTATCAGTAAAAGCAAATAAAACTAGTTTTTTAAAAAATTTATATTTAAACACAATTTGTTAGTTTCCCAATTCAATTAAGTATAACACATTTCATGGTGTCAAAAATGGACACAAGTACAAAGGGAAAGTCTAAGTTTTATGATTATCATTAGAGAACACAGGATTAAAAACCATTATAGCATATTTGAAAAATGTTATGACAAGCAATATTCTAGAAAATATACACCACAAAATGCTAATGTGCTATATACCACAAAATTATTTTTTTTGAGACAAGGTCTTGCTTTGTCACCCAGGCTGGAGTACAGTGGAGTGAGGTTTTCTCAGTTCACTGCAGCCTCATCCTCCTGCGCTCAAATGATCCTCCAACCTCAGCCTTCTGAATAGCTAGGACTACAGGTACTAACCACCAGGCCCAGCTAATTTTCCTAATTTTTGTAGCGACAGGTTTTTGCCATGTTGTCCAGGCTGGTCTGGGACTCCTGGGCTCAAGTGATCTGCCCACCTCAGCCTCCCAAAGTGCTGGAATTACAGGCGTGAGTCACCATGCCTGGCCAACACTCATTCTGACAACATGCTCTTCTCTAGGATACACCACTACACCTGGCATTTTTACAAGGCTTTTATTTACTCATATCCCTATAGGTGAAAATCTCAGGTTCTGTCCTTAAGATCCTCTTTTCTTTTCCCAAGGCTCCTTACATACATGCACTCCGAAAGTATATCTCTATCTCCTACCACTTCTAATGAGGTAACTGTTTCCTTGTCATTAAGGCTCAAAAGTTTAGGATCATCTTTGATCACTTTTCCTTGCCTAGCACATTCAATCGGTTGCTAAAAGTCAATCAAGTAACAATAGTTACTGAATATGCCCAGCACTGGGAATAAAATATAAACAAAACAGACGTGATCAATGCCCCTAGGACTTACAGTCTAGCAGAAAAGACAGAAATCATAAATCAATGTTAGTTAATAGGCAGATAATTAGTTACTTGTGTACAAAGTGTAATGACCAAGTGTCAAAAATTTACATCATCATTTTCTCTCAAATCCATAATCAATTATTTCCATTCCCACTGCCACCATTCTAAGAGAGGCTAACACTATTTTAACCTTTTCTCACTATTTCTCACAACACGCTCCAGATAGACTTTCTGCAAGCAGTATGACTACTGTTTTGCTTTTGCTTCTATTGTATTTACTACAGGAAAATTTATCATCGTCCAAACTATAATTCAAGGCCTATCTCAAATGCCACCCCCTTGGAAGATAATAAGTTTTAAAATTGTTTTTCTCAAATTCATATTTATTATATGACCCAGGAAACAGTACAGTATGCATTGTAGGCACTCAGACTATTTCTTAACTAAACGTTAAAGAGATTAACTCAAAGTTAATCACAAAATATGCCTTACCTTGAAGTGTTTGCATCATTTCTAGAAGTACAGGAGTAAGAGTCTGATTATATTCATGGAATATATCTATAAATAATACTTCAGTGCATGGCTGGAGAGGGAAAAATACAAATTTCTCATCAAAACAGTTGCATACTATATTGACTAATTCTTTAATAAAGCAAATACTTAATCTTAAAATTCTAAAACTTTGAAAATGTTTCCAACTTTTGATTTGTTAAAAAAAAAAAGTAAGGTTACCATTTTTTTATAACCAACACAAAGGAAAACAAAATCGAATTATAATTAATAAAAGAAAGTTGATTTCATTTCAATTATTTGTCATTACGCATTCAAAAACTTAAAACTATGGCAAGCAAAGTGTACATTTTAAATTAATCATACCTTAAATTTAAAAAGCATTCTGTAGCCACTCATTTATAGCTCAGTACTATAAATGGCTGACTACCCAAGATTCTTTTTTTTTTGAGACACAGTCTCACTCTGTCACCAGGCTGGAGTGCAGTGGTGTGATTTCGGCTCACTGCAACCTCCACCTCCCAGGTTCAAGCGATTCCCCTGCTTCAGCCTCCCGAGTAGCTATTATGTATTTTCTTAGCAATGATATAATAAGCAAAAACAGGAACTCCAATTTGCCAAATAAAGTAGCCTTTCTCTTAACAAACACAAGCGGTAACAGAAATTAGCATTAGCTACATTTAAAAAAATGATTTGTTTGGTTCTTAAAAGTACTGAATCATTTCACATTGCATGCTGGTATCAAAACATCTCATGTACCCCATAAATATGTACACCTACTATGTACCCACAAAAAATTTTTTAAAATAATTTTTTATTTAAATTTTAAAAAGGAATTTAATCACTAGATCGTTCACAATATTTAAATTTTTTAATTAAATTTTTAAGGTATTGTGTGGTGTTTTAAAAGGAACATTATAAATATACACACTGAAATATGGTCAGAGGATGTGTCATCTCAGATAACCATCAACACTGGGAGATGTTTACAGGAAGCTAAAGTAGCCATGAGTTGATAACTAATAAACTAGCTTATCATGAAGGGCTCATTATATTATTCTATTTTTTAATATGTTTAAACTTCTCCATAAAAGAAACTTTTAAAAATTAAAGGAATGAAATTTTTTAAAGTTTTAAAATCACCAGTAATCTCTCTGGTTAACAACTGTATGTTTATGAATCTAAAAACATTAAAGATAACATTTTTAGAAGACAAATAGCTAATTATGTAAATTATGTAAGTGCAAATCTTAAAAAGAAGAGCTCAAACATCACATCTGGTAACGGCAAAACATTTGTCATATTAATAAATGCGTTGTAAAAGTATCCTATAACTGAAAGCAATGGGCTAGTCTCTGAGAATCACATGAAGTGGTAAGAGAAATAACATACCAAAAGAAACTTTACTAATGAAATATATAGAAGGAAAAAATTCTAGCTTAAGAATGGCAGCTTTCAGTTTGACAAACATTTTCTATTTGTGTAATGACAATTATTTCCCAAGCAATGTACTAAAAGATGAAGAAAAAATTTGTTTTCCGACCCCAAGTTAAACAAAAGAAAAGGCCAGGCACAGTGGCTCACGCCTGTAATCCCAGCACTTAGGGAGGCCGAGGCGGGTGGCTCACGAGGTCAGGAGATCGAGACCAACCTGGCTAACAAGATGAAACCCCGTCTCTACTAAATAAACAAAAAATTAGCTGGGCGTGGTGGCGGGCGCCTGTATTCCCAGCTACTCGGGAGGCTGAGGCAGGAGAATGGCATGAACCCAGGGGGCGGAGCTTGCAGTGAGCCGAGATGCACCAGTGCACTCCAGCCTGGGCAACAGAGTGAGATTCTGTCTCAAAAAAAAAAAAAAAGAAAAAGAAAAAAGAAAAAAAACTCAGATTAAACGTCATAATTTAATATGAATATAGTTCTTAGTTTCTTATAAACAGTTTCTTATCTGTCTGACTTAATGTTGGGAATCTTTAATTTTTTTTTTTTTTTTTTTAAGAGACGGGTTTTGCTTTGTAATCCAGGCTAGAACGCAGTGGCATCATCATGGCACACGGCAGCCTCAACCTCCTGGGCTCAAACAATCCTCCTGCCTCAGATTCCTGAAGAGTTGGGACTACAGGTATGCGCCACCACTCTGGTCTAATTTTTTTTTCCTTTTTTTACTTTTTGCAGAGACAGGGTCTCACTATGTTTACCAGGCCGGTCTTGAATTTCTGGCCTCAAGCGATCCTCCCACCTTGGCTTCCCAAAGTGCTAGGATTAAAGTGTGAGCCACCATGCCCAGCAAATGTCTGGAATCTTTAATAGAGTGTCATTCTCTACTAAGAGCTTTAGAAAGATTAAGCTTTCCCCTATCAATTTTTCTTGCAATTAATACTTACCCTCAAACTATATTTCCAAGAATCTCCTCCTGTTTCTTCCACTGCTGCAATTAAAAATATGTAATAATGACATTTTCAACATCTTGGTTTAGAAAACAAAGATTTTAATAACATCAGTATAATATTTTTGTGAACTCTTTTAAACATAACATTAAGAGCAAAGCCTTGGGAACACAGGCCTTACACAGATTTTGTTACTATATGCTACAGATCACAGTTGTGTATCTCACAGTCGTCTATTAAGTGCTTACTATATCCATAAGCATTCTCATTTTCGATAAAAATTCTTTATGGAAAAAAGCTCAAAGTAGTTGTCATTTCCAGGGTATCTGCTATCACCTGATCCAATATCACTAGAATTCTGAGAATCATTTCATTTCAATACAGTAATCATGTTTCACTAGGTACAATGATTACTCACACTCTCCATAAATTTCTTGAATTTAAAGAAAAATACTTCAGGGCTCTTAAAAATTTAGGGACTCAACACTTTATGTTACAATGTTGTATGTACTATATAAAGAAAGCAAATTGAAAAAAGATGTTTCAAAAAAAGCAAAAAAAAAAACAAGAAAAGACATGTTGTACAGTACAATCCTGTATTAAAACTAAAATTACTTTTAAAAACCAAAAGCATGGCGAAGATAAGTATTACAAAAACTTTTGGGCACTCTTAAAATATTAGGAAACGTGTAACTACACAAGGGTACACAACCAAAGAGAAAAGGGAGGCTAAAATCTAGCCTATGTCCCACCATAGCTTAAGTAATTCACATACAAGTAAGTACTTTATTAGACACATGATTCCTTGATTTTCTATAGCAAGGGTCCCAACAGACTTATTCTACTTATCTATCTAGTACTAAAATTCAAACAGATATAAAGATGTCCTGTCCAAAAAAAAAAAAAAAACTATTCATCAAAAACCTCCAAATTTCTTTGCAAGAATTTCTACAAATAAAAAATAACATGGAATGAATCACAAAATAGAAACTGACAGGGTAAGAGAGAGTTAATTTTATATTTTTGTTTGAAACTACATGATATATTTGTAAAGGAATCCAAAAACTAAAAAGGTCTTTTCCTGGACAAAATTCTACAACATATTTGCATAAGTCATTCATTTTCTGCTTCTCAATTTGTTCTAATGGATAACAACGAAAGAGTAAGTTAATTTTAAAACACCAAGATTTCCAGATCAAAAGTGCTGTATGAAAATACAATATTATACCTATCACTCAAACAGATATTTATAGAAAGGGGAGAAAAGTCATTCTAACACTAAAAAATTAATTCTTACTAAAGCCTTCTGGGTCTTCTTCCCACATTGTCAGTTCTTCTTCAGTTAATAGGAAATAATGAGAGACTAATCTTCTACATATCTCTGTCAAAGTAGGATATGTGAAGAATGCCATCTTAATCTTATGGGCTTCAAGAGTTTCAGGGCTGCTATCTAGAAAAATGAAATTTCCAAGTTAATTGTATAGCCAAACATTGTAGCTACATTGGATTATGTAACTTAAATAAATAAAAAATACACTCTCAGGGAAGAAGATACACTTGTGTATAAATTTTCATTTTTATTATAAACAAATCTCAAAGATACTCTTTCCTTACAACACACTCACATCAATCTTGCCTCTGGCATTACAGCTTATATATTACCATGCAATACCATCACGGCATACTGAAATAACTTCCTCATAATGTAGAGGGTGTGGGGGGTGTGTGCATGTGTTTCTCTCTCCCCCACCACCAAGACTTCTTCATTCATCTTGGCACACACGCATATGAATGAATTCCAAATAATACAACAATTTAACCTGTCTAGAAACAATCACACTTTATATAAAGTCAGAGAAAGCTTTTATTTGTTCAAATGAATACACCCTACAATATGAGCTGCAGTGATGACTATAGTACCTAATTCTTAAAGTCCCTAAGCTTCAACCAATTTGTGCTACAAAAAATGGCTTATTAAATGCACTATGTTGTTTTTAAAAGCTAGTATAAACATACTAAAGCCTATAATCCTTATATCTTTTTCATGTCCCAGCAACAATTTATTTTTCAGACTAAAATGACATTTTTTAAAAAGTTTGTAATTATAGCAATTATATCACACTTAAGATTAAAATAATTCTTTTAAACTGCCAATAAAGGAATTACCTTCAAAATTTTTGGATGGCTTATAAGCATAATTTTTGACAATCATCTTAATAAGATTCATACATTGGACAATGAATCGTTCAAATGTAACGCCTTCACCAACTTCTGTAAAAACATAGCTTACAGAAAATTCCAGTGATCTCTGAATTAGAGGAGTAAATGAAAAAGGATGCTGATCCAAGAAGTCCAAAAGCTGTAGAAAAATAAATAAATAAAAATTAAAATGTATTTTCCCCAAATTCATATTGGAATATAATCACTCCAATTATAACTTTACTAATAATCATTTAGCAGTTTGAACCTTAGTGTGGAGTCTATGTTCACTCAGTTTTACATTATCATAACTCTTCTTGAGGCACATCATATAATGAGGATTATGTTAGATTATATCTGATAATAAGAACTTTCTATTATTTTCAATACAGAAACCAAAACAGACTCAATTCATACTTAATTTTATAACAATGGGTGAATATGATACAAAACGCTTAAATATACAATAGACCTTTAAAAGTAATAGACTAAGGTAAAGAATTTAAATATTATCTTCCCTTTCCCATATGAATTATATTTTAATGTTATCAAATAGCTAAGGAGGGAGATGTCTTCTTTATAGAAGAATTTCAGCTAATAAATGCAAAAGGAATAACAGAATTAGAATGCCATCATTGTGTAACTCCTGATCAAATAATGGATCTAGGCAAATGATGATCAACAGCTGTTAAAATAAGAGAAAAGCTGCTGAGGAAATTTGATAGATCACTCATCAATCTTAGCCACAGAAAAAGAAACCAATGAGAACAAAGACACAATGTACCAGAGTCTCTGGGACACATTTAAAGCAGTGTGTAGAGGGAAATTTATAGCACTAAATGTCCACAAGAGAAAGCAGGAAAGATCTAAAATCAACACCCTTACATTACAATTAAAAGAACTAGAGAAGGAAGAGCAAACACATTCCAAAGCTAGCAGAAGGCAAGAAGTAACTAAGATCAGAGCAGAACTGAAGGAGACAGAGACACAAAAAAACCCTTCAAAAAATCAATGAATCCAGGAGCTGGTTTTTTGAAAAGATCAACAAAAGTGACAGACCACTAGCAAGACTAATAAAGAAGAAAAGAGAAGAATCAAACAGACACAATAAAAAATGATAAGGAGTATCACCACCAATCCCACAGAAATACAAACCAACATCAGAGAACACTGTAAACACTTCTAAGCATATAAACTAGAAAATCTACAAGAAATGGATAAATTCCTGGACACATACACCCTCCCAAGACTAAACCAGTTAGAAGCTGAATCTCTGAAGAGACCAGTAACAGGCTCTGAAATTGAGGCAATAATCAATAGCTTACCAATCAAAAAAAGTCCCAGACCAAACAGATTCACAGCCGAATTCTATCAGAGGTACAAAGAGGAGCTGGTACCATTCCTTCTGAAACTATTCCAATCAATAGAAAAAGAGGGAATCCTCCCTAAATCCTTTTATGAGGCCAGCATCATCCTGATACCAAAGCCTCGCAGAGATACAACAAAAAAAGAGACCAATATCCCTGATGAACAATCAGGGATTTAGACCAATATCCCTGATGAACATCAATGCGAAAATCCTCAATAAAATACTGGCAAACAAACCGAATCCAGAAGCACATCAAAAAGCTTATCTGCCATGATCAAGTGGGCTTCATTCCTGGGATGCAAGGCTGGTTCAACATACGCAAATCAATGAACGTAATCCATCACATAAACAGACCCAAAGATAAAAACCACATGATTATCTCAATAGATGCAGAAAAGGCCTTCGACAAAATTCAACAGCCCTTCATCCTAAAAACTCTCAATAAACTAGGTATTGATGGGACATATCTCAAAATAAAAAGTGCTATTTATGACAAACTCACAACCAATATCATACTGAATGGGCAAAAACTGGAAGCATTCCCTTTGAAAACTGGCACAAGACAGGGATACCCTCTCTCACCACTCCTATTCAACATAGTGTTGGAAGTTCCGGCCAGGGCAATCAGGCAAGAGAAAGAAATAAATGGTATTCAATTAGGAAAAGAGGAAGTCGGCCAGGCGCGGTGGCTCATGCCTGTAATCCCAGCACTTTGGGAGGCCAAGGCGGGTGGATCACAAGATCAGGAGATCGAGACCATCCTGGCTAACACGGTGAAACCCTGTCTCTACTAAAAATACAAAAAAAAATTAGCCGGGCATGGTGGCGGGTGCCTGTAGTCCCAGCTACTCAGGAGGCTGAGGCAGGAGAATGGTGTGAACCCAGGAAGCAGAGCTTGCAGTGACCCAAGATCACGCCACTGCACTCCAACCTGGGCGACAGAGCAAGACTCTGTCTCCAAAAAAAAAAAAAAAAAAAAAAAAAATGAAAGAGGAAGTCAAATTGTCCCTGTTTGCAGATGACATGATTGTACATTTAGAAAACCCCATCATCTCAGCCCAAAATCTCCTTAAGCTGATAAGCAACTTCAGCAAAGTCTCAGAATACAAAATTAATGTGCAAAAATCACAAGCATTCCTATACATCAGTAATAGACAAACAGCCAAATCATAAGTGAACTCCCATTCACAACTGCTACAAAGAGAATAAAATACCTAGGAATCCAACTTACAAGGCATGTGAAGGACTTCTTCAAGAAGAACTACAAACCACTGCTCAACAAAATAAGAGGACACAAACAAATAGAAGAACATTCCATGCTCGTGGATAGGAAGAATCAATATCGTGAAAATGGCCATACTGTCCAAGGTAATTGATAGATTCAATGCCATCTCCATCAAGCTACCAATGACTTTCTTCACAGAATTGGAAAAAAACTACTTTAAAGTTCATTTGGAACCAAAAAAAAGCCCGCATTGCCGAGACAGTCCTAAGCCAAAAGAACAAAGCTGGAGGCATCATGCTACCTGACTTCAAACTATACTACAAGGCTACAGTAACCAAAACAGCATGGTACTGGTACGAAAACAGAGATATAGACCAACGGAACAGAATAGGGCTCTCAGAAATAACACCACACATCTACAACCATCTGATCTTTGACAAACCTGACAAAAACAAGAAATGGCGAAAGGATTCCTATTGAATAAATGGTGCTGGGAAAACTAGCTAGCCATATGTAGAAAGCTGAAACTGGATCCCTTCCTTACACCTTATACAAAAATTAATTCAAGATGGATTAAAGACTTAAATGTTAGACCTAAAACCATAAAAACCCTAGAAGAAAACCTAGGCAGTACCATTCAGGACATAGGTATGGGCAAAGACTTCATGACTAAAACACTAAAAGCAATGGCAACAAAAGCCAAAATTGACAAATGGGAGCTAATTAAACTAAAGAGCTTCTGTACAGCAAAAGAAAACTACCATGAGAGTGAATAGGCAACCTACAGAATGGGAGAAAATTTTTGCAATCTACTCATCTGACAAAGGGCTAATATCCAGAATCTACAAAGAAGTTAAACAAAATCACAAGAAAAAATCAAACAACCCTATCAAAAAGTGGGCAAAGGACATGAACAGACGCTTCTCAAAAGAAGACATTTATGCAGCCAGCAGACACATGAAAAAATGCTCATCATCACTGGCTATCAGAGAGATGCAAATCAAAACCACAATGAGATACCATCTCACACCAGTTAGAATGGCGACCATTAAAAAGTCAGGAAACAACAGGTGCTGGAGAGGATGTGGAGAAATAGGAATGCTTTTACACTGTTGGTGGGACTGTAAACTGGTTCAACCATTGTGGAAGACAGTGTGGCGATTCCTCAAGGATCTAGAACTAGAAATACCATTTGACCCAGCCATCCCATTACTGGTTATATACCCAAAGGATTATAAATCATGCTACTATAAAGACACAGGCACACGTATGTTTATTGTGGCGCTATTCACAATAGCAAAGACTTGGAACCAACCCAAATGTCCATCAACGATAGACTGGATTAAGAAAATGTGGCACATATACACCATGCAATACTATGCAGCCATAAAAAAGGATGAGTTCACGTCCTTTTGTAGGGACATGGATGAAGCTGGAAACCATCATTCTGAGCATACTATCGCAAGGACGGAAAACCAAACACCGCACATTCTCACTCATAGGTGGGAATCGAACAATGAGAACACTTGGACACATGGTGGGGAACATCACACACCGGGGCCTGCCGTGGGGTGGTGGAATGGGGGAGGGATAGCATTAGGAGAAATACCTAATGCAAATAACAAGTTAATTGGTGCAGCCAATCAACATGGCACAATTATACATATGTAACAAATCTGCACATTGTGCACATGTACCCTAGAACTTAAAGTATAATTTAAAAAAGAGAAAAAGAGACAACCAGACATTGTGTGTCACATTGCATGTGTGCACGTCATACAATACAGAACAATACTTATAATGTATTCTTGCCATCCCTGCCCTATCCCCCACAAAAAAGCCTGAAAGTGACTAAACCTCTACATCTAACTACCAACTTATAAGAAATATGGGAGGAGAAGTGTGAAGACTAAAGAACATGTTAACAAAAAGCATGTGGCGACACAAGCAATCAAATTCAAAACATGAAAAAGTACAGAAAATTACCTGTTACCTCAAGAAATAACAGCAAGGAAATAACTTTGGAACAGATGGAAAGGGAGCTGATGCAAGTTGAATCCTGATTCAAACAAACTAGAAAAATTCATGACACAATCAGAGAAATCTAAAATCTGACTAGATATTTAAATGATATTAAGAAGCTATCAGTATTTTTTAAATATAAAATTGTGTTAAGATCCTATTTAAAAAAAATAAAACAGGCCAGGTGTGGTGGCTCACGCCTGTAATCCCAGCACTTTGGGAGGTGGCAGTGGGTGGATCACTTGAGCCCAGAAGTTCGAGACCAGCCTGGGCAACATGGCAAAACCCTATCTCTACCAAAAATACAAAAATTTAGCTGGGCGTGGTGGCATGTGCCTCTGGTCCCAGCTACTTAGGAGGCTGAGGTGGAAGGATCACTTGAGCCCACAAGGCAGAGGCTGCAGTGAGTCAAGATCACACCACTGCACTCCAGCGTGGGTGACAGAGTCAGACCCCATCTCAGAAAATACACACACACAAAACAAAACAACCCTACCACTTAAAGACACGCACTCAAATATTTACAGGTAATACTAGATAATATCTGGGATTCGATTTAAAATAACCAGCAAGGGTGGGAGGGGAAAGCAGCACACAGACAAAGTAAGACTGACTGTGGCCATATGTTGATAATTGTTGCTGAGTGATGATGTCATGAAGACTCAAAGTTACTCAATTCTATTTATAGTAACTTTATTCTATTTTGAAATGTTCTAATTTAAAAAGCTTTAATAAAGTCTTAGAGATCATAAATATGAATTTCATAAATGAAATTGCTTCCAACATGTTAAGTAGAATAAATTACAGATACCATCTATCCATGTCATTACCTTAAGAAAGAGTTGAAAGAACTGAAAAATCTCACAGCTAAATAAATGTGTTTTCTAAAACAGATCATCTAAATAATGCTTTTTAAATTTTACTTATGTAACTGATATAGTGAGTAGGGACTGTGAGGCAGCAGAGCCGCAGGCAAGTGTCAGTGATATATACTGTATAGTCCTCTTTGACTAAGCACATCATCCTGTTTTACTTTGCTTTGTGTTTTTTTAAACAGAGAATCTTAGTCAATTTTATAATGTATCTTGGAAGATTAGGTGAACTTCTGTTGTTGAGGCTACTTGGAACAAGAGAAACGAAGACAACTGAAACTAAAGGTAATTACTACCTAAAACACAAAGATAAAAAACAGCTCATTTCTGCTCCTTTACTCCCCTCCCAGGGAATAAGCAACCCCTACCCTATTATTGAATCTTTAATTAAAAAGGGAAATAGATTACAGATTTAGTTGTTCCCACCTGTCTTCAAGTACCTATTTTAGTGCAAGCAGTCCCCAAGCTAGGTCTTTCTAACTGCTGTAACCCAATTATTTGCACTTCTCCCAATCCTTCAAGACCAAAATATCATTAAAAGTTAATGTTTTATAAAATGTAATTATACACACTGCCTACCACAGCGCACCCCCTATAATTCCACTCAAAAGATGCTTAGTATGGACGAAGATAGTCTGATGGTCATTCTGAATATACTGACTTCCTGTCTGCTACATTTGATCTACTTCTAGCTGAACTGCACTGCTATCTTCTTTATCTCCACTTTCTCCAGTGGGTCAAAGAATAATGAGCTTTAGAGGAATCAAATACTCTAATATTTATTAGAATTTATTTTTCATGTACCAAGGTGACTTACACTATGACACATGGTATGTAAATTTAATTATTATATGCATTCTAAAGTACATATAAAAGCAATTTTTAGCTTTCCTATAAGGAGTCAGAACATAGGTTTCCTTACACTAAAGTGAAAATGTATGGTTATAAAAATATCATTTTCCTTTGTAAATCTGAATATGTGTATTATATTTGAGAAAACAAGTTTTTAAAAAACTTACCACTTTAGTAAAAAGAATGATGGTCTTTTCCAGTCTATCTCTACACACATTATCTGTACCTATACTTCTACCTGTTAAAAATACATTTCAAATATTAGAAGTTAATAAGTTCACAACCAAGACAACATCAAAATTTTTACAAAAATAATATTGCTGGTTTTATTTTTGCATATTTTGCATTATGAATTCATTATTTAAAAAGCAATACCAAGATTTACACTGAGTAACAGACACAGTAGCCCTCTGTGCCATATTATATAAAATTAACCCTAATATATGAACTGAACTCACTTTTATAGTAAAAGAATAGTCGTTTTAGCAATGAATCATGGATAACATTTAAAAACTAAATGTCACAGTTGAAGTATTTTTCAAGCAACATACATGTGTAAAATAAAGTAGTCAAGGAGTAACACACTCATTATCATTTTTCCTATATCTTCTGACAAATTTATTCTGATAATTTCCCTGGCGATTTTTTTTTGTACATTCAGAACAATGTCCACCAGCTCATCAGCTAATCTGCTCTCTAATAATACTCTTCATATTCTGTTTGTTAATTTGTCTTATTCTCTCCTGGAAGGGCTTTTATTCTTCCTTCTGCTACGCCCACAAGGATGGCCAGAGAAAAATGACTATTTTTAGAAAACATAGTAACTACACAATATGAACATTCTTATTCATCTTTCCATGCATAGTACCCAGGACAGTGTCTGCCCACAGGCTCAACAATGTTTTACTAAATTGAAACTGACTAACATAAAACAATCAGTAGCTCCTTAAAAGTGAGTAGACTAAGATATCTTCTCAGGAGAGCAAATCCCCAAACACACAAACACACACTTGTGTGTGCACACATGTGTATGTCCAAATAAAGGTGCTTACAATCACATGGAAGAAGAAGATAACAAACAGACCACCAGTAAAATACAACACAAATATAAATGCTATAGTCTCTCACATGGGGTAGTGAATAACAAAGGATGCTAAAGATAAGCCAGTGGAGGTTAATGAACAAGGGATTTACAAAATCAAACTGCCAGTTACAGAAAGTTATATCACAGTGATATGCAACAAATACTAAAAGCGAAAAGAGTCTACAAGAAGTCTAAACAGGATTTGGCATATAGTCTATAGACAATATTTGTTAAACATATGACTGTTGTGGACATCTGCCTGGAAAGGGGTAGCTGCAGTAGAAATACAGAAAGAGGAATGAACACAAAATAGAATTTTTTTTTCTTGAGATGGGGTTTGTTCTGTCACCCAGGTTGAAGTGTAGTGATGAGATCACTGCTCACTGCAGCCTCAACCTCTCAGGCTCAATCAATCCGTCCTGAGTAACTGGGACTACAGGCACACACCATCATGCCTGGCTAACTTTTTAATATTTTTTGTAGAGACAGGGTTTCGTCATGTTGCCCAGGCTGGTCTCCAACTCCTGGGCTCAAGCGACTCACTCGCCTCGGCCTCCCAAAGTGCTGGGGTTACAGGCGTTGAGTCACCACGCCTGGCCTCAGGGAAATCTTTTTTTTTAAATCTATTTTGGCCAGACAAGGTGGCTCATATCTGCAATTCCAACACTTTGGGAGACAAAGGTGGGCGGATCGCTTTAGCCCAGGAGTTTGAGACCAGCCTGGCAACAAGGCAAATTCCTCTACACTCATTACCAGTACAGTAGTCCCCTCTTAGTTTTGCTTTCCTCAGTATCAGGTGCCTGCAGTCAATCACAATCCAAAAATATTAAATATAAAATTCCAGAAATAAACAATTCTTAAGTTTTCAATTGTGCACCATTCTGAGTATGGAGATAAATCTCAAGCTGACCCACTCCGTCCTGCCCCAGACGAGAATCCTCCCTTTGTCCAGCAAATACCAGCTATATACACTACCTGCCTGTTAATCACTTAGTAGCCATTTTGGATACTAGCTCAAAAAAGCATAGTACACAAAGGGTTTGGTACTATCTGTGGTTTCAGGCATCCGCTGTAGGTCTTGGTTCGTAGTCCAAGGAGGGACTTCTGTATATGAGGCAAAAGCTAAGCTTCTAACTTCAGAAAGTTGATACAAAATACTCATTTTAGCTACATATAGGATCTCTGCAGCTATCAAGTGCTCACTCAGGGAGCAATTGGACAAGACACTTTCTCTAGATTTATAAGTGTGCAACAGAAGCTATTAATGAATAAGCATCTATTAATCCCTCATTAATCCTAGCTATTAATGAATGAATAAGCTACTAATGAATAAAAATTCTACAGTAAAAAGGACTGCAACGAAAGTACTTACTGCATTCCAGAAACTGTTTTAGACGTTCAAATATTCCATGTAAAAAACCCTAGAAAAGAATATTATTTTAAATATCTCAATTTATTGTTATAAACATTTACCTTGTATCTTTTTCAGGGATACCAAAACAAATCTATCACATCACTTAAAAAAATTAGCCGAAGAAAAATAAGTTAAAATTAGTTAAGCAAAAAACAGTTCACTATTATAAACAAGTCGTCCACAGGAAAATAACTATAGTATTTCATCCCTTCAATATCTCATTTAGTTACATAAATCACTTTGCAATGAATAAAAAATTACTTTTTAAGCATCCTGTTTCACTAAACACTCTCTATTCTCCTTACTGCTTTAATTTTTCTTCACAGGCTTTAAATCCCTTGAAATACTGCACTTGTCCATTTATTATGTGGCTCCTCCCATTAGAATATAAGCTCCTTGAGAGCCAGAACTTTGCTCTGTTTACTGCTTTATCCAGAATCCTGAAACATCGTTTGGCAATAATAAGTATTCAAAAAATGAACACATGGTACCAATTATTTACACCACAGTTCTTAACTTCAAGTATATGACACATTGGTCCTCAGATACTAGTATTAGATAGGCATCAACATATACCAGCTAGGTCTAATGGACCCTTTTTTTGAAAACATATTCTAAGATATGTTTTGAATAATTAACAGGAATAAATATAAAGAAATAGTGAAAAAAACTTAAAAATTTTAATAAGAATTTAAGCATAGAAGACATCTTTGTATCAATAAATGTTGGTGTATAAACATCATAAAAGATGTCACACACTCAATTAGCAAATGAGGTAGTCTCATTTGTCATGAAATACTGGATGATGATGGCTTTCCTGGAAAATAATTAACTCTAGAATGCCACAATTCCTCTCTATCAAATATATTGTTCATTGATCAATTCTTGAGTTTGAGAAAATTCAACTAGGATACCATTATCTGAAGACTTAGTGTCTGAGATTTTCCTTAGACAATTTCATTGTTAACATTAGAGTCAAGAGTACTGCTCTCAGACTCTCAATATCCATCCACTGACTCATCAAAAAACTAGTAAACCTCTTCCTCTGTCAATTTCCTTCCTTCTCTCTGTCATTTCAAGCAGAAAATGTAAAATTCTGAATTCTCAACTGTTAAATAAAAGCTAAAAGCAGAGTAAAATCAATGTTTCCAGTCTTCCTTTATACCTTCTGGAAACGTGATGAAATACAATTAACACAATTTAATTGGGTTAAATTAATTGGCAACACAATTTAAAAAAAGAAGAAAACTTCAGGATGACAACTTCACTACTGCATCATCTTCCATTTTCATACTATTTCTGTCTTTTTAAAGCATAGTTGACAATAATTGATAATGAAAAGTAACAACAGAACAATGAAACAGCAAAAGGTTTCAATTATAAAAGAATTAGGTCACCAAGATCCCATAAGTCTGTTAACTTTATAAAAGGGTCCAATAGTCCTATTCTCCAAAGAAAGTAGAAAATTATAAAGGCCATCGATTTTAAAAGCCATCATTATCACTGTGCCTGCCTTCAGGGCCCAGAATCTCACCACTGTCATATATCTTTTCTTTAGCATCTTTTAAGCTCTCTGTTATTTTTAAGATTTTTAAGCCAAGTGTGGTGGCTCACGCCTGTAATCCCAGAACTTTGGGAGGCCGAGGCGGGTGGATCAACTGAGGTCAGGAGTTCGAGACCAGCCTGGCCAACATTGTGAAACCCCGTCTCTACCAAAAATACAAAAACTTAGCTGGGCATGGTGGCAGGCACCTGTAACCCCAGCTACTCAAGAGGCTGAGGCAGGAGAATCGCTTGACCTTGGGAGGCAGAGGTTGCAGTGAGCCGAGATCACGCCATTGCACTCCAGCCTGCGCGACAGAGTGAGACTGTCTCAAAAAAAAAAAAAAAAAAGATTTTTATATTATTTGAAATGTTGTCTTTAATTTGTTAACATTTTATCCTCTAATTGACTGATGTACTTAATTGCTACAATAAGGCATTTATAACTGAGTAAAGGTTGACATGTGATTTATGCAACCAGAAAACTCTCAAGGGAAAGCCAAAGCTCACAAAATATCGATGACAGCCAGTGCAAACTACTATTTCACCTTATAGGAATATAAATCAAATCAATTCATTTTCACTTAAAAAAAGATAAACATAATATTCTGGTTAATATAATGAGAGTAATATTGCATATAATTCCTGAGACTTTGACATATTGCTTCTACCATAAAGGATTTATTCATTAAACAAACAACTATTGAGCATTTACTATACAGAAAAGACTGTTCCAAGCTCCGAGTCACAGCGAATAAAACAAAGCCCCTCCCTTCATGGAATTTATACATTCTAGTTAGGGAATTGAAAAGGAGTTGTCAAGTTGGTTTCTCGAAAATCTTTTTTGGCAGCATGGCAATCGAAATGTATCTGGATTTAAATCGAGGCTTGACATTATCTTTCAGCAATTTGGTAATATGTATCAATACTGTGGAGGGGCATATGCTTAACCCAACATTTTCAATTCTAGGAATTTATCCTAAAGAGATTAGAAAACCACATAACAGTTACCCAAATGATCAGTCCATATCTTTTATCAAAAATGAAAAACTGAGAACCTGTATGTCCGTCAACAGACAATTGTGTAAGTACATTATAAGAATCCTATATTAATATCTCTTTTTTAAAAAATTAGTCTACTGACACTAATCATATGAATGTACCATACAATCATTTTAAAAATAACATGTAACAATATAACTGACAATGGAAAAATATATGTAATATGCTGAGTTTGTTTTTAAAAAGTAAGGAAACGACATGTAAATATGATCCCATTTGTATCAAATTGAGTGAGAAGGTCTATCCAGAATAATATGCATAAAATGTCTTCAAGGATATTTATAAACTTTAGCAGTATCTCTGAAGAGTAAGATTATGAATGATTTTTTAGTTTCTTTTCCTGAAATTTTTAACTTAAAAAAAAGCATGTCAATTTTCATAAAATGAAATAACCATCACATTATGATGATGTATATTATGGGTTTTAAACTCATTTAACAATAGAACAATTACTTCAATCAAACCTCAATATACAAAAAATACTATTTTTTTTAATGGCTCTGGTCAAATCTAGTAGGGGAGACCCAAAGACCCAATTAGATTTGTTTTTTCCTCAACTCCTGAGCAACCCCCAAAGCGACTTACAAAAAGCAATGTTTTACCTGAGCTAAACTTACTGTGAATTCTAACACAAATCTAAGTATAATAAAATGCCATTTCATTTATTTTAAAAAAAAAAAAAAGAAATGCAACTAGGCCAAGCACGGCCAAGCCTGTAATCCCAGCACTTTCGGAAGCCAAAAAGGGCAGATCACTTGAGGCCAGGAGTTCAAGACCAGCCTGGCAGAAATGGTAAAACTTCGTCTCTACTAAAAATACAAAAATTAGCTGGGCATGGTGGTGCATGCCTGTAATCCCAGTGACTTGGGAGGCTGAGGCAGGAGAACTGCTTGAACCCAGGAGGCAGAGGTTGCAGAGACCCAAGACTGCACCACTGCACTCCAGCCTGGGTGACAGAGCGAGACTCTGTCTCAAAAAAAAAAAAAAAAAAAAAAAAAAAAAGAAGATGGCTATCTACAGACAATGAATATATATCACAACTTATGATCGATTTATTGACAAGGTTTTTCTCTTATATATTTATTTTTTTAATTGATTGTGAACAGCATGTATTAATGTAATGATCAGACAGAAAAAAACAAATTTATTTTAAATACATAAAAACAAAGGAAAATATTAAGTATATAAAAAACTATTTACAATGTACCTGGTAATGTTATAATAGCATTCAAATTCACAGGAGTTCATTTTAATTTAAATTCAAATTAACACTCTCAATGTACCATGGCATCCTTGAGAAATATCCTAGGCCTATTTCCTCTCCTTCACACAACAGCCACTTTGATGTAGTGAAAACAGACCAGAAGTCTAAAAGTCAGAATGGTAAAAAACTAGATGGTCACTTAATAAAAACTCTTCTAATTGAATGCCAAATAAAAAGAGCACTCTTTCAAACATTCAGGAAAATACCACTTTCCCAAAGTCACAGCAAATTTCTTCGATCACTTACCATCACCTCCATATTCTTATGAGGTTCCACAAATCCATTAACAGTTAACTTACGCAGCACTGAAAAGCAAAAGCAAGCTTTACTTGAATCTTATTTTATCCTACTAAAATTACAATCACAAGAAAGATTCAGAATTGCAAAACTTAATCAAGCTTGGAGGTTAATCTGGGTTGGAAAGTTAACTCCTGGTCATTTGGCTGGGAAATTAGTGGGAAAAATGGAACTAAAGTCTAGTTCTTCTAACTCACAAATGCAGTGTTCTTCTGACTTATTGTTACTACTCATGTTTCTAAAACTGGATTCCAAAATTTAGTGTAATTTATATAATTGTTAGTACTTCTTACCTGCAGTAACTGAAATTGAGAAAGTCATTTCTATTTCACAAACTTTAAGCTATGACTCAACGGTAACCAAAAACCTTCATTCAGTTTTCGGCTATATTAATGGAAATACAATTATCTCCTAAAAACGATATAAAAATTAAACCCTATTTCCAAATTTGGAATCAACTACACTGCTCAACTGTGACATTTCATGAGTAACACTGACAAACTAGTGTACACAGAGAGATAAGCAGGATAACAGATTTGAAGGCAGAGCTAGATTTAAATCCTTGATCTATTGTCTACAGTTGTAATACTACTTTGGGCAACATTTCTCATCTCAGTTTCCTCATCTGTAAAATGCGGTTAACAAATCCTACTTTATAGGGTTATTGATGGATTCCATGGTATATGTAAAATATAGCAATTATTTAGCAACAATAAGGATGGTGACAGTGTAAGAGACAAAATTAAAAGTTCATTAAATAAGGATTGCTATTACAGTACTAAAGAATTATACCTTAAATAGTGTTTATGAGGTCTAAAGGCAATGGATTAAATTTAGGTTTAGAATGTAGCTGTCTACTAGACCTTCGGTTTGTAAGTCTAAAGCAATGTATTAAAATTAAGTTTAGAATGTAGCTGTCTATAAGACCTTCAGTTTGAAATCATCATATGCAACTCAGAAGTTGCTGCATCATAACGATGCAGTAAGTTTTCCTCGTTTTCGTAAGGAGAAAACAGAATTCAAATTGAATCCCTTATTCTGGATATGCTTTCTCACCACAAGACCTTGAGCCACAATACCTGAGAGGATCCTTTCCTTCTCCCTTCATCACCTAGTTAACTTCCACTTATCCTTTAAGATTACAGCTCAAAGATCACTTTCTCAGGGAAATTTTTCTGATCATATTATCAGTTATCATAATATCATAAAGCCTCTGTCACAGGTGTCACTTTAAATATATTTGTGGGATCATTTTATTAAGTCTGTCTCCCCAGTGCCAAGGATCTATAGATTTGTCGAATGAAATAATGAATGCATCCATGTCTAAAAGATACTAAATGCACGTAAGTGTAAATTCAGATAGAGATTACACAAAACAAAAATTGTAGTTTGGAGTATTTCTTCATTTCAGAACAGAAATGTATAGTTACAGAACAAAATTTTCCAGGGCAGGATATCTCTAAAAAGTTAATGTGAATCTAAGACCTTCAGATGGTGAGGTATTAAAAAGCTTAAGGCAGGCAAAGATATAGTAAAGCTACATCTTTTTCGTCAGGAGTTAGGCTTTGAAATCAATAAGGTAAGAAAACCCTATAATCAAAAGAAATCTTGAAAATTTCTTAATCATTAAATATACTACTATACACACAGCTTTGTATACACAGCCTTATATCAGTTTCTGTAATTCTTTCTGAGCAAACATTTCTCTCCAATGTCTGTAATTTCTTCCTCAAGAATGTTAACAAAACCATCTCCACTCACTTTTATAACTACTTCTACAATGGATTTTATTTTTCAACAGTCCTTTAAAATCATTCAAACATTTCTTCACAGGTTTCACAAAATGTGCTGACAGTTTGGGATTTGTGCATCCATTGTCTGGTGAAAGTAAGTGATGTATTAAGGCGATGCCAAGACTGATGGGATTCCAAGGTACCAGAATGAGTACGATAAAAGAACTTATAGGTAAAACTAAAAAGAATGCAAACTGAGAGTAAGAGAGAAACTGATGCTGCCTGAGATCAAACTAAGAAAAACAAACTAGGCCAGGCACAGTGCTCATCCCTGTAATCCTATCACTTTGGGAGGTCAAGGCAGGAGGATCACTTAAAGCTAGGAGTTCAAGACCAGAAAGATGTAAAAATCAGCCTGGTGCAGTGGCATGTGCCTGTAGTCCCAGTTACTCAGGAAGCTGCAGTGAGAGGATCACTTGAGCCCAGGAGTTCAAGGTTGTAGTGAGCTATGATTATGCCACTGCACTTCAACCTGGGAGACAGAGCAAGACCCTGTCTGTCCAAAAAAACAAAAAACAAACAAACAAAAAGAACTAAAAAAGTCTTAGCAACCAGAACAGAAAGAAGAGAGGGACTAGAAAAGTAAGAGAATAAGACAAATGAGTATATTTTAGAAGAAAAGGAACCTAGGAATACATTCATCAAGATAAACAGCTCAAGGAAAGTGAGATGGAGATTTATGCTAAGGGAATGCCTGCAAGCAACATATACCAAGACACAGGCCAAGATGGCATCCTATAAAGCACCTTCTGAAATCCAAGTGAGCCTGAGGCACTAAGATGAAAGATGGAGGCTTGCCTTTCCAGGGAAAGGAGGGATGAAAGACAGTGCTCATTCCAGCCTGGAGAAAAAATTTTAGGAAAGTTGGCATGACAAGGATAAGTGTAGGGGTCCAGAATGAGAAAAATAAAGTAGAAACAAAAACTAGAAGCATTTGAAAAAAATATATTCAGAGCCATGAGGCCGCAATAATGTGAATCTAACTATCCACTTCAACTTATTATATGTGCTTTCAAAAATCAGAAGGGGTAGAGGAAGAGCTACTGCCACAAAACTATAAATAAGCCCTTATCTTTCAGGGAGAAATAAACCTCTTATTTTTCCAGTGAAACTGGGAACAGAAAACCCGTCTAAAGGAACTATTTGGTGACTGTTCTGAGGTATCTCATTTCAAAAATGAACATATCAAGCTTAATAGTACCTTTCAATGATAGCAGTGTTCGTTCTAGTGAACTCAAAATTGCAGCTTCATTGCCAGAAGAAACTTCTTGCAGGAATGTGTCTGTGTGGTGATTCCACAGAGAGCAGGCAAAATTATAAATTCCAGAAGCTAACTGCAAAGAAAAGGCAACAAATTTATTCATAGTGTATTATACATTTCAGTAATACATTAGAACTACAAAGTAATATATTTTAGTTTTACAACTAAGCACACATTTTCTGAGAGATCTGAAATAGTCAAAGAATATTTGTGGCAATGTTTCATACTTTTTTAGCCACAATGCACAGTAACACATACAGCTTACACTGGCTGCTAAACACACACAGACACACCCCTAAAATACTAGTTTCTTAAAACAATATTAATACCTCATCAAATGCCTGCATTGCAGTCTTATATATTCTATTTTTATTCTTTTTATCTCCACTAATAGGTTGCAATCTCAGTTTAAAACAATGATTTATGGACTGTCACTGAGTATGTCAGATAAATCAATATATGAAGATATACAAAGGAGAAAGCCTTCCGTGTTCTGCCAGTTCTACGCATATGGCTTTTGCACATTTAATGCCAGGAACATACAAACCACATGGTTTCTCAGTTGCTTTACTAAAGTGTGCTGATATTTAAAAACCTGACCCTCACATTAAGAATGTAGTTAATCTCTGCCTCACACTTTGAGGCAGAACATCTTCCAGTGACATCTTCAATTTTTTCCAGGAGTTCTCGGAGCAATCCAGCTGAGTCTACATGGCTATTTACTTTAAATTAAAATTAGATAAAAGTATTTATGACTAGTTATCATCAGCATACTTCGGAATGCTTTTTCTTACTCAAGATATAAGCATCTCATGTTGACTAATTAAATGCTATTTATAGAACAGGCATCAGAAACCAGAGCTGCAATCCTGTTAAAATCATGTTTCTATGAAAAAATCAAATTTCCATTTGTTAGTTTAAGTATTTTTAATGTGCCATTAAAACGGCTTCACCATATCCCCCAGGGCAACTTTGCATGTATCCACACAGAACACACAAGCTTAGCAAAGGCTTGAACCTCAGTTAATCTGAGTCTTGGCAAAACATCCTGTGATCCTCCCAGAACACAAGAGGATAGAAGGCTTGTAAGAAACTTACAAGACCATCTCCTACTCGTCTCTTTATCTGCACCATTAGGCTATCATGAGACAGTTTCTCATCACCTCTCAGGTTCTGAAGAGGTATAAGGTTTTCTGCCCTACTCCCCTTAAAACACACCGCAGAATATAAAACTACTGAGCTATATGGTCTAGAATTGGCTTCTCAGCAATTAGGCATCCCACAAGTCACATTAGAGTCATCTATCTCCTATTGTTTCTGTGCCATTCTTTCTGGTGTATGAGACAAGGCCCACAGGAAGCTGGCACCTGTAGGTGCTTCCTTTCTCTATCCAAATTAAATAATGAACTGCCTGAATCTAAAAGTGGTTCACTGTATCTTTACAAACTAAATCAGTCAGGGATGCCTTGGCCCTTCCTCATCTTGTGTGTATACTTCACAACAGGTACAATGACTACTCATTAAGCTACTTTAGCATATTCTCAAGTATATATGCAATATTTCAAAGAGTAAAATCAAACTGTTGAATACTAATGTTTTATTACAGCCAAAATACTTTAGTGATCATTCTCTCAATTCATAGTGTTACAACACAAACCACTGTATCATAAAAAGAGTTTGAAAGTGACATTTTCCCATGAAGTAGTATTATAGCAGAGAAGCAAACATTCACTCTGATAGAAGGGAAATAATATTTAAAAAGTGGGAAAAAAGCTTTATTTCAACAAACTTGCATGCTTTACTTATAACTTCAGTAAACCATAAAATGAATTCGTATTTTTCTTAGTAAGTCCTTTTGGAAAATAAAAGACTGAAATACATATCCAGAATTGAAAAAATATCTATCATCCTAAATTTTATTGTACTTACTGTGTAATATACAACACCCTAAGCTTTCCCAACACATACATCATTAAAATATTTTGTCAGAAGAAAGTGAAAGAATACGAACAGAAGGATTTAGACGCAGAAGAGGTAAGAATTCTACAAAACACCTAAAATTAAATTTTAAACTACAGTAAAATTTCTTATTGTAGCAAATATTTCAACTCCCCAAAAATGAAATCTATAGCCTTGGCTATAATTTGTAGATCCGTTTTGTACTGTGTCTTTTTGTAAGAAAACAAAAACTCAAAGGGTGCCATATCCAAATTTCAAATAAGACCAAAAAACTATTATACTTTAAACCGATATCTTGCTTACAACAAAACGACATTTTGAGTAATTTTATAGCTTTTCTTTGCATCTCCTTAAAACTACCTGTTAACATTAATGTCTGTATAGATTAAAATTGTTTAAAAGGACTTTATATTGAAATTTTTTGTGTCGCCATTATCTGAAGTCACTTGAACTCATTTAAAAGGTATGCTCAGACCAGGCGCGATGGCTCATGCCTGTAATGTCAGTGCTTTGGGAGGCAGAGGCAGATGATCACCTGGGGTCAGGAGACCAGCCTGTGCAACATGGCGAAACACGGTCTCTATAAAAAGTACAAAAAAAATTAACCAGGCATGGTGGGGTGCGCCTATACTTCCAGCTACTTGGGGAGCTATGGCGGGAGGATGCCAGGATGCCTTGAGCCCAGGAAGGGAGGCTGCAGTGAGCCGAGATCACACCACTGCACTCCAATCTGGGTGACAAAGTGAGACCCTGCCTCAAAAACAAACAAAAAAAAACGAAGAAAACAACAACAATAAAAAATAACCAGCTGGGCACAGTGGCTCACACCTGTAATCCCAGCACTTTGGGAGGCCAAGGCAGGAGGATCACAAGGTCAAAAGATCGAGACCATCCTGGCCAACATCGTGAAACACTGTCTCTACTAAAAACACAAAAATTAGTTGGGCATGGTGGTACACGTCTGTAGTCCCAGCTACTCGGGAGGCTGAGGCGGGAGAATCCGGGAGGCAGAAGTTGCAGAGAGCAGAGATCTCGCCACTGCACTCCAGCCTGGCGACAGAGCAAGACTGCATCTCAAAAAAAAAAAAAAAAAAAAAAAAACCACCAAAAACAAACACATAGACCAGATGCGGTGGCTCACGCCTGTAATCCCAGCACTCTGGGGGACCGAGGCAGGTGGATCACCTGAGGTCAGGAGTTCGAGACCAGCCTGGCCAACACAGCGAAACGCCGTCTCTATTACAAATACAAAAATTAGCTGGGCGTGGTGGCACGTGCCTGTAATCCCAGCTACTCGGGAAGCTAAGGCAGGAGAAATGCTTGAACCCAGGAGGTGGAGGTTGCACTGAGCTGAGATCACCCCACTGCTCTCCAGCCTGCGTAACAGAGCGAGACTCTGTCATTAAAAAAAAAAAAAAATACAGAAGTAAAAGGTATGTTCAGTATATCAGTATATATTATCTTCTATGCTCTAATGTCTCTTAATACAATAACTAACAATTAACTGCACTGTATAAAAGAGATAAACATTTTTGGTATAACTAAGTTCTGTTTAAACTTTTTTTTTTTTTTGAGACAAAGAGTCTCACTCTGTTGCCCAGGCTAGAGTGCAGTGGCGCAATCACGGCTCACTGCAGCCTCAATCTCCTGGGCTCAAGCAATCCCCTCACCTCAACCTCCTGAGTAGCTGGGACTACAGGGATGCACCACACCAGGTTAATTTATATATTTATTTTTATTTTTTGTAGAGATAGGATCTCACTGTGTTGCCCAGCCTGGTCTCAAACTCCTGGGCTCAAGTGATCCTCCTGCCTCAGCCTCCCAAAGTGCTGGGATTACAGGCATAAGCTACCATGCCTGGCCCTGTTTAAACCTTTTGATATCAAAATATAAAGTACACCCTGGGCATGGTATCTCACAACTGTAATCCTAGCACTTTGGGAGGCTAAGGCAAGAGGATCACTTGAGGTAAGGAGTTGAAGACCCACCTAGGCAACAAAGTGAGACCCTTTTTCTACAAAATGTTTCTTAACAAATTAGCTGGACATGGTGGCACATGCCTGTAATCTCGGCTACTTGCAAGGCTGAGGTGGGAGGATCATTTGAACCCAGGAGTTCAGGGCTGCAGTGAGCTATGATCACACCACAGCACTCCAGCCAGGACAAGAGTGAGACACTGTCTCTAAAAATAAATTGAATGTTTTTCTTATATATACACATATATTCATATACATATAAGTAATATATGTGTGTAAATTAGAACTAGTCCCATTCACTAGTCGTAAGAGCCATAGACCTTTTATCTAATTCTCAATACCCCCCACTACCACTACATGCCAGACTCACTGAAAAAAAAAAAAGGATGGTGACAGTAACTATCCCCTAGTTCCTCAATTAAAAGTAAGATTAAGCTTGAAAAAGAAAAAAAAAAGAGTCAGCCAAATAAAACAGGCACAGGCTCAAGAAAGAAAACATTAAGGGAGAATTTGCCACCCTACATAACCACATATTTTGAAATTGTGTCAGATTTTTCTGAAGTATTTTATAGTGGCCGGGCATAGTGGCTCATGCCTGTAATCCCAGCTACTCAGGAGGCTGAGACAGGAGGATTGCTTGAGCCCAGGAGCTTGAGGTTGCAGTGAGCTATGAGTGTACCATTGAACTCTAGCTTGGGAGACAAAACCCTGTCTGTAAAAAATAAAAACAGTATTTTTTTTAATAATGGTAGCAAAGGGGCAAAACTGTTCTTTTTTTTTTTTCAGGCATTGCTTCTGTTACCAGAATATCTCTTTGCAGAATTCTACCACTTGCATACACACAATGCAAATCACAGTAGACATATTCAACATAAAATCCTCCCCACTCACCTACAAAACAAAGAATAAAAAGTACCAAAGAACATCTCTGAATACTATACCAAAGGTTGTTACTGTGACAAGACTGAATAAAAGGAAGCATTTAAACATGGTGGACTCAAAGTCATTAAAAAAAAATTCTATTCTGTTCCATAAAATCATCTCCTTTTCTATTTATCATTTGACTCTAAAAATGTGTTAGAAAGTTCAGTAATTCAGTAATTCCACTCTATTTCACCTTAAGCAACTTTCAATTTTGAAATTTTCATCTCTACTTCTCACAAAAATAAGTAAGATTTATAGATATTAATGGCAAAGTTAGATCTCGATCTATTAATTAATTCTTCCCTCTTTCTGTCCCTAGAAAGTAATACTTAATATGAGAGAACTACAGGCTAAAATATCTCAAATCTGAAAACCCGAAGTATTTGCTTCAAAATCCTTAACTTTGAGTACCAGCACGATGCTCAAGGGAAATGCTCACTAGAGTGTTTCAATTTTCAGATTTTCACATTTGAGATGTTCAACGTAAGTATAATGTAAATATTACAAAATCTGAAAAAAATCTGAAACATTTCTGTTCCCAAGCATTGCAGATAAGAAGTACTTAACCTGTACTTTAAGGACTACAGATACGAAAAGCACATAAGATGCCTGGCACACAGCAGGTATTGCTAAATGAAGGCATATAGCATTTGAGACAGAAATTTAAAAAGAAACAATAGTATGGAAATTTAAAAACAAAAACCTAATAGTCAAGGACATCAGGCATCTCTTAAAGTTCTAATTCAAGACTCTCTAGCTAGCCTACGAAAGGTCTCTACACAAATGGCTGGAATGAAGAAGCAACGGCACTATCTTTCGACAAACAGCCTCTCCTTAACCAAACTTTAGTGAGGCTTTTCTGAATCTTTGTCCTAACTAGGCTTCTACTTTTGGACTTCCAAAATGTCTGTTCTTTGCGTCACCCAATTTTAGCAAGAAATCTTGCTATGTTGGTTTAGCCAGAATCCCCTATCCTTGACATTGATATCATCAATATCTCATCAGGTTGCTTTCGGCAAGAATCCTATTAGGTCAGTTTGGCCAGGAACCCCCTCTCATCCCTGATGATTCTTTTTAGTAATTTTCCATCCTCTCAACCCCCCATCCCCCCAACCTCCCACCCTTTCCATCCCTGCTCCTTGGCAATAAATTCCCACTTTTCCTTGTATTCAGAGTTGAGCACAATTTCTCTCCCCTACTGCAAAACCCCACTGCAGTAGTCCCATCTGAATAAAGTCTGTCTTATCATCCTTTACAAGTGTTTGAAAAGTTTTTCTTTAACACCTTTCAGCCCTTTACCTTTCAGTAAAAGCAGGGAGAGAGATAAAGAAAGAAGAAACAACAGGAATAAAGAAGAAACCACAGGAAGTAACCATTGCCAACTAATATATTCACAAGCCCTGTATACCTCCTATCTGCTCCAGAAAACACCAACTGATACATGCTTACAGAAGGCTCAGCTGGAAAAGAGTAAGTAATAAAGCAACCAAGTAGGAGAAATAAAAATATTTTTTTCTACATGTGATTCTAAAAATGTGGAGGGGGGAAGGAATATTCAGTGAGACAATATGCAAATAAACTGTTTAATGAAACATGTTAGGTACTAGTTCATGAAACCCCCAAATACTTAACATTTTCTATTTCTAAACCAGAAGAAACAGTGCCACCTACTGACTGTTTAGTGGCTGTAACTGAGAAGCCCAAAGCCTTGACTCCAAAGTATCAAAAGCTAACCATTACACACTAAGTATTTTAGCATTTCAAATATTCTTAAACTTTTTTAGCCTCAGAATTGTTGTCTTCATAATTTTCCCTTAAGAAACATTAGCACCAAAAAAGTTTTACATCAAAGTTCATGTATTAAATAATTCATCACGAATACTGAGACAAAAAATATTCGCTATAGATGCCCAAATCTGCTTAGCCTGAACCTAATCAGCAAGGTATATTAATCAACAAATGTAGGAGGCAGAGCATCCTACAAGACAACTAATCTAGTTTTTTTTTAACAAGTCAATGGCATTTTTAAGGGGGAGAGGGAGGAAGTCAATACTATTCAAAATTAAAAGATTTGTAAGACATGTCAAATGCACCTTATTCATTTTTCTGGCTCAAGCCACTTGTAAAAATGTGTTTGAGAACAATCTAGAAAACTGGATAAAAGTATTAAATGATATTAAATTACTTTTTACTTCTTCAGGATGATAAAAGTTAAATACTTAAAAAATAAATCTATCTTTTCACAGATAAATGTTGAAGAATTTAGTTAAAAAAATATTTAAATTCCTTTAAAATAGCTCAAAAAAAGTCAGAAAGCAAAAACAGCAAAATGTTGACTATTAGATCTAGGTAATAGTTACATGGCAGTTAATATTTTTCTTTACTTTTCCATGTTTTTAAAATGTATTTTCAATTTTAAAAACACCTGTATTCTTAACAATAACTAAAAAGGTTATTTTAGTAATAATCCGTTTTTTTGTTAATAAGGCTTAAGTAGGCCAGGTGAGGTGGCTCAGGCCTGTAATCCCAGCACTTTGGGAGGCCAAGGCTGGCAGACCATAAGCTCAGGAGTTCGTGACCAGCCTGGCCAATATGGTGAAACCCCTGCCTCTACTAAAAATACAAAATTAACCAGGCATGGTGGCACACGCCTGTAGTCCCAGCTACTTGGGAGGCTGAGGCAGAAGAACTGCTTGAACCCGGGAGGCAGAGATTGCAGTGAACCAAGATTGCACCACTGCACTCCAGCCTGGGTAACAGAGCAAGACTCCGTCTCAAAAAAAAAAAGGCTTAAGTATAAATTCGCTTCCACTTACCTATGACATAAATATATATTAAATTACCAAAATGTATCAAGCCAGAAGCTTTAGTAGGTACAAGATCTATCTCAAAAGCAATTTCCAGCCAAACTGCTGATGTCTCTCAACTAATATTTATTTATTTATTTATTTATTTTTGAGACAGAGTCTCAAAAATGTCAATGAAGGAATGTCAATGAAGGACATTCCTAAAGACCTATAGCATTTGTTACTTACATGCTTTTTAAAGTAAAATCTAATTTTCATTTTGTTTTCAAACCTGCCAGTGATATAGCTCAGGCCCAGGAGGGACACTGTGGCCCATCTTTCAGTTCCCTAAGTCTCTTATCCTAGCAACAGCCTTACGCCTCTCTTCAGCCACTTAATGCCTACACACTGTTCTCATGTATCCAAAATATCAACTCAGTAAGGAGGAGGAACAAAAAAAAAAGAGTAAAACTACTCTACTCCCTGGGTGGGCCCTTACCTTTCCACAGCTCTATCTCAGGCATCCCGTGAAGTGATTGCATAGAGTAAGAATCCAAATATTTGTCAGATAAATAGATGGATGGGTAAGGTATAAATCAGCACTGTTTCAAAAGCAACTTTTAGATACTTGGGGGATAGTTTTGGAATTTTCATTCTTATTCCAGGCCCTTAACTAGGACTCAGACAAGAGGCTTTATGAATCAATACAGGAAGAGTACGCACCATGCTATATTCAAAATCTCTTCTGTTCAGCGCACAGCTCTTTTCTTTTGAACCAAGTCTGTCACCTTGAGTCTCCTCCACTAAAGTAACTTCCCACCAAAAAGTTCTTTTTCACCTTGATACTAATATAAGCCTAGACACACACATGCACAGGCTCAAATCCCCACAGGTTCACAGCACAAATGACCCTTTAAGAGAGTCACTCTTTAAATAATGCACTTAAAAAGCCAATATAGGCGGGGCGCAGTGGCTCATGCCTGTAATCCTAACACTTCGGGAGGTCAAGGCGGGCAGATCATTTGAGGTCAGAAGTTTGAGACCAGCCTGGCCAATGTGGCAAAACCCTGTCCCTACTAAAAGTACAAAAATTAGCCGGGCATAGCGGCATGCACCTGTAATCCCAGCTACTCAGGAGGCTGAGGCAGGACAATCACTTAAACCTGGCAGGTAGAAGTTGCAGTGAGCTGAGATTGCACCACTGCACTCCAGCCTGGGTGACACAGCAAGACTCAATCCCCAGGGGGAAAAAAAGCCACTATAAAATTACACAGAGCAAGAGATAAGAAACAGAATCAACATGGCATTTAATGTACAATTAAAATCAACAAAACAAAAGTGAAAATAAGATCTATTAAACCTATTTGATGACTTGCTCACAAAGGCATTTATCTTTTTTTTTTTTTTTTTTTGAGACAGAGTCTCGCTCTGTCGCCCAGGCTGGAGTGCAGTGGCGCGATCTCAGCTCACTGCAAGCTCCGCCTCCCCGATTCACGCCATTCTCCTGCCTCAGCCTCCCGAGTAGCTGGGACTACAGGCGCCCACCACCACGCCCAGCTAATTTTTGTATTTTTAGTAGAGACAGGGTTTCACCGTGTTAGCCAGGATGGTCTCGATCTCCTGACCTCGTGATCCGCCCTCCTCGGCCTCCCAAAGGGCTGGGATTACAGGCGTGAGCCACCGCGCCCGGCCGGCATTTATCTTTTAAATAAATTTTACAGCACTGTAAATATCTTACAGGCTGGAGCTACACCATGGAAGTGGCGCCTTGGCATTCTCAAATTTAGCATTCATAATTTCAATTATTTGGAAATTTCCCCTAAGGACCACATCATGAAGTCTTAAGCTGACAAGGAGTAAGTCTGCAAGTCTCTGCTATGAGGGTGAGTGATCTATCTTACACTAACCAACCCATCTCAAAGCAGCTATGCAGTTCTCCTTTGTGTAGAAAATATAGTAATTCATCACGATGACCTTCTGAAGTATTGTAACTTGACTTCACCTTGCCACACAGCATTCTTTTACCCTTACCATCCAAATAATTCATGTGTTGTTTAGCAGAAACACTATTATTATTATGTTTTAGACACATGGTCTAACTCAGTCTTCAAGGCTAGTACAATCATATATCACTACAGCCTCAAACTCCTAGGCTTAAGTGATCCTGCCGCCTCAGCCTCCCAAGTAACCAGAATGACATACATACACCACCATGCCTAATTTTTTTATTTTTTGTAGAGGTAGGATCTCACTATGTTGCCTAGACTAGTCTCAAACTCCTGGCCCCAAGGATCCTCCCACCTCAGCTTTCCAAAGTGCTGGGATTACAGGCATGAGTCACCATGCCCAGCCTAATGAGAACATTATTCATCATAAACCTTTCAGCTTTTAAAATTCAGCTAAGTTTTAGCCATGACCATAATAACAATGCAATATAGTTTTGTTTTCTTCCATGGCAGATATTTTCCCCCCCACCCCAGAGACAGAGTCTTGCTCTGTTGCCCAGGCTACAGTGCAGTGGCGTGATCTCGGCTCACTGCAACCTCCGCCTCCCAGGTTGAAGCAATTGTCCTGCCTCAGGCTCCCGAGTAGGTGGGATTACAGGCACCCGGCTAATTTTTGTATTTTTAGTACAGACGGGGTTTCACCATGTTGGCCAGGCTGGTCTTGAACTCCTGACCTCATGATCCACCCGCCTCAGCCTCCTAAAGTGCCAGGATTACAGGCGTGAGCCACCGCACCCGGCCCCACATCAGATTTTAATAGCTTACTAAATAGGGGGGTTGCGTTCTTCCACATGAACTGTCAAGAGACTACTAATTCTGTCTTCTGTCTCCCACAATATTGTACATATCTCTTGTACACAGTCAGCATTCAATAACTGTTGAGTGACTGTTAAGACAGAAGTAAAAATTTAAGATTAATCCCTAATATCCAGGCCGGGCATCGTCGTACGTGCCTGTGGTCCCAGCTACTTGGGAGGCTGAGGTGAGAGGATTGCTTGAGCCTAGGAGGTCAAGGTTGTAGACACCTATGTTTGTGCCACTGCACTATGCAGCATATACTTTTGTGTGTTACACATCGTGATTTGGGGACATTATTTACTTTAACATACTTCCAACTTCATTACAATTGCTCCCTGTACCTTAAATTTCCTTATTTTTAGTGACTTTGGATTTTAACAGTGGTTAATGTCCATTTTATTATATTTAGGTTTATATGTAAAGGCATACTGTTTTACAGAAAATGAATTCCTGGCCGAGCATGGTGGCTCACGCCTGTGATCCCAGCATTATGGGAGAGTGGATCACCTGAGGTCAGGAGTTGGAGACCAGCCTGGCCAACATGGCAAAACCCCATCTCTACCAAAAACACAAAAATTAGCCAGGCATGGTGACGTGCACCTGTAAACCCAGCTACTAGGAGGTGCTGAACCTGGGAGGTGGAGGTTACAGTGAGCCAAGGTCGTGCACCTGCACTCCAGTCTGGGCAACAAAGCGAGACCCCTTCTCAAAAAAAAGAAAATGAATTCCTGGCCAGGCACAGTGGTACACGCCTGTAATCCCAGCACTTTGGGAGGCTGAGACAGGTGGATCGCTTGAGGCTAGGAGTTTGAGGCCAACCTGGGCAACATGACGAAACCCTATCTCTACTAAAAATACAAAAATTAGCTGGGCATGGTGGCGCATGTCTGTAATCCTAGCTACTCAGGAGGCTAAGGAACAAGAATTGCTTGAAGCTAGGAAGCAAAGGTTGTAGTGAGCCAAGACAGCACCTCTCTCTCTCTCAAAAAAAAAAAAGAATTCCTTTTTGTGTCAAATCAAGCTCAATTTTGTTACTGCAAAACAATTTGCTCTCAACTGCTGATTTCGTAATTTGTCACCCCTCAAAAGAACTTATTTTAACACAGAGGAGGAAAGGTTATAACAATTGTTGAGGCACACTGAGCCGCAGGTAGCAATTTTAAGTGTACCCTGTGCACTACACTTTGCTATAGCAACCAGCTCAACCATGAGCTTAATATTTTTTTCTTCTTTTGAGACACTCTCTCTCTGTCGTCTAGGCTGGAGTATAGTGGCGCAATCTCGGTTCACTGCAGCCTCCGCCTCCTGGGTTCAACTGATTCTCCTGCCTCAGCCTCCTGAGTAGCTGGGATTACAGGCGTGCGCCACCATGCCCAGCTAATTTTTTTTGTATTTTTAGTACAGACAGGGTTTCACCATGTTGCCCAGGCTGGTCTCGAACTCCCAACCTCAGGTGATCTGCCCACCACGGCCTCCCAGTGCTGGGACTACAGGCGTGAGCCCAGCCCTTACATTTTTTTATGTAGGAAACTAATTTGGTACTTGAGGACCATCTTTGCATCTTCCTTTATTATTAAAAGGAAGATTTTCCATGCTTCAGATTACCAAAATAATAGGCACAGCTGTATTAACCAGCAAAATTGCTCTTTATAATGATGTCTTCCCACAAATGCTACCTTCAATTAACTACACATCTTGTACCTCAACCGCATTAGACAGGATACCCTTCCTAGTCCCTACTTTAGTCCCTATCTCCAGGTTCAGCTGCTCCATTCCAAAATAAAAAGTGCTAATCTGAATTTTTTCCAGGTATCTCTAGCTCTGACTAATCTCTCAAAAATCCTGCTTTTGGAAGTTTTGCCCTATATCACTCTGAAATCCAGCAGGCATCTAATAAGAATAAGTCTCCTGTTCTATTGTTCATTCACTTAACAGTTATTGAGCATCAATCATTATGTGTACTCTTTCAGACCATGCAGTAGGATGACAGCAATAAAAGCTACACTGTAGTGAATCTGAGAAAAATAAGTCGACAATTACAAGTCAGCACAATGTGGTAACTACTACACTGAAAGTAACTACAAGATGCTAATTAAGCATATACTTCTTTCTATATGGAGAAGAACTAGCCTCATACTACAAAAAAAAACAAGCAAGAAGCTAACTCACACAAGCTATCCAGCTTAAGGCCCTGATTATCTGTACAATCTGTGGAGATTGCCTCGACTAAATATAAAGTATACCTGTAAGGCAACATATTAGAGAGTGAACTTTGATAAAGTTGAAATAGGAATTAAAACTTCTATAGACTGGTAGCCTTTAATAACAGTTAACTGTAACCAAGAATCTTCTAGACAATTGATTTTGAGACTCTCCCCAACAAAAAAGTAAGTCCTAGAAGTGAAGGGTTTGAGGTGAGGACAAAACAGAGGAAAAGGAAAGACAATTTCACAGAAAGACTTGAGTGAGTGAACGGTCCATTTCCTTAGTCCTCGCTAGAAATCAAGCAAAAGTGAAAAGGATTTGAAAAACAACCTTAGACTATCAAAAATAATTTCTCTTACATACAATATCCTAGGATGAACATAAGACTGGCTATTTATTTATTTATTTTTTATTTGAGATGGAGTCTCGCTCTGTCACCCAGGCTGGAGTGCAGTGGTGCAATCTCGGCTCACTGCAAGCTCCACCTCCTAGGTTCACGTCATTCTCCTGCCTCAGCCTCCTGAGTAGCTGGGACTACAGGCGCGTGCCACCACGCCCGGCTATTTTTTTTTTGTATTTTTAGTAGAGATAGGGTTTCACCATTAGCCAGGATGGTCTCGATCTCCTGACCTCATGATCCACTCGCCTCAGCCTCCCAAAGTGCTGGGATTACAGGCATGAGCCACCGCACCCAGCCAAGACTGGCTATTTAAACCCATTGAGTTAAAAATGAAAAGGACACAATGTGGTGTGACGTAAACTTTGGTGTATATAAAAATTCTATGGGGAGCTTGTTAAAAATGCAAATTGCCAAGCCATAATCCTCAAAGTGAGGATTCCAAAGGTGTGGTTCAGAAACCTCTCAGTCTGTGTATAACAGATTGAAAACGAATGTTTTTGACATGGAAGACAGCTCAAGGTTATACACTGCTTTTCCCACCCCCTTCCCTAGTCCATACTCAAACAAGAGGCTCTACACTGTGAGCCCAAGACAAAATTGAGTCCTCAGAACAAAAAGTTGGCCAATTCTTTGTGAAAGAATAAAGGCAACATAAAAAGACTAGGACAAGTATTTTCTTCTAGAACTCTCTCTTCACTTGGCTCCTTCCATTACATCCCTTCTCTTCCACATGCTTCATATTCTTCACTGACTCCTTTCCACATTATAGGACTAGGCTATCTCTTTCTTTAAGAATGAAGCATCTCTAATCATGGATGGTGAAGTAGAGACCAGAGCAAAAGTCAGAAGGAGGTCTAGGAAAAGCTGCTTAAGACCACATGCTAAGTTCAAAAGTAAAAGGAACTCTGGAAGCTCCCAAGGAAAAGCCCGCTAATTTAGGGAAAGGCATGAGCAATATTTAAAGTACATTTAGAGAAGAAAAAGAAAGAAGAAAAATCTTTCTACAAAACTACAAAACACCATGTCACCCTCTTCTTTTTTGGAGGGCAGCATGATTCAGAACAGACCTGAAATAGTTTCTTGAGCCCTATCATGTGACCGTATAATAAGACTTAAAATTATATACCTTTAATTTCTCTACAATTACAGAAGGTAACAAAGAACACTGTTAAAAACACTTTAAAGCATGGGTAACATAGTGAGACTTCATCTCTAAAAAAAATTAAAAAACCATCTGGGCATGGTGGCATGTACCTGTAGTCCTAGCTACTCGTGAGGCTGAGGTAGGAGGATGGTTTGAGCCAAGGAGGTCAAGGCTGTAGTGAGCTATGATCATGCCACTGTACTACACCCTGGGTGACAGAACAAAACCCCGTCTCAAAATGCGTGCACACACACACACACACACACACACACACACACACACCCCACCAAAAACAGAACAAAACCCTGTCTCAAAACATACACACACACACACACACACACACGAACCCAAAACCAAAAAAAAGGTGCAAAAAACCTGATAAAAGGCTGTCACTCCCTACTTACGTCAAACTCCTTCCTATATCTGCCCTACATCCTTCAGTTACCCAGACGTATCAATTCTCCTCCTAAATGTCAACTCTATGCCCACCTAATTGTTCCCTTTACTACAGCTTCATTCAAGAGACCTATCATCTCATCCGAACTACTTCCTTTGCCTCAAACTGACCTCCTTGCCTTCAGAGTGTATCCAACAACCAATCCTCCTCACTGGCAACTAAGTGATCTTTTTATTCATATCACTGCCCAGCTTAAAATGAGAAAGAATTAAGTCTTTCAAAAAACATCAACAGAAGTAAAACTATAGTCATTTTTTTTTACAAGTAGCACAATTTTCTTTTTTTATTTTATTTTATTTTTTTTGAGACGGAGTCTCGCCCTGTCGCCCAGGCTGGAGTGCAGTGACACAATCACGGCTCATTGCAACCTCCACCTCCTGGGTTCAAGTGATCGTTCTGCTTCAGCCTCCTGAGTAGCTGGAACCACAGGCGTGTGCCACCACGCCCGGCTAATTTTTGTAGTTTTTAGTAGAGATGGGGTTTCACCATATTGGCCAGGCCTGACCTCGTGATCCACCCGCCTCGGCCTCCCAAAGTGCTGAGATTACAGGCATAAGCCACCACGCCCGGCCGCACAATTTTCATAATCAAATTTAACTATGTGAAATCACTTACATCATAAAATAGTTTTCTATCAGCAGCAAGTCGTTTAGATGCCAGTGTCTTGGTAACATGATAGAAGGTAAGTAATGCTCTGTGCTGTCGAAGATCATCCTGGACTTTAACAGACTCTATAAGAGTGGGAATTAGTTCAGGCCACTGTCTGGGACAATCCAATCTAGCAACTTTTGCAATGAGCACTGCAATCTGAGTTGCAATCTGAAAGGAAAAAATTAAACAAATGGAATCAAGGCAATAGATAAGGAATGCATTCACGGTGACAAATCACCTTGTTAATTATACACTTGACAAAAATGAATACGATTTCACTGAATGACTGCTTAAACAGTGGTTCTCAAAGTGTGGCCCATGGACCCCTGGTAGAGCTAGGACCCTTTCTGGGACCTATGAGGTCCTCCTTTACCCAATTATCTGTCAGTGTGAAACGAGGTTTTCTTCATATAATGTCCACCATGTATCACAACAGAGTAAATGAAGAAGCAGATATGAAAACCTAGATGTCTTCCCTTAAATAGCCAGACCCTAAAAATGCAAGCCAATGCCACCTTTCTCACTAATTTTTATTGTTTTGGAAATAGCTACTATTGCTCATTTCCAAAACTGCTATGTTGATGAGTATTTTATTTTTTACACGAATATTTTTAAGTTTCTCAGTTTTAATTTATAATACAGTAAATATCAACAGATATAACTCTTTAAGGTCTTCAATTTTAGCAGTATAACGAGATCCTGTGACCACAAAGTTTAGGAATCCTGACCTAAAAGTAGAAAGAAACGCCAAATATTGGGCATTTAAATAATGATATTTCTACATATCAGTGTTTCCCAAATGCTAGCTGAAAGAACAATTAGGCAGTTGTTCACTGCTCAGTAACACAAACCCCTCCCTAATCACCTCCTGCCCCATTAAAGGTAACTCCGTTTTTCTCCATTATGCTTCAGCTCCTTTGTCAAGAAAGAGCAAAGAACAGAGATCATTTAAACAGGTCAAAATAAAATTGTATTAGAAATACTGCCAAATTGTGCTTTAATAGCTCAATTTAAAAAATCAAGCATAACCAAGTATTATCTTGAAAAAACTTAAGAATTATTGTACCTATAAGTAAAACTTATTTTATTCTTAGAAGACCTCAATATAAAAAAAAAGATAAAGCTGTACATAATTTACTATCTAGCTGCCACAGAATAGTAGGAATTGAAAATGTGATGGATGCAACCAATAGAAAAAAACCTGAAGCCATTCTGAGTTGTTTTTTTTTTTTTTAAATGGTGGGGAAGTTAATCTAAAAATTATAATCATTAAAATTAATTCTTGTGCAGTAAGACTACAAATATAACCATGTATCACTTAACAACAGAGATATGTTCTGAGAAATGTGTCACTGGGCAATTCTGTGGTTGTGTGAATATCACAGAATGTGTAATAGTTGTATATGCTATACTTTTGTGAGACTAGCAGCAGTGCAATAGGTTTGTTTACACCAACATCACCACAAACTAATGAGTAATATATTCATTGCACTACAATATTAGGACAGCTATGATGTCAATGGGTGAGAACTTTTCAGTTCCATTATAACCCTATGGGACCACGATTATACATGCAGTCCACTGTTGTCCAAAATAACATTAGGCATCACGTGACTATATAGAGAGATTTGCTTTAAATACAGGCTCATAAAATGAGAAAGCTGAAAAGCATACAAATATACCTTAAAATGACTTCTGGGCTTTAAATAATAACCAAATCTAATCAAAACTATTCAACGCTACAAATAGATCTCAAAATTTAAAAATAGATAAAAACATCACAAATGAAAATAGTGTAATAGTGATATTTTTATTTTTCATTTTAATGCCAGAATATAAAATTAGTTTGGAAAAGCAGTACAAATAAAAAGAAAAATTAGCATTCATTTCTCACTAACCTGGTTTATTGGTTCATTGAAGTTGGTGATGAGCCCTGCACGCAGAGTAGTTTTCTCCTCCTCTGAGAGAGCACTGTAAAAAAAAAAAAGTATTGATTATGCAAAAGAATGCCACCTAATAATAAATGTAGGTAAGCATTACTGTAAATTTTAATAAAAAGCCTTTCAAACATGTGTCTCTGATTGGTTTTTGTAAATAAAAAGGATTATTTCCATTACTTGTATATTGGCACTACTGTGAACTTTAACAATAAAAAGTTTTCTAAACAACTGTCCCTAATTGGTTCTGGTAAATGAATAAGATTATTTCTATTACTTGTACACTGGCACATCAGATAAGTCGGAAGCATAAAATTCCTTCACAATTGAATAAATGGGAAGCACCACACAGTAAGCAAGAGGAAATAAGACAAATCCAGGTAATTAATATATTTGATGTTCACTTTTATTGATGTAAAAATAGTTGCCTACGAAAAAAAAAAACACAGCTAAAAAAAAATCTATACAAGTAAATATTGCCACTCCATTGGCTTCTTTCATAAAATCTGTGTGAGATTATTCTATGGGGCAAGAGATTCAGAATCAGGGAATATCTGGGATGGGTGACTTATCAGAAATCAACTAGCTTAAATCTTTCATTTTAAACATCTCCGAAAAGAATAAACACAATACTAATAATTTTGACTGCGTATGAGAAAGGAAAATAGAAAGCTACTGGACAGGAAAGGAGAACACTACTGTATAAGACTGTATACATGTTGAATACATACGTATGAATGTGTTGTTAATTTTAAAATTAAGGCCAGGCACAGTGGCTCAGGCCTGTAATACCAGCACTTTGGGGAGGCCAATGCAGAAGGATCCTATGAGCCCAAGAGGTCAAGGCTGCAGTGAGCTATGATTGCACCACTGCACTCCAGCCTGAGCAACAGAACAAGTCCTTGTCTCTTAAATATTTTTTTAAATAGTAAACGTACATTAAATTTTAATGCCTCATTTTAAGGTTTTTCATTCTGGGTATCAGAATTAAATTAATTAAATTAAATTAAAGCACACAACAACAATAGCATTAAAGACAAGAGGGATTACACAGAATTAACGTATTACTACAAGGTTCTGGCATTAACTAGAAAAAGTAAAGGGCCAGCCGTCGTGGCTCATGCCTGTAATCCCAATCCTTTGGGAGGCTGAGATAGAAGGACTGCTTGGGGCCAGGAGTTCAAGATAAGCCTGGGCAACATAGCAAGATCCCATCTCTACAAAAAAGTAGAACTAAAAAACATTAGCAGAACATGGTGGCATACACCTGTAGTCTGAGGTACTCAGGAGGCTGAGACAGGAGGATTTCTTGAGCCCAGCAGTTCGAGGCTGCAGTGAGTTATGATTGTGCCACTGCATTCCAGCCTGGGCAACGGAGCAAGACCCTGTCTCTAAAAACAAAACAAAACAAAGTTTTCTTAAAAAAAGTAAAGTACTAATACAAGAATATCAAGGGTCCATGTTATAATCACTTAAGTAATGAAAACATACTAAACATTTTAGAGTAAAACTGAGTAATAAAAAATGTCTTGAATATAGTTGTCCTCCCTTACTTTCCATGGTTTCAGTAATCTACCATCAATGAAGCAGATTCAATGAATGGAATGGAAAATTCACAGGTTTTGAATAGCGTAGCATCCTGAATAGCATGATGAAATCTCATGCTGTCCTGCCCTGTCTGGCCTGGGACATGAATTATTCCTTTGTCAAGCACACCCATGCTGTACATGCTACCTGCCCACTAGACATCTAGTAGCTATCTTGTTATCAGACTGAAAAAAAAAACATACTAAATAAAGGACTCAGGACTATCTGCAGTTTCAGGCATCCACTGGGAGTCTTGGAACCTATCACCTGCAGATAAGAAGAAACTACTGTAATCCAAAGTAAAGCAAGAAAGAAAAAAAAGGGGACAAATAACAAGACACACAGAAAACAAAGTGTGAGGCTGGACACAGTAGCTCACGCCTGTAATCCCTGCACTCTGGGAGGCCGAGGCAGGAAGATCACTTGAGGCCAGGAGTTCAATACCAGCCTGGACAACATGGCAAAACCCTGTCTCTACTAAAAATACAAAATTTAGCTGGGCGTGGTGACTGTAATACCAGCACTTTGGGAGGCCAAGAGAGTTGGACTGCTTGAGCTCAGGAGTTCGAGACCAGTCTGATCAACATGGCGAAACCCTGTCTCTACCAAAAAATACAAAAATTAGCCAGGCATGGTGGCACGCACCTGTGGTCCCAGCTACTCCAGAGGCTGCAGTGGGAGGATCACTGGAGCCTGAGAAGTCGAGGTTGCAGTGAGCCATGATGGCACCACTGCACTCCAGCCTGGGTGACAGAGCAAGACCCTGTCTCAAAAAAAAAAAAGAATAAAAAAACAAGGGTACAATCATAATGCAATGGAGAAAGAACACGTCCCTACTTCACATAAGCACCTTGTACAAGAATAAATTCCAGAAAGATCATACACCTAAAATAGAAAAGGAAAACAAAGCTTTCAGTAGAAAACAGAGTATTTTCATGACCACAGGTTGAGCAAAAATTTCATAAATAGGCTGGGGGCACTGGCTCACGCCTGTAAATCCCAGCATTTTGGAAGGCCAAGGTGGGAGGGTCACTTGCAGTCAGGAGTTCAAGACTAGCCTGGGCAACATAGCAAGACCCCATCTCTACAAAAAAAATTTAAAAATTAGCCACTGGCGGCACACACATGTAGTCACAGCTACTCAGGAGGCTGAGGCAGAAGGGCTGCTTGAGCCCAGGAGTTAGAGGTTACACTGAGCTATGATTGCATCACTGCACTCTAGCCTGGGCAACAGAACAAAACCCTGTCTTCTTAAAAAAAAATATATATATATAATTATGAACCAAAAGAAATAATCATAGAAAGGTAATTAAATTAAACTTCATTAAAATTAAGGGCTTCTGTTCATCAAAAGACATCATGAAGAAAGTGAAAGGCAAGTCACAAAGTTGATTTTTTTTTTTTTTGCAGTCAGAGTCTCGCTCTGTTGCCCAGGCTGGAGTACAGTGGCATGATCTCAGCTCACTGCAACCTCTGCCTCCCAGGTTCGAGATTCTCCTGCCTCAGCCTGTTCAGTAGCTGGGAGTACAGGCTTACACTACCATGTCCAGCTAGTTTTTGTATTTTTAGTAGAGATGGAGTGTCATCATGTTGGCCAGGCTGGTCTCGAACTCCTGACCTCAGGCGACCTGCCCGCCTCGGCCTCCCAAGGTGCTGGGATTACAGGCATGAGCCACTGCACCTGGCCTAGGAGAAGATATTTGTAATACGTATATTTGACAAAGGACTCGTATCCAAAATAAAAGTCTCATAAATCAATAAGATAACCCAATTTTTTTAAATGTGCAAATAACAGACCCTTCACAATAGAGGATATCCCAATGACCAATAAGTACATTAAAAAGTACTCATCATTCATAAAGAAAATGCAAACTAAAATTACTAAGCTCACCAGAATGACTAAAATGAAAGATCAGACCAAGTGCTGATAAGAATGCAGAGCAAATACAAACACTCGTATGTTGCTGTGGAAGTGCAACCTCGTACAACCAGCCTAGAAAATTAATTAACAATATCTACTAAAGTTGAACACACATGTGACTATAAATAGTAATAAAATGCACATGTGTGTAAAAGTTTCTGGAGTGCTATAAGTGTTCTATCTAGTTCCAACTGGCAGTTACACAGGTGTCTTTGCATTATAAACATTCAAACTACACCCTTCATTTGTGTACTGTTTTAAAGTCTGTTATACATTACACTTCAAAGAAAGTATTTTAAAACCTTAATGACTTACTCAAAGTTAATAAACAAATGAGAAAACAAGATTAAGATAAACATTCAGGTCATTAAAAATGATCTCTCTAATCCTTTTATGACTATGCTATACTTTCCAACTTTAATAGTTCCCTTCTACTATCAAACCCCTGACATAATGTGTTCTCCTACAATATTTTGCTTTAAACTTGTAATTGAACTTTTCTTTTATGCCAAGGAGCCAGGTTTAGCAGTTTGCATAACTCTAACTACAATAAAAGTGTACAATGACTATCTATCAAAATAGATTATGCAAAAAAAATACAGATGATACTGACTTACGATGGGGTTACCACCTGAAAAACCCACAGTAAATACAAAATGTTGTAAGTCAAAAATTTATTTAATATATCTAACCTACTGAACATCATTATCTTAGCCTAACTTACCTCAAACATGCTCAGAACACTTACATTTGCCTACTGCTGGGCAAAAGCATCCAACACAAAGCCTATTTTATAATAAAGTAATAAATATCTCATGTTAATTTATTGAACACTGTACTGAAAATGAAAAATACTGTATTGAAAGTGAAAAATAGAATGGTTGTATGGGCACTTGAAGTACAGTTTCTACTGAATACATATATATTGTTTTCGCATCATAGTGAAGTAAAAAAAAAATCATCAAATCAAACAACCATAAGTCAGGGATTGTATACATATTAAAGAAACAAGCCATTAACCTGAAGAAAATTCACATCTTTAACAATTCTCTAATAATAATTAACATTCCACCTTTAATTTTATGCATGTTATCATTAGATGAATTCAAACTATATGTCAAGCAGAAATTGGACAGTATTTAATTAATTAGGACCCAGATACACTGCAATGTATATGGTAATGGTAACAAGCTTGTTAGTTAATTCTCATTCTGTGAAAATGGTTAAGAGTAGGATCTATATAAAATGAAACTGATAAGTACAGAAACAAGCATCTTTTTAAAAAGTCTTAAGTTTATAAGTTCAATTACTAAACTGCCACTCGTGCTCCAGCATCCTCTCCTTTCCAGCTTTTATTTCAATATATACTAAAAGAGACAGCTTGGGATTTAACTACCTAATATTGTATAAATTATCTCATAACTTTTTAAATTTAAGCTAAATTCTAGGTTCTAATTCATTATGTAAAAGTACAACATGAAATATTTAATAATTTACTTTCCCTTCAAAACAATCATTTATATATATATTTATATGTATGTTTATATATATATACATATATATATGTCTCTCTCTCTCTCTTTTGAGACATAGTCTCACTGTGTCGCCCAGGCTGGAGTGCAGTGGCACGTTCTTGGCTCACGGCAACCTCTACCTCCCAGGTTCAAGTGATTCTCCTGTGTCACCCTCCCCAGCAACTGGGATTACAGGCATCCGCCACCACACCTGGCTAATTTTTGTATTTTTAGAAGAGGTGGGGTTTCGCCATGTTGGGCAGGCTGGTCTCGAACTCCTGACCCCAGGTGATCCTCGACCTCCCAAAGTGCTGGGATTACAGGTGTGAGCCACCGTGCCCAGCCAAGACAAGCATTTATAATTGTATCCTTTATATAACCACTAAAACAAAATGAATTTTAGCAGACACGTAAAATTCAATTGGACAAAGCAGTAGAAAAGTGCTGCTGGGCCATTGCCTATAAACAAATAATGCACATTTTCTCATCACTACTTACCATATTTCTCTCCAAAATTATGAATTAATCCTATGTAAAAAATTACTCCGGCCGGGCACAGTGGCTCACACCTGCAATCCCAGCACTTTGGGAGGCCAAGGCGGGCGGATCACCAGGTCAGGAGATCGAGACCATCCTGGCTAACACAGTGAAACCCTGGCTCTACTAAAAACACAAAAAATCAGCGGGGCAAGATGGCAAGCACCTGTAGTCCCAGCTACTCGGGAGGCTGAGGCAGAATGGCCTGAACCCGTGAGGCAGAGCTTGCAGTAGGCCGAGATCATGCCATTGCACTCCAGCCTGGGCAACAGAGCGAGACTCCGTCTCAAAAAAAAAAAAAAAAGAAAAAGACATGTCTGCTTTAAACCGTAATATAGTATCCCAAGTGCAGCCTGAAAATATTCTTGTTGTTTCCAATATTATTCAAGGACATGTTTTATATGCATTTTGAAGTATTCAGACTGAGAAAAAAGGTCTTACGGCTTTTAAGAATTTAGAGAGCTATAGTGCCATCTACTGGAAAACACAGATTATGTTACTTCTTAAGCAAAATTCACTACCATATTTTCTATCAAACAAATCCCAGGGTCATGTCTACAATGATTTTGCATTGATTATATAACATGTAAAATTAACTACTAAATCTGTTAACCACGTACATAGCAGTTATAACTGAATACTAATGTGATTACAAATGTATACTACTCCATTCCCACCATAGAGAAAGAATGCATAAGACTCAGAAATTAACACCTAGCTGGTTCAGAGTTGACCTGGGATTTCCTTCTGAATGGCTTTTTTTTTCTTCCAAATCCTAACCTTATATTTCTCTTTCTTTTTTCTTGAGATGGGGTCTCTCCATGTCGCCCAGGATGATCTCAAACTCCTGTGCTCAAGCAATCCTCCTGCCTCAGCCTTTTAAGTGGGTACGACTAAAACAGAGGGCTTTTGTTCAACATGACTGACTCAGCATGATCCTTGCAAGCAGAGGGCCAACATCACACGCACACGCACACACGCACACACACACACACACACACACACACACACACACACACTCAAATGGAAAACCATGAAGAAAACAATAATATAGCTGTTGATTTGTCATTACCTAAATAGAACACTTATTCAGTAGTAAACACTTTTTTTGCATTTTTTTTAAATATCAAACACTTCACAAATCTCCACATCATCCTTGCACAGAGACCATGCTAATCGTCTCTGTATTGCTCCAATTTTAGTATATGTGCTGCAGAAGTAAGCGCTAACACATCCTTTTACATAAACAAGTATTCTTACACCTTCCTGAATTTGGGAAGGATTATACTCAAGGAATAGGGGAAGTGATGGAACTTACTGAGGTGCTACACGTCTCCAGTAGCGATCAATTCCATGTTTAAAATACAGTACAGCAAGCCACCTTACATTTATATCCAAAGTGTGGTTGGTGAAAATATTCTATAAATAAAAAACATAATATTAGAATTAGCATGGAATAAGTAAAAAGTATAATTAATGTACCCACAATAAAGTATGGACAGATCTTTGTTTTGTTTTGTTTTGTTTTGTTTTGTTTTTGAGACAGTTTCACTCTCGTCGCCCAGGCTGGAGTGCAATGACACGATTTCGGCTCACTGCAACCTCCGCCTCCCAGGTTCAAGAGATTCTCCTGCCTCAGCCTCCCAAGTAGCTGGGGTTACAGGTGCCTGCCACCAAGCCCAGCTAATTTTTTGTATTTTTTTTTTGTAGAGACAGGGTTTCACCATGCTGGCCAGGCTGGTCTCGACCTCTTGACCTCAGGTGATCCATTCGCCTTGGCCTCCCAAAGTGCTGGGATTACAGGCATGAGCCACCACACCCAGCCTGGACAGATCTTTTAATTAAATTTGTTTATATTCTATCACTACATATATCATATCGATATTTATGAAGTATATATAGTTCTACAATTCATATAAGAAGTACACCTGCTCAGTTGTATGTTAACTGTTCAAAGCTGAGTAACACACATGTAGAGTCATTGTACTATTCTGCTTTAAGGTGTGTTTGAAAATTCCCCTAGTAAAAAAATTAAATTCAGAAACAAGCAAACCTAATTATTTTTCAAATGAATACCATAAGCCCATACATATTCAATAAAATATATAACTTCCAAATTAGAAAAAGTAGGCCCACTACAGCATAGATTCAAAGATTCTAAGGAGTCAAGGCCCCGGGGTTAATACATGCTATGAAATAAAACTATTTCATAGTACCCTCCTTATCAAAACAATTATCCTTGTAAATAAGTTTGATAAAGCTGGGCGCGGTAGCTCACGCCTGTAATCCCAGCACTTTGGGAGGTCGAGGCAGGCGAATCACGAGGTCAGGAGATCGAGACTATCCTGGCCAACATGGTGAAACCCCATCTCTACTAAAAATACAAAAATTAGCTGGGCATGGTGGCGCATGCCTGTAATACCAGCTACTCGGGAGGCTGAGGCAGGAGAATAGCTTCAACCAGGAAGGTGGAGGTTGCAGTAAGCCGAGATCGCGCCACTGTGCTCCAACCTGGTGACAGAGTGAGACTCTGTCTCAAAAAAAAAAAAAGTTTGATAGCAGAACATTTTTAAGAGATATAAAGCGGCCGGGCATGGTGGTTCATGCCTGTAATCCCTGCACTCTGGGAGGCCGAGGCAGGTGGACCACCATGAGGTCAGGAGTTCGAGACCAGCCTGGCCAACATGATGAAACCCCATCTCTACTAAAAATACAAAAAATTAGCTGGGTGTGGTGGTGCACATCTATAATCCCAGCTGCTAGTAGGCTGAGGCAGGAGAATTGCTTGAACCCAGGAGGCGGAGGTTGCAGTGAGCAGAGATCGCACCACTGCACTCCAGCCTGGGCAACAAGAGCAAAACTCTGTCCCATAAAAAAAAAAAAAAAAAAAAAAAAAAAAAAAAAAGGCCAGGCACAGTGGCTCATGCCTGTAATCCCAGCACTTTGGGAGGCCGAGGGGGACAAATCACCTGAGGTCAAAGGTTCAAGACCAGCCTGACCAACATGGAGAAATCCCGTTTCTATAAAAATACAAAATTAGCCAGGCATGGTTGCGCATGCCTGTAATCCCAGCTACTTGGGAGGCTGAGGCAGGAGAATCACTTGAACCCGGGAGGGGAGAGGATGTTGTGAGCTGAGATCGCACCATTGCACTCCATCCTGGGCAACAAGAGTGAAACTCTGTCTCAAAAAACAAGAGAGATAAAGCTACATGTGATGTGAATAATCTCAACTCAACATTAACCATTACTCAAAAAAAGTATGCATTATGTTAATCCAAATAATAATAATGACTATAATTATACTATGTCTCAGACCAAAAACAACTCAAATTCCCAAAGGTGACCTCTTAAACCTTGTATAGGAAAACCCCAAAGCCAAAAATGATGTGGAAGTATGTCCTTTGCTATAGAAAAACATTTGTAAGTTTTTTTTTTTGAGATGGAGTCTCACTCCCGTTGCACTGACTGGAGTGCAGTGGCGCGATCTTGGCTCACTGCAACCTCCACCTCCCGGGTTCAAGCGATTCTCCTTCCTCAACCTCCCGAATAGCTGGGATTACAGGCATGCACCACCACTCCCGGCTAATTTTTGTGTTTTTAGCAAAGACGGGCTTTCACCATGTTGGCCAGGTGGGTCTTGAACGCCTGACCTCAGGTGATCCACCTGCCCTGGCCTCCCAAAGTGCTAGGATTACAGGGGTGAGCCACTGTGATCAGCCAAGTATTTTTTAAAAAGGAATGCAGGCTGGGCGCAGTGGCTCACGCCTGTAATCCCAGCACTTTGGGAGGCCGAGGTGGGCAGATTATTTGAGGTCAGGAGTTAGAGACCAGCCTGGCCAACATGGTGAAACCCTGTCTCTACTAAAAATACAAAAAATTAGCTAGGCATGGTGGGGGGGCGCCTGTAATCCCAGCTACTCAGGAGGCGGAGGCAGGAGAATCGCTTGAACCCAGGAGGCAGAAGTTGCAGTGAGCTGAGATCACACCACTGCACTCCAGCCTGGGCAACACAGCGAGACTCCACCTCAGATAAAAAAAAAAAAAAAAAAAGGGGACGTACACTATACAGCCAATTTTAGAAAATCATGTCTAAATACAAAAAAAAAGAAAAAAGATTACAAATATAGTTGTGTAACTCACATTTATTCCTTCGAACCACTGGCAACTGGGTGCAAGTCCCTCTTTTGGGTCTCCATTACAAAACATGCACTTCTTTTACCACATTAATCACATTTGATCTTCACACTTTACATGTCCACCTTCTATACTACATTGAGTCTTGTCTTACGCCTAGAATCTAGCACAGTGCCTGGCAAAGCAGAAACTTCCTAACTTTCTATTGAGCAAATGAGTGAACGAATGGAAGTAATGTGGGAATATTGTGGAAGTTGGTGGATCTCACTCAGTCTATCTCAAATACACTTACAAAAATAAGAAAAGTCAAGCTGCAGATGTCAATCCAAGTAGAAATGTCCTATAAGTACTCTGAAAAACAGGACTAGAACATAAGCCTGAGATCATGTATACAAATACAGGAGTCTCCTGACTAGAATGGACAGCTAGGTAAGATCAAATGTACCTAGATAGCGAGTATAGGGGAAAAAGGAAGACTAAAACACAGCAGCTTTTTAATCTACTGTAAATATAATCTGTTCCATCTAAAAGAAATGTTATATCCCTCTAAGAAGAAAATTACAGGTAATAAAAATAAAGACATTTGGAGGCCAAGGTGGGAGGATCATTTGAGCCCAGGAGTTTGACACCAGCCAACAAAGCAAGACCCTGTCTCTACTTAAAAAAAAAAAAAAGACTGGGCCAGGCGCAGTCGCTCACGCCTGTAATCCCAGCACTTTGGGAGGCCAAGGCGGGCGGATCACAAGGCCAAGAGATTGAGACCATCCTGGCTAACACGGTGAAACCCCATCTCTACTAAAAATACAAAAAAATTAGCCAGGCGTGGTGGCGGGCACCTGTAGTCCCAGCTACTCAGGAGGCTGAGGCACGAGAATGGCATGAACCTGGGAGGCGGAGCTTGCAGTGAGCCTAGATCACCCCACTGCACTCCAGCCTGTGCGACAGAGCGAGACGTCTCAAAAAAAAAAAAAAAAAAAAAAACCTACGCAGTTAGTATTATTAATAAGGTATAGTTATTAATACATAAAAAGACAACAGTTAAGCAATGCCTATTGGTTTTTAAGGTCCAGCAGTAATTAAAATAAGAAATTCTGAAAGTGTTTTATATTTTGGCCAGAAAAAGCACAAGACTAATTATAGAGCATATTCATTTAAATAAGCGTAAGGAGAGTAAAGATACTCAAGAGATTTTTTTTTTTTTTTTTTTGAGATGGAGTCTTACTCTGTCGCCCAGGTTGGAATGCAGTGGTGCAATCTCCACTCACTGCAAGCTCTGCTTCCTGGGTTCACACCATTCTCCTGCTTCAGCCTCCCAAGTAGCTGGGACTACAGGCGCCCGCCACCATGCCTGGCTAATTTTTTGTATTTTTAGTAGAGACGGGATTTCACCGTGTTAGTCAGGATGGTCTCAATCTCCTGGTCACGTGATTCGCCCGCCTTGGCCTCCCAAAGTGCTGGGATGACAGGCATAAGCCACCACACCTGGCCCCGCTGCTCCCCCCCTTTTTTTTTTGAGATGGAGTTTCGTTCTTGTTGCCCAGACTGGAGTACAATGGCACGATCTCAGCTCACTGCAACCTCCGCCTCCTGAGTTCAAGCGATTCTCCTGCCTCAGCCTCATGAATAGCTGCGACTACAGGCGTGCGCCACCACACCTGGCTAATTTTGTATTTTCAGTAGAGATGGGGTTTCAGCATGTCAGTCAGGCTGGTCTCAAACTCCTGACCTCAGGTGATCCACCCGCCTTGGCCTCCCAAAGTGCTGGGATTACAGGAGTGAGCCACTGCACCCGGCCCTACTCAAGAGATTTTCTAAAGATTTATACTATGCCTAAAATTTACAAACATGATGCTAAGATTACATAAAGAATAAGATGTTTTCTTTAGTATCTTTTAAAATCAATCTTTTTTTTTTTACGATTCTGTTACTGAGCCAAACAGCCATCTTTTTTGTTATATTCAGGATAACAAGTCTGACTTTAAACAATTTCCCTTACTGTCATGAACAATATCTTCTTCAATTTAACAAACAACTCAAACTTTTTTAGCCAACAAGTTAAAATATATATGACAACTGCTATCATTTATTTTATTTTGCAAGATATAATAAACAATTTTGCTCTGATTCTATGACCTGGTCACAAATACTGAGTCAGTTTTTAACCCAACGGGGAGCTTTGTTGCCCTGACCAGAAGCTAAACCTCAAACACTAATCAGAGTTCTCAATTTCTCAGAAGAAAAGTATAAGGAAAGTGTTCAACACAAAAAGACTTCTTTCATTCTGGCATTGAGAAAATAATTTTGATTAATTAGTCAAAAACTTTGAACTCCAATAAAGGTTAATTTAAAGCACATATTGTTAATTAATTATACCATTTCCCATTATATCCAAGAAAACATCAGCTGTGTCAAGAGAATGAAATTTTTAGATGAGAAAAGAAAACATTTTAAAGTGAAATACACGGTACACCTGACATTGATGCTGCAATGTGGAGACCTGAACAACTATGACAACATAAATTACCTGGGGTAGGGATAAAGACAAAATATGAAAGAGTGCTACCTAGAGTCCTGATAGTAGACACTTTTAACGTACTAAAACTGAAAATCATCACAGTTTTGCCTTCTGAGCAGATGCTACATATACCTAGCTTATTTTTATATTTATCAATAAATATTTATTTAACACCCTTAAGAAGTCATAAAGTAATAAGATAATGGCAAAGGCATCAGCAGCCAAACATCTGAATCTATTTCACTAAACTACCAATAAAACTAGGGTTTTAAAACAAATTAATGTTGTCTCATTTTATTAAAAAGAAAAGCAAACAATTTTAGAACAACTTACCAGCAACACTGAATAGAAACCTGGCTGTGTCTCCCACTGCTTCAACTGCTCCTCAGCTGGTTTTAACACAGCAGTATCCTGACTGGTGGCCTGTGTTAACACCTGAAGAACAACAGTGCTGGCACTATTGAGATCCATGGAAACCTGGCAATGATAAGTTAACATACTTGAATATGTATTACAAGTAATAAAAAATTAACAGTAAAATAAATGGAGACAAAAAGCTTTCATGTTCTGAATTACTCCCATTCATCTAATCCTTCATGTTCTGCCTTTCTATCTTTTCTAAGTATACCCCATACTCATCCTTAAAATTCATAATCAAATTATTTTTGCTTAAATCAATTTATTCCTAAAGGAAACTCTCTTTCATTGTTCCATAAATAGAAGATAATAAATTGAGGGAGGGGAGATACACACACAAACTTCAAAGTTTCTAAATTCTGAGTAAGTACCATTACGTGCCCAAGACTAAGCATAATGTCTTCTGTCTTCGTTTTAAAAAGGAGATTAATAAGTGTTATAAAAGTATTAAACCATACAGTAAGTAACACCTAACTTTATCCTTGACAAAATCAGAAGGAAGAAAAGAAAACTGCAAAAGAATTGCTTTGACTTGTTAGTAAAGTACTCTCCAACATCATCTTACGTGCCACCAATGGTGCATCTCCAAATCATTTTAAGAAACATACAAAATGAAATGCTATGGGGAAAAAAGCCAAACTGACCTATTAAACAAAAATCTAAAACCTAAGTCAGAAAGGATCTTAAGGGCTGGGTCATCTAATCCTATACCATGTAGCTGAAGCCATTCAACAAACACACAATTTCTTGATTTTGTTGAATTCTCCGGGATTCTGTTTCTAATCACCCCCAAAATTGTATATACAATTCTATACTTAGCAAGTATGTATAGTTATTCACAATATACACGTACAAAATATAAGGATTAAAATTGAAAGCTAAAAATATTGACAGAAAATAAGTCGAAGTTCTCAGTGCAGGGGTGACAGGGAATAGCGTTGTACTGTATTGATACAGCTTAGTGACAGTGGCTATCTCTGTGACCGAAGAATGTTCCAGACAGTAAAAGTCTGAAAGTTATTAGCCTATAAAGAATATAGCCAAAGCAAATGAATTCCTTTGTTAAAATAATTACAATTAAATTGCAGTGAAATGGCAAGATTCCAAATGTTGATTCAACAAGAAATCTGACCTAGATTACCTTTTAGGGAAAATCAACCATTTCAAAACCTATGTAAGTAAAGCAGGGCTAATCAAAAACACAAAAATTTCATTGTACCATCTTAAAAAGGGCCTAATAACTAGAATCTGAAAAATACCAAGTTACTGATAGAGTTGGATTAAGATTTGATTTGATTTTGATTTATTTTTTGAGACAGAGTCTCACTCTGTCACCCAGGCTCGAGTGCAACAGCACAATCTCAACTCACTCCACCTCCCGGGTTCAAGCGATTCTCCTGCCTCAGCCTCCCCAGTATTTGGGATTACAGGCGCACACCACCAAGCCCAGCTAATTTTTGTATTTTTAGTAGAGACGGGGTTTCACCACGTTGGCCAGGCTGGTCTCAAACTCCTGACCCCAGGTGATCCGCCTGCCTCAGCCTCCCAAAGTGCTGGGATTACAGGCATGAGCCACCATGCCCGGCCAGATTGAGATTTTTTTTTTTTTGAGACAGAGTCTTGCTCTGTTGCCCAGGCTGGAGTGCAGTGGCACGATCTCGGCTCACTGCAACCTCTGCCTGCCAGGTCCTTGGCCACCCAAAGTGCTGGGATTACAGGCGCGAGCCACCATGCGCAGCCCAGATTAAGATTTTAAATTTCTGTCACCCAGGCTGTAACACAGTGACGTGATCACTGCTCACGGCAGCCGCGATCTCAAGTGATCTTTCCACCTCAGCCTCCTAAGTAGCTGGGAACACAGACATGCACCACCGGGCCCAGCTAATTTTTTTTTATTTTTTATTTTTTGTAGAGACAAGGTCTCGCTTTGTTGCCCAGGCTGGTCTCAAACTTCTAGGCTCAAGCAATCCCTCCCCAAGTGCTGGGATTACAGGCATGAGCCATGGCATCTGGCCTAATTTTACATTTTCTAGCAGCCACGTTAAGTAGTAAAAAGAAGTATGTAAAAATTAATCCTAATATATATATTTTACTACAGCTGCTCTGATATATATATATATACACATATATATACATATATATACATATATATACATATATACATATATATACATATATATACATATATACATATATACATATATATACATATATACATATATACATATATATACATATATACATATATACACATATATATACATATATATACATATATATATACACATATACATATATATTTTTTTTTTGAGACAGCGTCTCACTCTGTTGCCTAGGCTACAGTGCAGTGGTGCAATCTCAGCTCATGGCAACCTCTGCCTCCCGGGTTCAAGTGATTCTCCTGCCTTAGCCTCCCAAGTAGCTGCGACTACAGGCGCGAGCCACCACGCCCAGCTAATTTTTGTATTTTTAGTAGAGACTGGGTTTCACCATATTGGCCAGGATGGTCTCAAACTCCTGACCTCAAATGATCCGCCTGCCTCGGCCTCCTGAAGTTCTGGCATTACAGGTGTAAGCCACTGCACCAGGCCTAATAGTGTATTTGACTCAATACATCCAAAATGTTATCATTGCAACATGTAACCAATATTTTTTAAATATACTGAGATATTTTACTTTTAATACTAAATCTTCAAAATCCTGTGTATATTTTACACTTAAAGCACATCTCATGGCCAGGTGTGGTGGCTCACACCTGTTAATCCCAGCACTTTGGGAGGCTGAGGCAGACAGATCGCCTGAGCCCAGGACTTCAAGACCCACCTGGGCAACAGAGCAAAATCCCGTCTCTACAGAAAATACAAAAATTACCCAGGTGTGGTGTGCACTTGTAGTCCCAGCTACTAAGGAGGCTAAGGTGGGAGGATCACCTGAGCCCAGGGAGGTCCAGGATACAGTGAGCTGTGATCACGCCACTGCACTCCAGCCTGGGCAACAGAGAAACCCTGTCTCAAAACAAACAAACAAAAAAAAAGACTGACTGCAACTGAGTGTGTCACTTTAGACTGGGTATTCAGTGAAGGCTTCTGAGAAGTGACATTTATGAGAGACGTGAATGACAAGAGAAACCCATGCAAGGATCAGAAGGCAGAGCTTCAGACGGGGAAAACAACTAGAAAAAAGGCCTTGCGATTAGAAACAAACTGAAGAAGGCCAACATGACTGACACTTAGTGAGAAAAGGGGAAAGTGGCGGAAAATGAAGTTGGAGAAAAGGGCAGGAACAAATGGGGCAAAATAAGGTGTCTAGGCTTTTCATATAGGTATAAAAATAGACGCAGGATAGGAAGAACATAAATATATTGCTATCAACATATGAAAGGAAAAAAGCTCTACCAGAACTCATCCTCATCCCACCCCCTCCACCAAAGAAATAAAGATAAAAGTCACAGCCTTGCTTTGGGCTATTCCTAAAAAAATCACTGACTACTGCCAACCCTCAAAGCAATTTTCCCCTAGAGCAAAGATTGTGCAGAGAACATAAATGCACACAGCAAAGCAATCCTTACCCTCACCATTTTTCCTGTTCTAGTGGAATCTGCTAGAGTTTCCCATCCCTGCCTCCTTCCAGTATCTGCCCCATCCAGGTCCTCCCCTTGCTTTGATCCTTGCTCCTAAGAAGCCCATCCAGTCTGGCGGGGAAGAGCTCAGTTCATACATTTTTGGGGCACCTATTTTGTGCCAGACACTGCAGTAGTTGTTAGGATAAGAATCAGAAGAGTCTCTGTTGTCTACCCAAAATCTGTGGGCTACTGGGGTGAGAGGCAGAGGAAGCTACTCTTATTGTTAAAACAAATTGTGAAAAGTACGTTTCTACCATACCAGTTGGCGCCCAGAGTATATCTCCCACACAGAACCAATATACGAACGTGCCTACAGTTGGAAACAAAAATTCTCCTTAAAAGAAACAAGTAAACAAAAGAAAACTCAGCATCTTTACCTGCTACTAACAGATTTATCAGACCTGCAGTGACTTCAGTTTCAGCCATACATAACAATGTTCTTCAGAATATTTGTATTATCTGTGTTTGTCATTAGTTTTAGGGCATTTCACACATACAATAACCCCAGCAAGTCTACTAAATGCCAACACTTTAAGTAGATTGACTTTAAAAAAAAAACAAAAAACAAAAAGGTGCCAAAATTAGAGTAAAAACCGAAGAAGAGTGTTCCAAAATAAAAAGGTTCCCACAGTGAAATAATTTATTCAGGCATGGGTAAATAACCCATGCTAAAACCATTAAATGAAAGAACAGTTGTTGGGGAACAGAATGTTCCCAATGTGTCCAAGTATCACTCCACAGATTACTTGCTAATTGTAATGAAGAAACAAATCTTTAAAATAAAGAAATCCATCGTCAGTCGCCAGCTTAACCAACAGAGTAAATTCAGTTATCAACAACAACAACACAACTTGACCTTAAGTGCCTCCTGATATGATGAAATACGCAGCCCACAGCCTCGCCTCTGAAACATCAAAAACGGTCAACATTAATCTAATCAAGACTGGGCCTAACTTCCAGTTTAAAAGAATTAGAAGAGAAAGAATATTTCTGGAATGATGACATAAGTAGCTCCACAGACCCTCTCCTCAGGGATACAACCCTAACTGGTGAAAATTATAAAAAGCTCAAAGTCTCTGGAAAATGTCTTAACCGCATACAGCAAATACAGAAACATCTATGTGACAAATATTACTAAATCTTGGAAGGAACAGTAAGAATCTGTGGCTTTTGAGCCACAAACCCAGCCCTACCCCACAATGTGAGGAAGCTCTACTCCAGGGACATAACAGCCAAGAACACAGGGCTCTCTCTCACCCTAACTCCCAGCCAAGGGCTACGGTTTCTCCCCAGAATGGGTAGCCAGCCAGCCAGTATTTCTCATACACCCCAGCTATATGCTGCAGAAATTCTGTACCAGGCAAACACAGCTAGAGGTCTAGGGCTCTCTTCTTCCATCCAGGCACCACTCCTGCGGCAGAAGCTCTACCACAGGGCAGCAGGCAAAGAATAGTGAGCCTCTATCACGTCCACAACAGCTTGCTCAAAGAGCAGAGGTACCACACCAGGATAAATAAAGTACCCAAATCAAGTTTGGCCGTTTGCCACTCAGCAGTCAAAGTACGGTGTGGTAAAAGGAAAGCAGCTTTTACTTAAGTGTTAGTAAATGGGAAAATAGCCCAGCTCAAGCCTCAAAGGAACCATTTCAGTTTTTTCGGGCTGAGTGAAGGGGTTTAAGAAGAAAAACTTGGTATAAAAAACATACGGGAGTGGTGCAGCAGGGTACAGGTCTGCATGCCGTATGTATGTATGTATGTATGTATGTATGTATGTATGTGAGTCTTGCTCTGTCACCCAGGCTGGAGTGCAGTGATACAATCTCAGCTCACTGCAACTTCTGCCTCCTGGGCTCAAGCGATTCTTGTGCCTCAGCCTCCTAAGTAGCTGGGATTATAGGCGGGCACCACCAAGCCTGGCTAACTTTTATATTTTTAATAGAGCTGGGTTTCACCATGATGACCAGGCTGGTCTCAAACTCCTGGCCTCAAGTAATTCGCCTACCTCAGCCTCCCAAAGTGCTGGGAATACAGGTGTGAGCCACTGTGCCTAGTCTGCATGCCTTGTTTCAATGGCTATCTTGAGTAAGCCGGTGGTACAGCTGGCATCATCTTGACTTTAGCCTGGTGGGGGTAGACTATCTGTAACTCCTCCTAAGCAGGAGGATTCCACAGCTGAATCTCTATGCCTGATTTGTTTTAAAATTAGCCCCTGGAAAAATCGCTTGAACTCAGGAGGTAGAGGCTACAGTGAGCTGAGATCACCCCACTGCACTCCAACCTGGGTGACAGAGCAAGACTTTGTCTCAAACAAACAAACAACAAAAAATTGCCCTGGAATTTCTAAGCAAGCGCACAATTAGATAAGTGAGTACTGTGCACAGAAGTGCCTGGTGGGAAAGGAAGGAAAATGAAGAGTTTTAAAATACACTGTAAGGCCCAGATGTGGTAGCTCACACCTGTAATGCCAGCACTTTGGGAGGTCGAGGTGGGCGGATCACCTGGGGCCAGGAGTTCAAGACCAGCCTGGCCAACACAGCAAACCCCATCTCTACTAAAAATATAAAAAATTAGCCAGGCGTACCGTAGCACATGCCTGTAGTCCCAGCTACTCAGGAGGTTGAGGCACAAGAATCACTTGAATCCAGGAGGCGGAGGTTGCAGTGAGGAGAGTGCACCACTGCACTGCAGCCTGGGTGACAGAGGAGACTCTGTCTCAAAAAATAAAATAAGGCCAGGCACGGTGGCTCACGTGGCTCACACCTGTAATAGCATTTTTGGAGGCTGAGGCGGGAGGATCACCTGAGGTCAGGAGTTCAAGAACAGCCTGGCCAACATGGTGAAACCCCATTTCTACTAAAATTCAAAAAATTAGCCAGACGTGATGGTGCACGCCTGTAATCCCAGCTACTCGGGAGGCTGAGGCAGGGGAATCGTGTGAACCCAGGAGGCAGAGGTTGCAGTCAGCCAAGATTGCGCCACTGCACTCCAGCCTCGCGACAGAACAAGGCTCTGTCTCAAAAAAAAAAAAAAAATTAAGTAATTAAATTAAATTAAATTAAATACACTGCTAAACTACTTTCTGAGATTAAGGGGCCTGGCATGGCGGCTCTCACCTGTAATCCCAGCATGTTGGGAGGCTGAGGCGGGCAGTTTGCCTGAGCTCAGGAGTTCAAGACGAGCCTGGGTAACATGGCGAAAACCCATCTCTACCAAAAATAGAAAAAGTTAGTCAGGTGTGATGGCACACGCCTGTGGTCCCAGCTACTTGGGAGGCTGAGGTGAGAGGACTGCTTGAGCCCTGGAGGTCAAGGCCCACTACTACTGCTATAATCAAAAAGATAATGATCCGATCAATGGTGTCCAGCTTTTTAAAAGAAGATAATGAGGCATCAGTAAGGAGAAACTGCAACCCTCATGCATTGCTGGTGCAAATGTAAAACAGCGACTTTGGAAAAGTCTGGCAGTTCCTTAAAATGTTAAACACAGAATAACATATAACATAGCAATTCTACCTTTGGACATACAGTCAAGAGAAATGAATATGTCCATACAAAAACTCGTATACAGATATTCACTGCAACATTATTCATAATAGCCAAAAACTGACAACTCAAATATCCATCATGTGATGAATGGGTAAATAAAATGCGTATTTCAGCCAGGTGCAGCAGCTCACGCCTATAATCCCAGCACTTTGGGAGGCCAAGGTGGGCAGATCCCGAGGTCCAGAGTTCGAGACCAGCTTGGCCAACATGGTGAAAACCCATCTCTACTAAAAATATAAAAATCAGGCCAGGCGCAGTGGCTCATTCCTGTAATCCCAGTACTTCGGGAGGCTGAGGCAGGAGGATCACAAGGTCAGGAGATCGAGACCAGCCTGGCTGACACGGTGAAACCCCAACTCTACTAAAAATACAAAAAATTAGCTGGGTGTGGTGGCACATGCCTATAGTCCCAGCTACTCGGGAGGCTGAGGCAGGAGAATCGCTTGAACCCGGGAGGCAGAGGTTGCAGTGAGCCAAGATCGCACCACTGCACTCCAGTCTGGACGACAGAGCGAGACTCTGTCTCAAAAATAAACACATACACACACACACACACACACACACACACACACACACACACGAAAATCAGACGGGCATGGTGGTGTGCGCCTGTAATTCGTTACTCGGGAGGCTAAGGCATGAGAATCACTGGAACCCAGGAGGCGGAGGTTGCAGTGAGCCAAGATCACGCCACTACACTCCAGCCTGGGCCACACAGTGAGACTCTGTCTCAAAAACGAAAATTAAATTAAATTAAAATAAATAAAATAAAATGTGGTATTTCCATACAATGAAGTATTATTTCACCTAAAAAGGAATGAAATCCTGTAACATACTAAAACATGAATGAGCCTTGAAAACATCACACTAAGCAGAAGAAGCCAGTCACATAAAACCACAAGCTGCATGATTCCCATTTATATGAAATATGAAGAACAGGCAAATTTATAACACAAAGAAGTAGATTAAGTGGTTCCCTAGGCTGGGGAATTGGGGGGAAATGTGGAGCAACTGCTATTTGGAACGATGAAAATGTTCTAAAACTGACTGTAATGATGGTTGCACAACTCTGTGAATATACTAAAAACTACTGAATTGTATACCCTTTTCAGTGCGTGAATTACACGGACTGTAAATTATAGCTTAATAAAGCTGGTTTTTTTAAGTGCTTTGATTATGTAAATGTCAAAATCCACAAGAGATGGCCATGTGCAGTGGCGCAAGCGTAATCTCGGCACTTTGGGAGGTTTAGGCAGGAGGACAGCTTCAGTCCAGGAGTTCGAGGCCAGCCAGGGAAGCATAGTGAGACCTCAACTCTACAAAAAATAAAAAACAAAAAGTTTAGCCAGGAGTAGTGGCACACACCTGTAGTCCCAGCTAGCTACTCAGGAGGCTGAGTGTGGAGGAGCCCAGGAGTCTGACTTGCAGTGAGCTAAGACTGTGCCACTGCACTCTAGCCCAGGCGACAAAGTGAGACCCTGTCTCTAAAAAAAAAATGTTTTCAATCTTTTTTTAATGTGACTTATAGCCAGGCGCGGGGGCTCACGCTTGTAATCCCAGCACTTTGGGAGGCTGAGGTGGGTGGATCACGACGTCAGGAGTTCAAGACCAGCCTGACCAACATGGTGAAACTCCGTCTCTACTAAAAATACAAAAATTAGCCAGGTGTAGTGGCGTGCATCTGTAATCCTAGCTACTCAGGATGCTGAGACAGGAGAATCCCATGAACCCGGGAGGCGGAGGTTGCAGTGAGCTGAGATCGCACCACGGCACTCCAGCCTGGGCGACACAGTGAGACTCCGCCTCAAAAAAATAAATAAATAAAATGTGACTTATATAGGCCAGGCATGGTGGCTCACACCTGAATCTCAGCACTTTAGGAGGCCAAGATGGAAGGATCACTTGAGCTCAGGAGTTCAAGATCAGCCTCGGTAACATAATGACACCATGTCTCTTTAAAAAAAAAAAGTGTCTACGGTTTCAACAACAATTGATGTTAACTCAGGGCCAAAAAGATCAAGAAATTAAAGCAAGGTGAAAGAATGTAAGACTTCTGGCATAAGACAAGAAGGTTCCAAAGATACTAGTGTGTACTACAACATCTGGATTCAAATGAGTACTGCAACATCTGGATTCATTTCAGTTTCTCAGCAGAAGTCTGGCAGTTTGGACAAGAAAATTCTTTTCTGTGCATGCATTACAGGTTGTTTAGCATATCTGTCCCTGCACACTATACGTTATTAATACCTCAAACAGATTGACTAAAGATGCTTCCATATATTTCCCAAATACCTTCAGCTAAAAGAACCACCAGGGCTACTGATGTATTCCCTATGACACCAGCCCCCAACCTTTTTGGTACCAGGGACTGGTTTCATGGAAGACAATTTTTCCACAGATGGGGCAGGGCAGTGGAAGAGGGGTAAAGGGCAGGGGGGGATGGTTTCTGGATGAAACTGTTCCACCACAGATCATCAGGCATTAGTGAGATTCTCATAAGGAGTATGCAACCTAGATCCTTTGCATGTGCAGTTCACAACAGGGTTTGTGCTTTTATGAGGATCTAATGCTGCTGCTGATCTGACAGGAGGTGGACCTCAGGTAGTAATGCTCACTCTCCACCCACTGCTCACCTCCTGCAGTGTGGCCCAGTTCCTAGCAGGCCACGGACTGACTGATACTGGTCCATGGCCTGAGGGCTGGGGACACCTGCCCTATGACACTTCATGCAGACTGTCAAAAACTGGTTTGTTTGGGAGGAAAAAATGCACAACAAAATATATGTGACATCAAGGAGAGAAGCTATTTGCTTGCTTTCTCTTCCCTACTCCTAAAACATCAAATCTACTCAAGAGTTTCAAAGGACCTACAAACTTCTGCTTGGAGTTTTCAAAAAACCTGCAAACTCCTGCTTGTTAGAAATGCATCTGGAGGGCACGGTGGCTCACGTGTGTAATCCCAGCACTTTGGGATGCCGAGGCAGGTGGATCACCTGAGGTAAGGAGCTCGAGACCAGCCTGGTCAATGTGGTGGAACTCTGTCTCTACTAAAAATACAAAAAAATGAGCCAGGTGTGGTGGCGGGCGCCTGTAATCCCAGCTACTCGGGAGGCTAAGGCAGGAGAATCGCTTGAAACCAGGAGGCAGAAATTGCAGGGAGCCGAGATCGCGCCATTGCACTCCAGCCTGGGCATCAAGAGCAAAACTCCGTATCAAAAAAAAAAAAAAAAAAAAAAACAGAAAGAAAAAAGAAGTGCATTTTGAACTACAAGTTTAAACCTGCCTAAACCAATCATAACTTAAAAATATTCTCTCTTAGTCTGTTTTGTAACTAGAGAAATATATATAAAAAAATAAAAATTAAAATATAAAATATATATATAATACTATACAAAATAAAAACACCTACAAAAAGACAAGCAGTAAACACATCAAATTATAAACAATAGTTGTGTTAAGAAAGCTCCAGGGGTTATCATTCTTATAGTCAACACACTTTAATAATGAAAAAATACATTTTTTAAGGCCAAGAGTTTTCATTTTACATCTGCTTAAATTTCCATAGGAATTAGATATTTGCTTTATTTCTCTTCCTTTCTCCAAAAACATCCCAACTTCTCAAACAGCTGCAAATCATTACGTATTTCTCTTGTTAAGCACATATCAAGTAGGTAATGTAGTCAATAACTGCACTCTCATGAAATTTCAGGAGAGGAAGTTTACAAACCTAGTCTTCAGTAGCACAAGTAGGTAAGCAATAGTTTGTTTGTTTGTCTGTTTTGAGACAGAGTCTCACTCTTGTTGCCCAGGCTGGAAGACTATGGCACAATCTGAGCTCACTGCAAGCTCCACCTCCCGGGTTCAAGCAAATCTCCTGCCTCAGCCTCCCAAGTAGCTGGGATTACAGGTACCCGCCACCATGCCCAGCTAATTTTTGTGTTTTTAGTAGAAACTGGGTTTCACCATGTTGGGTAGGCTGGTCTTGAACTCCTGACCTCAGGTGATCCACCCGCCTTGGCCTCCCAAAGTGCTGGGATTACAGACGTGAGCCACCACGACCAGCCGGTAAGCAACAATTTTGTCATATTATCTGGATTTGTGAAGGCAGTGTTTACCAAGAGTCAATTCTCCTCACCCAGGGGACTCTGAGTCTTATAATCAAACAGCAGGGGTTTTATGTTTTGTTTATTCTCAAATAGCAGTATAGCTCCAAATAGTCATGTCTATTAGGTACTTAATGTTCTTACTATTTGGTGTTTATAAAGACGATAGTTTAAAATACTTAAACAGTCTTGGAAAAATCAAACTAACCAAAACAGTCTAATGTATTATTTACTTTCCATTAGGCTCCACCTATTATATACACTTCTATATATTGTGTACACTTGTATCACATAAAAGGAAAATACATTTGTATTTGTTAGCAATCGTATCTTTACTTTCATTTCTAAGTCTTCTCCATACCAGTTCCCACATCAACTTGCTTCTTTCTTTACCGGATAATGTACTATTGTTTCTATCATTCCTAAAGCTGTAAAAATAATTTGAATTGGCCAGGCGTGGTGGCTCACGCCTATAATCCCAGCACTTTAGGAGGCCGGGGCGGGTGGATCACCTGAGGTCAGGAGTTTGAGACCAGCCTGAACAACATGGTGAAACCCTGTCTCTACTAAAAATGCAAAAATTAGCCAGGCATGGTGGCGCTCGCCTGTAATCCCAGCTACTCGGGAGGCTGAGGCAGGAGAATCGCCTGAACCCAGGAGGCGGAGGTTGCAGTGAGCCGAGATTGCACCATTGTACTTCAGCCTGGGCAACAACAGCAAAACTCCGTCTTGAAAAAATAAAATAAAATAAATTGAATAGTCTGCAGTGCCACCTGATGGTAAGAAGTACCACATTCCAAAGAGTATGTTCCTTTCCCCCCAAGGAGGGTTGGAGGAAGCGAGGAACTTTAGAATTCTCAATGACCATCTGAGCAAGACAACCATCTGGAAATGTAACAGGGATTACAGGGTTTAGGAGGATAGAGCAAAGAATGCTGAGCTCCTGAGAGAAAGAAATGAATGGGAGCCTAGAGAGTAATGCAATGCGAGAAAGATGAGATTCAAAACAAAAACAAAAACCTCACCTTGAGGCAAAATATGACACCTAAGAACTTCCTTACAGCACTGCTTCTACTTCTATAGTTAGATATTGCATCACTCTACCAAAAGAAAATTTGAGGTAAAGACATGAATGTGTTTTTGAGTTCTACTCAAGGTAAATATGAAGTAATTTTTAAAAATATAATAATAAAGGCAATGTCTAGCATAAAGGAGACTGAGAAACCATGGAACAAGAACAGACAAGAGTGACAGGAGTAAAGGAATAAAATCACCTACTGATTCACTACAATAATTCCACATTTAAGATAAGAACAAATATTCAGATTGGGTGTGGTGGCTCACGTCTGTAATCCCACCAATTTGGGAGGCAGAAGCAGGAGAACTGCTTGAGCCTAGGAGTTCAACACCAGCCTGGCAGTCCGGGCAACATGGCAAGACCCCATCTCTACAAAAAATAAAAATTAAAAAAAAAAAAAAAACCTTAGCCAGGTGTGGTGGCATGCACCTATGGTCCCAGCTACTCAAGAAGCTGAGGTGGCAGAGGCAGAGGTTGCAGTGAGCCAAGATCACGCCATTGCACTCCAGCCTGGGCAACAGAGAGAGACTTCTTCTCAAAAAGAAGCTGAGCCAGGCGCGATGGCTCACACCCGTAATCCCAGCACTTTGGGAGGCCCCGGCGGGCGGATCACGAGGTCACAAGATCGAGACCATCTTGGCTAACATGGTGAAACCCCGTCTCTACCAAAAATACAAAAAATTAGCCGGGCGTGGTGGCGGGCACCTGTAGTCCCAGCTACTCGGGAGGCTGAGGCAGGAGAATGGCGTGAACCCGGGAGGCGGAGCTTGCAGTGAGCTCGGATTGCGCCACTGCACTCCAGCCTGAGCGACAGAGCAAGACTCCATCTCAAAAAACAAAAAAAAAAAAGCTGAGGTGGGAGGATGACTTGAGCCCAGGAGGTTGAGGCTGCAGTGAGCCATATTCACACCACTGCACTCCAGTCTGGGCAACAGAGTGAGACCATGTCTCAGAAAAAAAATCATGATCTATAGCCCAAGTCTACAAAGAGAAGAACAAGAGGCAGAAAATATATCACTGGGGAATCATGGATAGGAAATACAAGCAAACTGTTAAACTGCCCAGAGTCAAAAGCAAACTAGAGAAATACAATATGCCAAAGACAAGAAAGAAATTAATTTCTGTGAAGACCGGGGAAGAGTTCTACAATAATCAAAATAGAAAAGTGAGTATATTAGAAAACTTAAAGAAATGAAGTTTATTATTTTGAGAAACCAAAATCTTAAGGGCTGCTTGCCAAAAAAACAAACAAACAAACCTGAATCTGACCAAGCTTCTAGATCTTCTATCAATGTAACTAGAGAAGTATGTGGGAGGTAAGACGAAATGAAGTTGATAATTGTTAAAGCTGGATGATGGCTAGATGGGGGTTCATCATAAAATTCTGTCTACTTTTATGTATGCTTTTTAAAATGGCCGCTAACGGACACAGAGATCACTAAAGTTGCTGTTCATGGTAGACATCACCTCCTGAGGAAATCTTTAACTGCTGTAGACAGTAAAGCGCTCCTTCCTCCATGCTACTGTTCTGCATAGTACACACTTCTATTGCTGTACTTACTTCCTTGTTTACTTCTATCTCATCTCCAAATCATGAACTGTTTAAAGGAAAGAATGATGTTTTACTCATCTATAAATGCCATTACCTAGCACAGTGTGAAGGATGTTCAGTAAATGTATGATCAACTAAACAGTAACAGAAATTATGATTTCTCAGACAGAAGACAGAAAAGGTAAGAGACAGAGGTCCAAGAACAACAATATGGAATACAAATTTTATCAGAGTAAAGACAGAAATATCTACAAAAAACACTGCAAGAGTAAATAGTGTGCTGAATGGCTGAAAAAAATGAATGAATGTATGAACAGTCCATTCAGTATCTTCCTATACTGAAATGGAGCATATCAAGCCAACAAAATTTAATAATACTTTTCACTGGGAATATCTAACACCCTTTTTTCTAATCCTGCGCTCTCCAATCCCCTTTCTGATATTTTCTTGCTTTATCATTAGGCTTTTCCATATTTATTAATTCAATAAATATATACTGAACACCTGCAAATGCCAGACACTAGTCTAGGCACTTGAGATACATCGATTAACTAAAAAGACAAAAAAAAATCCAAGACTTGTGAAGCATATTTTATAGTGGGGAGACAAATAAATGGGAAACAAATAATAAATGGGTGAAGTATAAAGTATGTAAGAAGACAATAGACAGGGGAGGCAGACCTGTGAGAGGAAGACCTGTCCGAAAAACTTGAGTATTTCTGTCTCACCGGGAGTTTTTAGTAAAATGGCACTGATAAACTGCAATAAGTCTCTTGCCTGTTTGGTATATACAAGAGTTCCCCGTGACTAATCTCCCCCTAATAAGAAAAGTTATACATTATCCTAAACAATATTGACACCCCCTACCTGATCAGTGCCCAGCTGTGAGGTACCAACTACTGTCAACCATCACCCTCTGGTGTCTCCTTAGCTGAAAAACAAAAATACATGTCTGTACAAAACCCACTAAGGAACAGCAGTTATGCTTATTGCTTTTAAAGGTCCTTCTCTGGCTGGGCAGTGGCTCACACCTGTAATCCCAGCACTTTTGGAGGCCGAGGCAGGCAGATCACCTGAGGTCAGGAGTTTGAGACCAGCCTGGCCAACATGGTGAAACCCCATTTCTACTAAAAACACAAAAATTAGCTGAGCATGGTGGTGGGCACCTATAATCCCAGCTACTAGGGAGGCTGAGGCAGGAGAACTGCTTGAACCCAGGAGGTGGAGGTTGCAGTGAGCCAAGATGGTGTCACTGCACTCCAGCCTGGGCAACAAGCAAGATTCCATCTCAAAAAATAAATAAATAAAGTTCCTTCTTGGATATGAAAAAAAATAGGAAGGAAAAGCTATAAAACTGATTTTGATTAAGGCACTGAATAGAGATAACAACACAGCCTAGATTAAATTTAACAGACTATAATTTATAACTAGCAGTTAGGCAAAACTTTTTGCTGAGTGTAAGAGATCATCAGTCCTCTCTCCAAATATAGACATCTTCGATTGGTAGTTTCCATTTACTGGTTGAAGACATCACTGTCTATAAAGCTGTATCTTATAAGAATCTCATTCTTGCTATAAAGAGCTCAGCCTGTCATTGTATTTATAAAAACCCATTTGTTCAAACATGCATGTGCTGTATGCCAAGTAATAATCCCACAGTTAATCACTATTCTACATTTTATCATTAAAATAATTTTTCTCTCAGTTGTGAGTCCATATAAGTTAACAAGTAAATAAATATAATTTTCCTATCACCTTGGAGCCACCCATATCAGTTCTCTACACAGTTTAAGTATTTTGTTTTACTGACCAAGACACTGTGGCCAAAAGATAAGGAGATAAACTGACTTCTCTAAGGTCACAGGCTCATTAGTGACATTTCTAGAACTTTAAATGTAAGTCTCCTGTCCCCACCCAGTACTCCCGAAAGATTAAACACTTTTACTTTTGTTCAGTGCTGTCCATTAATATCTCAAGTGAAATTAACTGGGAATTTTTAGCTTTAGACTTGAGAAAGAACAAAAATACATCAAGTTCACAGCCTATCTGCCTAATGAATTATACTACATCAGAACTGAAGACTGAAATTGATGGAGTCATTGAAGATACCCTACACAAGGTTAACAAGGTGAAGATTAAGAGAAGAAATGTTATTAATACATAACTAAAACAAAGGTGTATTATACAGAATATACAAGGAACCCTTGTGAATCAACAAGACAAATATATAAGAAAAGTGAACAAAGGGTGTAAGCAGAAAATATATAGAAAAGAAGAGCTAAATGTTTAATTAATATCAGAAGAGATGCTATCTCACTGGTTATCAGGGATTTAAAATCCAAACAGTGAAAAACTACTTTATGATCAGACTAGCAAAAATTACAAAGTCCAAAAATATTCAATGCTGGCAAGAATGCATGGAAACAGAAACTCTTAAACACTGCTACTGGGAATATCTATTAATACAACTTTGGAGAGCTATCTAGCTGTCTCTAATGAAATTGAGTATATATTTTGTGTATTCTATGACCAGGACACACAGAGGGTCACACACCACATAAAAATGGCGGCTCACGCCTGTAATCCAACACTTTGGAAGGCTGAGGCGGGTGGATCACTTAGAGTGCAGGAGTTCAAGACCAGCCTGGGCAACATGGAGAAACCCCATCACTACTAAAAAAACAAAAAGTTAGCTGGGCATGGTGGGGCACACCTGTAGTCCCAGCTACTCAGGAGGCTGAGATGGGAGAATCACCTGAGCCCAGGAGGTCAAGGCTGCAGTGAGCCACGATCGTGCCACTGCACTCCAGCCTGGGTGACAGAGTGAGACCCTGTCTCAAAAAAAAAAAAAAAAAGTTTCAGTCAGATATGGACCACATATATACGACAGTGATCCCGTAAGATTTTAATGGAGCTTTAAAATTCCTATCACATAGTGACATCATAGCCATCCTAAGTCGTAGTAAATCACATTACTCACACGTTAGTGGTGATGCTGGTGTAAACTAACCTACTGCACTGCCATTTGTATAAAAGCAGAGCACATACAATTAGGTACAGTACATAACACTTGAAAGTGATAATAAGCAACTATGTTACTGGTTTATGCATTTACTACATTATACTTTTTTTTTTTTTTTTTTTGAGACGGAGCTTCACTCTTGTTGCCCAGGCTGGAGTGCAGTGGTACGATCTTGGCTCACTGAAACCTCCATCGCCCGGGTTCAAGCAATTCTCCTGCCTCAGCCTCCCAAGTAGCTGGGATTACAGGTGTGTGCCACCACGCCTGGCTAATTTTTGTATTTTTTTAGTAGAAACAGGGTATCACCATGTTGGCCAGGCTGGTCTCAATCTCCTGACCCCGTGATCCACCCGCCTTGGCCTCCCGAAGTGCTAAGATTACAGGCGTGAGCCACCACGCCCAGCCTACTTTTTTTAAGAGTTACGATCTCTGTCACCTGAGGTAGAGAGCAATGCCGGCATCATAATTCACTACAACGTTGAACTCTTGGGCTCAAGCAGTCATTCCACCTCAGCCTCCTGAATAGTTGAGACTTGGGACTACAGGGATGAGCCATCATGCCATGCTAATTTTTTTACTTTTTGTAGAGATGGGGTCTGGCTATGTTGCCCTGGCTGATTTCAAACCCCAGACCTCAAGCAATCCTCCCACCTCAGCTTCCCTAAACCCTGGGATTACAGAAGTGAGCCACCAAGCCCCACTACTATACTTCTTATCATAATTTTACAATGTACTACTCCTATTAAAAAAAAAAGTTAACTGTAAAACAGCCTCAGACAGGTCCTTCAGGAGATAATTCAGAAGAAGTCATTGCTATCATAGAAGATGACAGCTCCATGAATGTTATTGCCCCCGAAGACCTTCCAGTGAGACAAGATGTGGAGGTGGAAGACAGAGATATTGATGATCCTGACCTTGTGTGTACCTGAGTTAATGTGTGTGTTTGCGTCTGTTTTAAACAACGTAGAACTACACAATGTATTTGTGTTTTAAGCTAAGTGTTACTGCAACAGAGACAAAAAGTTTATAAACTAAAAGTTACAATAAGCTAAGATTATTGAAGAAAAAAATTTCTTAATAAATTTATTTTAGCCTAAGTGTACAATAATGCCCTAGGCCTTCACTTTCACTCACCACTCACTCACTGATTCATCCAAACCAATTTCCAGTCCTCCAAGCTCCATTCGAGGTAAGTGCCCTGTACAGATGTACCATTTTTTACTTCTACACTGTATTTTTACAGTACCTTTCTAAGTTTAGACATGTTTAAACACACAAATACTTACCATTTTGTGACAACTGCTTACAGTATTCAGTGCAGTAACATGCTGTACAGGCTTATAGCCTAGATACAATAAGCTATATACCACATAGCCCAAGTGTATAATAGGCTGTACCATCTAGGTTTGTTCATATGATGTTCATAGAACAACAAAATTGCCTAACGACCCATTTCTCAGGATGTATCCCAGCCTTAAGCAACTCGTGACTGTATCTTCTATGACCCAGCAGTTTCACACCTGGTGCTATAATCACAGAAACCCCTGCACAGGCATATAAGAATAAGGAGACAAAGGACTAGGTTGTCTGCATGACCTAGTTATCTATATTAACAGAGACTTGGAGACAATACGTGAACATCTTTAGTGAAATATGTATAAAATGTATCTTATCCCTTGTACAATTTGTTCCCTCTGGCTGGAAAGCTCTGGTCTCTAGATAAAAGCATGTCTTGCTCTTTGACAGCATTCCATTCTGCTCAAGTTGTCCTCTATTTAAAGAGGTCTCCACTAACTGCCAATCTAAAAGGGCTCACTCCTCAACCAAGAATCTCTATGTTCCCGATATCCTTAATTTTTCTGCATAATGCTATTAACTATATGAATGCTGTTCATAGCACTATACTGTTAATAGCTTACTGTACTGGAAACACTTACATTTTAAACTATATGATATGTGTTGGCTGGGTGCAGTGGCTCATGCCTGTAATCCCAATACTTTAGAAGGCCGAGGCAGGTGGATCACCTGAGGTCAGGAGTTTGAGATCAGCCTGACCAACATACTCTACTAAAAATACAAAATTAGCCAGGCATGGTGGCGCACGTCTGTAATCCCAGCTACTCAGGAGGCTGAGGCAGAAGAATCACTTGAACCCAGAAGGCGGAGGTCGCAGTGAGCCGAGATGGTGCCACTGCACTCCAGCTTGGTCAATAAGAGTGAAACTCTCTCTCAAAGAAAAAAAAAAAAAAACTAGGCAGGCGTGGGCATGGTAGTGCATGCCTGTAATCCCAGCTACTCGGAAAGCTGCAGCAGGAGAATCACTCGAACTTGGGAGGCAGAGGTTGCGGTGAGACGAGATTGCACCATTGCACTTTAGCCTGGGCTACGAGTGAAATTCTGTCTCAGAAATAAATAAATAAATAATGGCTAGTTGGAGAGTTGGAAATAAAATAATTAGATAGTTGGAGAGTTGGAGGAGGGGTTACACATAAGTTAATAAGGGGAAAGAATTAAGATTTTGGGCTTTTCCAACTGATTGGTGCCTGCATGGCTCATAGGAGGAAAACAATGTCAGGAAGGTTGAAATACACAACGTTTTTGACATGAATGTCAAGTATTTTAAGACAACTACATATGTCAGCGTTGAAGAGAGACCTGTGCTAAAAAGCCAGATTTGGGAGTCATCAAAATAGAGGCAATAGTTGAAGTCACAAATGAGACCATTCATGAAGAGTGTGCATTGAAGTCCTTATTTCCTAAACTACGTAGTTTGGATTTTTATCTGAAGGTTTTCAGAAGAGAGCAGGGTAGTGCCTCAGAGTCAAACATCTAAAGTGGTCAGAGAAAAGAGAAAAATAACCAACAAAAGACTGGCTAAAACCTAAGAAGGAAATAAGGAAAATATGGTGTCCCAGAAGTATAAGAAGAAAATTTCAAGAACGAACAAGTAGTTAAAATGGCAAATGATTAAACAGATTCCATTAGATTTAGCAACAAAGATATCAATGGTGATCACCACTACATCAAATTCAGTGACTGCTATGGACTGTCAGCCTTCAAAATACCAAAAAAAAAAAAAAAAAAAAAAAAAATTAACCAATAAGGAGGTGAAGAAAATGAATATAGAGAATTCTTTCAAGAAACTTAAAGGAAATAAGCTGGGCATGGTGGCACACACAAGTAGTACCAGCTACTCATGAGATTGAAGTGGCAGGATCACTTGAGCCCTGAAGTTTGAGGCCAGCCTAGGTAACAAGAGACCTTGTCTCTTAAAAAAAGGAGAAAAAAAAAAACTAAGAAAAATAATTATAGATAAAGCTGAAGAGGAATCTAAGAATCTAAGGTAAGGAGCGTATATTTCAGATAAGACTTGATTTGAGGCCAGGCACGGTGGCTCACCCATATAATTCCAATACACTTCAGGAGGCCAAGGCCAGTGGATCGCTTGAACCCAGGAGTTTGAGACAAGCCTGGGCAATGTGGCAAAACCCCATCTCTACAAAAAAAAATTCAAAAATTAGCCAAGCATGGTGGCCTGCGCCTCACCTGTGGTCCCAGCCACCAGAGAGGCTGAGGTGGAGGGATCGCTTGAGCCTGGGAGGCAGAAGTTGCAGTGAGCCAAGATAGCACCACTGCACTCAAGCCTGAGAAACAGAGTGAGTACTCTGTCTCAAAAAAAAAAAATAAAAAAAAAAAAAGATAATAAGAGACTTGGGTATGCTTAAATCCTTGTTAAGTTAGTACTAGTTGAAAAAGGAGTAACTGAATGTTATGGATTGAACTGTGTTCCTTAAAAATTCATGTTGAAGCCCTAACCCCCGAACCCTCAGTATTTGGAGATAAAGTTTTTAAGGTGATTAAGATAAGATGAGGTTGTTAGGGTAAGGCCCTAAACCAATATAACTGATGCCATTATAAGAAAAAGAAACAGCAGGCCAGTGCAGTGGCTCACGCCTGTAATCCCAGCACTTTGGGAGGCTGAGGCGGGCAGATCACCTGAGGTCAGGAGTTTGAGACCAGCCTGGACAACATGGTGAAACCCGTCTCTACTAAAAATATAAAAATTAGCCGGGCGTGGTGGTGAGCGCCTGTAATCCCAACTACTCAGGAGGCTGAGGCAGGAGAATCGCTTGAACCGGGAAGGCGGAGGTTGCAGTGACCTGAGAGCGGGCCACTGCACTCCAGCCTGGGAGACAAGAGCGAGGCTCCGTCTCAAAAAAAAAAAAAAAAAGAAAAGAAAAAAAAAGAAAACAGAAAGATACAGCAGAGGTGCATGTACACACAGGATGACCACGAGAAAAGGCAGCAAGAAGGTGGCCATCTGCAAGCCAAGGATGGAGGTCTTACAGGAAACCAATCTTATCTGCACCTTGATCTTAGACTTCCACTCTCCAGAACTGTGAGAAAAAAAATTCTCTTGTTTAAGCTACCCAATATAAGGTATTTTGTTGTGGCGGCCCTAGCAAACACATGAAGGAAATATTGCCCGTAAGGAGAAAAAACTCAGAATATCATTAGAGATGGACAGATAGAGGTCTTCATGTTTGCAGGTGAAACAGAACAGAAAGCAATGAAGTTCCCACTCAATGTATTTCATTTCCTCTATGAAGCAGAAGGGAACTTTATCCAGTAAAGAGTAAAGAGGGGGCCGGGCGTGGTGGCTCAAGCCTGTAATCCCAGCACTTTGGGAGGCTGAGGCAGGGGGATCACCTGAGGTCGAGAGTTCGAGACCAGCCTGACAAACATGGAGAAACCCCGTCTCTACTAAAAATACAAAATTAGCTGGGCATGGCGGTGCATGCCGGTAATCCCAGCTACTCAGGAGGCTGAGGCAGGAGAATCACTTGAACCCAGGAGGCGGAGGTTGCAGTGAATTGAGATCGCGCCACTGCACTCCAGCCTGGGCAAAAAGAGCAGAACTCCATCTCAAAAAAAAAAAAAAAAAAAAAGTAAAGACGGGGCCGGGCTCACTCCTGTAATCCCAGCACTTTGGGAGGCCAAGGTGGGTGGAGTTCAGGGAGGTCAGGAGTTCAAGACCAGTCTGGCCAAAATGGTGAAACCCTGTCTACTAAAAATACAAAAATTAGCCAGGCTTGGTGGCAGGCACCTGTAATCCTAGCTACTCTGGAGGCTGAGGCAGGAGAACCGCTTGAACCCGGGAGGCGGAAGATGCAGTGAGCAGAGATCACGCCACTGCACTCCAGCCTAGGTGACAGTGAGACCCCGCCTCAAAAAAAATAAAGAGGAAAGGTGGTGGGTTAATAGCCACCATGATAAACAGGAGCAGTTAGCAGGGACACACAGGATTGTTAGGCTGCCTGTACAGTACCCAATAGACGTTTGTTATTGAATGAACACCTAATTGTCATTCATGAATTTTAGTCCGTTTTTAATATAACAAGCTCTGACAGTAACCAGCAAAAGAAAAGCACTGGAATGAGTTGGAATCTGGGTTATAAATCTAGGTATGTGTGACCTTATGCAAGGCACTTACCTTTCTGGGCCTCAGTTTCATCAGACTGGATAATCAGCATAAGATCACCTCAGATTAAAATAAATGATGCTATAAATTTTTATACCGGTTTGTGCATTACCTCAGTGTTCTTCAACTGTTACCAACCAAAGTAGTGCATCTCAAGATTTATTGAACATTCCTTTCATCTAGATAACTTGTTAAAATTGCAGATTTTGATTCAGCAGCTCTGGATTGAGCCTGAGATCATGCATTTCTAATAAACTCCCAGGTGATGCTATATACCACAATTTGAGTAGCAAGGGTAAAGAACACTGATGCAACTTAAGCTCTACAAAGCTTATAACTGTGGACTTATCTGTAATAAGTCTGATAGTCAGCAAACCAAACACACTACAGACTCACACCAGCACTAAATGTGTTTTGCCATTCCTTAAACGCTCTGAAATTAACAGTCCCTATTTGAAGCTGATAAAGAAAGGAAAAAATATTACCATCAATAACACTAAATTAGAAGTGAGGTTACATACATACACACACACAGGTACAAATATATAACACAAAGGTCAAAATCCAAATAATCAAACATTACCTTACCCAAAATTTGAATATTTTTATTGCTGAGAAAAAAAAATTTTGTTTCTGGAAAAATCTTCAGTGTATTTTAATAGCCACATGCCTACAAGGATCATGCTGCATTCTGGTTTGATTCCAAATGCAAATATATTCAAACATCACAAAATCTAAAAATTGTTCTATTAATGATCAGATAATCTTTACATATTTGTTTAAAACCTCTAACATTACCACAGCCAAATGTGTTTGTGGTGAAAATTCTCTTTGGCCTTAGAAGTTCAACTAGGGCGGAGACCACCCTCCTACCCTGAGACTATAATATATGGCCACAAGCCACTACTATAATTAATTGTTTCTACTATACCCTGTGCTAGGTTACTGCAGAAACAGAGAAAATACCAGTCCCATCATAACCAAAAGGGAAAATGTTTCTACTTTCACCGAAATTTTCCTCAGTGATGAAAGATGTAATATGTGTCATGCAATGGATGTCTCCTATAGAAGAGTCACCCTGCCCTTAATCTGAAGCTCCTCTACTGAACAGAGAAGTTTGAAATAACATGAAAATGGAGGAAGAAAATTCCTATCCCAGGAGGGGGAAAAGCATTATGGCTACAAACTATTCTTCCTTCTGAAGAATAACCGAAATCTGAAGGGCACTACCGCGCTACAACTGAGCTCGTTTAAATTATGGAGGGGAGGAGGTATGTCAACTGCAACCTTGGCACTAGTAGGTAATTTACCAGTCCTTGCTATTTAGTCAAATCACTTTCAGATAGTACTTCTCTCATTCACCAACATGTCACAAAATAATAAAGAAAAAATGACACACGTAATAAGCAAAAGTAGTTTTGCTGAATCACAAATACCCCCAAATATAAATCTACAGGAGTCGCTGAGCTTGAGAATTGGCGGCCATACCTCTCCATGAAGCTCCTCTCTATAAACGGACAACTACCTTCACTTTTTCATTAAAAGCATGTAAGGGTCTAATGTTTAAAGCTATCACACTATTGCTATTAGCAACAAGGTCGCGTGCGCAGTAACAATGCACAACGGTCTTATACTCGAGATAACCACTTTATCTCAAAATTTGCACCACCTATCCCCCAAGGGCAAATGCATCACCCAGGTCCGCAACCGCGGTCACGATGGGTACACTCGCCTCTGCTCAGCCTAGCATACGGTCCCTCCCACCCCGCACCCTGATTGCTCCACTACCATGCTGCCCACTCCCGGGCTGCCTCGGCCAGCCCCCAGTTCCCCGGGTTCCTAAGGTTGCGCAAACAGCCAAGTCTGCAGGCCGCCCTTGCCTCGCTACCGTTATCCCTCATCTCCTGGTAGCCCCACTTTCCTCCCGCCTCTCGGGACTCGGGTGCCCAACCCACTCCCTTCCACTCCCGCGCGCTCGGTGGCTCTCGGGCCGGGGCCTCACCGTTTGGTTCGGTCGGGAATTGCCCGGCCCTCCCGCTCCCACTTCCCAACACGAAGTGGCGTCGGTTGGTCCCTCTCCCCACGCTGCCAGACCCCACGCCGCCGCCTACTGATGCCGAAAGCGGCTTCTAGGAACACGCCATGTTTGGCGTCGCAGCTCCAAACGACGCGGACGCGCGAAAACTACGTCACAGGAGACCAGCGCGCATGCGACCGGCAGAGAGAGAAGGCGATAGGCGAACGGCGGGAAGGGGAAGGAGGGGCTTTGTCTTTGAACCAAAAGGCGCGGGGTATCCAAATCAGTTGTGTGCGCTTGCGCAGTGCGCTTGCGCAGTATAAAGAGCCAGGAGTCCGGACTAGCCGGATCTGTCACCATGGAAACCATAGGTCTGGTTTCTCCGACTCCCAGGGAGCTCAATTGTTTCCTGCGTTGATTGAAGCTTCAATCAGAACCATTTCACGCTTTATATTCTAGATATCAATAGCGGATCCGTCACAGCAGAGAAGAGTTATTTAAAGAATCTTACTCCCATCAGTCCACCCTCCCTCCCGCAAATATTTATTTTTTAAGTTACCCAAATTGCTTGGCGCTTACTCCTGAGTAATAGCAAGAGTGGAAAAATGTAAAAGGACATAAATCCAGTTCTGCTTGCCTCTGCTAAAAGCTAGCATAGTCACCTAAATTTTCTTATCCTTAAAAAGAGAACTTACTCAGGCGCAGTGGCGCGCGCCTGTAGTCCCAGCTACTCCAGATATGGAGGCAGGAGGATCACTTGAGCCCAGGAATTCGAAGCCAACCTGGGACATATAGAGAGTTCACACACACACACACACACACACACACACACCCATTTCAAAAATAATAAGGGGTGGGCACAGTAGCTCACACCTGTAATCCCGGCACTTTGGGAGGCTGAGGCGGCCGGACCACGAAGTCCGAAGTTCGAGACCAGCCTGGCCAACATGATGAAACCCTGTCTCTACTAAAAATACAGTAATTAGCCTGGCGCGGTGGCGGGCGCCTGTAATCCCAGCTACTCAGGAGGCTGAGGCAGGGGAATCGCTTGAACCCTGGAGGCAGAGGTTGCAGTGAGCCAAGATTGCTCCACTGCACTCCAGCCTGGGCAACAGAGCGAGACTCCGTCTCAAAATAAATAAACAAATAAATAAATAAATAAATAAATAGACTCCGTCTCAAAATAAATAAATTAATTAAAAATACACACCAACTATATATTTCTTAAAAATAATAATAGTAAGGCCAGGCACAGTGGCTCACGCCTGTAATCCCAGCACTTTGGGAGGCCGAGGCGGGCAGATCACCTTAGGTCAGGAGTTCGAGACCAGCTTGACCAACAAGGAGAAACCCCATCTCTACTAAAAATATAAAAAATTAGCTGGGCATGATGGTGCACCCCTGTAATCCCAGCTACTCGGGAGGCTGAGGTAGGAGAATCGCTTGAACCCTGGGGGCAAAGGTTGCAGTGAGGCGAGATCGCGCCATTGCACTCCAGCCTGGGCAATAAGAGCAAAACTCCGTCTCAAAATAATAATAATAATAGTAAAAGAAGTTGTAAGGAAATAGAGTGTTCAAAAATATTAATAATAGAAAACCTTTATTGCTAATTTAGAATATTCCAGGTACAGTTTTAAGATCTTTATGGGAATTATCTATTTTAATCCTCAGAACAACCCTTATGAGGTAGGTATTTTCTTTATGTCCACTTCACAGATGAAGAAACTGAAGCACAGAGAAGTCAAGTAGCCCACCTAACGTCAAACAGCTAGTAAAAGGCCATGTTAGGATTTGAACCAAGCTCTGCATTCCAAGAATGTCGATCACACAAGGGCTGTTTTTTAAAGTAAAAAGATAAAATTACCTAAACAACCACCAATGACACAAATGATTAAATCACAATACATCCATACATAATAAAATACAAATTGACCATTTAAAATTATGTTGAGGTCGGGCACAGTGGCTCACACCTGTAATCACAGCACTTTGGGAGACCAAGACGGACAGGTCACCTGAGGTCAGGAGTTCAAGACCAGCTTGGCCAACATGGTGAAACCCTGTCTCTACTGAAACTACAAAAATTAGCCTGGCGTGGTGGCATGCGCTTGTAATCCCAGCTACTCAGGAGACTGAGACAGAAGAATCGCTTGAGGCCGGGAGGCGGAGGTTGCAGTGAGCCGAGTTCGCACCACTGCACTCCAGCCTAAGCGACAGAGCGAGACTCCATCTCAAGAAAAAATAAATAGGCCGGGCGCAGTGTCTCATGCCTGTAATTCCAGCACTTTGGGAGGCCGGGGCATGTGGATTGCTGGAGGTCAGGAGAGCGAGACCAGCCTGGCCAACATGGTGAAACCCTATCTCTACTAAAAATACAGAAATTTAGCTGGGCTTTGTGGCAGGCACCTGTAATCCCAGCTACTCGGGAGGCTGAGGCAGGAGAATTGCTGGAACCCAGGAGGCAGAGGTTGCAGTGAGCCGAGATCGTGCCACTGCACTCCAGCCTGGGCGGCAGAGGGAGACTCTGTCTCAAAAAAATATATATTAATTAATTAATTAAACAAAATAAAATTATCTTGAAGTGTATTTGTTGACATGTTTACACATGCACAATGCATTGTGAAAAAAGAGGGTTGCAAAACATTATGTTCAGAATGTCCCACTTTTGGAAATAAATAAATGCCAAAATGCTAGGAGGGTTTATCACTAGTTGGATGGGTATTGTGACCATGCTTTATTTTCTTTTTGCTTAACTGTATCTTCTGATTTTATTGAAAGATAGTACTTCTCAGGCTTGGAGAGGTGGCTCACACCTGTAATCCCAGCACTTTGGGAGGCTGAGGCAGGCGGATCACCTGAGGTCGGGAGTTCGAGGCCAGCCTGATCAACATGGAGAAACTCCGTCTCTACCCAAAATACAAAAATTAGCTGGGCGTGGTGGCACATGCCTGTAATCCTAGCTGCTCGGAAGGCTGAGGCAGGAGAATGGTTTGAACCCGGGAGGCAGAGGTTGCAGTGAGCCGAGACTGCACCATTGCACTCCAGCCTGGGGGCAACAGAGCAAAACTCTGTCTCAAAAAAAAATAAAAAACAAAGATAGTACTTCTCAAATTTTAAGTGTTCATAGAATCACATAGGGATCTTGTTAAAATACAGTTCATGATTCATTTAGTCTGAGGTGAGGCTCGAGGTTCTCCATTTCTAAACAAATTTAGATCTATGTTTCCTGGTAGGTAGAATAAAAGATGTCCATGTCCTAATCCCCAAAACCTGTGAATATGTTACTTTACAGAGCAAAAGGGATTTTGCCAATGTGATTAAATTATCCAGGATAATCTTACTATGGGAAGATTATGCTGGATTATCCTCTAGGTCCAATGTAATCAGAGGGGTCTTTATAAGAGGGACGCTGGAGTGTCCAAGACAAAGAAAATATGCCAGTATAATAGATGTCAGAGGGATGCCAGGGCCATGAGCCAAGGAATGCAGAAAGCCTATAGAAGCTGGAAAAGTCATGGAAACTGATTCTCTTCTACAGCCTCCAGAAGAAACTCAGACATGAAAACAATTTTAGACTTCTAACCTCCAGAACTCTAAATTAATAAATGTATCTTGTTTTAAGCCACTAATTAGGTTTGTGGTACTTTGCTGAAGCAGCAATAGAATATATGCTCAAAAGTTATAGGCTCTCTAATTTGCTACCCTTCATTTATTATTTTAACTTGCATAAAATTGAGTCTTGGATAACTCTACATTATAATACAGCTCATTAGATGCTTATAAATTAACATAATTCCTAGATTCATTTTTGTTTATAATAAACTTGAAACAAGTTTATTATTTCCATAAGGACTGATTATGTAAATCAGTCCTGGGAGGCAGAGGTTGCAGTGAGCAGAGATTGTGCCACTGCACTCCAGCCTGGGCAACAGAGCAAGACTCCGTCTCAAAAAATAAAAAAAGAAAATAATTTGTCAATTTATATTCAAAGACTAAAATGTTCACGCAGTTTGAGTAAATAATTCCATGCCTGGAAATCTATACTAGAGAACCAATTCAAAGTACTGAAAATATTTTCCAGGTATAAACTAAAATGTCTATGGCTCTATTTTTATAAGAACAATGGAATAGGCAGGATTTAGTAAACCCTTACGCATTCACAAGGTGAAAGTTTCTGTAGCAGTTTTCTTTCTTTCTTTTTTTTTTTTTTGAGACGGAGTCTCGCTCTGTCGCCCAGGCTGGAGTGCAGTGGCCCGATCTCAGCTCACTGCAAGCTCCGCCTTCCGGGTTCACGCCGTTCTGCTGATCTCGTGATCCGCCCCGCCTCGGCCTCCCAAAGTGCTGGGATTACAGGCGTGAGCCACCGCGCCCGGCCAACAGTTTTCAATATTAATTATTCAGAGTGTGTAATAACTTGGAAAAGGGCTTTTTTTTTCTTTTTTGCTTTTAGAGACAGGGTCTCTGGCTATGTTGCTCTGGCTGGTCTCAAACTCCTGGGCTCAAGTGTTCCTCCCATCTCAGTCTCCTTAATGAAGCTGGGATTAGGAGCATGCACCACTTTATAAAATAAAATATTTTTATTTATTTATACTATAAAATATTGTTTAAAATAAAAAATACATAAGTATAAATATACAATATAAAAATAGATTCTAGCCAGGTGTGGTAGCTCACACCTCTGATCTCAGCACTTCTGTAGGCTGAGGTGGGAGGATCACTTAAGGTCAAGAGTTCAAGATCAACCTAGGCAAAATGCCATCTCTACAAAAAATACTAAGATAAGCTGGGCATGGTAGCATGAACCTGTGGTCTCAGCTACTCTGGAGGCTGAGGTGGGAGGATCGCTTGAGGCCTGGACAGGGAGGTTGCAGTGAGCCATGATTGTGCCACTGCACTCCAGCCTAGGCAACAGAGCAGGACCCTATCTCAAAAATAAATAAATAGTAAAAATAAAAATAGACTCTAACCCACAAATAGAATTCTATGTACCCTAATAATTTGGTTTTTATTGTATTTGGAAACCTTCTAAAAGCTTTATTTTGCAACATGATATACATTATTTTATGATGTTAAAATAATTAATAGAGAGGCCATTAGACTGAGGCTGCTCCAGCACCCTGGGTTCCTACAGAAGCAAACCAAAACCCAACTCAGTGTATTTTATTTGCCATGCTTCCACATTCACCCTATAAAAGCCTTTCTTTGGTGCGCCTTTAACAGAGTCCCAAACTGATTCATGAATCACTGTCTGCTCAAATAAACATTTTAAGATTTTACTGTGCCTTAGTTTCTCTTTTAACAATGGTAATGATGTGGAAACATTTATCTGACAAATGTTTTTGAGAGGTATCAATTATGTAATATTCACTGACAAGGTTTACACCTATGCTGGTATTAAACAGAGACCATAATCATCTTCTTTAAATAATTGTATTAATCTAACATAGTCTTTATGATTATCTAAAAATATTTAGATCATTCTTTTTTGTTTGTTTGTTTTTGTTTTTGAGACAGGGTCTCACTCTGTTGCCCAGACTGGAGTGCAGTGGCGCAATCTCAGCTCACCGCAACCTCTGCCTCCTGCCTCAGCCTCCAGAGTAGCTGGGATTACAGGTGCACACCACCATACCCAGCTAATGTTTGTATTTTTAGTAGAGACAGGGTTTCACTATGTTGACCAGGCTGGTTTCGAACTCCTGACCTCAAATGATCCACCCGCCTTGGCCTCCCAAAGTGCTGGGATTATAGGCGTGAGTCACCATGCCCAGCCACATATTTAGATCATTCTAAAGAATACATTCATAGAAGAATCTTGTTTATAGTATTCAGGATTCCTTCCTTCCTTCCTTCCTTCCTTCCTTCCTTCCTTCCTTCCTTCCTTCCTTCCTTCCTTCTTCCTTTCCTTCCTTCCTTCTTCCTTTCCTTCCTTCGCTCCCTCCCTCCCTCTTTTCTTTCTTTCTTTGAGACGGAGTCTTATTCTGTCACCTAGGCTGGAGTGCAGTGGAGCAAACTCAACTCACTGCAACGTCTGCCTCACTGCAACCCAGCCTGGGCCACTATTTTAAAAATATAACATTTGAAGCCAGGCACGGTAACTCATGCCTGTAATCCCTGCACTTTGGGAGGGCAAGGCGGGCAGACCACTTGAGGCCAGTTCAAGACCAGCATGGGCAACATGGTGAAAACCCATCTCTACTAAAAATACAAAAAAAAAAAAAAAAATTAGCCAGCGTGGTGGTGGTGCACGCCTGCAATCCCAGCTACTTGAGAGGCTGAGGCATGAGAATAGCTTGAATCTGGGAGGCTGAGGTTGCAGTGAGCCAAGATCATGGCACTGCACTGCAGCCTGGGTGACAGAGCAAGGCTCTATCTTAAAATATATATATATATATATATTTATATTTATATATGTTTATATTTATATTTAAATATATATATTTATATTATATATATGAGTTGTGTCTTTAACAGCAAACAAAAGTTAGCCAGGGGAAGGTCGAGAATGCAAAAGGAAGAGCACTCACAAAGCCGAGGTATAAAGATGTTTAAGGAAGAAAAAGGAACTTGATAACGTTGGGAAGTAAATAAGTAAGGTAAATAGGAACTTAATTTGAAAGGCCTACAATGCTATTCTAGGGAGCAATAGTGGTCATTCATTGATGAATCAAAAGAACAATTTTGCCTTCTCTGCTCTTGTCTCCAGGCTGTGGTTACACAGCAGTACACATTGGAGATACTGGGCTCCACATTTAGCTGGAAGACATGCCATGTCTTCTTGAGTTCCCTCTAATCTTCCTCTCCCATTGCGCATAAAGGATCTTCAAACCTTCTCCGCACTCATGCCCCTTGTCCTACCACCTCCACAGCTCCTTCTCTACAGAAAAACTTGCCTTTTATTTCACAGAAGAAATGCAACCTAGAGGCCAAAGCAGGCAGATCACTTGAGCTGAGAAGTTTGAGATCAGCCTGGGGAACAAAGTGAGACCCCGCCTCTACAAAAATTACAAAAATTAGCTGGACAAGATGATTCATGTCTGTCGTCTCAGCTACTCGGGAGGCTGAGGTGAGAGCATCGCTTGAGCCCGGCAGGCGGAGGTTGCAGTGAGCTGAGATCATGCCGCTGCACTCCAGCCTGGGTGACAGAGTGAGACCGTCTCAAAAAAACAAAACCAAAAAACCCAACAACAACAACAATAACAAATCACACACAGGGTTTTGTGTCATGTTAATTTTTTTTTTTTAAACAGGGTATCATGCTGTCGCCCAGGTTGGTGCAATCTTGGCTCACTACAAATTCTCGGGCTCAAGTGAGGCTCCCACCTCAGCTTCCCGAGTAGCTGAGACTACAGGCCTGCACCACCACGCCTGGCTAATTTTTGTATTTTTTGTAGAGACGGGGTCTCACTTTGTTGCCCAGGTTGATCTCAAACTTCTCAGCTCAAGTGATCCGCTCGCCTTGGCCTCTCAAAGTGCTGGGATTACAGGCATGAGCCACCTCTCCAGGCCATGTCCATCCTATTAACATTTGGAAGTGCCTAGCACAGTGTACTCTTTAGAATTGTGGAATAACAATGATTGATGAAATGAAACATATACTTGAAGATGCTACTAGGGTATACGAGATTTTTTTTCTGACTTAGAACTACATCAAAGAAAGAAGGGCCTAAGACCAAGGTTTGGGAATGTACACAATGAATTGCTCAAAAGAGAGTTAGCTTTAGTAATGACAGGAAGAAGCTATTTCTTCAACCAAACAGAATACACACAGAAAAATTTAAAAGAGCCATTACACTGGCTGGCAAAACAGATGTGGATATTATGGCCCTGGTACACACGGAGTTTATAGTCAGGTACACTGTCCTGTCACAACGACCAATACGTTATCGTATTTACAGCGTTTTGGAGTTTCTGTCCATCTCTGTCAATATAATACACTTTGAAATAAGTTTCTTACTTAGAATCCCTAGCAGTGTTTGATACACAGTTGGAGCTCAATAAATGTTTACGGAGTGAATGATGAGGCACAAAAGGAATTTGTTGAATTATTTGTTAAATGAATCAAATAATTTTCTAGGATTCACGGGCTGTCTTCTGCACGATAAGCTTCATTCTGTGGGTCTGAGTTTCTCCTGGTTCTCAATTCTGTCTTTTTGTGGATTATCTACTTTGTAGCTGGAGCTTTGTATCTGTTTAAGATAATTATTCTTCTATTCCTTTTTTTTTTTTTTTTTTTTTGAGACGGAGTCTCGCTCTGCCGCCCAGGCTGGAGTGCAGTAGCGCGATCTCGGCTCACTGCAACCTCCGCCTCCTGGGTTCACGCCACTCTCCTGCCTCAGTCTCCCAAGTAGCTGAGACTACAGGCGCCCACCACCACGCCCGGCTAATTTTTTGTATTTTTAGTAGAGACGGGGTTTCCCCGTGTTAGCCAGGATGGTCTCGATCTCCTGACCTTGTGATCCGCCCGCCTCTGCCTCCCAGAGTGCTGGGATTACAGGCGTGAGCCTCCGCGCCCGGCTCTTCTATTCTTAGTAGAAGCAACCAGTAGCCCTAGCGAAACCAGACGTTAATTCCATTCTCGCAGTTCTTTTCCCCAGGGCAAGCAGCAAAAAATGCATTCCCACAAAAGAGCAAGCTCATCCCCAAATCCCGGGTTTCCCACCCCCACAAGCTTCAGGAAAACAGGAGCGAGGCACGTGAATACTTCTTTGGACCTCAGCGATCCCAGAACCTAGGCTACTAAAACATCCATAGGCTTAACCTCATCATATAACTTAAACAGCCTTCGCAACACCGAGAGCACCACACCAACACCTTCTTATCCAGCCCTGGTTGGGACAAGGGCTCCAACTCCAGACTGCAGTCCTCGGTAGCGCGGTGTCTTCTGGGATCTGTAGGCTCCCGCGGTTCGGCCTTCCTCCCTCTGTGACTCCAATTCCCGGCAGTCAGTGGGCTCCAAGGTCCGCCCTTTTTCTGGAGGAGGAGCTCAGAGCGTACGGGAGGGGGCGGACCCTTGCCCCTCCGGCGCTTGGGCCAGAGTGGTGCGGGCGGCGCGTGGCGGCGATCCCCACGTGGTGGCTTTCTCACGCTAGCCCTCTTTGGTCCTCCTTGACGTCCCGGGCCTGTGGGCCCGCTTTCTGCCGAGATGCCGAAGGTCAAGTCGGGGGCCATCGGCCGCCGCCGCGGGCGGCAGGAGCAGCGCCGGGAGCTGAAGAGCGCTGGAGGTGCGGATCCCCGCGAGGAAGCTGGGGTCGGTCGGGTCAGGTCTTCCGGCAGGACCTAGCCTGGGGTGCGGACCAAGACCTGATCGGCAGAGGCCGGTCAGGACGCGCTCCCGTGAGCGCGGAAGGCAGGGGTGGGTCCCCGACTCGGCCGCAGGCCCTGCGCGTCGCCGCTGACTTCCTTTCCAGCTGGAGGATGAACTTATAAAGAGTTTGTCAGTCCTGGCGTGACGTTTCGTGGCCCTGGTTGGCGCAGAAATCTTCCCCATACCCATGCAGCTTTCTTCTCTGGTACTGCCTAATATCTAATCTCAGTAGGAAAATTAATGCTGTTTCGTATTTTCTTACAGGACTCATGTTCAACACGGGGATTGGGCAGCACATTTTGAAAAATCCTCTCATTATTAACAGCATTATCGATAAGGTGGGTGTGGAAGAGGAAAGGGAGAGAGTTGTTGGTTTATTAATTTTATTCCTATGAATACATAAGCGCAGAAAGTCTGCCTGCCGTAAATTAGATGCTCTGTAAATATTTGTTGAATGAATCAAATAATTGTCTAGGATTCTTGGGCTGTCTTCTGCATGATAAGCTTCATTTTGTGGGTCTGAGTTTCTCCTGGTTCCCAATTCTGTGTCTTTTTGTGGATTATCTACTTTATAGCTGGACCTTTGTATTTGTTCAAGATAATTATTCTTCTATTTCTAATCACCTTTTTGATCACTTAGTTTTTATGTACTCCATCTATTTATGTCTAAACTACACATTAGAAAGTTTGTTCCCCAGAAAAACATATAGTACTACATATAAATTATTTGGTGTATGCTAGTACCACATATAAATTGCTTGGAGTATTACTGCTTTCTGAGTTATTGATGTTCTCTTATGGTTATGGATGATTGGGTGTTAGGAAGTGAAATACACACGGTGCAGATTACACTTATGGTTAAAAGCAAGGAAAGCATCCTGGAGCTGTAGAAAGAGCATTACATAGTTAAAGGATCTTGTCAGGCTTCGTGTCATTTGAAAACTGAGAAAAAAAGAAAGAAGGGTCATGTACTATTTTAACCTTTTTAGCTCATAGTTTCCTTTGAGCATCTGATGAAAGCTATGGCCGTAGAATATTAGAGCTGTGTGCAGACATTCAATTTTGTGTACAGTTTCTGCTCTTCTGCATCCTTGAAACCATACATGGGTTGAAAATTGAAAAATCTTCGCCCAACACGTACAGTCCTTTCCCATTTGAACTTGTTGATACGAACAGAGAAGGTAACAAGAGGCTATTGGAATATTTCCAGATAGAAAGCAGAATGCCAATCCCAGAAATGCTGTTGCTGCTTTTCTGACTCCTAAAGTTGAACAGTATTCCTCCAAGTTAGGAGAGGTCTTAGATTTTCATTTGCACCAAATGTTATTGAGGTAATTTTGTTAACCACGTAGATCATGAAGAAATCTAAAAATGGAGTCAGATTAAGAGCTCTTATCGGAGCACATATGAGTAAAGATGTTCAGGTGTAAATTAACTTCTGTGTTCTGATGTTGCCAGAAGAGCTAAAGTGTTTGTGCTTGCTTTTAGGCTGCCTTAAGACCAACTGATGTAGTGCTGGAAGTTGGACCTGGAACTGGCAACATGACTGTAAAGTTGTTAGAAAAGGCAAAAAAGGTAGAAAGGGGATTTAATGTTTGGTATCACAAATGACTATGTTAGCAAGCTCAGTTGGTTTACAATCTAAATATGTTTTAACTAATTGCTATTATTTTAGTAGTAACTCCTGATCCCTTGTTGGAAATTTTGTCTTAGAAAATATGAGATATTTCAGCCAGGCGCGGTGGCTCACGCCTGTAATCCCAGCACTTTGGGAGGCCGAGGCAGGTGGATCATGAGGTCAAGAGATTGAGACCATCCTGGGCAATATGGTGAAACCCCATCTCAACTAAAAATACAAAAATTAGCCGAGTGTGGTGGCAGGTGCCTGTAGTCCCAGCTACTTGGGAGGCTGGGGCAGGAGAATCACTTGAACCCGGAAGGCAGAGGTTGCAGTGAGCCAGGATTGCACCACTGCACTCCAGCCTGGTGACAGAGTGAGACTCTGTCTCAAAAAAAAAAAAAAAAAAAAAGGAAAATATGAGATATTTCAGTGAGGAAAACAGAAACCACATTAGGTATTTCAACAGGGAATTTTTTTTTTTTTTTTTTTTTTTTGGAGAGGGAATTTCACACTGTTCCCCAGGCTGGAGTGCAGAGATGCAGTCCTGGCTCACAGCAACCTCTGCCTCCTGGGTTCAAGAGATTCTCCTGCCTCAGCCTCCCCAGTAGCTGAGATTATAGGCACCTGCCCCCACACCAGCTAATTTTTGTATTTTTAGTAGAGATGCGGTTTCACCATGTTGGCCACACTGGTCTTAAACTCCTGACCTCAGGTGATCCGCCAACTTTGGCTTCCCAAAGTGCTGGGATTACAGGCATGAACCACCATGCCCAGCCTCAACAGGGAGTTTAATTAGGAAGGAAATACCCAACGCCTCCCCTTTGTACCCTATAATGCTGGTGCCTTTCACTGGCCAATTCCAACCAGAAGTTGAAAGGTAAGGGAGCTGAACTGCATTATCTGTAGGATGCAGAGAAAAGCGGATAATAGATCTGGGAGGGCCTTTCATGGTGGCTCACACCTGTAATCCCAGCACTTTGGGAGGCTAAGGCGGGTGGATGGCTTGAGCCTAGGAGTTGAAGACCAGCCTGGGCAACATGGTGAAACCCCATCTCTACAAAAAATTGGCTGGGCATGGTGGTGCCTGACTGTAGCCCTGGCTAGCAGGGAGGCTGAGGTGGGAGGTTTACCTGAGCCTGGGAAGTTGAGGCTCCAGTGAGCCATGATCCTGCCACTTCACTACAGCCTGGGTGACACAGTGAGACCCTGTCTCAAAAAATAAAAATAAAACTAAAGATAGATCTGGGAGCCAAACAGAGTAAGAAACACATTGTTTACCATGTAAACAGGGTCTATATAGAAGTAGGGCCAGGAGCTGTGGCCCACATCTGTAATCCCAGCACTTTGGGAGGCTGAGGCAGGAAGATTGCTTAAAGCTATGAGCTTGAGACCAGCCTGGGCAACAAAGCGAGACCCAATCTCTATAAAAAATAAAAAGGCTGGGCATGGTGCCTCCCGCCTATAATCCCAGCACTTTGGGAGGCCAAGGTGGGAGGATTGTTTGAGCCCAGGAGTTTTGAGACCAGCCCGGGCAACATAGAGAGACCCGTCTCTATTAAAAATAAAGAAAGGAAATTAGCCTGGTGTGCTGGTACACACCTGTGGTCCCAGCTGCACAGGAAGGTGAGGTGGGAGGATCCCATGAGCCCAAGACTTCGAGGCAGCAGTGAGCTATGATAGCGCCACTTCACTCCAGCCTGGGCAACAGAGTGAGACCCCATCTCTTAAAAAAAATTATTTTTTAATAAAAATAAAGTCAGTGAAACCTCAGCTGAAATTGCAATAAAATTTCAATTTCGGCCTTATTTGACATCCATTTTCATTTACTTGAGAAGTTATCTATGCCATGTATTGTGTATCTCAGTAGATGTGACATACTAACAGTAAGAGCAATTGCATTGTACGCTCTTCTCTAACAACACTGACTGCAGAGACATGTAGTGTATTTTTTTCATCATCTGTTGAATTACAAAGCATGGAGACAGATGAAACATGATTCTATTGATTATATGAGTAGAACTCTCACATAATCTGGTTGTCTACTTTTCTGGGTGGTGGTGTTTGTTTGTTTGTTTGTTTGTTTTTGAGATGGAGTCTCGCTCTGTTGCCAGGCTGGAGTGCTGTGGCGCGATCTCGGCTCACTGCAACCTCTGACTCCCTGGTTCAAACAATTCTCCTGCTTCAGCCTCCTGAGTAGCTGGGATTACAGGCACGTGCCGCCACGCCCAGATAATTTTTGAATTTGTTAGTAGAGACAGAGTTTTACCATGTTGGCCAGGCTGGTCTCAGTCTCCTGAACTCATGATCCGCCCACCTCAGCCTCACACCCGGCTTTTTTTTTTTTTTGAGATGGAGTCTCACTTTGTCACCCAGGCTGGAATGCAGTGGCACAGTCTTGGCTCATGGCAACCTCCGCCTCCAGGGTTCAAGCAATTCTCCTGCCTCAGCCTCCTGAGTAGCTGGGATTACAGGCGCCCACCACTAGGCCCAGCTAATATTTTGTGTTGTTTTTGTTTTTGTTTTGAGACAAGAGTCTCTGTCTCTTGCCCAAGCTGGAGTGCAATGGTGCGATCTCGACTCACTGCAACCTCTGCCTCCCAGTTTCAAGCAATTCTCCTGCCTCAGCCTCCCGAGTAGCTGGGATTACAGATGCCCATCACTGTACCCAGCTAAATTTGTATTTTTAGTAGAGACGGGGTTTCGCCATGTTGGCCAGGCTGGTTTCGAACTCCTGACCTCAGGTGATCTGCCTGTCTCAGCCTCCCAAAGTGTTGGGATTACAGGCGTGAGCCACTGCACCTGGCCTAATATTTTGTATTTTTAGTAGAGATGGGGTTTCACCATGTTGGCCAGGCTGGCCTTTAACTCCTGACCTCATGATTCGCCCACCCCAGCCTTCCAAAGTGCTGGGATTACAGGCGTGAGCCACTGCACCCGGCCCATTTTTGTTTGTTGTTTGAAGTATGCGAGTATAATTAAAGGAATATTGATGGTAGAAATGGGAGAAGAAGTTTGTCACATAAATCATGTAAGAGTTCCTGTTGGGATAACAATAAAAGATTTATATTCCATAATTAACCTAAATAATTTTTATTTTTTTTAAATTAGGTTGTTGCTTGTGAACTTGACCCAAGGCTAGTAGCTGAACTTCACAAAAGAGTTCAGGGCACGTGAGTATACATAATAGAATTAAAGTGCATTTCAATCTCATGAAACAACATTCTTTTTACATTTCTTCTTTTCTCATCAGGCCTGTGGCCAGCAAACTTCAAGTACTGGTGGGTGATGTGCTGAAAACAGATTTGCCATTCTTTGATACTTGTGTGGCAAATTTGCCTTATCAGGTATGTCCTCACATTTTCAGGAACATCATACTAACTGTTCCTCTGATGTGTCTTTCCCGGAAATAACTAGTTAATTCTCTTACAGATCTCTTCACCTTTTGTCTTCAAGCTGTTGCTACATCGACCTTTTTTCAGGTTTGTGACAAAAGACTAGAGTTACTGCCAAATTTTGAAAGACTTACAGTTCAGGTGGTGAACATAGCCAAAAATGAGTCAGGTCAGTTGAAAAACTACTGAAGAATTTTTGTAGAAAATGTTGATTTGTATGGAGGTCTTTCTCTCTTTAATTGAGAGGTTATTTGGGGGTAGTGTGCTGGAAGTCCTGCTTCTGAGACCAGACAGCCTTTCCCTATTTTTGAATCTTCCTGCCGTTAAGTCTAGGTTAGAATTTTTATTACCTTATGTCTAGACAATTGCAGTGGTTTCCTAACTGGTCTCTAGTATAAGAGGTCTTCAAAAAGTTCATGGAAAATGTGTATTATGAAAAAAACTTGCATGGATTTCAAAATTTTTTTGCACCAAAATAAACTCTGTACTAACTGAGCAGGATCTAGTGTGAGGCACTGAGAAGGATAAGACATCAGTTTGAAAAGAGCCCCTATCAGAGCAACATGAACTCTGCTAAAATTCAAGTAAGAACAAACATCCAATTTATGGTGAAACCTGGTTGGAAGAATGGTGAAATCATTGATGCTTTACAAAAAGTTTATGGAGTCACACCTGTAATCCCAGCACTTTGGGAGGCCAAGGCAGGCGGATCATGAGGTCAGGAGATCGAGACCATCCTGGCTAACATGGTGAAACCCCACATCTACTAAAAATACAAAAAACTAGCCGGGCGTAGTGGCGGGCGCCTGTAGTCCCAGCCACTCGGGAGGCTGAGGCAGGAGAATGGCGTGAACCCGGGAGGCGGAGCTTGCAGTGAGCCGAGATCGCGCCACTGCACTCCAGCCTTGGCGACTGAGCGAGACTCCGTCTCAAAAAAAAAAAAAAGTTTATGGGGACAATATCCCAAAGAAATCAGCAGTTTACTAATGGATAACTCATTTTAAGAAGGGCTGAGACAATGTTGAAGATGAAGCCTACAGTGGCACACTGGCCATATCAATTTGTGGGAAAACATTCATCTTGTTTGTTCCCTAAGTGACGAGGAACAACATTCAACAGCACAAACAATAGCCAACACCATAGACATCACAGTTGGTTTAGCTTACACAATTCTGACTGCAAAATCAAAGTTAAACAAACTTTGTACTTGATAGATGCCAAAACTGTCATACCCTCTTTTCTGAAAGATTTTATGAAAAAACAAAACAAAAAACATTGTACTCAAATCAGCTGCAGATAAAAGCAGAGCTTCCAGTGGAAATTTTACATAACTGGGATCAAGATCCTGAAACATGGCTGGGTGGAGTGGCTCACACCTATAATCCTAGCACTCTGGGAGGCCGAGGCGGGCAGATCACTTGAGGTCAGGAGACCAGCCTGGCTAACATGGTGAAACCCCATCTCTACTAAAAATAAAAAAATTAGCTGGGCATTGTGGTGGGCACCTATAATCCCAGCTACTCGGGAGGCTGAGGCAGGGGAATCGCTTGAACTCAGGAGGCGGAGGTTGTAGTGAGCCAAGATTGTGCCACTGCACTCCACACTCCAGCCTGGGCAACAGAGCGAGATTGTCAAAAAAGAAAACAAGATCCTGAAACATTTCTTCAAAGAATTACAAAGAATTGTAATGGAGATGAAATATGGCTTTACCAGTGTGATCCTAAAGACAAAGCAGAGTGAAAGTGATGCCTACCAAGAAACGGAGTGGCTCCAGTCAAAGCAAAAGCAGACCAGTCAAGAGCAAAGGTCATAGCAACAGTTTTTTTTTGAATGCTCAGGGCATTTTGCTTGCTGACTTTCTTTAGGACCAAAGAATGAAAACATCTGCTTATTACAAGAGTGTTTTGAGAAAGTTAGCTAAGATGTAGCAGAGTAACTCCTGGGAAAGCTTCCCCAGAGATTCCTCCACCATAATACTTCTACTCCTTCCTCTCATCAGACGAGGGCAATTTTTCGAGAGTTTCAATGGGAAATGGTTAGGTATCCACCTTACAGTCCTGATTGGGCCCCTTCTGACTTCTTTTTATTTTATGAGACAGTCTTGCTCTGGTGCCCGGGCTGGAGAGCAGTGGTATGATCTGCACTCACTGCAGCCTCCACTTCCTGGGCTCAAGCATTCCTCCCACCTCAGCCTCCCAAGTAGCTGCGATTACGGGCATGTGCCACCACACCCAGCTAATTGTTGTATTTTTTTTAGAGATGGGTCTTGCCATGTTGCCCAGGCTGTCTCCCCCTCCTGAGCTCAAGTGATCTGCCCACCTCAGCCTCCCCAAATGCTGGGATTATTACAGGCATGAACCATGGTGCCCAGCCCTTCTGATTTATTTTCGTTTCCCAGTCTTAAAAAATCTTGAAAGGGCACTCTTTTTTCTTCAGTTAATAATGTAAAAAAAAAAAACCTGCAGTGACATGGCTAAATTCCCCAGAGCCTCAGTTTTTTTGATATAGACTAAAATGCTGGTATCATCACTTACAAAAGTGTCTTGAACTTGATGGAGCTTATGTTGAATAATAAAGTTTATGTTTTTTCTTTTTTTTCTTTTTCTGAGACAGGCTGGAGTACAGTGGTGACATCTCAGGTCACTGCAACCTCAGCCTCCCTGGGCTGGGCTCAGATGATTCTCCTACCTCAGCCTCTTGAGTAGCTGGGACTATGGGGGTGTACCAGCATGCCTAGCTAATTTTTGTGTTTTTTTTAGAGAAGGGGTCTCACCATGTTCAGCCCAGGCTGGTCTTGAACTCCTGAGCTCAAGCGATCTGTCCGCCTTGGCCTCCTAAAGTGCTGTGGATTATAGGTGTGTGCCGCCACACCAGCCTTATTTTATCTTTTAATTCAATATTTCCATGAACTTTGAAGTCACTTTCTATATTATATACTAGTGGCTTTCAAACTGCAAGTCAAAAACTAGTGGTTATAAAATTAATGAGTCATGACCATTCTTTTTTTTTGTAATCACATGGAATAGAATATATCACAGGGCATTGCATGTAGTCCAGGTGATTATGGTTTCATGAAACTTTTGTTTTGAAATACAATATAAACACATATACATACAGACATTTGTGGCTTGGCTTGCAATGCCAAATGTATTTTTAGTGTGACTCATTGTCAAAAGTTTGAATGTCAAAGTGTAGCTTTGAAGATACTCTTCTGTTCGTTAACCCCTACAAAGTCTTCCCCATTGCCTGCTGAATAAAAAGTCTACATCTTTTGGCTGGGTGTGGTGACTCATGCCTGTAATCCCAGCACTTTGGGAGGCTGAGGTGGGCGGATCACCTGAGGTCAGGAGTTCCAGACCAGCCTGGCCAACATGGTGAAACACTGTCTCTACTAAAAATAGAAAAATTGGCCAGGGGTGGTAGTGTGCGCCTGTAATCCCAGCTACTCGGGAGGCTGAGGAACGAGGATCACTTGAACCTGGGAGACGGAAGTTGTAGTGAGCCGAGATTGCGCCATTGCACTCCAGCCTGGGCGACAAGAGCGAAACTCCGTCTCAAAAAAAAAAAAAAAGTCTACATCTTTTAACCCGTCAAATCAAGGAAACATTGAACGTCACAATCTGCCTCTTCAGTCTCACCTCTTCCTTAAAGGTGTTTGCTACCCCATAAATATATTACTGCTACTGAAACAATTTTATTTCACTTTGTTTTCATAGAAGAGGTGATGGACTAGTGCTGATTTGAAACATCTCATCCAGTCATTAAAGGCTTATATTTGCAAGCTATCTTGCCATGAGGAGTACAGCAATTATAAAAACAAAGCCAGCTCTCTCATTCTGTGGCAATAAAAAAAAGGCTGAATGTGTTCTCCTACCTTATAATCAGCTGCCAATGCTTTGCTATTTCTCTCCCAAGAAAATTCATTGCAGTTAAAATTCATTTATAGTTGACAATGACCATTTTCCTTATTCCTTTCTGCTTTCTTTTCAGGTGTGCTATACTTATGTTTCAAAGAGAATTTGCCCTCCGACTGGTTGCAAAACCTGGAGATAAGTTATACTGCAGACTCTCAATTAATACACAGCTGTTGGCACGTGTGGACCATCTAATGAAAGTAAGTGAATTTTGTTTTCTTTCTCTTTTTTCTGAGATAGAATCTCACTCTGTCACCCAGGCTGCAGTGCAGTGGCTCACTGCGATCTCTGCCTCCCATACTCAAGCAATCTTCTCGAGTCCCGAGTAGCTGGGACTAGAGGTGTGCGTCACCACGCCTGACTAATTTTTTGGTATTTTTTGTAGACACAGAGTTTTGCTATGTTGCCCAGGTTGGTCTTGAACTCCTGGGCTCAATGATCCATCTGCCTTGGCCTCCCAAAGTGTTGGGATTACAGGTGTGAGCCAAAGCACCCAGCCAGTGATTTTTATTATTGAAATAATCTAGCTTAATTCATCCTTGAGCATCCAGTTGTGCCTTCTGTGAGGATAGCATATCTGGTTACTAAATAAAAGTTGCCTTTGTGAGTACTACTTAAATACTTTTTCATTAACAGGTGGGAAAGAATAACTTCAGACCACCGCCCAAGGTGGAATCCAGTGTTGTAAGGATAGAACCTAAGAATCCACCACCACCCATCAATTTTCAGGTGAGGTTAAAATACTAGCTCATTCAATAAAGGAAAAAAAAGTCCAGGCGGGAAGATGTGTGCCTATAACAGCAGAAAAATATTGAATCAACCTAAATATTCAAACATAGGAAAATGTTAATTAGGACACATCCCTGTGCTGAAGTAGATGGAATAATTTGATGCAAGGTAGTTTTGAAGTGAGACCCAGTCTCAAAAAAAAAAAAGAAAAAATGGAATAAAACTAGGAAAACAAGGTAAAATGAAAATAGTTGTTTTAAAGTAGTATTATGGGTAACATCTTTTCATTGTAATTGTTTTTTGAGATTTAAAAACAAGAAAGAAGACCACTTGATATAAAACCTTACTACAGCCACATTAGAGAAAAACGTGATTGTGTGTGTGGTCAACTGGTGGTAAATGGAGTGGTTTGTCAATAACTCCTTCAAGGAGGTTTAGGTGTGTTACACAGGAAGTATCTGAAGTCATGTCTGTTTTGAATCTTATTTTTGAAAATGATACTTAGATTTAAATAAACGCCATGTTCTTTGTTCAGATGTGGGACCATTTTGTTTTTCCTTCCCTTTCTTTTTTTAAGATGGGGTTTCACTATGTTGCCTAGGCTGGACTTGAACTTTTGGTCTCAAGCGATCCTCCCACCTCAGCCTCCTGAGTAGCTGGTACTACAGGCATGCAGCACTGTGCCTGGCTTTATTTTTTCAAATTAAAAAAAAAAATTGTCATGCTTTGTCAAAAAAAAATTCTGAGGAAAAGACATATTCAGTGAAATGCGCCAAAGTGCAAAAATCAAATGTATGTCTTACTTTTGCATGTGTGTGCCAGCCAGATCAAGATTACAGAACATTTTCTTCACTTCAGAAAGTTTCCTTCAATTGTATATATTAAAAGACAAAATAATACCTAGTGGGCATAGACAAGAACAAGAAGTTTGTAATTTGAAGAAAATGTCTATCTTCTATTTCAGGAATGGGATGGTCTAGTAAGGATAACCTTTGTTAGGAAAAACAAGACACTCTCTGCTGCATTTAAGTAAGTATTACACTAATTTCTAATGTATAAAGGGCCAGTGCTCCAGATACTATGCTAGAATTTGGTCCTTTTCCTGAGCAGCTACCCTAAAGCATAAAGATTATGGGTCCAGACAAACTTCACCTTTTAAACTATCTTTAGAGCTTGGGAGGCTCTAAAGCAAACTTAATGAAGAAAGTTTGCTGGAGTTGAGAGTCAGATCACATTTTTTGGCAAAACAGGAAAACACTCCCAAACTCTGACCATATATCTGCTCTAGTTTTTTGTTGGAAAAATGAGGTGATGATGGACCCCTTCCACACTTGTGAAGGATATGTGTCATGTAATTAACCTGGGAAAATGCAGCTCATCAATTTGGGGTTCAAGGGTAAAAGAGAGGTGAGACACAGTTTTACAGGGCTTGGAGATTTTTTTTTAGGGGATTTTTTGTGGAGAGTCTAGAACTTCTCTAAGAATTTAAGAGGTATTAGGATTTTGCACTTTAAATATATTTAGTGTTTGCTTCATAAGTTTAAATATTCAACAACTTTTAAAATTCCTTAATTTCACCATACAGAATATAGATTTAATTTCATCTAAAATGAAATTATTGCTTAAATGGCTTATGTATTAGTTAAAAAAAAGTTTAAAAAAGTAAGAAATTACTCTGACTTTGGAATAATAACAGTGGCATCACTTCTTTATGCTATAGATCAAGTGCAGTGCAACAACTCTTGGAAAAAAACTACAGAATTCACTGTTCAGTCCATAATATTGTAAGTTAGAAAATGTTCCTGCAGTTTCATTGATTTGTTTTCTTTTAAAATGTCCATTTTTATTCTTGTTGATCTAGCATGAGATTATTTTGTACATTCCATAAGATCCTTAAAAGACAATATATAATGTATAACTAGCACAATTTTGACTTGAATTCTGACAGGTCAGTGCTGCTGTGTATCCTGTGAAACAGATATGAGCAACTTTGATTACTCCACCCTGTCCTCTAACTACTGACAGTTGTTTTTAGCCATAACAAGAATCAGATTCAGCAGTTACAGGTTCCTCAAAGCTGTAGATATGTGTAGCTTGCACAACTTAAAATAATTGTGTAGTTTACTGTCCTCTGAATTGTGACCACGTCTTGTTTCTTGCTCACATAGCAGTTACAAATATAGTTATTACTTTCTTTGTATAGAAATTGAAATAAAGTTCATATGGCTCAATAGCAGATTTCTGGTTGTGAGCCTCATGCGTATCATTTGTGTAACAGTGTGTGCGATGTGATGTTTGCTATCTTTTTAGCTTCCAGTTTAATTAGAACAGAGAGAGAAAGGCCAATTTTCTTTTTATTTTTTATGACTCAGAACCTATATGGTTTAATGTATCACAATACTATCTCCATTTTCTCTTTTATGGGCAAAAAGTCATTAGATAATCTGCCTAAGTATAATAGAAAAATATTAAGCTAGATTAAGAAAAATATTTGGATAAAATATGTGAATTAAGTGTAAAATCCTTTTGGATAAAATATGTGAATTAAGTGTAAAATCCTTAATATTCCCAAGGCTTGGGCAGGTCACCTCTTTGAGAAAAATGAGGTGGTTAAGGTCAAATCTGTAGGAAGAAAATGCATTATTTTGAAAGGAGTAACAATTGCTTTAAAATTTAATTTACAGTTGTAATTATTTGTGAAGTCTGAAACTAATAACTATTTCAGAATTTTAAAGAAGAAAATGGCTAATATAGACAGGATTACTAATTCAAGGTATTCCAAGTTTTTGTTAATAAAGATCAGCCACTTTTAATTAGAGATCCAAGTCTTAATGTAAAAATCAGGCTTTCCAAAGTCTCATTAACAGATATATTAAAGGTGACTATTTTATGACTTACTGAACTAAAAAAAAGAGTCAAGGTGACCTCATTAAAGATATGTCGTTCATTTATTCTGAATCTTATATTGATAGATAATACCAGAAGATTTCAGCATAGCAGATAAAATACAGCAAATCCTAACCAGCACAGGTTTTAGTGACAAACGGGCCCGTTCCATGGACATAGATGACTTCATCAGGTAATTACATTTTTGTTTTCCTAAGTGTTTACATTTCTTTACTGTGACACCTTCAGATTGGAGATTTTAAAGGCTTTTAAGCGGTATAAGGTGCTACCTGGGAGAGTTATTGCATAGCACTTCCATGGCATGGAATAGTATTTGGTGTAGAAGATGGAGGCTAGTTAGCTGCAGCAGAATGAACATTTTCTTTAAGAACAGTAGTAAAGAACAGTCCGAGCCAGAAGATTGCCTTTGTGTTAATGTGGTGTGCAGGTTCCAATGTGGTGTGCAGGTTCCTCCCTTCCTGCTCCTTCCCCAACTCTCATTCATAGTCTTAGTCTTAATAGCTTATCCCTCCAAAATAGTCCATAAGGTAGAAAAATCATAATACATGTAACTGGATCTGATTTTTAAAATTTCCTTACTGGGAATAGCTGTTGTTAAATCAATCTTAAGCATACAATAATGCCAGTTAGAATCCTACCTGGTTATCCATTTAGGAATAATACAGTTTTGTAGCCTGAAGCAAGTTCTACACTTCTCAAGTAAAAAGCTGTCATAATTATCTAGGTAATTTAGACCAAAATTTGTTTTGCTTGAATTAAGCAAGTAAGTCTTATGAAAACAGAATAAGGCTTCAATTAATTACCCAGGTAATTACTAACCTGTACTTACTGTTTTTAATCATTAAGATGTTAACTTTCAGAAGGTCTTGCCTATTTAGCCAATTCACTTTTAAAGCTTCCATGTTCTAGAGGCTGAATAAAAAATGAGAGTAGATTGTTCTAAAAGTCATTGGTTTGACTTTTTCTAAGCTGGAAACACAGTTCTATATAACTAAGACAAATGGAGTTTATATTTTATTGGCTGGCTAGCAGTACTACTGAGTCATTTTAGATGTTAATCCTAGGCATTGAATACTATTCATAAATATCTACTTTGCTTTTTTAGAAATTTATCTGGACCTGTTTCTATGGGCCAGCCTAAACATAACCTCAGGTCTAAAGAGAAATATTTTCTCTTTTTCTTCATTTTCACTAAATTTCCTCAAAGTTATTGGGCATGTGCAGTTTACTAACTAGAATCTATTAAGTACATAGGTATCTACAGAGAGAAACAATGTGTATTTAATTTGAATATAAACAACAGCTCAAGAGAGGAAGAAGGGGCATGTAAGATTGGTTTTTCATCTGACTTCTGCCAATTCCAAACAGCTTCTTGTTCAGTTACCTTGAAACAAATGCCAGTGAGTTCTTAGGCCTGGGATAATGAAAGTCTAAGATAATTTTAGTCAAATTCATTACGACATAAAGGCTCTAATGAAAGAGGCACCAACATGGCATGGTTTTAACCAATACATATCTTATAAATTTAGTCAGACAATAACATTTCTTTTTTTTTTTTTTTTGAGACAGAGTCTTGCTCTGTCACCCAGGCTGGACTCCAGTGGCACAATCTCAGCTCACTGCAACCTCCGCCTCCTGGGTTCAGGCAAATCTCCTGCCTCAACCACCCGAGTAGCTGGGATTACAGGCATGTGCCACCATGCCAGGCTAATTTTTGTATTTTTAGTAGAGACGGGGTTTCACCATGTTGGCCAGACTGTTCTCGAACTACTGACCTCAGGTAATCCACCCGCCTCAGCCTCCCAAAGTGCTGGGATTACAGGCATAAGCCACTGCGCCCAGCCAGTAACGTTTCTTTAATAACTAGTATTAGGAGTGGGTGGGCTCTGTAAGCATGCTGTATTCATGTTTTAGTATTAATGGTATAGAACTATATACCGTTATGTGCTACAAATTAGCTTTTCAGTACCATTCCATTTTGATTTCTTTTTTCAGATTGCTACATGGATTCAACGCAGAAGGTATTCATTTTTCCTAGGTATTTGGAAAACAGAAATTTTCAAGGTCAAGAAAAGAAATGAATTTTGTATTTTTTGTATTTGAGAAGATAATGCTTTTGCTTTACTGAGACATTATTTACTTGACTATTTTTGGTTCAATACTACTACTGTTGTCACCATTTATGATTCTGAATTTTAAAGTTGGAAAGTTCTAAGTATCAAAGTTTTTAATATATAATGCTGGTCCAATCTATTCATAATAATCTTCAAGTTCAGGAGCCGCAGAGACGCACAACTTTACACTTATCATTTCTAACAGTTTATTGTATAAAGATGTTACTCTTCTATTTACTGTTATATACTGTAAGGCCTTCTTTAGGCCTTTAGCTCTGTTCCTCCAGTAATAAAAAAGTTAAAATATGCTTCACTAGTCACACATTCCCCATACCATTTCGTGTTATTCACATTCCCCGTACCATTTCTTGTTATTCACATGTACAGTAAAACAATTGTTTCTTAAATTATTTTTATTTTGGTTCTCTCATTCTCTTCCCTATTTATCCTATACAGTGTCTGTTACGATTGCCTACCTCTTTCGCTATCCTATAGCGTCAGAGACTTAGGGTTCTGGGTAAGCCCAAGTCTGCTACTGCCACCGTGCAGTGCCAGGCATATTAAAGGGCATGACTCCCAACATGTAAAATGAGGAAGCTAAACTGGAATGAAATTAACAATAAAATTATCTTTTTTTATGGTTCTTAGGGAGATAACTATAGGCTTAGCAAAATTTCAGAGGGTTTTGTAATTGAAACTGGTTTCAACTTCAGAAAAACAGCCATTTCCCATAACTACAGGTTCCCAGTATTCCTATGATTTCTGGACAATTAAAATTTCCAGTTCCTTTTTCATATACCTGGTGCTTAGTTTTAAGCTATTTTAAAACTGTCAGACTGAGAATTTCAATAGATGTCATAAACTAGTTTTATTAGCTACTATGTTTAAGTCAATATAATACTAAGTGCTGTTAATATACTATAATAGAGTTATAGTAGCTATTTTGTTTCTATAAAAAATTAATAAAAATATCTTTATTGATATTTGGCTTTTTTTAATACCTAACTTAATAGAAGAGTGTTTCCAATTAATTTAACAAAGCCAGATTTTGAAATCTGGCTTCAAAGTCATAGTAAATGTTACTACATAATTAAAATAATGCTTGTTCTTAATGTATAATCCAGAACAAAGGCATCAAGCTGCTTTTGTTAAACAAATATGAAATAATATACATTAAGAGTAGATTTTTTTGTTTAATTTCACAAAACTATTTTGCAGAGTTCACTTGTATCATCTCTATCCTTATAGTAAAAATTTTAAGATTTAACTCGGCTTTCTCAGGTTATTTCCCTCTACCCCTATGAACTGCTGAGTTTTAGTTCCTTTTCTGGCCTTCAGTTTTCACTATCTGTAAAGCTGAAGGACTGTATTATATTACCTCCAGTATCTTTTCTGGTACTAATTTTTAAAATACCTGATCAGAATGAAGCCATCATAGTGTAAGGCAGCATATTTGTCTATAAGGAGACTTTCCAAAGACAGTACCCATCCAATGCAAATAATAAATTTGAAGCTAATCATCTGTTGTGCTTTAAAATGAGCAAATTCACATGTCTTTATTGCCCTTTGAAAGTTGGTTAATCTCAAAAACTACCTTTTTTTTAAATATCCTTTGCAAGGTCAATTGTAACAGTTCTCCATCCTTCCTCTTCCCTTTGAAATAAACACAAATAGAATATATCTTACAGCTGCAAGAAAACCTGAGTCCTTTCCAAAACAAAGGTGACTGAAGTAAATTATCTCTAAAACTTATTCCATAGACTTCATTTATTAATAAGCATATTGTGAAAATCTACATTTGTTTTAGATTTCATGTTTACAGAGCTTTTCACAATTGTATTAGGATCTTTCACAACTACTCTCTGGGTTTTATGAACAGTAAAGAATCTGGCTCATGTGACCCTCTATTCATAGCTCCCCTTTGGCTCCTGTGAAGGAGCTGATAGTTCCCTGGAGTAAATAAATCAAAACAAGATATCCTTGGGAGATTTTTAGCTGTTAATCTACTCCTGGACCCCATCCTGGGAACTGAGGGAAAACTCCTAGAGAGATATACAAATCTTTGAACAAAATATTTACATGAAAAGTGGCCAGTTTTCTTCCTTGGAGTAGCAATCTGTAAAAATAAGTGCTGCTGTTTAAAAAGTAGCATGCCCTACACCATACCAATGTATTAGTGAGAATTTGGCGATTCTCACCAAACAACAATGAAGTTTCACATTTGGTACTGGATGGAGCTTGGGTTAGATCTGCCTTTTAAGGCAAAGTCAACTCTTTCAACTTAATTCTTTTTCAAGGGAGTAATGTACTGTCTACACTTGGCTTAAACTAACTTCTATTATGGACTACTTTCAATGTACATGTAAATGTTCATGCATCAGAAGCCAATTTCTTTTAACAGTACATAGAAAAGGTATATTTTGGGGTGCTAATGAACACTTCAAATTAAGTAATGATATTGGTAAGGATCAAACTGCACTATTAGTCTTGTTAATACCACACTGGCACACACACTGCATATATATGTATTTTCCTAAGATAAAACTCTTCTCAGAATTTCATTACTTTTTATTATACACCAACTAGTTTATATTGTAGTTCTTTACAAAGAAAATGCTAAGAAAAATTATAATCACATGTTATATGGTTTTAAAATAATAATTCCAGATTTCTTTACATATAAGATGGAATGGTCCAGCAGCTATATCCACTGTCACAGACTTTAGTTCCGTTCAATGATATGGCACATCCTGCAAAATTAACTAGTCACACACAAAAAATGTCTCAAATACAGTAAAAATGTACACACAAAGGTAATTTACAATGACAAGGAATGTAATTTTTCTTGGCTGTGCTTCAGAAATTTAGGGTCAGTAGCCTTAATCAAGGCACAAAGCAGGAAAAGGTGAGCACAGCTGTCTCTAGGAGTGGGCAAGGTATGTACAATCACTGATGAGGTATGCATGCACGCAAAGGATTTAAAACTGCTCAGTCTCACTACAAAAATTGAACTGAGTTAAAAGGAAATGCTGTGGCTTCCCCCTACTATCTGGCTCTGGATTGAGTCCACAGTCTTACTTCATCAAATAGAAAATAAAACTGACAAGGATCTCCAAAAGTAAATCACTATTTGTGTAAATGAAACAAAATGCTTCATTAATCCCAGTTCTTGGTTGTGCCTCCTGGACTAGAAGCATTTTGTAGACAAAAGAGTGTTTCACAAAATTGAAATGTAATTCAGGTGAAGGACAAAACATTTTCCACAGACACTTAAAATTCCAAACTTTCAAATGGCCCTTACAGCTGAACCGTTGTATGTTACAGTAGTGAGGGTTCTGGGTATCCTTTAGCAGCAAATGCCGGTTTAAAGGGCACGGGGTCTCTTCGGGTTGATTTGCTTGCTGGCTTGTTCCTCCTCTTGTAGAGCTGCACGGAAAGATTTCACTTTATCTTGGAAAAAGAAAAGAAAGAGGGAATAAGTATTGTATTACACGCAGTAAGAGTTTACAACTTTATGGGTTCAATCAAGTCAGCTGTGTTATTTCCTAACAGTAACTCAGTATTTTTCCTTTTGTTCTTTGTTGTCTAGAAACTCGGAACTAAATAGAATGCTCAACTATTGCGAAAGTTTTTTGTTACAGATTTCCAGAAATACCTGTTTTTCTGTATCTTTCAATAGCTTTCTGTTCTGTTTGGCACATTTACAGTTCTCTGTTTTAATTTATTGGAATTCCTCCTAGAGTATAGGCAGGTTTCACATTGTAAAATACATAGTCTACCTTTTTTTTTTTGAGATGGAGTCCTCACTCTGTCACCCAAGCTTGAGTGCAATGGTGCGATCTAGGCTCACTGCAACCTCCACCTCATGGGTTCAAGCAATTCTCCCACCTCAGCTTCCCGAGTAGCTGGGATTACAGGCGTGCACCACCCGCTCAGCTAATTTTTGTATTTTTAGTAGATACGGGGTTTTACCATGTTGGCCATGCTGGTCTCGAACTCCCAACCTCAGGTGATCTGCCCGCCTTGGCCTCCCAAAGTGCTGGGATTATAGGCATGAGCCACCGTGCTCAGCACCCCCTATTTTACCTTTTTAAAGCTATGAACATGTAAAATATATTTGAATTTTTAGAAATTTACATTTTGTCCTCACTGTGAGGAAGGGGGATTGTGAAGGGGGGATGACTAAATGATATATTTCTTGATTTTACGCATTTTCTGGTCATGTACTGCTCTAGAGTCATGTAAAAACTAGAAATAGGTTAGTAAATTGTCAGACAAATTACATGCAGCTGTGAAGATAAGCTATCTTTCAATAACAGTGGCTCTCAACTGGATATGATTTTTGGCCCCCAGCGGGCATTTGGTAATGTCTAGAGACATTTTTGGTTATCCCAACTGGTGTGGTGCTACTGTCATGTAGTGGACAGAGACCAACGATGCTGGTAAATATTGTACAAGGCACAGGATAACACTCCTCAACAAAGAAAGGCCTAGCCCCAAATGTTAACAGTGTCAAGGTTACGAAACCCTACTCTGTAGACTTCAGAATAAAGTTGGAATCTCAATTTTCCTCCCCTTTTTGAAAGTACAGTGATGTTTAAAAAGTTAACTTTTTTGAAATTTTGAAATGAATTTAAGAACTTCTAGATTTGGTGCTCTCAAACTGTTACTGTTCTGTTTTTTTTGAGATGGAGTCTCACTCTGTCACCCAGGTTGGAGTGCAGTGGCGTGATCTCGGCTCACTGCAACCTCCGCCCTCCGCCCCCTGCCCCGGGTTCAAGTGATTCTCCTGTCTCAGCCTCCTGAGTAGCTGGGACTACAGGCATGTGCCACCATGCCTGGCTAATTTTTGTATTTTTAGTAGAGACAGGATTTCACAATGTTGACCAGGCTGGCCTTGAACTCCTGACCTCGGGTGATCTACCTGCCTCAGCCTCCCAAAGTGCTGGGATTACAGGTGTCTGGCCCAAATTTTTCTTATAAATCCCAAATTTATCTCTGGGTGGTTAAAAAAATTCTAAGGACTGAATAATGCAATATATCTAGATAGTAATTTCTTAAAAGTTATGGATATGCTTGATACACATGAAATTTGAGAAAAGGAAAGGAAGTCAATTAAGTTGAATGCTACAAAGAAAAAATACCAGAGTGCATTAGGATCTGTCTTCTGAATAAAATGGATACAGAAGCTGATTGTGAATTATTGCAGATTAGAAAAATGATCAAAACAATTTAAATAAAGGGTTGAATATGAACAATATGAGAAACAAATGAAAATTTTAGTTCAACAGTCACTGCTGACTTTACAAAATATGATTTCAAATAACCAACTTCATAACCAGTCAGCAACATATATGTGTTGAACATCTCATCCAAAAATCTGGCTGTGCAGGCCGGGCGTGGTGGCTCATGCCTGTAATCCCAGCACTTTCGGAGGCCGAGATGGGCGGATCACAAGGTCAGGAGATCGAGACCATCCTGACTAACACAATGAAACCCCGTCTCTACTAAAAATACAAAAAAATTAGCCAGGCGTGGTGGCGGGCGCCTGTAGTCCCAGCTACTCAAGAGGCTGAGGCAGGAGAATGGCATGAACCTGGGAGGCGGAGCTTTCACTGAGCCAAGATCGCTCCACTGCACTCCAGCCTGCGTGACAGAGTGAGACTCCATCTCAAAAAAAAAAAAAAAAAAAAAAAAAAAAAAATCTGGCCAGGCATGGTGGCTCATGCCTGTAATCTCAGCACTTTGAGAGGTTGAGGTGGGTGCATCACGTGAGGTCAGGAGTTCGATACCAGCCTGGCCAATATGGTGAAACCCGGTCTCTACTAAAAATACAAAAAGTAGCCGGGTACAGTGGCACACGCCTGTAATCCCAGCTACTCAGAAGCCTGAGGCAGAAGAATTGCTTGAACCTGGGAGGCGGAGGTCGCAGTGAGCTGAGATTGCCACTGCACTCCAGCCTGGGCGATAAAGCAAGACACTATCTCAAAAAAAAAAAAAAAAGCAAAGCCAGGCTCGGTGCCTCACATCTGTAATCCCAGCACTTTGGGAGGCCGAGGCAGGTGGATCACCTGAGGTGAGGAGTTCAAGACCAGCCTGGCCAACATGGTGAAACCCCGTCTAGATACAGAAGTTAGCTGTGCATTGTGGCGCGTGCCTGTAATCCCAACTACTCGGGAGGCTGAGGCAGGAAAATTGCTTGAACCTGGGAGGTAGAGGTTGCATTGAGCTGAGATCGTGCCATTGTAACCCAGCCTGGACAATAAGAGCAAAACTCCATGACAAAAAAAAAAAAAAAACCTGAAACCTGAAGTGTTCCAAAAATCCCAAACTTTTGGTATAATGCAAATATTCAAAAATCTGAAAAAATCTGAAATCCAAAACACTTCTTGTTCAAAGCTTTTCACATAAGGGATACTCAACGTGTATATACTTCAAAACATCATGTTGTACCTATTACATACATTTTAATCTGTCAACTCTTTAATTTTTTGAGACAGGATCTCACTGTGTTGCCCAAACCAGAGTGCAGTGGCGTGATCCTAGCTCACTGCAGCCTCAAACTCCTGGGATCAAGTGATCCTCCCACTTCAGCCTCCCAATAGCTGGGACTACAGGCAGGCACCACCATACCTGGCTAATTTTTAAATTTTTAAATTATTTTTTAGAGATGGGATCTCTATGTTGCCCAGGCTGGGATGTCAATTTAAATAAATGAATAAATTTAAAAGAAAAATAACCCTTCAAAACAACTAATCAACATCACAGAGGGCCTCCTTAAAAAAATTAAGCAGCTTATTTACTGCCCCAAATTAGGAATTTCATTCTGGTTTATGTTGGATTGCGTGTACACACACATCCAGATGGTCACTCACACCTAAACAAAGCCAACAGTGTGCAAATGCCTAAGAAATTAACACATAAAGAAATACATAGCTGAAGCTACACAGATAAGCTAACTAAAAAACCAAAAAGACACGACTTAGTAGGTAAGGCACATGCTTCCCTTCATGAGTAAGGTACAGAGGATAGTCATCTTGACACCTCCTTCATTTAAAAAAAAGTGGCAGAGGCCAAGTGTGGTGGCTCATGCCTGTAATCCCGCCATTTTGGGAGGTCAAGGCAGGAGGACTGCTTGAGCCCAGGAGTTTGAGACAGCCTGAGCAACATAGCAAGACCCCATCTCTACAAAAAATTAAAAATTAGCTGGGTGTGGTGGCTTGCGCCTGTAGTCCCAGCTACTCAGGAGACTGAGGTGGGAGGACTGCTTGAGCACAGGAGGTTGAGGATGCAGTAAGCCATGATCACGCCCCTGTGCTCCAGCCTGGGCAACAGAATGAGACCCGAAAAAAGGCACAGAAAGAAGATAATTCTCATAAGCATCAGCCTACCAAACTAAAGATCTGAATAGGTACATAAAATTTATAAATTTGTTAAAAATACATTTTCTCTCTTTAAGATGACTGTCTTCTTAAAATATGAGAGAAAACTTGAAATGCTATGCCATGACTTTTAGAAAAACCACAATGGTTAGTTGTCTTTATACCTCTGGAAAATAGATGCTAAACAGTGCCCCTAATTTTCACTTCGTATGTCCTCTTGCAATACGAAGAAGCCCTCTCACCAATATACATACCAATACCAATCAGATTTCAAACATTAAAATGGAAAAAGAATTACCCCGCAGTTCAGTTAAAATGTCTATTTTTTGCTCAAGAATAGCTTCAAGTTGTGTAGCATATGAATCGACATCATAATCTACTTCTTCAGTCATCTCTAAGAGGGCCTTTTCATCTTCTAACCACCGAATAGATTCCTACAAGGACAAAAATTCGATAATCCAATAAGCATCTTTGTGCAACAGAAACCAAATTACAATTCTGTTAAATATAATCAAACATACTTAAGATAGTATTCTCTAAAATGTCAATAGACATAAAACATCTTTATTCACAGACAGTATAATTAAGAAATACAGTTGACTCTGGAACAACATGGGTTTAAACTGTTTGGGTCCACTTATGTGGATTTTTTTCAATGTAAGTTACGCTGAGTATGCCTGCCTCTCCTGCCATCCCTTCCACCTCCTCCACTTCTGCCAGCCCTGAGACACCAGGTCCAGCCTGCCTCTTCCTCCTCAGCCTACTCAATGTGAAGATGATGAGGATGAAGACCTTTATGATGATGCACTTCTACTTAATAGTAAATATAATTCTCCTTTCTTACGATTTTCTTAATACCATTTTCTTTTCTCTAGCTTACTTTGTGGTAAGAATACCTTATATCACATATATAACATACAAAATATGTACTCATAGACTTTTATGTTATTGGTAAGGCTTCTGGTCAATAGTCAAGTTTTAGGGGGGCTCAAAAGTTATATATATTTCCAACTGTGCTGGGGGTCAGCATCCTTAACCCCCTGCAGTTTTCAAGGGTCAACTGTATGTCCTCAAAATCTAACACAAACACATGAAAGATGGGCTGAGCAACATCATTTCATTTCTCTATCTTTACTCTACTTTGGATGGGAATTTTGGGGAGGGAATGCATCAAATACATCAATATTAAAGAGGAGAGTAAGTCTCAAAACCTCAATATCCATCCCTAAAACGGGAAGAATGTGCATAATAAAGCTACTGAGCACTTTGATGGGGGCTATGGTAGCCTAGAACCTGACAAACTAACATATCCAATTAGGGACTCACAGTGGTTGGGCCAAGAGGTAATAATAAATTCCAGCTGGGCATGGTGGCTCACGCCTGGAATCCCAGCACTTCAGAAGGCTGAGGCAAGTGGATCACTTTGAGGTCAGGAGTTCAAGATCAGCCGGGCCAACATGGTGAAACCCTGTCTCTTCTAAAAATACAAAAAATTAGCCAGGCGTGATGGCACACGCCTGCAATCCCAGTTACTTGGGAGGCTGAGGCAGGAAAATAGCTTGAACCCAGGAGGCAGGGGTTATAGTGAGCCGAGATCGCGCCATTGCACTCCAGCCTGGGCGACAGAGCGAGACTGTCTCAAAACAAAAAACAAAACAAGACCAGATCTTTCTGAATTAAAGAGCTATTTGGACATAAAAGCTCTTATACGTGGATTTGCTTTTAGGATGCATACAATCTCAATTTTCCGAACATCAATTGACTTTAATGACTAATTATAATTAGACTATATAGCACCAGACAGAACTGGTTAACATAGGTATGTGTCTTGATTAGGAAACATATTAATTAGAAAATGCAAAAATACTCCAATTTTCCTTTTTTTTTTTTTTCCTGAGTTTCACTCTTGTTGCTCAGGCTGGTGTGCAATGGCACAATCTTGGCTCACTGCAACCTCCGCCTGCTGGGTTCAAGCAATTCTCCTGCCTCAGCCTCCCAAGTAGCTGGGATTACAGGCATGCGCCACCATGCCCAGCTAATTCTGTATTTTTAGTAGAGACAGGGTTTCTCCATATTGGTCAGGCTGGTATCGAACTCGCAAACTCAGGTGATCCACCCGTCTCGGCCTCCCAAAGTGCTGGGATTACAGGTGTGAGCCACCACGCCTGGTCATACACTCCAATTTTTCTTTCCTTTTCCTTTAGCTGTACACTTAATTTTGGTTTAACAAAACCTTATTTTGTGAAATGGCAGATCATAATACAGAGGAATGATATAGAGAATTGTAAAAAGAATACTGGGTTGAAAGTCAGAACACCTAATTTTACCAATAAACAGCTGTAAGATTTTATCTAAAAAATGGCAGAGTGGGAAATGATGGTCTTTATAGGATACCTTGTTCCAAAAGGGCACATATGACACTTTTCTTTTTGTTTTTAAATAGAGATGGGGTTTTGCCATGTTGCCTAGGCTGGTCTCTAACTCCAGGGCTCAAGCAATCCATCCACCCTGGCCTCCCAAAGTGCTGGGATTACAGGTGTGTAATTTTCTTAAATTATTAGCATCCGTTCTCTACTTAAACACCTTGGCTTCTAAAGAGAGTCTCATAATAACAGTTTGACTAAAACTCTAGAGTTTTTGTTTTTTTCTCACTCTGTTGCCCAGGCTGGAGTGCAGTGGTGTGATCTCAGCTCACTGCAACTTCCACCTCCCAGGCTCAAGGAATCCTACCTCAGCCTCCCGAGTAGCTGGGACTACAGGCATGCTATACCTCACCCAGCTAATTTTTGTATTTTTTGTAGAGACAGGGTTTCACCATGTTGCCCAGGCTAGTCTTGAATTCCTGGGCTCAAGTGATCCACCCTCCTGGGCCTCCCACAGTGCTGGTATTACAGGCATGAGCCACTGCGCCTGGCCAAACTCTAATAGTTTTAATGAACGTGTATCCTAATCTGACATAAAGTGTTCTCTGTCATTTTTGAGCCCTTTATCCAGGTTCTTGAATGGCCTAGAGCTGAAGTTCCTTTGTTTAATGACAAAGATTCCTTCAACATCAAAGAAGGAATACAAGTCAACAAGGGAGGCAGTTATTGTTTTTTTCTCAAGAAGTGTTCATAGTATTACAGGAGGGTGGGGGCGGCTGCCAGTCAATTGTACAGTCTTCATAAAGATGTCCAAATGATATCTTCACTCCCTCAAATATCACCATGATAGGACATTTTCTTGTTTAAAAAAAGGGGAGTAGAGTATCATATAGTAAATACTTTTAACAGGTTGAATGCATAATGGAATGAATGCCTAAGGAGTTACTGCTACAGGTGGTGATATAACACCCTTCCCTTAACTTGCCACTGACAGCTCAGAGCAGTAACTCTCCATCTCCTGAAGTAAGTAGTCTCTCTTTTCTGCAACAACTGATACTTCCTCAACTGCTCCAAAACCCTTTAAAAGAGTTTTTCTTAACTGCTATCAAATACATTGGCCTAACATTTAGAAGGAAGTACTGGTGGGCAGAAGTGACACTCTTCCCTAAAAATGGACAAATGACAAAAACCAATAAGGGGGACGGGAGGTAAATAAAGTAGAACGTTTCACCATGGTGCAAAGAAATGTTATTTGTAGCCATCGTTCATTGTATTAAAAATTTGCCATGTCACATGCCCTACAAATACACATATACATATATACAAACAAGTATTTTTTAAGGAATAGTGTGATATTTAAGGAATTATGACAAATTCTTAATTTATCTCAAGAAATATTTTGAAGGAAAGTCCTGTCTTACTTTACCTGGAACACTGCCCTGTGATCTTCTACAACTTGTTCTTCCATTTCTACCATTTGTGAAACAGCTTCGTGGAAAGTAAACAACTGTGGAGAGACTTCTTCTTCCTTAAAATAAAAATAGTTAAGAAATTATGATATAGTGTGTATTTTAAATGTTATAAAAGTAGTTTTTTTTAATTTAGAAAAATATCATTTAGAAATTGAAGAGGCTTGAATGGTAAAGGCTAGTAAAATATATATAAAAGGCAAAGCCACGATTTCTTTCTTTGGGTAAAAATATTTATGCAACTCTCAATAAGACAACTAAAACTTAGATGAGTAGGGAATATTTTTCACTTAGCCTAAGCTTTATTGCCGAACTATGCTGAAAGAGTACTCTCTTTTGGAACAGCCCAACTTTTCAAAAATACAGTTATTGCAGGCTGTAAATGTATGAAATATTTCCTCAGTATTGTCTACTTTTCACTAACAATTTAATTTACATGTTTAAGTTTCTTTTGTTAAAAAAGATATGAAGATAGTATCTTTAGATGATGTAAAGAAAATGTCTTTCATGACTATCAAATTAGTGTTGTAAAGGACTTAACTCTTAACTAATTTCTTAAATATACTACAGAATATATTTATACCAGTTTTTATAGAAATTTCAATGGACAATTCACAATTTTACTTCATCAACAACAAAAAACATATAGTTGACTCTAGAACAATACATGTTTGAACAGTGCTTGTCCACTTATATCTGGTTTTCAACCAATGCAGACTGAAAATACAGTATTTGAGAGATGTGAAACCTTCATATTCAGAGGCCCAACTTTTCATATTTGCAAGTTCCACGGGGCCAGCTGTGGGACTTGTGTATGCGCAATTTGGGTATATTCAGGCAGTCCTGGAACCAATCCTCCATGTATAACTGAGGGACAACTATATACAATATATTCATATTTTCGTCCTATAGCAAGTCAGAGCTTCTCTGATTCCAGGCCATGTTCAGATGATGATTAAAAAACAAAACAAAACAAAACAAAAAACAAAAAAAAACTTCGGCTGGGTGTGGTGGCTCACTCCTGTAATCCTAGCCCTCTGGGAGGCTGAGGCGGGCGGATCACTTGAGGTCAGGAGTTCGAAACCAGCTTGGCCATCATGGTGAAACCCCGTCTCTACTAAAAATATAAAAAATTAGCTGGGCATGGTGGTGTGCGCCTGTAATCCCAGCTACTCGGGAGGCTGAGGCAGGAGAATCACTTTAACCCGGGAGGCGGAGGTTGCAGTAAGCTGAGATCGTGCCATTGCACTCCAGCCTGGGTGACAGAGCAAGATTCCACCTCAAAAAAACAAACAAACAAACAAACAAACAAAAAAAACTTCTCCGATCTCTAGAGCGTGTCTTAGATGCTGTTCCATTTTAATCTACTTTGTTAAGACAATATAGCAATAATAATATGTACACACGCACCAATACTTAACTAAAGGCTAATGCTGAGTCATGGCAAGATAATTCCCTGGGTGTGGCAAAGGTGACAGAAATGCACACTCTCTCAAACATGGAGGCTGTAAAAACTCATGATGTCATACTCCCCTGGATTAGTTCTGGTCATCTAACCTCTCCAAATTAAGGCTCTACAGAGGCCCAATAGATGCAATAATAAAATGGAAAGATATGTATAGGGAGTACTTATCTTGCTCTGGTTTTCCACATCTTTGGGAGGTAACATATCTAGATGCAATGCAGGGTTTACTTTAAAGAGTCTAAAAGCAACTACAGTCTCTCTTAAAAATTCTGGACATAAGTGATGGACTGAGGCCAGAATCTCATTTTTAGTTTTTATGGTTCAAAGTTTAGAACTCTTAGTTTGAACCAGGTTTTTCCAGTCTTGGAACTACTGACATTGTATGGGGATAAGGTGAGGGGGACACTCCTGTGCACTGTATGATGTTCAGCAGCATTCCTGGCTCTACCCACTATATGCTAGCAGCATCACCTTAGTTGTGACAAGCAAAATATCCATACATTTTGCTTTGGGGGCCAAACTGCTCCTAGTTAAGGACCACTGCTTTAAGCCCTGCTTTAGTAACAGTGATTTGGAACATGGTAACAAAAAGTAGTAAGTGTATCTGTTACTCTAGAATATTTTGGGCTAAGTATCTGCTACAAAGTATTAGAACTAACTAACATTGTTTACAAAGAATACTGTATTGCAGGAAGCAATGAGTTTAATTGATACAAGGTTTGGCGCTGGAATAAGATCTAAATTTCAATCCTGGCTTCAGTACTTACTACTTGTAAAATCTTGGTCAAATTATTTAAACCTCAGAATATCAGTTATAAAGTAGGGATAATTATAGTACCCACTACAATGAGTTGTGATAATGAGATCAGATAATAAATAAAATGCTTAGCAATGTATGTCATGTAGTAAGCAACTAATCAATGCTAACTTAACATGATGAGAAAATGCCATGATAAGACTTAGTGGGAATAGAATGACACCAAACTATGCAGAATATGCATTTTAAAAACACACCTTTACATCTCACACACAGAAAAGAACCCTCTCAATACATTAAAAGCAATTATGTGAAAGTGTATTATATATACCTTTTTATTTCTTTATCTCTTTCTATCCTTATACAATGGGCATGTATTTATTTTTATAATTGGGAAATCAAAAATTTAAATTATAAAGTATCATTAAAAATTTTAATCATACAGAAAAGCAATCAGATTTAACAAATGTTAGTATTTTGCTGTTTGATTTTAATATAGTGCATACATCCTTTCAATATAGATGCATATGTCCACAGTTCTTTTGTTTCTAAGCTTTAAAAAATTTTTTTTGAGATGGAGTCTCACTCTGATGCCCAGACTGGAGTGCAGTGGTGGGATCTCAGCTCACTGCAACCTCCACCTCCCAGTTTCAAGCGATTTTCATCCCTCAGCCTCCTGAGTAGCTGGGACTACAGGCGTGTGCCACCATGCTCAGCTAATTTTTGTAGTTAGTAGACACAGGTTTTACCATGTTGGCCAGGCTGGTCTTGAACTCCTGACCTTAAGTGATCCGCCCACCTCGGCCTCGGATTACAGGCGTGAGACACCGCGCCTGGCTTGTTTTTAAGCTTTATAATATTTATTATATGTGTAATTTTTAAAGTTGTTTTCCCCTATATTACTTTAAATTTTTCCCAAATTTTAATAGCAGACAAAAATCTGAGGGAAAAAAATGAATGGTTTAGATTGGGAGTTGGAAGTTGTTTTTCCCTATATTACTTTAAATTTTTCCCAAATTTTAATATCAGACAAAAATCTAAGGGAAAAAAATGAATGGTTTAGATTGGGAGTTGGAAACTTCCTTAAAGGGCCAGATAATACATGTTTTGGGTTTATGAGCCAAACAGTCTCTGTTACTGCTGTTATGGTAGGTAAGAAAGCAGCCAGACAACACTTAAGAGAATAAACATGGATATGTTCCAATAAAACTTTATTTGTAAAAATAGATGGCTGGCCCACAGGCTGTAGTTTGCTGACCCCTGACTTATTTACTCATTTATTTTAAGAGACAAGGTCTCGCTCTGTCACCTAGGCTAGAGTGCAGTGATGCTATGACAGTCCACTACAGCCCAGAATTCCTGTGCTCAAGCAATCCTCCCACCTCAGCCTGCCTAGTAGCTAGACTTACAGGTGTATACCACCACATCTGGATGATTTTTAAATTTTTTGTAGAGAAAGGGTCTCATTAAATTGTCCAGGCTGGTCTTGAACTCCTGGCCTCAAGCAGTCCTCTCACTCAGCCTCCCAAATTGGTGAGATTACAAGCTTGAGCCACCACACCCACAGCCTGACACCTCATTTAAATGATAGTTTTCAGTTAAGTTCTGCTACTGATGAAATGAACTAAGATTATAACATTTACAACCATAGTACACTCACATTTTGTTCACAAAGAAGTTTTAGATCATCTCTCTGAGGGGAACTCCCCACACCCCACTGTGTCTCTAAGTCATCAATCTGGTTTGGTGGATGGTGCATTATTGGACGAACATCACCAGCAGCAGTTGGATCTACAGTCAATTCTTTGACCCTATAAATACATAAGAGGTATCTAAAGTTAAAAACACTCATGCAGAGGAACGAGAAAATACCAGCCTATTCAATATACACGCAATTCAGTTAACATACTAAGATTGATGATGTCACCTTTATAGGTAAAATTTATCTGAAATCTGTAGAAACACTTAAGTGGTTGTTTAGTTTTAGGAAATCTGCTTAGGTAACTTTATATAATTCATATTATATTATATCAAATATAATTATTGTGTAAATTAAATGAGAACAGTATGTAGATTCAGTATTCAAAGAAAAAAACTTGTTATGATTTAAAAAATTTTTTAAATTTTCCATTTTATTTACTACTGGCTCATCAAAGTTGATGTTATTGCAATTAAATTATATGAACAGAAAAATGTAAACAATAACAATTAGACCAATAAATGGATCACTGCTGAAACAAAACAAAAAAACCCTGCAGATTTCTGGTAGTTATCATGCTCAATTAAAATAGCTACATGTAAAATAATTTTATTTATAATGTATAAAGATTATAAGATTTTAAGTTTTATCATTTGAAAAGTGTTTACTCATTATATTTAAACTTACACATTTGGGAAAGGGTAAACTTTCCTTACTTTAAAAAAAATTTTTTTTTTTTTTCACCACTTGGCCAGGTTGGTCTGGAATTCTCAACCTCAGGTGATCCACCAGCCTCCGCCTCCCAAAGTGCTGGGATTACAGGTGTGAGCCACCACGCCCGGCCAAAAGAGGGTAAACTTTCTATGTCAAGAGGCTCCTTGCAGACAAGGAAACTTATAAGATCATACAGCATAAAGGCAATCTCTTCATTTTAAGCAAGATAATTTATCTTTTAACAATTCGATGGTAAGTATGGTAATTTTAATGGTAAGTATGCAAAAGTGACATCATCCTTAAAAATATGAGGGGGAAATAGGAAGCCTGAATTCTAAATCAACATTTTAAAGCAAACAAATTAATAAAAGATGTAAGAATGCAGATCATGCAGTACAACCACCACCTGCCAAATGAAATGACAATGAAAACTAAAATGGCTCAGGACAAAAATAGCAAATGAAATGTTTATACAAAGCACAATTCAAAAGAAAGTATACAAATAAACATCTTATGTATAGAATGAAGTAGACCTGGTAACTGAAGGAGAAAAGTCGTCATATTCATAAGAAGGAGAGAGATCAGGGCGACTGCCACTACCCTGTGAGAAGGGAATGTCTGATGGACTAATTCCAAACTCCTTTACTCTGCAGCACCAAAAGAGCAACAAATTAAAAGAAAATGCTCTTGAAAGACAGCAATGCACATTGCACATTTTCATTTAGTATTCACTTTTGTTTAGAAAAGGATATTGATATTGTTGTGACAATGTATTTAGAATATTATTTTACAAATAACAAATTTTAAGAGGTTTTTGAACATCTTTGTTCTATTGATCCCCTGCTCTATAGTCCTAAGTCTTTCCTTTCTGGTGTATTTTCCTCTTTTCTCATAATCCTTCCTAGAAGTTTAACTAAGTCACTTAAATCTGAAATGCCCCCCTAACTACATGACCACTCAATCTAATTTCTTCATGTAGTCAGTACCATGACTATTTGTTTATTAGCATTCATGAGTCTTCAACATTTTTGCAGTCTTTTCCAAACAGGACACAAGGGAATTAAGTCCTAATGTCTTAAGGCATCCATTGTTTGTAATGAATTAACTTCTTTCCTATGCATCCAGAATGGCATTAGCTGTGAAATGTCCTTGGTATAACTGAGAAAATATTCACTCTATTTTCAGTGGTTGGTGATTCAGATGAAGAACTCTGGTTGAGAACAGCCTTTAGCAATGAAATTTAAATTGCTTTTGCTAACATCTTCAATAGTTATATTTAACCAAATTATGACTTTTCTCACCCCATCTATGTAATTCCTTATGTCTCTTTTGGGCCAACCCTATTTCATACCCATATAAAATATTTATTAAGTACCTCCTGTATGTCAGGTATTAGGATTAGTCATTTTTAGGCATTATATTATTTAGTCCTTCAACCATCTTTGATTTTATAGATGAGAAAAATGACTCAGAAATAAAGTATCTTCTCTAAGGTCATTCACTGAGAATGTGGCATAACTGAGGTTAAAACCTAGCCCTGAGTACAAAGCCTATGTTATTTAAACACTTCAATATAATAACCATATTCTCTGATTTTCTTGTCATTTCTCTTAGGTTGAACTAAATGAAATTCCCTTCTTTTTAGGTCAAAAACAAGTATCAATATCTTCATATAAATCAAACTAATATGTTTCCTCTACTAACAGTCTTTCTTTGACCTATTGGTTAATATCTACTGTCAAAGGTTCAATATTGGATTCATCTGCCTTTTATCCTTAAAGTTTATTTACCACACATGCTGAAAAATCTAAATATGTTTTTTTTCCTTTTTGAGATAAGGTCTCACCATATCACCCAGGCTATACTGCAGTGGCTCAGTCATGGCTCATTGCAGCCTTGACCTCCTGCTCAAGTGATCCTCCCACCTCAGCTGGGACTATCACTGGTGTGCCACCACCCCCGGCTAATTTTTTATTTTTTTGTAGAGATGAGGTCTCGTTAGGTTGCTCAGGCTGGTCTCAAACTCCTGGACTCAAGTGATCCTCCTGCCTCGGCCTCCCAAAGTACTGGGATTACAAGCATGAGCTACAGCGTCTGGCCTGAAAAATCTAAATTTCTAATACAAACAACTATTTTCACTCCCACCCCATTTCTTATCTAAATCTTTTAATTTAGACACCCTATTAGCTTCATCCACACATTTTTTCCTCTATCCAAAGCCCTCTTGCCCAAGCCAGACTATACTACATACAAGAATCACATTCTTCAAACATGTTACTAAAAACTCCTAATCACTCTAATCACTCTTCTACCCAAGACCCAATCACTCTAACCTCTTCCATTACCCAAAGATTAAGTATCTCTGCTTCAGGATAGAGGCCACTGTCTATTTCTCATATATCCTATAAATTTTTTTTCCTTGAGACAACCATTCCTTCCACTCTGAAAGTTTTCCCTTGTACTCTCCTCTAAAATATCTCTAATTGTCTGGCTGGGTGCAGTGGCTTATGCTGTAATCCCAGTACTTTCAGAGGCTGAGGCGGGCAGATCACTTAAGGTCAGGAGTTCGAGACCAGCCTGGCCAACATGGTGAAACTCCATCTCTACTAAAAAATACAAAAAAATTAGCTGGGCGTGGTGACGGGCGCCTGTAATCCCAGCTACTCGGGAGGCTGAGGCAGGAGAATCGCTTGAACCCCGGAGTCAGAGGCTGCAGTGAGCTGAGATTGTGCCACTGCACTCCAGCCTGGGTGACATAGCAAGACTCCATCTTAAATAAATAAATAAATAAATAAAGTATCTCTAATTGTCATCTGATGAACTAGACTTGTCAACTTAATCACTTAGCAGCAATGTGTACTGTTACAAACTATCCCACAATTCCCATATAAAACTTTCAAAGTATATGATTCTAATATAAGGATATGAAAAAACATTGCTTTCACATCTGTCTAACCGAATTTTTTAGACAGAACTGCTCACTAAAGTAGCAATAGGGATAACTATTCCTATTAATATATCCCAGGTACTGTGCTAAACATTTTACACAGATCACTTCTTTTAGTCCTCAAAAACAATCCTTTAAGATGGACATGGTCATTAGCTGTCTATTCTAAAGATGAGGAAATAAAGACAGAGAGAGGTTAAGTAACTTTCCCGAGGCTTTGATACCATTAAGTAGTAAGGAAGTTATTAAACCTATTTTGTCCTGAGAAATAACACTTCAATCACTAAGCTATGTCTTAAATACAAAAAAAGTTTAAACACTTAAGACAGAAATAGTTTCCTAAAAATATGAAATTTTAATGTAATGCCACCTACCCACCACCTCAAAGTATTGGCCTAAAAAAAATAAGGCAGATTTAGTATAAAGGAGGAATGAATTATTTTTGGCTGTTAAAAAAAAAAATTACTGACTCTTAAGGTCACAAAACATTGGTATGAGTATCAAGGAAGGTTAAAAATCTTTATTCCTAGAGATTTGGAAATAAAATTGAAACAATTATGTGTCTGATATGGTTAGGCTTTCTGTCCCCACTCAAATCTCATCTTAAATTATAATTTCCATAATCTCCAAGTGTCAAGGGAGAGACCACGTGGAGGTAACTGAATCATGGGGGCAACTTCCTCCAGGCTGTTCTCGTGATAGTGAGTTCTCACAAGATCTAATGGTTTTATAGGAGGCTCTTCCCCAGTTTGCTTGGCACTTCTCCTTCCTGCTGCCTGGTGAAGGTGCCTTGCTTCCCCTTCACCTTCCACCATGACTGTAAGTTTCCTGAAGCCTCTGTGGCCATGCTGAACTGTGAGTCAATTAAACCTTCATAAATTACCCAGTCTCGGGTATTCCTTTGTAGCAGTGTGAGAACCGATTAATACAGTGTCCCAGATGGTTAGTCATGTTGCAAGTGAGTTACATGATATAACAGTAGGTTAAAACATTTTACTTTGACCTAAGTGAACTAGAGGAACAGCTAGATATAGCATTTTCACAATATTAGGGAGGAATCTTTTGTAGTTTCAAATCTTAAGAAACAGAGGGGTTTTGTTTGTTTTAATTCTACAACATGGCAAGAATCTATTACACTAGGCTGTTCCTCATCTTTCTCAAGAATTATTCTGAAATAAGAAACATTTTAAATTAATGATAAAAATCCCACATATCAAAAACGTTAATTACCAAGATCAATTAAAACTAACACAATAAGGATTTGCAGCTAGGAGCTCATAATTCAAACTTTAAAGGGATTAAATTTACAAAATATAATAGTTCATACTTAGAAATGTAGTTCTATTACTTTTTTTTTTTTTAAGACAAGGTCTTGCTCTGTTGCCCAGGCTAGAGTGCAGTGGTGCAATTACAACTCACTGTAGACTCAACATTCCAGGTTCAAGCAATCCTCTCACCTCAGCCCCCCAAGTGGCTGGGACTACAGATGCATGCCACCATGCCAGGCTAATTTTTGTATTTTTTATAGAGACGGGGTTTTGCTATGTTGCCCAGACTGGTCTCGAATTTCTGGGCTCAAGCAATCCACCCGCCTGGGCCACCAAAAGCACTGGGATTAAAGGTGTAAGCCACCGCGCCTGGCCCTATTACATTTTTAAAGAAGTGATTATATTTTAATCACTTTTTTTGCAAAAGCTCAATAGGTTGATATTGTCCAACAGTGTTTACTACCATTAAGAAAATCCCTTTAGAAACAAGATGCAAAAAAAACCCGGGGGGTTATAATACCATTGTGTAATGTTCAAATCAGCTACCTATGTTACTCAGAAATAGATTCATAGTAAAATTATTTTTAAAAAGAGGAAAAAAAAAAACAAGAAAAGTATTCCACAGAAGTTAATCCATGGGTTACATCAGGGTAGAGACAGATGAATAAGGCATGTTATTCAGGATTTGTGAACAGGAAGGAGCACATGGGGAACCTTTTGGGGGGCCAATAATGCTCTATTTCCCAAACCAATGACAGGAGTTTTTACTTTATAAGTATCCATTATCCATTTAATTAATCACTTATACTTTAGGTACTTTTCTATATGCATAAGTATTTTACATTTTAATAAAAGATTAAAAAATAACATTTCCATAGTGATTAAAACAAAGATATAGGACAGATACTTTTATCCAGCAAAATTAAGAGAACTGCTATACTTGAATTAAGAGAACTGCTATACTAGAAATGGATTACAAAGAGGAATTTTGTCTCTAGGTTAAAATCACAAATTTAACATTTGAGAAGAGAAATTTAACACTAAACAGTCATTCAAAATAAGAGCAGTGGTAAATAAAGTCACTCAAGAGCAGTGGGAAAAAAAAATCTATGGATCAAATATAAATATGCCCATTATAATTCAAAGTTCCAAAGGCATTTCATGACTATACAGAATAAACTGCTTTAGTAGTCTGTAATGCATTCTGTCCTTCTATCTGTAAAAACCCAGTTATAATGTTTATAATGTTTATAAGACTATTAATATGAATAACAAAATGTAACCCATATAGAACACCAGAAAGGGCCAGGCGGGGTGGCTCACGCCTGTAATCCTAGCACTTTGGGAGGCCGAGGCAGGTGGATCACCTGAGGTCAGGAGTTCGAGACCAGCCTAGCCAACATAGTGAAACCCTGCCTCTACTAAAAATACAAAAATTAGCCGGGTATGGTGGTACACGCCTATGGTCCCAGCTACCCAGGGGGCTGAGGCAGGAAAATCGCTTGAACTCAGGAAGTGGAGGTTGCAGTGAGCTGAGATCACACCACTGCACTCCAGCCTGAGTGACAGAACAAGACTCTGTCTCAAAAAAAAACCAAAACAAAAAACAAAAAAAACACCAGAAAGAACTGTGCTATCACTTCTTACTCAAATCCTAGATTCCCCATATAGAGCATTTAATATTATCAGGAATAATATGCAACATATACCAAAACAATTCAAGAAATACAAACTGGCCCCTGACATTCATTTACTTCAGAGTCTTAATGTAATAAGAAGAATTTGCATGATTTAAATGCAGTAAAATATTAGGAAATAAAACAGTGAAATGGAAACCTTGTTCTAGGATAAAAAGACCAACTTTACTAAAGTTATCAATCCCTTCCCAAATTACCCATTTCCACTTATTTTTAGAATTTGACAAAATGATTCTATATTGTCATCTTAAGGAATAATATGCAAAACATTTTTTTCTTGAAAATTGAAAGAACAATGTAGTAAGATTTACCCTATCAAATATTAATTTTTTTTTTTTTTTTGAGACGGAGTCTCACTCTGTTGCCCAGGCTGGAGTGCAGTGGCGTGATCTCGGCTCACTGCAAGCTCTGCCTCCCGGGTTCAGGCCATTCTCCTGCCTCAGCTTCCCGAGTAGCTGGGACTACAGGCACCCACCACCATGCCTGGCTAATTTTTTGTATTTTTAGTAGAGACGGGGTTTCACCATGTTAGCCAGGATAATCTCGATCTCCTGACCTTGTGATCCGCCCGCCTGGGCCTCCCAAAGTGCTAGGATTACAGGCGTGAGCCACCGCACGAGGCAGATATTAAATTATACTATGTACTGCTGTACTCCCCTCAAATTTCAAAATGGAGAACTATCTCTCATACCTATTTGCATATCTTAATGTATTAAGAGTATTTTCACAGGATGCCATTCCTGGAGAGATTGTGGCAATCTACAGGAAAAAAAAAATGCAAAGGTAAACAAAATGTTATAAATGATCAAGACAATAATACTGACATACAGCTCATTTAGGTCTAATCTTACCATGGTTATTTAAAAATAAAGACTTATTAATGATATCTCAACTCCAAGATTATTTGTTATCATATCTATAATCAGATAAAGTCTAGTTAAAATACAAACTCTGAAGGCACTAGAAAACAATCAAACTCCAGCTGAAATGGAGGAGGTTAATACCTGGAAGGGAATAGTACTGACTGACCCCCACTCCACCTGACTTTTTTTTTTTTAAACAGCTTTTTGACAGAGGGCAAGCTTTGCTGCTGTCACACAGGGCAACTAAAACTTGACTGAAAACTTGCAGTCTCTCTGGTAAAGAAATGAAAGGATATAGTTTGGGAGTGGAGTTCATAGCAGCTGGAAAAGTGAAGTTTGTCCCAGAAGGGAAAGTGCTGCAGAGAGTGTGGTACTCTCCCTTCTGGGACAAACTTTTATATACAAACTGCCCAAATCCCTAGCTGATTCCAGACCTAGACATATATTATACAAGGCAAACTATAAGCAACATAGCTAAATCTGAAAGGACTAAACAAAGCTTTCAATTCCAGTTGTTGCCCAGGGGAGATAAGAGTTTGGAGCAAGTTTAGTTAAATTTCTGCTATACAAAAAACCAATAATCTTCAGAAGAACATAACAGAATCCAGTCTCTATGTTCATTCATAATGCACATGATATAACCCCAAATTACCAGACATATGACCATAAAGAAAAGTGTGACCTATACTCAAAAAGAAAGAAAGAGAAAGAGAAAAAGAAAAAGAAAAAGAAAATCAAGAAAGACCAGCCCTCAATAACACCTAGATGCTGGAATTATATAACTGCAATATAATCCTCTCTATCAGAGTGGCAGGGACCACATCTTAAATATCACCATATCACTCAAAATAGAAGGATTCAAATAATTGTCACTAACAAATACATTTTCCATAAATATTGTGTAGTTATTCCTTTAGGATTAAAATAAAACAAACAAAAAATAAACATAAACTTACCATGCAGGTACGAGAGTTTTCACCTATGAAAGAATCTCTTAACACCTGAGTGAGTTTACTTGCACGGAAAGGAGTATGAGGTTTATTTCTACCTAAGGCTCTGATGCACTCCTGAAAATTAAGAAAACAAGTCTCACAGATTAGTCTTTCTTATAAAGGATAATCTTAATTAACATATTTTAAAAGGTCTCTTACTACAACTTGAACATTTAAGGGTCTGATCAGTTTTGAAAATTCTACTAACAGTTTTATTTTTTTTTTGAGACAAAGTCTCGCTCTGTCACCCAGGCTGGGGTGTGGTGGCGCAATCTTGGCTCACTACAACCTTTGTCTCCAGGCTTCAGGCGATTCTCCTACCCCAGCCTCCCAAGTAGCTGGGATAACAGGCGCCTGCTACCACGACTGGCTGTTTTTTATTTTTAGTAGAGATGGGGTTTCACCATGCTGACCAGGCTGGTATCGAACTCCTGACCTCAGGGGATCCACCCGCCTCGGCCTCCCAAAGTGCTGGGATTACAGACGTGAGCCACTGCGCCTGGCCAACAGTTTTAAAGCATAGTGTAGATGTTCCCATAAATGCTAATTCAAGAAAATAAAAAATGACAGCAAAAAAACCTACTTTATTCTTCCAACAGATATTTCTGGAAACTATGACTAGTGTTTGAAAGTGACAGGCAGTAGGATAACTGTAAAAAGTTAATTTCTTAACATGGCACTCCAAAAGAAAAAAACACAGAATGCCTTATTTTAGTCTTTCCAACCTTTGGTGTTCTACTCAAGGAAAAGATGTAATAACCTGGCCTAACATTTTGAAAGCCATTCCACATTTTTCTGAGAAACTGTTTCTTAGCTCAATTCAGTGGTTCGTTGCCCTCCTCCTAGAAAATATGACTAATTAAGACCCTCTGGGCCGGGCGCGGTGGCTCACGCCTGTAATCCCAGCACTTTGGAAGGCTGAGGTGGGTAGATCACGAGGTCAGAAGTTCAAGACCAGCCTAGCCAACATGGTGAAACCCCATATCTACTAAAAATACAAAAATTAGCTGGGTGTGGTGGTGCGTGCCTGTAATCCCAGCTCCTGGAGAGGCTGAGGCAGGAGAATGGCTTGAACCCAGGAGGTGGAGGTTGCGGTGAGCCGAGATTGTGTCACTGCACTCCAGCCTGGGCGAAAGAGCAAGACACAGTCTCAAAAAAAAAAAAAACCTCTGGAGTTTACCTATGTAGCCCCAGAACTGACCTACTAACTCACATATCCTTTATCCCATCTAAAAAGAATAAAGAATGTGTGCAAGGAAAAAATCTGGGTATAATAAAATCACACTATACATTACAAGCATCTGAATTTTGAAAACCTCTTTTTATTAGGTAAAACAAGTACTACTATTTTGCAACTGAGTAAAGAAAATTAAAGTCAAAAGTAAAAGACCTTTCATGATAAAATACATTTTATTTACCTTGAGTGCTAAAAGGCTTTTATTAATTTCAGCACCTTCAAGCCTAGTTTGCCTGTCCGCACTGGAAGTATCAGCTCCTCTTTCATTTCCAGCCAAATCAATGAGAGAAAATTTGCCATGTAGTTTTCCTTTCCTTCTAAGAATAATCTGAAACACTGCATGGCTCCGAGATGAATGTGCATTTGCAGATGTTTGACCGGATGTTCTACAATGTGATTAAGGACATCTTGATACATTAAAAACTTCAATTTACATGTTCAAACCACATTATTTTCATTAAAAACAACAGCAGCAAAAACATCGATTTAGCTAGTTTTCATCTTTTAAATACAGATGAGACACTGAGTTATAACACTTAAATAGAACCAGATTCATACAATTTAATCCGGCATATTTCTAATATATTTGTAATGTAGTATCAATATAATAATTGTCACTCACATTTACATGTAACACAAGTTTTTATGAACAATGATTTTTACTTCCAAGATGTATTGATAGATAACATCCTCATTTTGTTATACTGTACCCAAAGTTTCTAAAACTGATGTTTCCTTTCTTAATCAAAATGAGATTTACCTGCAACTGTTGCCTATGTCAATGAGTTTCAGTACATCTTCAACACATTTGACCTCCCGTTCCTGTAATCCCACCACTTGAACCTGCTGTTTTCCATCTTCTAGAACTCTTAATTTTGTTTTCCTGTTTAGCAAGTCAAACACCTATGAAAAACCATATTCAAATTAGAAAACTAGCTTTAAAGTAAAAAACAGGCTAGGTGCAATGGCTCACGCCTGTAATCCCAGCATTTTGGGAGGCTGAGGCAGGAGGATGGCTTGAGCTCAGGAGTTCAAAACCAGCCTGGGCAACATAGTGAGACCTTGTCTCTGCTAAAAATAAAACAAATTAGCTGGGCATGGTGGTGCATGCCTATAGTCGCAGCTACTAGGAAAGCTGAGGCGGGAAGCTCACTTGAGCTCAGGAGATTGAAGCTACAGTTAGCTGTGATCATGCCACTGCACTCCAGCATGGGTGACACAGCGAGATCCTGTGGCAATTAAAATATCAGTTCTATAAAAATGAGTCACCCAGAGTTTAAGAATTATTTCAGAGATTAAAATAATAATTGGAATAAGAATTCTCAACACTGAAGTTGAAAAGTTTCAAAGGACTTTTTAAAAAAATCTCATAACATAAATTCTAATATAAAAGTTCTAAATACACATAAATTATGGTGGTAAACGCTGCACAACAATGTGAATATATTTAATGCCACTGAACTTAAAAATGGTTAAAATGGCAAATGTTATGTTATATATATATTTTAAAAAATTAAAATTAAAAAAGTTCCCACTTACCTTTCCACTATAAATTTCAAAGAAGGTTGCATATACTTGAAGTTCTAGCTTCTTATAGTTTGGCTTCTTTAGCATTAAAAAGACATCTCGAGCTGTCAAAAATTTCATATACAGAAAATTGAGATCCAACAAATATTTTTAAAAAGCAACTCAAATTTTCTATTTCTAGAGGAATCAGTTACTCTTTACCTAGGATAACAGTATCAATAATAAAAATGAGAAAGTGAATATTAATTTTACAAAAAATAGTATTAATAGAAGCTATTCTCTTTCATATGCCATAAAAGGGTGCTACTTTTATTTATATATATTAATATTTATATTTATAAATAGCATAAAATTATAGGTGGTCATAATGAGGTTATTCTTATACCATAGCTAGTAGCTTTTTACAGTTCAGAAATTCAACAATTGAGACTCATCTCCAACAATGTGCTAGAATGCACTGACAAATATAATCAAGATTTCTGCCCCCTCAAAATCAATCTTACAGTTCTTTTTTTTTTTTTTGAGATGGGGTCTTGGTCTGTTGCCCAGGCTGAAGTGTAGTGGCATGATCTTGGCTCACTGCAACCTCTGCTTCCTGGGTTCAAATGATCAAACAATTCTGCCTCAGCCTCCTGAGTAGCTGGGATTACAGGCGCCCGCCACCACGCCTGGCTAAGTTTTTTTTTGTATTTTTAGTAGAGATGGAGTTTCACCATGTTGGCCAGGCTGGTCTCGAACTCCTGACCTCAAGTGATCCACCCACCTTGGCCTCCCAAAGTGCAGGGATTACAGGCATGAACCACCACACCCAGCCTACAGTTCTTGTCTTCTTAAAAAAAAAAAAAATTATTGTGAATATATAATCTTATAGTTCTTTTCAAGCAATCTAATAACCTATAATTGACATAATAGACAGTTAATATAGCATTATAGTTGCTGAACAATATTTTAAAGCCTTATTTCAAAGTTACCTGAATAATACCACAGAAGAATATTCCAAATTTTATGGAAAAAGGACAGTTACCTGCTAATGCATAAATTCCTTTAGAACAATCTTGGTTCTTTCCTGAAAAGTCACCACCCATAGTCTATATTTTAAAAAGAAAATAAAGAACAGACATTACTCAGGAATAACTCTTAAGAATTTAGTTCACAGAATTAAGCTATAAGGAAAAGAAACTGTAGCTTCGTACCAGAATGTAACTTTAATAAATTACTTACATGAGTTTTTCCACTTCCAGTCTGCCCATAAGCAAAGCATGTAGCCATTCCCCTTTCAAATATAGTTTCCACTAGTGGTCTAGCAGTAAACCTTAAAAATAAAATGCATCAGTCAGAATGTGTCACCAATATTTTGATGAATAATAGTAATGCTGAGTAATACAAAGTATTTTATTAATAAATAAAACTTAATAGCAAGATTCTAAACAAATCTTTGTTAAAAATTTTAAATAACAATATCGAAGAATTGATTTAAGAATTTTAAATATCATATGCTAAAATTACTTAAACTACTTAAAGCATAATTTCAAGCAATATTTCCATAATAAATAATGGTCACAATAAGGCATATACAATAAAAACAAACACAAAGTATTATAATTTCAACAGAAACAGAATAAACAAGAGTGGTAATCTCAATTTTAAAAAGTTAATAGAGGAAAAAAACTGCAAAAATATTATCTATAGACCATCTAAATAAATAGAAAAATGTTGATTACCTTGAATTTAGACAAGTAATTTATACTTAAGCAAAAAGAATATAAATTGTGCTTGTAGGAAAATGAATTCTATTAGTAAGTTGACACTCTCAATTTAGGAAAAGGATACCTAAATATTATGGTTTGAATTACATTTTTTTTTTTTTGAGACGAAGTCTCGTTCTCGTCCCCCAGGCTGGAGTGCAAATGGCGCGATCTCAGCTCACTGCAACCTCCGCCTCCCGGGTTCAAGTGATTCTCCTGCCTCAGCCTCCCGAGTAGCTGGGATTACAGGCACCTGCCACCACACCCAGCTAATTTCTGTATTTTTAGTAGAGACGTGGTTTCACCACGTTGGTCAGGCTGGTCTCAAACTCCTGACCACAGGCGATCTGCCCGCCTTGGCCTCCCAAAGTGCTGGGATTACAGGCATGAGCCACCGCACCCGGCCTTGAATTATATTTCAAATGTATTGGTATAACCCACTGCTAGAGTTAAAATAAAAAGGTGGGAAGGTATAAGAAGTACTTTTCCCCTGAGCAGTACACTAAAAAGTATGATGGAGGCCAGGCGTGGTGGCTCATGCCTGTAATCCCAACACTTTGGGAGGCTGAGGTGGGTGGATCACTTGAGGTCAGGAGTTCGAGACCGGCCTGACCAACATGGTGAAACCCCGTCTCTACTAAAAATACAAAATTAGCTGAACGTGGTGGCACACGCCTGTAATCCCAGCTACTCAGGAGGCTGAGGCAGGAGAATCGCTTGAACTGGGAGGCAGAGGTTGCAGTGAGCCGAGATCATGCCACTGCACTCCAGCCTGGGCGACAAGAGCAAAACTCAGCCTCAAAAAAACAAAAAAAAAAAAAGATGGAAAACAGATCTACAAGTAGAACATTTTATATAACTGCTGTCTTTGTTTTGTTTTGTAAAAGGCAAAACTGAAGAAAGTACAGAACAAAAGGAGCAGGAAAAAGTTCTGGTCAAACAGAACTAGGGATGAGCCTGCTAAGTAGATCAAACCCCTACCTCCCAACCCTACCCACAAAAAAACATGTAACTCCTCAATCCATAATAGTTAAGTATAAGAGATAGAGGAGAAGGATAAATATTGATAAAGTTAAGAAACATAAACATAGGGTAAAAACACAATGTTTACTAAATCATACACACAGAAACATGCCTGTATTTGTAATAATTTCTTAAAAACTATTATAAAAGTCAAACTTATATTTTATGAGGCAGGAGTAGAAAGAGGGAATGAAAAGGAAAAGTGGACTCTTCAGAAAGCTAAAAAAAAATTCTACAATTAACAATTATGATTCCCCTTTAAACATATTCTTCACAAATATCTCTATCTAGTATTCATATGTCCTTTAATTTGATCCTTTTTTTTTTTACAACTGACTACCCAGTACACTTGGTGAAGACAAAAAGAGTTGGTCTCAAAAGTATTTCCTTTGTAACACCTTCAATTCTTAGTCTCATTAACTCTAATTTTTTCCTTTCTAGGCATTTTTATGAAAAAGGGCAATCAGATATAGTATTCAAGCAATTACAAAGACAGTAATATTCCTAGATAAACCAAAATAACAATACTGCTAAAACTGGTGTTATAATTATTAGAAATGAATGTTTGCAAACTTACGTATGAAAATCTAAATCTGGCATAAAAATTTGAGATACCAATGTATAACACAGATAAATTTGAATTATTTTTAAGTTGAATACAGAAAACATACAAGAATCTCATGTACTAAAACTATCTCCAAGCTTAAAGATGACAAATTTAAATACAAGTACGGAACTTTTTCGCCTTAAGTGACAATACATACTAAATACAGATTTAGATAAATTAATAATTAACTGATAACAGGTATTTTGGCCAGGCATAACAGTGGCTCATGCCTGTAATCCCAGCACTTTGGGAAGCCAAGGCGGGCAGATCACTTGAGCTCAGGAGTCTGAGGTTAGCCTGGGCAACATGGCGAAACCTCAACTCTACAAAAAGTACAAAAATTAGCTGGGTGTGGTGGTGCATGCCTGTGGTCCCAGCTACTCAGGAGGCTGAGATGGGAGGATCACCTGAGCCTGGAAGGTCGAGGCTGCAGTGAGCTGTGATCGTGCCACTGCACTCCAGCCTGGGCAACAGAGCAAGACCATGCCTCAAACAAACATTTCAAGTTTCTTTATTAGTACAGAGATTAAAAGGTAAAAATTAAAAGTCTTCTTATCATATCCTATTCCTAGAGGTAATGTTAACATTTTCCCGAAATTTCTTATCCATATACATGGTTTGTGTGATATGTATATATATGTATATATATGTGTAATAAGCTAATTAGCAAATAGTAATGGAAACTATGATTTTGGGGAGCATTACAGAGAACAAGTGTTAATATTCATTACAGCATTTATTACATTCTCTTTGTTTAAACTCAGAATAAAACAGCATATTGCACCTCTTAAGAAATATCCCACAATCAATGTAAATTTCAAGGTGCTGATGACCACATGGCATAAGAACAAAATTCTGATTTAAAATGAATTTACCTACCTGTAAACCATTTCATTAGGAGCTGAGTCATCAAAGGCATAATCAAAACGAAATGTTTGGTTTTCTAGGTACCTTGTTAAATCTACTTTTTGTTTTGGTTCATGTACCATCACAACATCTTTACTAGGAATTGTGATTACATCAAGATCTTTCATTTGAGTTTCTAAAAGAATAAATGAAAATCAATGCCCAATAATTTTCACAGCATTTGAGTTCATGTACAAAATTATTTTAAGTAGTAAGAACTAAGATACAAGTAGTAAGTTCTGTACATATAAAGATAATATCCCATAAAAATGCAACTCACTAAGACAAAATATTTCAACAGCAAAGTAAAAACAAAATCAAGATTTCTGTGAAGCAAGACTCGGAATGGCAATGATTCAGAGCAATAACAAACTGACAAGTTTAGCCATAGAAATCTGCATAATGGTTACATACAAATCAAAGGAAATGATTTACATTTTTTCCAAACCAATTTGATTTGCTATTATAAAAATACATTACAAATAAGATAAAATCAATCTTTTATTAGAGCTCATTAAGTGCCATACCTTTTTTATTGAGTGGTCGTTTTCTTACACACACACATATCCTATGTTCATCAATCTAGAAATAAAAAGTATTTTATTTCAGTGATTATTAGTGTCATGTAAAACACTAAAACGTAAATTATGTAATATTTCCTCCAGGGGTTTTAGAAATTTATACATAGCATAAATGATAGGTAAGCTTAAAAAACAAATTAGCTTTGCACAAATTTTAATGGTTGTCAGATATAATTACTTCTAAAATTCTGAGTGTAATGGAAACTTGCTTATTTTGTTATTTGGAAAACCATCACTTTAGGAAATAATTCTGTAGAGGGTACTACTATTGTTAGTAGCATTAAGTTCACATTAAGAAGCTGTGAGGAGGCCGGGCATGATGGCTCATTCCTATAATCCCAGCACTTTGGGAGGCTAAGGTGGGCAGATCACCTGAGGTCAGGAGTTTGAGACTAGCCTGGCCAACATGGAGAAACCCCATTTCTACTAAAAATATAAAAATTAGCCGGGAGTGGTGGTGCATGCCTGTAGTCCCAGCTACTCGGGAGGCTGATGTGGGAGAATCACTTGAACCTGGGAGGTGGAGGTTGCAGCGGGCCGAGATTATGCCTCTGCCCACCAGCCTGGGTGACAGTGAGACTTTATCTCTGGACCAAAAAAAAAAAGAAGTTGTGATGCCAGGCATGGTGGGTAATCCCAGCACTTTGGGAGGCTAAGGTGGGTGGATCACTTGAGGTCAGGAGTTCAAGACCAGCCTGGCCAACATGGTAAAACTCCATCACTACTAAAAATATAAAAACTAGCTGGGCATGGTGGTGCATGCCTGTAATTCCAGCTACTCAGGTGGCTGAGGCACGAGAATTGCCTGAACCCTGGAGGTGGAGGTTGTAGTGAGCCGAGATCCTGCCACTCCACCTCAGCCTGGGCAACAGAGAAGACTGTGTCTCCAAAAAAAAAAAAAAAAAGCTGTATTATCCACTTCAAGATGTGCTATACACAACAAAAGTCAACATTTCTATTCTACTAAGTGACATATTTTCATAGGTTGATCATAGGGAAAGTTGCTAGCAAAGATAACTATGGCAAGAAACAGGATTCTCAGACGATTACTGAGCCAAATAATTTGAACTATTTTATAAATATGCCAATTCTTATGCATAAGTATTTTTTATAAAAATTTTGTTCCCAATACATGCCTCATTTTAATAATAATTAACATAAAGCAAGGATTAGCACAGTATGGCCTGTGGGTCTAATTTAGCTACTACCTGCTTCTGCAAAATTTTACTGACACACATTGATTGAAACAAATGTCATACCCATCATTTATGTATTGTCTATGGCTGCTTTTACAATACAATGACAGAGTTCAGTAGTTGTGACAAAGACCATATAGCTCCAAAGCCAAAGACCCTTGCAGAAAATGTTTGCCAATTCCTGTCCTAAAGGGTGAGCTCTAATGCAGTAAGTGAAACACATGAAGGAATAGCAAGGCCTAAAATATGTGGGATACAAGTATTATCAACAATTCTATTCAATTCTATATAATACATCTATCTAACACAAATGTCTTTTTTGTAACTAACACATTCTGTATATGCTATGTCAGATGGATTATTTTTATAAGTACAAATTAGTTATAAAAGCATTCCCGGCTGGGCGTGGTGGCTCACGCCTATAATCCCAGGCATGATTACAGGCCTCCCACTTTGGGAGACCGAGGCGGGTGGATCACCTGAGGTCAGGAGTTCGAGACCAGCCTGACCAAAAAGGTGAACCCCGTTTCTACTAAAAATACAAAAATTAGCCGGGCGTGGTGGCAGGCGCCTGTAGTCCCAGCTACTTGGGAAGCTGAGACAGGAGAATCGCTTGAACTGGGAGGCGGAGATCACACCATTGCACTCTAGCCTGGGCGATGGAGCAAGACTCCATCTCAAAAAAAAAAAAAAAAAGGCACTCCCTGTCCAATGAATTCTCATTCATCAACAGCAAAGGAGTTGAGTAATAACAGCAGAGGATTTTTTCCAGTTCTAGATTTCTGGTCCACTGCAGCCCTCAACAACCATCACTTATTGTTAAAAGCCAGAATAACATTTAAAACTAACAAATTACCAATAGTAAATTAGAAATGATGGTGGGATCTACAGCCCAAGACAAAGATAAGCTTGGAACTGAGATCAAAGTATAACTCACAGTCAGAAAGGAAAGTGAGTCTTCTGCTATCACTCCTTTAAGTGTTGCTTTGCCCTCCCAAAGACAGGGAGGTTTTGCTTCGAGAAGGACATCTCTATAGGGAGCATATCTCATATACCAAATTATGGAAAATAAGCATTAATGTGGATAATTTCTTGATTTTCTTCTTAAAATATGGGGAATGAGCACCCACAAGGAAAGGAAAAACTACATAGCTGAACACAATATGAATTTAGCAAGTGTCAAACACGTTTTTATTTGAAGCATAAAAAGTTCCAGAATAATGGTTTACAAAGAATCTTACAGGATCTGCTGTTGTTAATGGTCTATAATCCAAACTTCCTCTAAAGTCTCTGATCATACACATAATTTCATAATTTGGGTTTGTAGCATCAACGTCCTATTAGAAGACAGAGAGAATTCACCATTATAAATATAATAATGTATTTGTTACATTTATATTTGGTTTGAAAATTAAAATTAAATTGTGCCATTTGTCATAACCAAGCCTAAACTTAAACTGACGATATTATATAGTTTCACAGTTGTGGTTTCATAATAAGCTCTGAACCACTTTGTGTTTGTAAAATTGTGTTTTACAAACACAATTCTCTTAGTCGGTATGCATTCTGTTAACTCCAAATTAAGGACTCTTCATTGAAGTTACCCTTCACCTATTTCAAAAATCCATCTGTTATACATATACCTTAATTATCCTATAAAATGCAGCAACAGAGAAATAATGCTCATGTTACCACTGGCAAATAACTCTAGAAAAGCTGAAATTCTAGGAAAATTCATTTAATCAGATTCATCTTCTAATTTAATCCAGTGTTTCAGCAAAGTATAAATACAGATTCATTTGTCTTCATTTTCTATTTTTGCTGACCTTCTAAAAAATACTAAGTAATGACAAAACTGCCCCAAATCAACAGAACATAGAACTTAAAGGAATCAGAAGCCAAGATCATTTTAAAAAAACTTTAAAATTCAAATTTTTGAATGCCAACTACAATTTATTTGGCTTCAAAACAGAAATTCAGATTAAGATACAAATAGCAATAGTCAACAGTCTTTCCTAGCCTTGAACAATAAATTATTAATCATTCTAAGAAGTCACATTTTTTTATACATCATATTCAGATTTGTTTTGAATGCAACTAAATTACAAACTGTTACTGAAACTTACTTTCAATTAACCTTCTTCTAGGAAATAATACCACCTATGTCAACTGAGAAGCAGACTGTGAAGTGAGAATTAAGAGATCACAGAGAGATGTGTAAGTATTATGAAGTACCCACAGGAAACACCAGGTGGCATCTATGCTAAGTATTAGTAGATAATATGTTTTATTATTCATTTCAAAACCCAACTGGTCATTCTCAGGTCACTTTCAGATAAAAGCTGATTCATTCAGGTTGGATATAATACTAGGTCCACAATTCCACAACACAACATCTGAACTGGTAGTTTAACATGATTAAGGGCATTTGAACATACTATTAAATAAATAATCTTGATGTTTTATTAGAGAAAAGTAGTTCTGAAAATGTAATAGATGCCATACAAGCACAATGGTGCAGTTATGTATAATAACAAAATGTCTAATATGTAAAGACCTGTAGAAGAGTAAAAGACCAGTTTTCTATGCAATTTTCCCACTGCTATTAAACAGTCTTGCTACCATCTGAAGGGACCCTGAGGGGGACACAATAGAGATCCACTCTTCATATGTGGCATAAATGAAAATCCAAGGAATTTCCCCCCTTTCACTAAGACATGTGAACTTACTAACCATAGAAAAACAATAATAAAATTTATAGTTTAATCATGCACTTTAACTGGGTATTTTTCCCAATGTATTTTTAGGTCTTTTTAAAATAAAAATTCTTAAATGTTACACCATACACATTAGAATTCTGTAACACAATGGCTTTTTCTTAATGGAACAAATTTTAGCGTTAACACATACCAATAAAACATGAAAAGAACAATGCAGTAAAAATGTGTTACGGTAACTTATTTGCACAAGAGTTTATATTATTCCTCAATATCAATTTAAGGAATTCTTAAAATTCTTCAAAAAAAATGCCTTAATTATTTTGTTCACATCAATCACCTTCACTGATATAATCTAATCTCTGGTTGGTACATAAACAAAATATATGTTTATGTTACGAACCTGGGCTCTTTTTTCTCTAAGTTCTTGCTGTTGCAATCTCCTTTTCTCTCGTTTTTCTTGCAGTTTTTCTACTTCTTTCACACAATTAGATTTTCTACGTGCTGAAAAGAAAAGATGAGCTGTAGAAGTATAGTTTTCTTTTTTAGAGTACTAATATTAAACTTTTTTTATGTATAACTTCACCACACACACATAAAAGGTACACAGTGACAAAGCATGCCTATAACAACTACGTGAGCTTTACTTAATGAGCTGCTTTACCAAAACTAAAATAGGACAATGTACAGATGAGAGTCCAGAAAAATGACTCAAACATATTGATACATGTCATCTCTTGGTTTAGAAACACAGACTTTTTAATTCAAAGAATCAAGGAGCCCAACACATTCTTCTGTAACATCTGACAAATTATCATCTGCCCAGAATTTTAAACTCAAACTGAAACATTGCTATAATTTCACAAAAAAATTTTTGCTCCAAAATATACTTTAAAAAACCCAATTAACAGACTAATAAGAAGAAGTTAAATTTTCCACAGTGGTAAAATGAAATCTGCAATCAAGCTTGTATTTAGAGTGTTTACTCTTTGAGGACTTAAAAGGATGACCAAGAGAGAATACATGTATGCCTAAAATGACTAAATCCTTGATACATAATTTACATACAAGGGGGTCCAAATTCCTTTTTTGCAGCTTGAACTGGAGATATATCTGAAACACTACCATTCTGTTGTGCAGAGGAAGACTGTTCAGGAAATTGACTGGGCCGTGCACGTGCTGAACCAACCACTGTAAGTAAAAAAAAAAAATTTTAAATTCAGGATAGAAAATTAGTAAAAGCTAACCTTAGTAAAAGGAAGAGATAGCCCCCAAAACCTGATACTTAAAAGTTACATTAGTAAGTTGCCAGGTTTTCTATTTATGTATGTAAAATATAATATAGTTTATAATAATTCTGTTCAATAAACTGACATAAGCTAAAAGAGGCTTTCAAAGTAATACGTGCAGACTTAGCTTTCACCAATGTAATTTTAGCTACAAAATTCAATCTAAATAATTTACATAAAAGCCAAAGCCAAGCTTGTTTTTTAATAATCCTTTAAAATATATATGTGAAAACAAAATATATATGTATATATAAACCGCTCCACGTCTTAAAACTTTAAACTGCAAAGAAATCCTCCTAAAATATGTGTGTAAAATATAATTTTTTTTTTTTTTTTTGAGATGAAGTCTCGCTCTGTTGCCCAGGTTGGAGTGCAGTGGTGCAATCTCGGCTCACTGTGACCTCCGCCTCCCAGGTTCAAGTGATCTCCTGCCTCAGCCTCCCGAGTAGCTGAGACTACAGGCGCACGCCACTACACCTGGCTCATTTTTGTAATTTTAGTAGAGACGAGGTTTCACCATATTGGTCAGGCTGGCCTCAAACTCTTCACCTCAGGTGATCCACCCACCTCGGCCTCCCAGTGTGCTGGGATTAAAGGCGTGAGCCACCACACCCGGCAAAATATAAATTTTACATGCCTTCTCATTTTTAAAAATGTACACTAATCAAATATATACAGAGAGTAAAAACTTAGCTTCAACCCTCCCTATATTCCAAATCCCACTCTTTGCTCCTCAAATATGCAAATCTTCAGCAGAGAATTTCCCAATGTGGATATTATACAAGTGGAAAAAAGAATATAAAATTAAATATAAATATCAAATTTTAAAAGAAATATAAATTTACATAAGACTCAAAAGATAGTGTTTAAACTGAAGGACTGTCCCTCCACTTCCAATCTCTCATTTAATACTTCTGTCCATCCTGTTCTACCATCCACACACAGAGAAATAATACTGCCAGAAAAGACAATTCTGAACTACTTAACAATAGAAAATAAATTCATTATGCTTTTCATGTCCTGGCTGAAAATATATGGGAGACTTCAGTTAACTACACAATTTTTATGTCTGTTCAACTTCTTTAGCTAGTGAAATCAGCCAACTAATTGACTCTTTCCCCATTCCTTTCTTTCTCATAATATTCTTCTCGAATTTGCAAAATTATTTAGTAAATAAGATGAATTAAAAATTGCATTTCATAATTTCATATTCATCTCATCCATTTTATTTTATTATATTATTTATTTATTTATTTATTGAGACAGGGTCTCACTCTATTGCCCAGGCTGGAATGCAGTGGCACAATCTCGGCTCACTGAACCTCCACCTCCTGGGTTCAAGCGATCCTCCTGCCTCAGCCTCCCGAGTAGCTGAGACTACAGGTATGTGTCACTGCACTTGGCTAGTTTTTGTATTTTTAGTAGAGATGGAGTTTCATCATGTTGGCCAGGCTGGTCTTGAGCTTCTGACCTCAGGTTATCTGCCCGCCTCGGCCTCTCAAAGTGCTGGGATTTCAGGGGTGAGCCACCGTTCCCAGCCATCATCCCATACATTTTAAAAATCTTTTTTTTTTTTTGGAGATGGAGTCTCGCTCTGTCGCCCAGACTGGAGTGCAGTCGTGCGATCTTGGCTTACTGCAACCTCTGCCTCCCAGGTTCAAGCAATTCTCCTGCCTCAGCCTCCCAAGTAGCTGGGATTACAGGCACTGCCACCATGCCTGGCTAATTTTTTGTATTTTTAGTAGAGACGGGGTTTCACCATGTTGACCAGGGGGGTCTTGAACTACTGACCTCAGGTGATCCACCCGCCTCAGCCTCCCAAAGTGTGGAGATTACAGGCCTGAGTCACCGCACCTGGACAAAATCATTTTTCAGTATTACTGGCATATTGTATTAGGAGATCAAGAAGACACTAGGCTGGGCACAGTGGCTCATGCCTGTAATCCCAACACTTTGGGAGGCCAAGCCAGGAGGATCACTTGAGCCCAGGAGTTCAAGACCAGCCCAGGCAACATGGAAAGACTCTCTACTAAAAAATCAAAAAATTAGCTGGGCATAGTGGCTCATGCCTGTGGTCCCAGCTACATGTGAGGCTGAGGCAGGAGGATCATCTGACCCTGGGAGGTCAAGGCTGTAGTGAGCTGTGTTCATGCCAATGTACTCTAGACTGGGTGATAGAGCAAGACCCTGTCTCAAAAAAAAAACCAAAAAACAAAAAACAAAACAAAACAAAAAAGCACCTCTTAAAATTAGCCAGGTAAAATTTAAATAAATACCAACATCAAGGGTAATGTTTACTTTTGATTTACCTTGTCAGGAACATACTAAGAAGTCAATAGCCAAAATTAAGAGATAAATTTTTACTTTACCTCTATTATCTCTTGAAGGAGGGTCATTCTTAATAGAAGCTACAGTCCGTCGATTCTATGAAAGGAAAAAATGTTCATTATGTTTTCTATCTTTACTCCCTCATATGTATCATGATCTGAGCTTCTTTCAATTAAACAAAAGTAGGCAGACATGTAAGAATATAAAACAAAATGAAGAAAAACTATAATCTTAATGAATTACTATTAATGCTATCAATATTCAAGTTCCTTTATATATTTTCCCCTACCCTCCAAAAATATTCAGGAATTAATATGAGCCAGGCACTGATCTAAGGACTTTCTTCACAACAACCTATGAGGTCATTACTACTGCTATTCCCATCTCATCGATGAGGAAACTGAAACAAAGAGAGGTTAAGTAGCTTCACAATAATATGTGTTTTAATCATCATTTCTGAATAATAGGGGGTAATTTATAAAATATTAGTTCTAGACAGCTTAGAACCCCTTGTTAAACTGAAATATCAGAATACTATAAAATGTACATTGTCAGTTATCCTAAAAAGGTTTCATAAGAGTTTCTAAGACTTGGACACTGTACAGATTAAGGCAGCAAACTTTTGGTCCTCTAATTCATTCATGAAGACTTCCTTTTATTCACCTCAAAAAAAGATATCAAATAATGTAGCTGTCTTAACCTTGGATGCACATTCAAATCAGATGAGTACTATTAAAAGGAAACTGATGCCAGGGTCTCCCTTTAGGTAAAATAAAACTGAATCTCTGGGAGTGGGGCCCATAAATCAGTATTTTTAAAAATACTGATTTATTTTAATACTTTAAAAATATTTTTAATACTTTTAAAAATACTTATTTATAATTAAAATAAATCCTTATTTTTAAAATAAATATTTATTTTTAAAATATACTGATTTAATCTATTCCAGGTAATTCTAATGTACAGTAAAGGTTGCTAATGATATACCAGGAAGAATAAACTACAAAAATCCTCCAATGAAGATCCCTCATTTTGAAGATGAATATAAAAAATAATCCATGTATAAGTGGTAACTAATAACCTCTAAGTGGTGACTCTCAATATGATTAAACTCATGAGTTGAAAATATGCCTCAGGTTCAACTGCATAGTTTATGAAACAAAGTTTTGTTGCTTCTATTATACTATATTTAAATGCTTATCTATGTCCTCCCTGAAAGATATCAAGTTCCTACAGGCTGAAAGCCATGTCATCATTCATCTTTGTATTTTGTCCAGCATAGTATTTGGCACAATGTAAAAAAGCAAAACAACAACAACAAAACCACAAATGCTTGTTGAGATGAACACAAAGAACCGCAGATTCAACAACTTTGCAATACTACCTGTTTTAAAAAGAGTTGTATTTTGAAACAAAAATTTAATACTGAAAGGTCTTGAGAGAAAGGAAGGAGAATTATCTTTAAAAGCCAGAAGAATAATGTGCTTTTAATTTTTATAAAGATAAAACTGCTAGGGAGGATTTAGCACAGTTTTAAGGTATATCATGACAGTCAATATAGAAGTGAACTACACTATCATTTCCCATCTTTCTTTAAGAAACAAATAGCAGAATTATACTTTCAAAAGACTATCAGAGTTGGTAGTTATTATTCCTAAGAAACAGCTATTATGCCTTTGTCAAAGTCATATGTCTTCATTCAACAAACACCAAGCAAATGGTTTTGATCTATATCTCCTGAGAAACTTAGTCTCAGGAAAAATACTAATTAGGTGAGAAATTTCTAAGACCTTATCCAACGATGGTCATAATTGTGAATTAGACAACCTCAATCCTTGAAAATATGTATGTATATATATGAATATGATGGCAGAAAAAGCAAATTAATCAATTCTTAAACTCTTCAAAGCCTACCAATTTCAAACTAGAACACACACACATCTACAACTCCCGCTCTCTCCCAGTGTCCTGCACTCTGAATTTTCATCACTAACCTTTACAATTTTGTTTACTTTGGCTGAGGATGCTGGAGGTGGAGGTGTTTCTGGACTGGGTTCAATTTCTTCATCAGGAACAAGGTCAGGGTTAAGTGAAAAGATGCTCTCCAGGTCAATCTGTTCACAACACATACACATAGTCTTTTGAGAGTATATTTTGACAATTAACCTTTTACTTTTCAAGTAAATTGATGAAGTAAATAACTCTTAAATTACTTTAGCCTAATGAATACAGTAACTCGGCTGGGTGCAGTGGCTCATGCCTGTAATCTTAGCACTTTGGGAGGTCAAGGTGGGCGGATCATTTGAGCCCAGGAGTCTGAGACCAGCCTGGGCAACATGGTGAAACCCCATCTCTACAAAAAATACAAAAATTAGCCAGGTGTGGTGGTGCACACCTGTAGTCCCAGCTACTCTGGAGACAGGTGGGAGGGTCACTTGAGCCCAGGAGGTCAAGGCTGCAGTAAGCCATGATCATGACACTGCACTCCAGCCTGGGTGACAAAGTGAGACCCTGTCTCAAAAACAAAAAAAAAAGAATACAGTGCCTTAGCCTTACAAATGAGATTTAGAATTATAATCCACAAATTTAAAGAATCTCTCTTAAAATATCATTTTATAGTCTTGACTCTATGAATTGCTAACAACACAGTGACCAATAGAACCACATAATTAAATATTATAGCACATTTTCAAACTGTGTGAGCTAGACTTAAAGAATAGTATATTTTATCAAATAATTAAGACTGATATGTGCAATCACATAAGAGATACAGGAGGAATCTACCTTTAAGTGAAAATTTTTAATCATTTGAAAGTTTTCAAGGAATAATAAAAATATATGCACTAAATAAAATAACATTATGTACTTTTCTGTTTTGTTTTATATTCAGAATCTTGATTGCAGGACTAGGAATAAAATTAAACTCAGTGATCTTACCTCTTTGCCTTTTGTATCTCCATTTTCTATCCATTCAACAGTTACACTTTCATTATCTTCATTTAAAGATGTTACCATTGCTTGATGTATTCGGCCTATGTGGGAATAAAGTATACACCTTAAAAATGCCACAAATTATGGCATTCCTAAACACTGTGAAATACAATTTTATAACTTGGAAATTAAAAAAAAAATGACACTACTTTTCCTTACAAGAGATTTCCACAGACCCTCAGGAACAGGGAATGAACTTTGTCCACGGGGCCATAAATCAATTTGCTACTTGTCAAGTCCAGTAAATCAGTAAATCAGGTAAGACCTAAAGTTTATTTTCAGCATATATGATAAATGGTCACACAGTGACATACAATGCCTGAAATCTTAAACTGTTAAACAGTTCTAATCATTAGAAAGTGTCCTTACTATGAGCCAAAAATGATTCTGTAGAACAAAGAACAAAAATGTATAAAGCAAAATTTTTTTTCCTGAGACAGTCTCGCTCTGTTACCTAAGCTATAGAGCAGTGATGCGATCTTGGCTCACTGCAACCTCTGCCTCCTGGGTTCAAGTGATTCTTGTGCCTCAGCCTCCTAAGTAGCTGAGATTACAGCCATGCATCACCACACCCAGCTAATTTTAGTATTTTTAGTAGGGACGGGGTTTCACCATATCGCGCAGGCTGGTATCGAAATCCTGGCCTCGAGTGATCCACCCACCTCGGGCTCCCAAAGTGATGGGATTACCGGCATGAGCTACTGTGCCTGGTTCAGAAAGCAGTTTTAAATATTATACTGATATAAAATACTTTTTACTTAAAAACCACTTTTTACCATATACGATGCAAATTGATAAAATTTTAAAATTAAGAAATGTGATTCCAAAAAGGTTGGGAAATGCTCATTTAAAATGTCCTCTTCTATATGTTGTCTATCCAAATCTATTCTATTCCTTACTTTCCCTAACTACTCCAGTCTTACAATCTGTAGAGAGAAGATATTATATATAATGTAGTAAACTTATTTTCCCTTCTTAGTAGACTGTAGGTTTTATCTGATAATAACTACAGAGCTAAATAATTATTTTTAATTATTACATAATATTTCATTATGTTTATCATAAATTATTTAATACCTATTGATGGTCACTTAGGTTATGTGCCATTTATTATTATTATTATAAACACTGCAATGAATACTATTGTATATTTGTCATTATGTACTTGTTGGATTATTTGCCTAGGACAAATTCCTAGAAGCACACCAACAGAATATATACATATATAAAATACTTTTTAAAAAATTTATTTCATCTGTTTTCATCTTACCGATCCATCTGGTTGTTACTCAAGTAGAGACAGAAACTATGCAATATACTGCATCTTCAATATTTCCTAATAGAAATCCTTGGGGGCATCTATAATTTATCTTAAGATAATTTATAGCTCCTTAAATGTCTAAAAACAGATATATAGTACAGAAAACAATGTTATTATAATGAGGCATTCAATACTGTTAAAACATGGGCACTATAATAATTTAATAAGTATTATTGTTTATGAAATTACTATCACTGCCTTTTATTTTATTTTCAACAGAGACAGAGTCTCACTATGTTGCCAAGGCTGGTCTCAAACTCCTGGGCTCAGGGAATCCACCTGCCTTGGCCTGCTGAAATGCTGGGATTACAGGTGTGAGCCACTGTGCCCGACCTACCTTCTATTTTTTCTTTTCTTTTTTTTTTTTTGAGACAGAGTCTCAAGCGATTCTCATGCCTCAGCCTCCCAAGTAGCAGCTGGGATTACAGGCATGCACCACCATGCCCAGCTCTTTTTTTTTTTGAGACAGAGTCTTGCTCTGTCACCCATGCTGGAGTGCAGTGGAGCAATCTCAGCTCACCACAACCTCCGTGTCTGGGGTTCAAGCAATTCTCCTGCCTCAGCCTCCCAAGTAGCTGGGATTACAGGCACGTGCCACCACAATGGGCTAATTTTTGTATTTTTAGTAGAGACGGGGTTTCACCATGTTGGCCAGGCTAGTCTCGAACTCCTGACCTCAAGTGGTCTGCCCTCCTCGGCCTCCCAAAGTGCTGGGATTACAGGCATGAGCCACCACGCCTGGCCCTGGCTAAATTTTGTATTTTTAGTAGAGGACAGGGTTTCTCCATGTTGGCCAGGCTGATCTCAAACTCCTGGCCTCAGGCGATCTGCCCACCTTGGCCTCCATAAGTGCTGGGACTACAGGCGTGAGCCACCACGCCCGGCCTTGTGGCCTACCTTTTATATGAGCTCATATAAAAATCCATATAAGTAATAAATGAACATAATCTTATAGATTTCAAATAGTGAGGATGTTAAGTACTCTCAAATGATATACTGGTGTTGCTTTTTAAAGAAAAAACTAAAATACATACTAGTGATCTTTCCATGACAATATGTATAGACCTACCTATTATTTTTCATAACCACAAAGCATTCCATAAATGAATATATCACAATTTATTCCTTTATTAGGAGTATTATTTCCAACTGTTTGCCATTAAAAGATGCTGCACTGAATATCTGAACATAGGTGTGAATGCTTCCACAAATAAAATTTCTAGAAGGAGAATTAGTGGGTCAAGAAAATTGAAATTTTGATAGATATTCCTGAACCGCCCTTTGTATACATTCTCACCAACAGTGGGACCTATTCCTCCACACCCTCAACAACACTGAGCATTATCAATCCTAACACTTTTATCATCTCATGTGTCAGATTTCTTTAAGCTACTACTTTTTAAGTATGAATATGTCAGATACTAGCTCATTTAATTCACATTGGTTCATTTAATCATAACAAATATACCTACAAAGTAGGTATCTGCATTTTTTTTTTTTTTTGAGATGGAGTCGCGCTCTGTCACCAGGTTGGACTGCAGTGGTGCGATCTCGCTCGGCTCACTGCAACCTCCACCTCCCAGGTTCAAGCGATTTTCCTGCCTCAGCCTCCTGAGTAGCTAGACTACAGGTGCGCACCACCACGCCCAGCTAATTTTTTGTATTTTTAGTAGAGACAGGGTTTCACCATGTTGGCCAGGATGGTCTCCATCTCTTGACTTCATGATCTGCCCGCCTCAGCCTCCCAAAGTGCTGGGATTACAGGCGTGAGCCACTGCGCCCAGCCGGTAACTGCATTTATAGATGAGAAAAATAAAGCTCAAAGTTACACAGTGAATAAGCAGCATGGGTCTAAACCTTGGTCAGATGTAAAAGTACTTGCTATTAATCACTATGCTTCTCTACTCACTTCAATTAAGCTGATGAAGATGTCTATATGTCTTAAGTCCAGGCATTCCTATAAAAATGTATAAACGGTAACACAAATTCTCAACCCTCATGTGTACCAGAAACTCCTAGGGAGCTTTCACAAAATAAAATGACATTGCTTGAGTCTTGCCCCCAGATAATGAGCCAATTCTTAACAACTTCACTGCTATCATCTTGGTGCAAGCTACCAATGCCTTGTACTTAGATTACTGTGATACTCTCCCAACTAGTCTTCCTGCTTCCAACTTATCTGCCCTCTGTCTGTTCTCCAGAGCAGCCAAAATGTTCCTGGTAAAAAGTGAGTCAGATATTACTCCTTTGCTCAAAACCTTCCAATGACTCCCCCATCTCACACAGAGTAGAAGCTAAAGTCCTTTCAATGACCTATTAATGACTTACAACAAAGCCCTACATGATCTGACCCGCATTACCTGTGACCTCATTCATGCCTTACTAAAGTCACTCCTTTTTAATTGTCTGATTCCTATCTCACACAATACCACCTCCATTCCCCCCACTTCCCCAAAAGATGGGTCACAAACTTAAATGTGAAAGATGTAAAAGCAACTGAGTAAATAGTGGTGCCTTTTACTAATACAGATGGGCATTAGAGGAGATGCAGGTGCTGGGGGTGGGTGAAATTGATGACCTAAAAAAATACTGGGAGGAGTCAAAAGGGAGTTAAAAAAGGGAAATTAAATAATCCTTACTTCAATTTCAGAGACAAATTAGGTAAATAACCAGTGGAAGTGATATGTGTCATTTGGAGTCCTCTGAGAAGCAGATGAGAGAGTTGGGAGTACAAGAGGTTTACTGCTAAAGATAAAAGGGGGAGGAAAGAGGACTGAGCACAGAAAACTTTCAGACCAGGCTGGGTGCGGTGGCTCACGCCTGTAATCCCAGCACTTTGGGAGGCTGAGGCGGGCAGATCACTTGAGGTCAGGGGTTCAAGACCAGCCTGGCCAACATGGTGAAACACAGTCTCTACTAAAAATACAAAATTATCTGGGTGTGGTGGTGGGCGCCTGTAATCCCAGCTACTCAGGAGGCTGATGCAGGAGAATCACTTAAACCCAGGAGGTGGAGGTTGCAGTGAACCAAGATCGCTCCACTGCACTCCAGCCTGGGCAAGAGCGAGACTCCACTTCAAAAAAAAAAAAAAATTAAGATTAAAATAAAAAATAATGAAAACTTTCAGACCATGATGCAGATTTGAAACCTATGAAGGAAGTGGCTGTGAAGCAGGACTGAGCAGAGAAAGCCTCAGACCTTGATGCAGATCTAACAAAGTCTTGGTCAACCCAGTAGGGTGCTTCAGAGCAAGACTGCCCATTAGAGGAGTCCTGCACTGAGCCAAAATGGATATGTCCTATTACCCATGCCATGCTCTATCACTGGCTGTGGATTTCCCAGGAAATTCAAGTTCTCAACCCCAAACCTAAAGGCCCTGAAGGTACTAACAACTGGAGGTTGTCAGCTAACTGCACTCCCTGAAACTGAAATTCTTTCTTAGAGAGACATCTAAGCAGTGCACCTGCATGGCTGCCACAGCATATGAGAAAGAGGATGAGTTTAACTGGTAGTGGGAATGAAGAGTGGACCCCAGAGAGCCATAAGCAGCCCAGTCACCATCACAATCTGGGAGGAGCCTACCGCTGCTGCATCAAGCCCCGCATCAATCACCATCTCTACAACATGAGTAGTGAGGCTAAGACCTGGCAGCCATCCTTTCCCCAACTGCCCGTGGCAGCCCCACAATATACTAATACCCACTAGTGGGGACAAGAAGATTATAGCAACAAAGGTTTTGGAGAAAGTAAAAGAGTTTAATAAAACACTGATATGGTTTTATCAGCAGAAAGGAAGGAAATATTTCAGCCTAAGGAAGATGCATTTTAATCAGACTACTGTGAAGAATAACCCTCAGCAGGAAATGAAGAGGCCGTGGTTGAGGTTAAAGAAATGAGACACCTAGCTATCAAATCTAGTTGGAAAAAAAAGAAAAAAGAAATGAGTTACCAAGGTGGATCTCCATGCAATTACCAGTAGAATTACCACAGTAATGAGAATGGGGAAAAATATGTGGATATTCCAAAAGGCAAGACCAACACAACCATTCTTATTGTTGGGCATCTACCATGGTATTCCCACCCTTCTAGGCAAGGAGTGACTTAATGTACCATAACTAGGTGTGCGAAAAAAAGGTGGGCCGGTGGAGCAAAATTCGTACCAGGACTACAGGTCGCAAATTCACAGAAACTTTAATCTCCAAAGACAGGCTAGAGAGATTGGCAATGAGAGGATAAAGCAAATCAAGGAGGCTGGGCACAGTGGCTCACACCTGTGATCCCAGCACTTTGGGAGGCAGAAGCAGGAGGATGGCTTGAGCCCAGGAGTTTGAGACTAGGTTGGCAACATACCGAGACCTCAACTCTATAAAAAAAATTTAAAAATCAACAGGGCATGGTGGTGTCCACCTACAGGCCCAGCAACTTGGGAGGCTGAGGTAGGAGGATTGCTTGAGCCTAGGAGGTCAAGGCTGCAGTGAGCTGTGATTGTGCCACGGCACTCCAGCTTGGGCAAGAGTGAGATCCTGTCTCCAAAAAAAAAAAAATCAAGGAGACAACATCCAGTATCAGCAGTCTCCTCAATATTGGAACCTCTATGACCTCAACCACCAGTGTACACATCCAGAAAGCCTTAAATCACAAGTTTGCAGAGTCAAAAGCATCTGATCTAAGACTAAACTCTAGAGGTTGAGCAGGGCAGGACTGAGAATTATGTTGCCTTATCTCTACCATAATCCAGTTTACTCATCCAACAAGAAGTGAATACGAAATTCCAGCAATAAGAAATGAATAGACAAAGTCTTAAGCATTTGCTTTTTGCCAATTAATCAGATAACTAGAACCATCTACACTACCTACAATACCAATGCAGCATGGGGCTTTTATTTGCACCAAAAGATGTCTCTAAAAAATGTTATTTTCTTTTTAAAAACCAACTTTACCCAATATGACTTTAAATATTTTTTAATTGTCGTATATATGGCTTTTCATTGAGCTACTCAAATACCTCTTTTTAAATTATAATACAAATTTATAATTTTTCTTTTTAAATTTTAATTTTTTTCTTTAACAAAGACATCCAATGATTTATTTAGAAAGTTAAGTAGTAAACACCTGTTAACAAAGGTGTTAAGTAATAAGAGAAACAATAATAAGATACATGAAAAATTTTTCAAAGGAAAAAATCATGATATGGTGACAACATACAGGCATAACAAGAAGGTTTCAAGCCTGGATGACTGGGAGAATGATGCCACTAGGGGGAGAACAATGAGATGCTCAAGTCTCAGTTGTTAATAGGGATCATGCATAGACGTTAATAAGACTAATCAGGACTAGAAATATCTTTCCCTAGAAAATGCAACAATCTTTCCATGTGGCCTTCCAATACCATCCCATTTCTCTGATCCACCTGAGAAAACTCCTGTATTCCATCTTCACTAACTCATTGCCCTTTGACTCTCTCTGATTCACCATTTACTTTACTGTGAATTATATCACATATACTTCCACATTAAAGAAAAATAATAATAGAGCAAATGCCTGTGTAACTACCACCAGCTAGGTTAAAAAACACTTTTGAAACCCCATACATTCCCCTCCCAAAGATAACAACTGCCAGGTGCAGTGGCTCACGCCTGCAATCCCAGCACTTTGGGAGGCTGAGGTGGGTGGATCACCAGAGATCAGGAGTTTGAGACCAGCCTGGCCAACATGGTGAAACCCCCTCTCTACTAAAAACACAAAAAATTAGCTGGGCATGGTGGTGCGTGCCTGTAATCCCAGCTACTCAGGAGGCTGATGCAGAATTGCTTGAACCCGGGAGGCAGAGGTTGCAGTGAGCCAAGATCGCGCCATTGCACTCCAGCCTGGACAATAAGAGCAAAATTCTGTCTCAAAAAAAAAAAAAAAAAAGTACTAAAAGTAACTACCCAGATATTTGAGATAATCATATTTTGGCTTTTCTTTATAGTTTTATCACCTTTAAATGTAACACACACACACAGAAATCTAAACAGTTTACTTCTCTTTAAATTGCATATGCATGGATTAACACTATTTTAAGACCTGTGTGTTTTTTTTTTTTGCTCAATACTATTTTTTGCAATTCATTTATGTTGTATATATAAAATGTATATAACTCATTTTCACTACAATATAGTATTTCATTGCACAAATATACATTTTATCTATTCTACTATCAGACATTTGAGTTGTTTTTATGTTTCTGCTATTAGGAACAATGATGCTATGGACATTCTTACATATGTGTACTGGTACAAATGTGCAATAATTTCTCTAAGATACATAATAAGAGAAGAAATACAGAATAATTGAGTCCACATATATAAAACTTTTCTCTTCGGTGCCATGATGCTTCCTATCGATAGTGGCTGTGTGATAGTTTGTATATTCATCCCTGCCTAAATCTCACGTGGAATTGTAATCCCTATATTGGAGGTGGGGCCCAGTGGAGGTGATTGGATGGTGGAGGTGACTAGATCACTGGGGTGGATTTCTCATGAATGGTTTAGCACCATCCCCTTGGTGATGAGTGCACCATCCCCTTGGTGATGAGTGCTGTCCTCATGACAGTGAGTTCTGTTCTCTGGCTGTTTAAAAGTGTGTGGCATCTCCCTCTCTCTTGCTCCTGCTCCCCCTTAGCCTTCATGAGACCTTCCCAGAAGCTGAGCAGATGCCAGCATCATGCTTCCTGCAAAGCCTGCAGACCTGCAAGCCAATTAAACCTCTTTTCTTTATAAATTACCCAGTCTCAAGTATTTATAGCAATGAAAGATGGGCCTAACACACAGTATCTATAATGATTTGTAATCCCCCTAGCAATTACTCCACATTCATGAAAACAATATTAGTCAGATTTAATGTATCATATTATGGTTCTAATTTCTCTGATTTAATGAGGTTTTGCCTGTTTTTGTGCTTGTTAGCCATTCAGGCCTTTTGAGTACTGACTTGAGTGTTGGGGCCTCTTTGTTTGGGCTATTTCTCTATAGGAATTCTATATATATTCTTGATATTAATCTTTTGTTGTATGTATAGCAAATATTTTCTACAAAGTTGTGGCTTATCTTTTCATGTTCTTTATGGTGCTTTTGATGCATTTAAATTCTTAATTCTAATGTAGTCAAATGTATGTTTTTCCATTATGGATTTTTTTTGTTGTTTTTTGGTATGCTATGAAATTTTTCCTAAGATTGAGATCCCTAAAACAGTCTCTTACATTTTCTTTTAAAGTTTTATAAGCCAGATGTGGTGGCTCAGGCCTGTAATCCCAGCACTGTGGGAGGCTGAGGTGGGCAGATCACTTGAGATTAGGAGTTTGAGACCACCCTGGCCAACATGGTGGAACTCTAACTCTACTAAAAATACAAAAAATTATCCAGGTGTGGTGGTGGGTGTCTGTAATCCCAGATACTTGGGAGGCTGAGACAGGAGAATTGCTTGAGCCCGGGAGGCAGAGGTTGAAGTGAGCCAAGATTGTGCCTCTGCACTCGAGTCTGGGTGACACAGCAAGACTCCGACTCGAATAAATAAAATTTTACAAAACCTTTCATATTTGGGACCTTAATCCGTTGGCATTTTGTTATTTTTATATGATAACACAATTTCCTTTCCAGGACCATTTCCTGAAAATTCCCTTTCCCCTCTACTTATCAGCAATACTACCTGTGTCATAGTTCAAGCATACATGCATGAGTTTATTTATCCCTGAACTAAAATTACATTTAGTATTATAGCTTTGCTTATTATTAAGTCTTGCCATATAGAATAAGCCCTCCTGTCTTATTGTTCTTTAAGAGTCTCTTTGATCTTCTTGGCCTTTTGCATGTCTGTATAAACTTTAGAATCAGCTTGTGAAGTTCCAAAAATCATATAAACCAATAATCACAAAACACTACCTATTGGGATTCTGACTGGAATTGCATTGTCTGTTTTGTTCTGGATTTTTATATCATTAATTAAGACTGATACTGGCCAGCAATTTTCCTTTCTCAAAGCTACTTTTTTTTTTTTTTTAAGAGTTCGGGGGTCTCTCTCTGTGCCCAGGCTGAAGTACGGTGGTGTGATCATGGCTCACTACAGCCTCATGTGATCCTCCTGCTTCAGCCTGCCGAGTAGCAAGGATTACAGGCATGCACTACTATGCCTGGCAAATTTTTTGTAGAGACAGGGTTTCGCTATGTTGACCACGCTGGTCTTTAACTTCTGGTCTCAAGCAATTCCCCTGCATCAGCCTCCCAAAGTGCTGGGATTACAGGTGTGAGCCACTGCTCCCAGCCTCTCATAACAATCTTATTAGATTTTGGTATCATGGTTATACTAATCTTTATTTTTTTTTTTGAGACAGTCTTGTTCTGTTGCCCAGGCTGGAGTGCGATGGTGTGATCTCGGCTCACTGCAACCTCTGCCTCCCAGGTTCAAGTGATTCTCCTGCCTCAGCCTCCTGAATAGCTGGGATTACATGCACGCGCCACCACACCTTGCTAATTTTTGTATTTTTAGTAGAGAGGGGGTTTCACCACGCTGGCCAGGCTGGTCTGGAACTCCTGACCTCAGGTGATCCGCCCACCTTGGCCTCCCAATGTGCTGGGATTGCAGCCATGAGCCACCGTGCCCGGCTGGTTATACTAATCTCATAAAATGATTTTCTATGGCAGAGTTTTCCCTTTCCGTACTCTAGAATAGTTGGTGTGAAATTAGATTATTCAACTCTTGAGTATTTGGTAGGCACTTGTTAAACCATCTTGCTTTGCGTTATTATAAGAAGATCCAATTTCCTTAATAATTATAGTATTAGTTTTTATTGTTTTCATAATTATATTTTTCTAGGAGTTTTAGATAAAGTTTCCACATTTTTGGCATCAAGTTCATATCTGTTTAATGCCTCTGGCATCTGATATGATGTCCACATTTTCATTCCTAGTATTTTGGTAAACTTTTTTCTCTTAATCTCACCTGGGATTTGTTCATTTGTCTTTTCCAAGAATAAACCTGACTTCGTTGAGTCTTTTTTATTAGGTGTTATTATGTACTTAATTTCTGCTATTATTACTTCTTTCTTTCAACTTACTTTGGGCATATTTTACTGTTTTTTCCCCTTAAATTCTTAAGATGAATGCTTAAGTCATTCACCATCCTTATTCTATTTTCTTTATAAGCCGCTAAAGCTACACATTTCTTTCCCAGAACTGTTTTAGCAGCATCTTACAAGTTTTTACATGTAGTTTTTTTGTTATTGTTCAGTTCCACCTATTTTTCTAATTTTCATGATGCTTTGTCTCATGAGTTATTTAGAAATGTTTCTCAAATTCCAGACATGGGGGTTTTCTAGGTATCCTGTTAATGATTTCTAAAGGTGAGATAACTGACCAATCAGAACAGACAGAGTCACAATAATTGGTATGACTTTTCCCAGTGCACAGTGGCTGAATACCCCTGTATTTCTACCATAACTGTACTGGGCTGCCTTCCTTGATGGAAAATTTCTTATAAATCTAGCTCCAGGAGCAAATCAGCGGCATTTAAAAACCAGCATTTTTAAGAGGAGCCGCAGAAGTCCTTGTCTTCAAACAGTGGACCTGACTCTGATTCTCCTTTAAAGTCTCTTTCTCCCGCATCATCCTATAGGAATCAAACTTTTGACATCCATGCCTGCTTCAGCCTCATCCATCTCTTAGAATTCCTGTTCCATTACTAATCCATGATCTTGTTTTTGAGCTCAGCTATGCCTTTTTGGTTTCCTCTTATGTGTTTGGGACAGAAGGATGCCAATACATGAACTTTATTATACTATTTTGAACCAGAAGCCTCAATCCATCTTTAAGTCCTAAGTCATATTCATAGAAAATGAGGTCAGATTTGAAAATTCTAAGTTTACATTGTTATATAAAATCAATACTACCATATAAAAGATAACTTATAGTTTCAAAAACTCTATGGCTTTTTAAAACTTAAAATCCAGAGACATATTTAAAAGTCTTCCATTTTGTTTCAATCTAGTTGTAAACATAAATTAGTACAGAAAATGTCATCTGTTAGGGGTAAAGTGAAACAAAAAACACCTGCAAGGAGTTTTCTCAATTTTTTATTAAAATATTTAATTAAAAATAATACCCACTGTGGCACTGTCCTCCATTGAGAGGTGAAAAGGTGGTGAGGAGGAGCTGGCAATGCCCATCTCTAGGAATCCGGACAAGCCCTGCCTCCCAGGTTCCCGTTTATATCCCCAACTTTCCAACAGGTTCTGACCTCCAGGCAGTTGGTTCAAAGTTACAAGTGCTTGTGACCCTCCCTTGAGCTCCTCCAGGCCCACCCCTGTACAGAATTCAAGGGCCACCTGAACAAACTCCTTGCTTTTTCTCATTTTTGGGCTCCTTCGTTCATGCTACAAAGAGGATCTGAGGGACAGAGTGGCGTCTCTACTAGCTGGGGTAAGGGAGGAAATGGACAGTAATGGGGGACAGGGCCAAGAAGAGGGATGGTGATGAATACTCCAGAGCAGGATCGGGTAGCAGGGCACTGGGTCTCTCAGCATGTATAGCCCTTCCAGGCCCAATAGCTCCATGCGCAGCTCATCTTCTAGCCCTAGCCCCAACTCCAACCCTGCTACTGACACCTCAAAGCCAGGCACTCCAGCCAGGGTTGCTGCAATCTCCTTAGAGAAACCTGGGAAGGAGTCTCCTATGAGGATGATGTTCAGCCTTGAGCCACAGCAGGAGCAGTGGTGGGTCAAGTTCTGGTGGTTGAGGGTGTGGGAATCCTGAGGGCCAGCCACTGGTCCCTCACCTTCTAAAAATCCAGGCCCTTCAGAAAAGCCAGGGGGACCCATCACCAGGCTGATTTATGGGCTCTCCATGCTGAACTGCTCCAGTTCCCCAGGCTGAAGTCACTCATCGGCCAGTGAAGACTTGCCCAAGCCCAGTGGGCCGAGGCGGGGAGTATTCCATAATCCAATTGCCTGCTCAGGGGCTACCCACCTGAGGGCTGCGCTGAGCAGGCCTGAGAGGGCAGCTCTGGCTGCTGTAGAGACTTTGGGGTGTGTGGCTGGGTGTGCAGATTACTGGTCTCCAGGGGGACACCCTGAACGATGGAAGACAGGGTGGGTGACACTGGCAAAAACTGTTTGGGTAGCTGCTGTTGCGACCTTCTGGCATCGGCTGGACCTGTGAGCAAACTTAGGGGGCTGAGGGGTACAAGGCAGTGGTGGTGGGGAGGCCCCAGGAGTAGAGGTTGAGTAAGGTAGGGGCAGATGAAGAATAAAGTGGAGGACGAGAGGAGGAGTAGGAGAAGGAAGAGGAAGAGGGGGAGGAAGAGGGGGAGGAGGAGGAGAAGTGGGGGGCAGGGTACTTAGTGAGGGCTGGCCCAGGAAGGTAGTAGGCAGGGCATGGTGGGCCAAGGAAGAGGGAGATAGTGAGGGGAGACTGTGGATGCCCTGAAGATGGAGCTGAGGACTGCTCAGGGAAGTCTGGAGATCGGGATTGCTTAGGGAGGACTGCAGGGATGGGTGGCTGAGAGGTGAACAAAGTCCTGGGGCATCATGACCTGGACCCAAGTCCAGGCTCAGGCCCTCACTAATGCCCAGGTGAGTCATGATGTGAGTCAAATTGGAGGTACTGTTGCCCCTATTCAGGCTAGAGTAGGCTGTCTCCTCAGGGTCCGGGGGGTGGGCAGTGCTGGCAGAAAGTACAAATTGATGAGGTCAGGTAGGGACCTCCTGCCACATCCAGTCTTCATGGCAGGTGGGAGGACAGGAACATTGGCAAGCTGGCCAGGAAATGGAAAGATATTAATTCCAGGGACTTCATTAGGACCGGGGTCAGGAGGAGGGTGACGACAGCTTCTAAGTATCCCATGGCTTCAGCAAATGCTTGTCACCTAGGAGAACTTCTCCTCAATAGCAGGTACTTTGGAGTCCATTTTACCAACCTGAAATGTTGGCTGGGCAGGATGCTGGGAGGTGTGGGGCCTGAATAAGTATCCTGGGGACTGGGGTTCATCATACTTGTGTGAAGGGCAGAGTCAGAGCTTGTCCTGTTAAATGCAGATGCTGGGCAAAACAGGTACCCCTTCTCTGCAGGGAAATTGTCCCAGGAGATAGTCCTTCACCAGCTGGACACTTGGGGAGGAGATAAGTAGGCAGGACTATAGGGAGAGCTGTCAGTGTGGTAGGGTGTTGGCAGAGAACCACCATAACGGGAGCTCCTTGTGTATGGCAGTTGCAGTTTTTGGGTGTGTAACTGGGTGGAGCTGATGTCCATTATCATTTCCTCGAGGGCCACTGTGTCCTCAGCCTGACACTGCTTCTGCAGCGTGATCTCACTAAACTTGCACAGATTGAAAGCCAAGGCTGTGGCCGAACAAGGCTCATTTGCCCTGCCCCTGATGTCGCCATCTTCCTCCCGTTCCTTCCTGACACCCTCCCAGTACAAGCCACTGTTCCTCCCTCAACACCTCCCAGCATCCTATTCCAGCCACAGCGACTGCCGCCTCAGCCTCACAAACAGTTTTGGAAAGTACAGGCAAACCCTGCAGAATAGCTCCCCAATCATTATTTTCCCAATAGAACACCTCTTGGTTTTTAATACCAAAACCTCCTAAAATGTGCTTTTCTCACAATGCAAGATTGTTCTGGCAAATATTTATGTAAGGAAAGATTTATATTTGTATGTGACAAAACTCAATTCGCATTTTAAATAAAAGATTGTGCAAGAAAAGTTTGGAGCTACATTCCAAATATAATCGATAGACTGTTAGAATCACAGTAGACATAAAAAATCATGCGAAGTATCAAAGTGATACAAAATGTAGGTATAGGATGATGCTTTTATCATATTCAGTATGAGCCATTTACTAACACAGTTTGCTTGTCCTCAATGTATTTCTACAGCCTCTCATATACTTGTTTAGCCTGTTTTGCTTACTGCTGAGAGTCCCTAAACATTTAAGAAAATGTTGAAGAGAACAGTGGGAATGGGCAAAAAGCAATTATACTGGAAGAAAAGATTTTACTATATATAAATCTGATTTGTTAATCTCATTGTATTGATCACACATGATGATATTTTACTTATACAAAGGTAATTCACAGTGGTTAGTTACATTTCTGAATTTGGTTAGGGAGTTCGTGTTGATACACTGCCATTTTTTCCCATTTAGTCTACATTCAACCATTTGACCTAAAAAAATGACAATTTCATATGGTCCAACTTAACATAAAAATAATGTTCACCCCAAACTTAGATGTCAAAAATTTATATAAATAAAATCTGCTAAATCAAATATAAATATAATAAATATTTTGAAATATAATCTTTAATCAAAGCCATTTCATGTTTAGCTCATTTTCAGAAACATTTTTACCCCACTTAAGGCTCAACTTTTTGTTAGGACGAAATTAAAGGGAAAACAGTTCACATCTCAACTTTTAATATCTGTTGGTAAATATCAAGATACATGATTTTTAAAAAGAAAAAAGCCACAAATGACTGAACAGCACATACATGCAAATTTAAGCCATCTTTGCTTCAGTGAAGAAAAATAAATACATGGAATTCATATTTCAAGACTTTCTAATCTTTAAGATAGTTACTTAAGATCTGGTATTAGTGCTATTTGTCATAAAAGCTCATATATTCATTGAGCTGTCAAAAACAAGTTTTACATGTTGACAATTGCCTTTTGGTCTCTGAAAACAGGATCCTATTATATGTTTTCTAGTTCACAGCTGAGTTCACAGCAGCTGTGAGGCTAAGAAATGCCAGCAACCAATTAGGCTGGCATAAACCTTGTCTAGCATATAAAGTATAATTTGGTTGCAAATGGAGGAGACAAGAGCCAAAATAAGTCAGCCAAGAATACTAATAAAATTTCATTACAAGTATTTAAAAGTCAGAATATTAAAAATCTAACAAAAATATGTATTTTATTAAGAAAATATAGTAGTAGAACGTTAGGAAAAATACAAAAAAGCAACAATCAATTCTTTTCAGATCCAAGCAGTTTTTTAAAAGGTTGCAGCTGTTTCTGACATACCTAGGATTACAAACTCTATGTTGTTTTTTTTTTTTTCGTTTCTATTTCTAACTACCCTAATCATAGGATTGTGGTATATGACCATACATATGGCAAGTCTTCCCCCAAAGTGAACATTATTTTTATCAGTTCCCCTTTAGACGTTTCTATAAAAATTTCTCTTCATACTTTTAAGACATTAAGACCTTTATAATTTTGTTTTTTTTCTTGAGACGGAGTCTCGCTCTGTCACCCAGGCTGGAGTACAGTGGACGATCTCAACTCACCACAACCTCTGCCTCCCAAGTTCAACAAACAATTATCCTGCCTCAGCCTCCCAAGGAGCTGGGATTACAGGCATATGCCACCGTGCCTGCAATCCCAGAAAACATAATTTTTTTTTTTTTTTAGACATAGTCTTGCTCTTGTTGCCCAAGCTGGAGTGCAATGGCACGATCTCAGCTCACCACAGCCTCTGCCTCTCCAGTTCAAGCGATTCTCCTGCCTCAGTCTCCCGAGGAGCTGGGATTACAGGCATGCACCACCACGCCTGGCTAATTCTGTATTTTTAGTAGAGATGTGGTTTCTCCATGTTGGTCAGGCTTGTCTCGAACTCCCAACCTCAGGTGATCCACCTGCCTTGGCCTCCCAAAGTGCTGGGATTACAGGCATGAGCCACTGCGCCCAGCCTAGACCTTTATAAAAATTTCAAAACCTAAATATGTATAAGAATAACACAACTTAAATTATTAGTAAAAATAAAACTTCAGTTATAAGATTGTTTATAATGGCTATTTCCAAATCCATTGAAGTTGTTTAAATCTGTTTTGTTTAAAGTATGATAAATTTAAAAATATAACAAATCAATGCTTTATAACATATTACTACAAAAAATATAATTTAAAAATTTGTACACATATTTTTAAAAAGTAGTCACCGGTGATTCATATGTATACAGCCATGTAATGAAAACTAATAGGAAAATCTAGCTTACCTGCCAATAAATTAAAATATATAGTGTGTCTATTCTTGATAAAACCTCTAGCAACCCCTTCCATTTTCAATCAGAATACCACCAAATAATTTAAAAGCATTTTTAATAGACTTTTAAACATATGCTAATAAAATCTAGTTATCTCCTGTACCTCTCAAGCAGAGACTAAGAGGAAAACATGCATAAATATCCATTCTCAGAAGAACAAAGAAATATTACTCTGAATTGCAAAATCACACATTCAGACCAAGTGTCTGGCAGAACAATGTTGTTTCCAGAAGATGAGTAAAATACATAAGTTTACTCAAAGTGGTTGGTAAACAGATGCTTGAAGGAAATACTTTCTTCCAAGTCATTCCACACCAGATAAATTACCTCAGAACACATTGATGGTAAAACCTTTGCCACTTCATATCAGGTGATTGATCAAAACCTATATTAAATAACAGGTTTTCCATTATTCTTTCTTTTTTTTCTCTTTCTTTTTCTCACTCTCGCCCAGGCTGGAGTTGAATGGTGCAATCTTAGTTCACTGAAACCTCTGCCTTCTGGGCTCAAGTGATCCTCCCATCTCAGCCTTCCAAGTAGCTGGAACCAGAGGTGCCTGCCACCACACCTGGCTATTTTTTGTATTTTTTGTACAGACAGGTTTTTGCCATGTTGCCCAGGCTGGTCTCAAACTCCTGGGCTCAAGTGATCTGCTCACCTCGGCCTCCCAAAGTGCTGGGTCTACAGGCATAAGCCACTGTGCCCGGCCCCATTTTTCTTAAATAATAATTAGGTACATAAAATAGTGGTTCCAATCAATTGTATATTTACTTAGTAAACCAATTGCCACTGTAGAATGCAAATTCAAAAATTTTACTGCCATCTTTCCAAGTTAAGTCATAGAAAAACATGTTAATAAGCTTTCATTGTCTAAAGAGTTTTAAGATTGGTCTTTTAAAACAGATACAATTCCTTTCTTCAGCTTATTAAAAGAATTCTAAAAGGATGCTCCTTCAAGCGCATGAAAATAATTCCCCTCTTTAATGTCTATATTATAATTTTATCATAACCACAAAATGGAGAAAAGTTGGGAAAACAAAGATTGTCAAATGCTGCTTTAAAATAGACTAAAAGGACAAGGATGCTACAAAAAAGCATTATTTAGAAAATGGAAGTTAACTACACAGTAATATTCACAGTAATGTTAACTACACTAACAGTCACACATTATATCTTGGTTTTGCCAACTACCTCAAAGCAGTTATTATTTATAATCTAACAGTAAATGTCAATTTATTCCTAGGTGCCACTGACCAGTAACTGAGGACAGAAAGCAATTTGATTTGTTGGAAGTCACACAGCAGATCAGCAGCAGAATTCAAAGTCTCAAATTCTGATATTCAGGTTGTGTTAGCTAATCTAAGCAGTGAGGAAAAGAGTCCTTCATGAGGACTATGTAGCATTACACCTTCTTCAATAGCTTTAGTGGAACAAGAAGCCATTAGAGAAGGACATAAATAATGTCTCAGCTGACACTGGTAACAGTGCTGTTGCTGTTTAGTAAATCTCTGGGGAATGTGACTTTGCCAAACATAGAGACATTTCTGTTTGGTTTATCACACTTAAGATGTTACTGTTTTTTAACTAAATTGAAAGTTCTAGTATTTCCTTTCTTAGACATTAAACACAAACCTGAAAGTTTGGAACAAGGAGAGAAAAAAGAAAATGATATAGCTAAGATTTTCATTACGAAAATACAACTTAAAAACGGGACAAATTTTATTCATATTGAAAACAAACTATGAATTTTCAAATTCTTACCTCATCTATTGTTTTGAAAAGGGATGTAAAAAATAGTGCTCAGTTTCTATAGGGTGATGGGGAAACTTCGGATCTGTTGAGCTGCACACTAACAATTAAGGTAGCATTATTATTTAGAAGGGCCCGTTGTGCAGCTTTTTAGAAAAGTTTCATTCAGAATTTGCGTAACAGTAATAAGAAAAATGTCATAAAGTAGCTATGATACCATTAAAAAGTATTAAATCAGGCCGGGCACGGTGGCTCACGCCTGTAATCACAGCACCTTGGGAGGCTGAGGCGGGCGGATCACCTGAGGTTGGGAGTTTGAGACCACCCTGACCCAAAATGGAGAAACCCCGTCTCTACTAAAAACACAAAATTAGACAGGCATGGTGGCACATGCCTGTAATCCCAGCTACCTGGGAGGCTGAGGCAGGAGAATCACTTGAACCCCGGAGGCAGTGGTTGCACTGAGCCGAGATCGCACCACTGCACTCCAGCCTGGGCAACGAGAGCAAAACTCCATTTCAAAAAAAAGAGTATTAAATCACTGTAGTTTCCTGATGTTGTTCAGCATATTTGGGGCTGGGGAAAAGGAAGGTTAAAACACCGTCCAAAACCACTTGTAAAGAGAACATAAAAACCAAAATTCTAAAATCACGATGTAATATGATTACAATTCTAGCTGAAATAGTAACAATGTAAAAAAAAAAAAAACCACACAGTACTAGAAATAACACTTCATGAAGTTTACTAAATAAGTTAACTAAATAAATCTCAAAACCTATTAGCCTTAATTAAAAGGCTATTCTTCGTATCTACATTCCTTTGGATAACAGAATATATACCAAATGTATCTTTACTTACGTGTTAAAGAATACAAGATTTCCTATTTAGAATACCAAAGACTTTTACAGTGGTGTTGTTAAAGCAACATGTTGCCAATAGTTCAAAATTCTGAAGAACTGTCTTTCCCAGGTATTCTCCTGAATACACTGAACGATGCTATCTAATTGTTCCCTGGCTTATTTACCCAAAAGGGAATTCCATACCAATACAGCAGTGCTATTCTGTGAACTTTTCACAGCTACATGTACATAGCATCTTCTCTTATGCATACATCCTAACGAGACAGGGATCTTGTGGAATGTTTTTCAACAGTTAGTGCAATGTTATTATTCCCCCCAGGACTCTGTCATCCCAACTCCTGCTCCACTCTACGTACAGGAAGATTATGATGATAGTGGCCCTGAGTCGTGGAAATTTCTACTTTCAAAGCCTGGCCAATTTCGGTTAGGAAAATAAATGATCACTCTTCTAAGCCCTTTTACCACTAGGGTAAAATGTATATTTCAAATTCAGTGCTGCCAGAACAAAAGGTACATAAAGAAGAATGAGATCACTGAAGCTCCATGTGGCAAGAAAGGCTAAAGTCAGATTATGAGTTTGGTTTTGTACGTATGAAGTTTAAGATATCTGTCCAGTGGAGATATGAAGTAGGCTCTCTAATAGACTGAAGTTGGTCAAAGCTGAAGAAAAAAGCTTGGGGATTGTCAATTTAAATCATGCATTCTCAGCAGAGGTGATATCCCCAAGGTGATAAAAACTGGCTCTTTGGAAGGGCAGATCTTAGATATTACAATGGTTTGTGGCCCTCCGAAGGGCTACAACCCATAAACAGATGCAGAGAAATTTCACTGCGATGGGGTGATTAGGCAATAAAGTAGTCAAAAGGCTTTTCAGGCAGAGCAATAATGAAAAAAAGTTTGCAAAACACCAATACAGACAGTATTTTTTAAGACAATCAAAGTGGATTTGACCACTAAGAGAATGAGGGTAGAAGTCCCGATCTTTAAAATTCTGTATAGAGGTCAGGGAAATGAGATACCAGCAAAGGAGATCAAGAATTTACCAGAGAAAAAGAAGAAAAATCAGAAGAGTAGTCACAGAAGCTAAGTGAAGGTATTTCAAACAAAAGGGAGTGAATTAATTGTGTCAAATGCTGCTAACAGATCAAGTAAAACAGGAGCAATGCCTCAAAGAGAGTAGTCAAGAGGTTTTTGTTTTTTCTTTGAGGCAGTGGCTGGATCTCGGCTCACTGCAATCTCCGCCTCCCCGGCTCAAGCAATCTTCCTACCTCAGCCTCCTCAGTAGGTAGGACCACAGGCATGTGCTACCATGCCCTGCTAACCTTTGGTATTTTTTGTAAAGAGGGAGTTTCACCATGTTGCCCAGGCTGGTCTCAAACTCCTGGGCTCAAGCGATCTGCCTGCCTCAGCCTCCCAAAGTGCTGGGATTATAGGTGTGAGCCACCACACCTAGCCTAAGAGGATTTTTTTTTTTTCGGATGGGAGAAATAACAGCATTTCCATATTGATGGAAATGACTCAGTAAAGAAAATAACTGTTGATGCAGCACAGAGAGACCACTGAAGTTGTGACTGGGCAGGTGAAAGGAGACAAGATCCAGAGTACAAGTGGAGGAAAGAGGCACAAAACAGGAACAGAAAAAATGTGTCCACAGCAAAGGAAGGAAGGCAGTCATATAGGCACAGATGCTGGTAGTTGGGTAGATGTGGCTGACTTGTAGTTCTTTACTGGTTGTTTATATTTCTTGGTGGTGAAATGACAAGCAAGGTCATTTTGCTGAGAGTGTGGGTGGGCCAGGAGCAAACATCCTCAAGGAATGAGGGAAGCTGGCATTATCAATAAGATTTCTATTTGAGAAACCAGATATATGGTGTCTCCACTAACCAACAGACAGAATACAAATACAGAAATATGGGGATAAAGGCAATGGATTCTGTTTTTGGTAAGTTTAAGATACTGGCAGGAAATACATGGGATAGTACCTAAAAAGTAGATCAGAAACCAAGAGAAATATTTGGTCTGCAGAGGCATTTTTTTTTAACTTTTATTTAAGGTTTGGGGTTCATATGCAGGTTTGTTACATGAGTAAATTGCATGTCACCGAGGTTTGGTATACAAATGATCCCATCACCCAGGTAGTGAGCAGAGTACCCAACAGCTAGTTTTTCAACCTTCCCACCCTCCTTCCTCTAGTAATCCCAGGGTCTATTGTTGCCATCTTTGTGTCCGGTATTTACCCAATGTTTAGCTCCAGCTTAACCAGTTCACCACTGATGGACATCCAGGTTGATTACATGTCTTTGCTATTATAAACTGTACTGCAATGAACATATGAGTACAGGTCTATTTTCTGTAGAATAATTTATTTTCCATTGTGTACATACCCGGTAGTGGGATTGTTGGGTTGAATAGCTTTAAGTTATTTGAGAAATCTCCACACTGCTTTCCACAGTGGCTGAACTAATTTACATTTCCACCAACAGTGTGTGAGTGTTCCCTTTTCTCTGCAACCTGGCCAACATCTGTTATTTTTTTGACTTTTTAATAATAGCCATCGTGACTGGTGTGAGATGGTGTCTTGTTGCAGTTTTGACTTACATTTCTCAAATGATTAGTGATGTTGAGCATTTTTTCATATACCTGTTGGCCACATGTATGTCTTCTTTTGAGAAGTATCTGTTCATGTCCTTTACCCATTTTTTTTTTCTTTCAGAGCAGGAATGAAAGTTTATTGAAAAGCTTTACAGTTGGGCATGGTGGCTCATGCCTGTAATCCCAGCACTTTTGGAGGCCGAGGCAGGTGGATCACCTGAGGTCAGGAGTTCGAGACCAGCCTGGCCAACATGGCGAAACCCCATCTCTACTATAAATACAAAAATTAGCCGGGCATAGTGGCGGGCACCTATGATCCCAGCTACTCAGGAGGCTGAGGCAGGAGAACCACTTGACCCAGGAGGTGGAGGTTTCAGTGAGCCGAGATCACGCCACTGCACTCGAGCCTGGGTGACAGAGCGAGACTCTGTCTCAAAAAAAGAAAAGAAAAGAAAAGAAAAGCTTTACAACAGTAAGGAAAGGAAAGAAAAGAAAGTACAACTTGGAAGAGGAACAAGCAGGCGACTTAAGAAAGCAAGTGTGTCCCTTTGCCCATTTTTTAATGGGACTGTTTGCTTTTTGCTTGAATTGTTTCTTATAGATTCTGGAAATGAGACCTTTGTCATATGCATAGTTTGTGAATATTTTCTCCCATTCTGTAGGTTGTCTGTTTACTCTGTTTCTTTTGCTGTGCAGAAGCTCTTTAATTAGCTCCTATTTGTCATTTTTTTTCTTTTTGTTGTAATTGTTTTGGGGACTTGGTCATACATTCTTTGATAAGGCCAATGCCCAGAATGGTACTTGCTAGGTTTTCTTCCAGTGGTTTTATAGTTTGAGGTCTTACATTTAAGTCTTTAATCCATTTTGAGTTAATTTTTGTTTATGGTGAAAGGAAGGGGTCCAGTTTCAATCTTCTACATGTGGCTACCCAGTTTCCCCAGCACCATTTACTGAATAAGGAGTCCTTTCCCCGTTGCTTGCTATTATCGACTTTGCTGAAGATCAGATGGTTGTAGGTGTGTGGCTTTATTTCTGGGTTCTCAATCTTGTTCCACTGGTCTATGTGTCTGTTTTTATATCGGTACCGCGCTGTTTTGGTTACTGCAGCTTTGCAGTACAGCTTGAAATGGGGGTAGTATAATACCTCTGGTTTTGTTATTTTTGCTTAGGATTGTTTCGGCTATTAGGTTCTTTTTTGGTTCATATGAATTTTAGAATAGATTTTCCTAATTCTGTGAAGAATATCATTGGTAGTTTGATAGAAATAGCATTGAATCTGTAAATTGCTTTGGGCAGTACGGCCATTTTAACAACACTGATTCTTCTTATCCATGATCATGGAATGTTTTTCTGTTTGTATCATCTCAGATTTATTTCAGCAATGTTTTGTAATTCTCACTGTAGAGCTCTTTCGCTTCCTTGGTTAGCTGTATTCCTAGGTATTTTATTCTTTAGGTGGCTACTGTAAATGAGATTCTGTGCAGAGGCATTTTGAAAAAGAATTTTCATTAAAAATTATTTATTTATTTATTTTATTTTTTTTGAGACAGGGTTTCCCTCTGTTACCCAGGCTGGAGCGCAGTTGCATGAACACAGCTCACTGCAGCCTCAACCTCTGGGGCTCAAGGGATCCTCCCACCTCAGCCACCAGAGTGGCTGGGACCACAGGTACATACCACCATGCTCGGCTAATTTTTGCAGAGTAGAGACGAGGTTTTGCCATGTTGCCCAGGCTGATCTCAAACTTCTGGGCTCAGGCGATCCACCCACCTCGATCTCCCAAAGTGATGGGATTACAGGCATGAGCCACTGTACCCAGCAAAAAAAATTTAAAGTGTTATGAAAAATTGCAAACTTACACAATAGATGATAACCCCCTACATTCAGCTTCACTAATTTTCAATATATGGCCAATCCCACTGCCACTTCTATCACAACTGGATTATTTTGAAACAAATTCTAGCTATCCTATCAACTCATCAATATTTACTTCAGAATGTATAAAGCTATAATTTTATGTGTTTTTAACATTCTTCTTTTTTTTTTTTTTCTTTGAGACAGAGTCTCGCTCTGTCGCCCAGGCTGGAGTGCAGTGGTGTGATCTCAGCTCATTGCAAGCTCCACCTCCTGGGTTCACGCCATTCTCCTGCCTCAGCCTCCCAAGTAGCTAGGACTACAGGCGCCCGCCGCCGCGCCCGGCTAATTTTTTGTATTTTTTTAGTAGAGACAGGGTTTCAACGTGGTCTCGATTAACATTCTCCTTTTTAAAAACCTTTTCTAATACATTTATTTTTCCATCTTTCTCAGATTTTTTTTTTTTTTGAGATGGAGTTTCGCTCGTTGCCCAGGCTGGAGTGCAATGGCGTGATCTTGGCTCACGGCAACCTCCACCTCACGGGTTCAAGCGATTATCCTGCCTCAGCCTGCTGAGTAGCTGGGATTACAGGCATGCGCCACCATGCCTGGCTAATTTTGAATTTTTAGCAGAGATGAGGTTTCTCCATGTTGGTCAGGCTGGTCTTGAACTCCCGACCTCATGTGATCTGTCCACCTCGGCCTCCCAAAGTGCTGGGATTACAGGCATGAGTCACTGCGCCCGGCTTTCTCAGATGTTTTAATAAAGCTGATTTTTTTTTTTTTTTACTAAATTGAATCACATTCCACTAATCTATTTTAAAGTAACATTAAAAATATGATCATTAAAAAAAAAAACCCAAAAACCATAAAACAATCTTTACCATATTTACCATTTAAATGCTATTTCCCATGCATCTCTTAATGCCTGGTTTTGTGCTGTGTTTACTATGGTCTCTGTAAATATTGATACATTATACCATATATGCATATATGTGTGTAGGTACACAGATAAAAGGCAACCGTTTCCCACCCTTCAACTCTGGTAACAAAGAGATGACTTTGAGACTAGAGTTGCAAGGTATTTCAAGGCCTTATTCATCCTTTACCAAAGACTTGCAGCATATTTGCTGTCAAATGCTTAATTTGTTTTCTATGTTAAAAGGTCAAGAACTAGTGTTAAGATCAAGGAAGAACATAAACATTTTAGGTAATATAGTCCATGGAAAGGCCTACATAAGTAGTAGGACATAAAGGTAGGTCTCATCTTGGATTAGACAATGGTTTCTTAGATATAACAAAAGCAAAAGCAACAAAAGAAAAAATAGATAACTGGACTTAATCAAAATTAAAAATTTTTGTGCTTCAAAGGATACTATCAATAAAGGGAAAAGACAACCCTCAGAATGAGAAAAAATATCTATAAAGCATGTATCAGATATGGCAGTAGTATCCAGAAGTTTTATACCTCAACAATAAAAAAATAAATATTGACTGGGCACGGTGGATCATACCTGTCATCCCAGCACTTCTGAGAGGCTGAGACGGGAGGATCACTTGAGCCCAGGAGTCTGACCAGCCTGGGTAACATAGTGAGACCTTGTCTCTCCCCTACCCCAATCCCCTCTAAAAAAAATTAGCCAGGCAAGGTGGCTTGTGCCTGTGGTCCTAGCTACTCAGGAAGCTGAAATGGGAGAAGCACTTGGGCCTGGGAGGTAAGGCTGCAATGAGTTATGATCATGCCACTGCATTCCAGCCTGGGTGACAGAGTGAGACGCTGTCTCAAAAAAAAAGAGAAAACATACCAAATTATAAAGTGAACAAAGGATTTGAACAGATCTTTCTCCAAAAAAGACATACAAATGGCTGGGCATGGTGGCTCAAGTCTGTAATCCCAGAATTTTGGGAGGCCAAGGTGGGCGGATCACTTGAGCCCACAAGTATGAGACCAGCCTAGGAAACGTGGCGAAACATGTCTCTACAAAAAATATAAAAATCGACCGGATGTGGTGTGCATCTGTAGTCCCAGCTACTTGGGAGGCTGAGCGGGGAGGATCAGTTGAGCCCAGGAGGCAGAGGTTGCAGTGAACTGACATCACACCATTGCACTCCAGTCTGGGAGACAGAATAAGACTCTATCCTTTAAAAACAAACAAACAAACAAACAAAACAAATGGTAAATGAACACATGGAAAGACGTTCAACATCATTAGTCATTAGGGAAATGCAAATCAAAATCACAATAAAATGCCACTTCATACCCACCAGGACGGCTATAATAAAAAAGATGGAAAATAACAAGTTTGGGCCAGGATGTAGAAAATTGGAACCCTCAAATATTACTAGTGGGAATGCAAAATAATATAGCCACTTTTGAAAATAATACAGCAGTTCCTCAAAAAGTAAGTATAGTTACCATATAATCCAGCAATTCCACTTCTAGGTATAACCCACAAAAACTGAAAACAATTTTCAGTTCTTTTATGTCCACACAAAAACTTGTATATGAATGGTATTCATAATGGCCAAAAAATGGGAAACCCAAATGTCTATCGATTAATGGATGGATAAATGAAATGAAATGGAATATTATTCAACCATAAAAAAAGTACTGAAATATGTTACTATACTGATAAACTTGAGTATGGATTATGCTAAGTGACAGATGCTATACACTAAAGGCTATGTATTGTACAGTTTCGTTTATACTCAATGTCCAAAACAGACAAATCTACAAAGATAAAAAGTTGATTAATGGCAGATACTAAAGGCCGGAATGAGAGGGGAATGCAGAGTGACTGCTAATGGGTATGGGTTTCTTTTACAGTTTGTCATAAAAATGTTCTGAAATTGGACAGTGGTAATAATTGTACAACTTCATGAATATACCAAAAAAAAATCACTGAATTGTGCACTTTAAAGGGCTCTTTAGGTTTATTAGGTTAAAACTATAATATTTATTTCTCAAAAAATTTTCACTAAAAAATTACTTTCTTCTCATAATCAGACATAATATAGGATATACTCTTTATTTTTCTATATTGGCTATGACAGATAAACACCAGAACTTAGGTGTTTTCTATTATATGTTTGGACCTCATAAACACTTCATAAATTAAGCATGTCATCCCTTACAGGGCCACTTAAAAAAAAAAAATGCTATAGTCACAGCCTGAACTTCACAATCCAAGCTAGCAAATTTCAAAAGTGTAATGTACACTGTGTGGATAAGAGTATGAGGAAACAGGCATTTTTGCAGATAGTAAGGTAAATTCATATCTATGGAAGACAAATCAGCAAGATCTATCAAAATTACACATACACAATTATCTGACCCAGTGCTTCTACTTCTAGGATTTTTTCCCCTACAGATATATTCATGTATGTATAAAATGTCAAGAGTTGAAGGCTATTAAATACTACAGTATTGGCTATGCAGCAGCTACAGATTAGGCACAAATGTAAATGTCATCAGTAAAAGACTGGTTAAATAAATTGTGGTATATTTACTCACTAATGAAATGCAGTACAAGAAAGAATGAGACTATTATTTATCTACTCAAAAGTTCTCCAAGATATCATTATTATTAAGTAAATTACACTCCAGTATATACAATATAACATCTGTAGGAAAAAGGTATATATTTACACATATTTATACTACATGTAGATAGAGATATATAAGCAGAGATTTTCCTGAAAAATGAAAAAGAGGTAATGCTCTACAAATATAAGAAGCTAGTAATATTTTTGTCTCTTGGAGAAGAACTGGGTAGCTAGCTGTGGGGTAGGGGTAGGATGGAGACTAATAGATATATACATACATACATACATACATATATATCATTTTGGAACTTCATTAGTCATGGGACTATATTGCTATTCAAAACAGGCAATTAAACTTAAAGAGAAAATTACAAGTATACATTAAAAACAGTGACACACACCTTGTCATGTCATATTCTTGATGCCTGGAGGATGAACAACACAAGTCAATTTTTTAGAATGTCAAAACTTGAATAGACAGAGCAGTGAAAGAGAAGCTGGAAGTTCATTTAGTCACTGATTCAGCAAACAGATAATTTATAAAGTGTGCAGAGTGCCTGTGCTAGGCAGTGGGGAATATAAAGGAACTTGAGTCTGACCAGACACAAACATATAATACAATACAATGAGTTTTTTGACAGAGCAAACAAAGGGGACTCGCCACTCATAAAGCAGGGGACCCATCTTAGGCTAGGAATCAAAAGGAGATACAGCAGTTAGCTAGGTTAGTTAGAAGTGGAGTGTTCCAAGAAAGTTCAGCTTGTCTGGAGTATAGTGTGCCTCAAATAAGCAGCAAGAATAAGACTGAAGAGGCAGGTTAGTTTGTTCAGGGTCCACCATAAGCCATGTTAGACTTGGGCTTCATAAAAAGGGCAACAGAAGTAGAGAACACTTTCAAAGTTTTAAGCCTGTGATCAGAGGGTCAAACCTACATGCCTGAAAGGTTACTCTGAAACAGTAATTAACCAAATTATTGTTTTGGGTTTTTTGTTGTTGTTGTTGTTGTTGTTGTTGTTAACCAAATTACTCTCCTAGGTAGAGAGGCCTATTAGGAATTTGTTGCAACAGCACAGGCAAGACATAATGCTAGCATGACCAAAAGTTATAGCGGTAGGTACAGAAAAAGTGCAGGAAGAGTTACTTGAGTCATTAAATTAAGAGACCATGGTAATAAGGCTATAAGGTCAAGAAAGAATAAGGAGTCAAGGAAGACAACCAAGTTTCTGACTGGAGCAATAGAGTGAATGAGAAATACTGAAGTAAACTTGAGGAAGGGGTGATGGGTTCAATTTTGGACATGCTGAATTTGAGTGTTTATGAGATATCCAAATGGAGATATGCAGTAATCCATGACATATACGAACAGTACATGTCTGTAGCCAATGTGGGCTAAAGAGAAGCATTTAGTTTACCCAGAAAGAGAATACTATGTGAGAAGTACTGCAGGGGTAGGATCAAGCCCTGAAGAACATCAATACTTAAAGAGAATGGGGAAAGAAGCACCTGTAAAGATTAAAAAGGAAAAAATCTGAGTAATAGAAGGAAAAGAAGCTCTACTTATTTTTAATTAAGAAATTGTTCTTAATGGAAACCCAAAACAGCATGTACACTTAAAAGCAATGTTATTACTCTTAATAAAACTGCAACCAAAGAGCATATAAAGAAAGCACTTACCATATACTTAGAGCGAAGTTATAGGCAACTCTCAGTATCAGCTATAATTTAAAAAATAAACACACAACCCATATATAATCCCAAAATAATTTCAAACAATGGGCTTATAAAAATAAATTTATGGCCGGGCGCAGTGGCTCACGCCTGTAATCCCAGCACTTTGGGAGGCTAAGGCAGGCGGATCACGAGGTCAGCAGATCGAGACCATCCTGCTCAACATAGTGAAACCCCATCTCTACTAAAAATACAAAAATTAGCTGGGCGTGGTGGCACATGCCTGTAATCCCAGCTACTGAGGAGGCTGAGGCAGGGGAATCGCTTGAACCAGGGAGTTGGAGGTTGCAGTGAGCTGAGATTGCGCCACTGCACTCCAGCCTGGTGACAGACCAAGACTCTGTCTCCAAAAAAAAAAAAGTCCACTAAATTTGGACAGGCCCCCAAATCAATCTATTATGTCAGCACTTTAGCAAGTTGCTATAATTGTTACTATTTTCCTGACAATATTGTTGCTCATCTAATATGAGACATCCTTACGATAGCATTTGTTCCTGTTTAAATTGTCTAAAGTCTTGTGAGCAAGAGAGTTTAAACATAGGCAATAGCAAAAGAGACTGGAGAAAACTAGAATGTCTTTGTCAAATTACAGAGCCACAGAGCATTTGTACTGAGTGCAATAGCTACTTATTATTTTGTTGTAGCTGGCAAACTAACTTCTTCTAGAGAAAAGTCCTTCAACTAATTCTTCAAAGAAATCAGATGAAGGGACACATGATGGCCATACAGCAAATATTAGTTGGATTAATAAAAACACCTGATTAATAAAAAGTATACCCTAGAAAGGAAAAGAAAAGCATTATGAAATTAATTATGTGACTTCCAATGCCCGGAACATTAATAGGGCACAAAAATGAATTACAGTCTACAATGAATTAGTATGTAGAGGATTTTGGGGGCAGACAAACTATGTTCTAATCTCAGATTTGCTACTTATTTTATGTATGACCTTGGACAAGTCAACTTCCTCATTATAACAATATAGGCAAGTTTTGACCAACAGCAGTATTTCATCAAAGAGCTTTCTGTGGTTAAATTCTAAGATGTACCTCACTAATTAGGGCCCCTAATTTGTTCTCATTTCTTAAAAATCTTATAGGTGGCTGGGCACTGTGGCTCACGCCTGTAATCCCAGCACTTTGGGAGGCCAAGACAGGCGGATGACCTGAGGCCAGGAGTTCGAAACCAGCCTGACCAACACGGAGAAACCCCATCTCTACTAAAAATACAAAATTAGCTGGGCACGGTGGCGCATGCCTGTAATCCCAGCTACTTGGGAGGCTGAGGCAAGAGAATTGCTTGAACTCGGGAGGCAGAGGTTGCAGTGAGCCGATATTGCACCACTGCACTCCAGCTGGGCAACAAGAGTGAAACTTTGATTCAAAAAAAAAAAAAAGGGCTAAAGTTGCCATACATATGTGAATCCTTTTTACTATACTATAGCTCATTGAAAAATTTTTCTTCTAACATTGGCCAATAGACTATGCATGACAAAAATGAATGGCAAAATTTTACCTTAATTGTACACCTATATGACTAATCCTCATTCATAAATTATAATTTTTTTGTCATTAATTGGTCCATTATTTCAAGAGTGGTTTTAACTTTTAACACCTAAAGTTTGCATCCTCTCCTCCCCAACCTTTTTTAGGTTCACAGCAAAATTGAGTGGAAGGTACAGAGATTTCCCGTACAATTCTTAACCCCACACACCCTCCGCGCTATCAATGCCCTGCACCAGGTACACTTGTTACAATTGATGAACCTATCTTGACACACCATTATCACCCAAAGTCCCTAGTTTACATTAGGGTTGACTCTTGGTATTGTACCTTCTATGAATTTGGCATATGTATCATGACATGTATCCACCTTTATAGTATCATACAGAATAATTTCACTGCCTCTGTGCTGTGCCTATTTATCCCTTGCTTACCTCTTTTTAAGTCCTAAATTGCAAACTGTAGTTAAGAGATTCTGAATACTGAAATGGCACTTAGAATCCTAAGGGTGAAAAAGAGAAGGCAAATGCCAGGACAGAAAAAATAGGCCAAAAGTAAGAGCAAAGAAAAAGTAAAAAAGAGCAGCTGCATTTCAAGAAATAAAACACCTCATCCCTTAAAGAGATGACGTCATATTCTTTGTGTACTGCTTTTCCTTCTCATTCCGTTCCAAGAATTCTGAGAGGGTCCTGGCTAACACACTACAGCTCAGTACTAAGAAGGCAAAGTACTTAGTTATAGCTTAAGCAAATTCCCATTGCAGGTAAACATGTAATGGAAGTGATTTATACCTTAAACTCAATTACTTTTAGGATATTAGTGGCAAAAACTATATGCAGCCTGAGTTGGATGCTCTCTTTGATATTACCTTGATAGGCTCTACAGTCCTCTACACTGTATTCTTGAACAGCGTTAGCCTGATTAAATAAAACTGAAGAGATTTAAAAGCTATACTCAGACTTTGCAAATGTTAAGTCCTTTCCTTTCAACTCATCTGCCCTTTATTCAGCACAAGGGATATATTGCAATATAACATCAATTCTTCTTGCTGTGTGTTCTGCATATCATCTGTTCCTTAATCATTGCTCACCCTCCTAGACTGATGCAATCTTATCCATGCTACCTCTCATTTTCAGTACTATGCTCCCTCTAATCTATCACTAATCACTAACTCCTATTACTGCTCTTAGGAGATTAAGTCCTATAGTAGTTTCCAAGTGTCCTAGAAATTAATTCCAAGATCCTTACCTTACCTCTGTTTCCAGGTCTTTAATAAGGTGCCCCAGATTACCCCTCCTCCCTTATCTTCTTCATCATCCTCCCTCTGCCTGTTTTAAATGCCCTTCACCTGACAGCTTTGTTTCCAGTCAGGGACTTCTTCCATGCTGCCTACATGGCTAGAATGCCTCCTTGCCCTCAGGGCAACCGACTGGTCATCTTCCTCTCACCATTTAAACTTCACTCTCCAAGAAGTCTTGTCAGATACTCTGTTAGGAGATACTACTTTTACTAAAATAATGGATCACAACCCTGGCTATACCCTGGAATCACTAATGTGTGACAAGTTAAGCTTCATCAGTATGTTAGGTGCCTTAAAGTAAAATACTGATACCTAGACTACATACCAGACAGAATCTCTAGGCAAAGGAACCAGATATTGGCTGTGGTGGGTTGCTTTTTTTTTTTTTTTTTTTTTTGGTCTGTTTTTTTCCACAGCCCCACAGGTGATCTATTGAGCAGCCAGAGTTATAAACCACCACAGGCTGAGCATTCTTTAATCCAAAATGCTCCAAAATCTGAAACTTTTTGAGCACCAACATGACACCATAGTGGAAAATTCCACACACGACCCTGTGATGGGTTGCGGTCAAAATGCGGGCATAAGGCCGGGTGTAGTGGCTCACACCTATAATCCCAACACTTTGGGAGGCTGAGGCAGGTGGATCACTTGAGGTCAGGAGTTTAAGACCAGCCTGGCCAACATGGTGAAACCCTGTCTCTACTAAAAATACAAAAATTAGCTGGGGATGGTGGCACGTGCCTATAATCTCAGCTACTGGGGAGGCTGAGGCAGGAGAATCACTTGAACCCAGGAGGCGGAGGTTGCAGCGAGCCAAGATCGTGCCACTGCACTACAGCCTGGGTGACAGAGTGAGACTCCATCTTAAAAAAAAAAAAAAAAAAAAAACAGTTCATTCTCAGCACAGTATAGACACTCAGCAAATTTTACCACAAGTTTGTTCCCTGCTGATCTTGTCCTTCCTTTAGGTAAAATGTGGTCAAAATTAATGCCAAAACCTACAAAAACCTGGAGAAAAAGTCTTCAAAAGTAAATAAAACATAGCCCAGGGAGGAACCTGATTCTTACAGTTCCCGGGCCATAATGTGTAAGGAGTTTATATCCAAATTACACATAACCACCAGTAGCTGCATCCACTGCTGTTTCCCATGCTCTGCTTCCTTGGTCTCTGTTTGTTTGTTTTGAGACAGTGACTTGTTCTGTCACCCAGGCTGGAGTGCAGTGGCATGATCATAGCTCACTGCAGCCTCCAACTCCTGGGCTCAACCAGTCCTCCCACTTCATCCTCCTGAGTAGCTGGGGCTACAGTCACATGCTACCAGGCCTGGCTAATTTTATTTTTTGTAGAAATAGAGCCTCATCATGTTGCCCAGGCTGGTATCCAACTCCTGGCTTCAAGCAATCCTCCTGCCTAGGCCTCCCAAAGTGCTGGGATTACAGGCATGAGACACCACACCGAGCCAGTCTCTATTTACAAGTACCCAAACCCAGGATATCTAGAGAGAAACCTGCTGTCAGGTGCTGGTCTGCCAAAAACTTTAAATTGAATAAATTTGACCAGGTATGGTGGCTCACACCTGTAATCCCAGTACTTTGGGAGGCCAAAGAGGGAGAATTGCTTGAGGCCAGGAGTTCAAGACCAGCCTAGTCAACATAGCAAGACCCCATCTCTACAAACAATACAAAAATTAGCTAGGCATGGTTGTGCATACCTGTAGTCCTAGCTACTTGGGAAGTTAAGGTGAGAGGATTGCTTGAGTCCAGGACTTGGAGGCTGCAGTGAGCTATGATCATGCCACTGCACTCCAGCCTGGGTGACAGAGCAAAACCCTAAAAAAAAATTCCTTTTGATACCAAAACAATTTAAAAGTTATAAACTTATAACTCAAATAGGTACTAGAGTATAGGAAATAGGCTAATAATGACAATGCCAATTTCAATTGGCAGACTAGGGCTATTAGGGCTGATAATGCTGTATTAAGAACTCTGAGGCTGGCCGGGCGCAGTGGCTCAAGCCTGTAATCCCAGCATTTTGGGAGGCTGAGGTGGGTGGACCACGAGCTCAGGAGTTCAAGACCAGCCTGGCCAACATGGTGAAACCCCATCTCTACTAAAAATACAAAAAAATTAGCCGGGCATGTTGGCGCATGCCTATAATCCCAGCTACTTAGGAGGCTGAGGCAGGAGAATCGCTTGAACCCAAGAGGCAGAGGTTGCAGTGAGCCGAGATCACGCCACTGCACTCCAGCCTGAGCAACAAGAGCGAGACTCCCTCTCAAAAAAAACTCTGAGGCTAAATTCATCAGGAATGCTATGAGGGATCACGGATATTGGTCATAGAGGAGGAGAGATGGCATATATGACATGTATTTTCCATCCAAAAGGTCCATAACTTCAAGAGTCTAACAAAAAAGCCTAATCTTCAAAAGGAAGGTAGTAATAATGTACACACAAAATGGCATATTTCTATCAGTACTAATCACACTATAGATGAATCACTTATTTACTTGTTTGTGAGGGCAGGAACTATTTTTGCTTTATTCATTTTTTGTATCTCCAACACCTATCAGAATGCCTGATATATAGCAGGCTGTTAATAGAAGTATATTCAATGAAATCTGCAATAAAAAAAAAAGAAACATAAGACCACATTATTTTGATATGTCATAATCACTTAAGGTCTATACTCCAAAATATCACACACCCTAGTGAATGACCATCTGAACTTCGTGTTTTATTGTAGTGGGTAATGATATCATAGTGCACTATAACCTCAAACTCATAGGCTCAAGCAATTCTCCTGCTTTGGCCTCCAAAGTGCTGGAATTACAGGCATGAACTACCATGCTCAGCCTAGAAGCATGACTTTTAAAAGGAACACTTCCCTCACTCATATTACTCTTGGGAGATAGTTTAATATGGTGAAATTCTAATGTCTCTTTTCACTTAGCACTATAAAACCACTAATATTGCTTTATCTAAAAGAGCTGGAAGACAACTTAACCTGTATTTGTTCTACAACTGAACCAGAAGAATAAAAATTAGTTTTATCCAAGGTTTAAAACTTGTATCTATTCTTAAGAATCGTAATCTCAAAACAAACAAACAAATAAACAAACACCTTAAAATTATTTTAGGTTACAAAACAGATGTGTTAAAATTAAAGCAGATGGCTGAATCCAAGAATTAAACTTTGCAAAAGATTAATGTCATATTAATCACAACTATACTTCTGACTAGAAAGAACGGGGTCTAGATGATCTCTCAGGGAATCTTGTTCTGGATTTTCCACACTCTTGCCCCTTGTCTTATTTGAGCAGACACAGATTTAACTGGCTCTTTGCTGTTTTCTCTAGCATTTTAACAATCATGACACATAAAACAAGTTGACACATAGCCTTTCCCCAGAGTTTCAAAATCTTTGTCATAAGAATCAAGTGGCTAGGCAATGAATACAGATTCCTGGCTTTCTGTGGTACTTTTGGAAGCAATAAGTGCCTATTTTAAGTTTTTTGAGCTTCTTTGGTAGTAGTGGAAAGAATTTTACTACAGGGGTTTGTATGTCTCAGAAAGAAATACTAAAGTATACAACTTCACACCATAATCAGCAAACATCTGTCAGCAGCACTTAGAGAGCTGGGAGTGAAGGGATTCGGGCTTTGGCCCAGGCTATGCTCCTTATTAACCATGTGATCTTGGCAAATAATCCAACCTCAGATTCTTCACCTATAAACCAATAATCTGCCACCTTTCTATCCTGCTTACCTCATAGAGTTCCTGTGAAGATCCAATTAGCTAACATGTCTTGAAGCACTTGGAAAACTATTAAGCCCTAACAAATCCATATACAGAAACATTATCGTCCTAGTCCTCAGGGAAAAGGGAACTATTAGGTCACAAATGCCCCTATTCCATCCCACCCCCATAATCAATCACATAATTGTACCTAAAGAACAACTGTATTGCCACATGGTTCATCTTTATTACTTAAATTTACACATGCTATTCTCCAGAAGCCTATATAGTGACGTGTAAAGATGAACTAGCAGAAGAAAAATGTGGCAAAGCATATAAAGAATTAGGCCATTTAAAATCTTTTCTAAAGATTTTCTTTGCCTGCCCTGAACTCCAAAATTCCTGATGGGTCCTTTGAAATCTTCAATTGCCTCTTGATTTCAGATGTTAAAAGGAACTCTTTACACCAATACTTAACTAAGAAACAAGAATACTTTCCTCCCACAATTTTAGGTTTGGTGAACTTGTAGTAACATAGCACTTCTTACCAGGGATCATTCTAATCAAGCTCTGTAACACTGCTCGCTGGTGCCTTTCTCCGAAGTAAGAAGCAATTTCCTACATCTTGACTGGGCTGTAAAAAGCGGTATACGGTTCCAAAATAACAGAGAATTCCTCCTTTACTGTCATAGTTCTTGATAGTCTGATTTCTATGCTAAGCATGTCAGGTTCCTGGCTGCCATTGACAAGTTGTATGAATCTAGATAAGTCACTTATGGTGATCTGGGACTCAAGTTTCCACATTTATAAAAATGAAAACTAGTTTATCTCCAAAAACCTTTCTGGTGGAAATATTCTAAGATTCTCTTCAGATTACATGTATCAATACAGTCACAGTACTGTGACTAAGAGACCCGCCCCCAAAGAACAATCCCATATTAGCTGCAGCTTCCAAATGTTCAACATTTCCCATTTCTTCCCCAGTCCCCAAAGGGTAGTCACAGCTACTACAGAACTGTTAACAGCACAGCTAAAAGAAAAAAAAAACCAAACTAGCTACACGACAGAAAGATTGTAGGTTTTTTTAAGAGTCAGTGGGTTTTAAAAAGGGAAAGGAATTGAATCAGAAAAATAGGAAGACACATGTAAGAAAACACACCAGTCCAATTTCATACCAGGTTATCTCCTGTGGCAGAGAATAATCTTAGCAGTCCAAGCCTAACCCCTGTCACTGATAACCTTAGAAAACCAGAAAAGTCAGATTAACCTTAGCAGATCACTCAATTTCAATTAACGCTGTAGTTCCTGACTAACAGGCCAGCGGGAAGTAGAGGGCCAGAGTAGGGAGGTAGCAGTACAGAGGAGCACAGATGGAAGGTTTCACTTCCAGCTAAGATGTCATTCTAATGATTAATTAAAATGTTTGAAAACAAAAAATCCAATAATGTATGATTTATTCAAAAACGATGTGCAAGGAATTTTGCTAGACATCCCAGTAGTGGGGGTGGGAATGGGGGTAATGACACAGATGCATTCAGGGAATTTAAGAGTCATTAGAGGCTGGGCACAGTGGTTCACACCTGTAATCCCAGTACTTTGGGAGGCTGAGGTGGGTGGATCACTTGAGGCCAGGAGTTCGAGACCAGCCTGGCCAACGTGGCAAAAACCTGTCACTACTAAAAATACAAAAATTAGCCGGGCATGGTGGCACACACCTGTAGTCCCAGCTACTTGGGAGGCTGAGGCATAAGAATCGCTTGAACCTGGGAGGCAGAGGTTGTAGTGAGCGGAGATCGCACCACTGACAGAGCGAGACTCTGTCTCAAAAAAAAAAAAAAAAAGAATTATTAGTTATTAGTAAGTCCCATTACCCCATGCAGTTTAAAAACATAGTATTAAGAATATGTACCCATAGGTATGAGCTGAGAGGAGTGGAAAAAAAAAAGTTACAGACCCAAACATTAATACTTAAGGAAATATGCTGTCTCATGAATAATACAGAATGATTTAGGAATTCAGATGCTGACTGGCCATCTGGTTTTAGTAATCAGTGAAGACTCATTAGGATAGTTTTCATCATGGTCTTGAAAGATAGGAATAAGCTCATTTTAGTGTACCTGTTTGCCCTTGGGATATGTTTATTAGTGTAAGAGTATCACTGATGGGAAAAGTGTGGTCTGAAATAGGGACATGGATCGCCATCAGCAAGCCAAAAGAAAAACATCAAGTCACCAGTTAATAATGGTCTGAAGCAGCCCTTCTTTACTCATGTCATTTCTACTGTCTCAGATATTAGTGTTCCTCCAACTGCAAAGTTTATTTTTGTTATAATAACCACTAGTGTTTTATCCAATATAGACGTTATGGAAGTGAGAGGAAGCAAACAAGCTTCTTTAAAGTGAAAAAGGGAAAGCTTGAGGGGCATTCTCCCAGACATCAATTTCTATTGTGAAACACTACTGTCCAATGCAAATGATCCTTCTGTTCTTTCGAAGTTCTCTACTAATCTCCTGCCTTCCACCAACTCCATCATGCATCTGAGGCACATAAAAAGATACATGACCATAGGTTAGGATAATAACACACTGTGATGACTTCCCTAATTTCTTATAGGCAAACCGCTTTTGAAATGTGGCTTTAGGTTAGTAGCACTTATGTAAGAACACAAAGCTCTTGTATGTCTGGGAACTTCTGGTATAGGCTGAAGGTGAAGGCTGAAAAGAACGAAAATTGCTTCAAGTTCAATAAATTTAAATAAAATATGCTCCGTAGAAATTAAAATGTATAAATCAAATATCATATACTTTTTCTGATACGATTTCAAAGTTAACACCTATACTCATACTTATGAGTGTAAAGAATTTACACATTTTATTGCACCCTAATTTTTTAAAAAATAAATTTCATTGTGCAACTGAGGTTTACAACATGATGCTATGGAATATAGACAGCAAAATGGTGAAGCAGATTAATATAGCTATCATTTCACATACTTTAACAAGAGCTGCTAAAATCCACTTATTTAACAAAAATCTCTAATACAATTTTACTAACATTGGTCCCCCTGTATCTCTAAACTTGTTCATCCTACATATCTGCTATTTTGTATCCTTGACCTATATCTCCCCATTTCCTCTCCTTCCCCACCACCAGTAGTAACCACTGTTTCGTTCTGTGTATTTTAGCTCCTTAAAAAAATATTCTACATATGAGTGAGATTATGCAATATTTTCCTTGGTGTCTGGCTTATCTCATTTAACATAACGTCCTTCAGGTCCATCTATGTTGTGGTAAACAGTAGGATCTCCTTTTTTAAGGCTGAATAATGTTCCATTGTACATTGTCTATACACACACATAAACGTATACACACACACATAATTTCTTTAGCCATTCCTCACCCATCGATGGACATTTAGGTTGCTTCCCTATCTTGGCTACTGTGAATAATGCTGCAATGAACGCGAGAGTGCAGATATCTTCACAAGGTGGTGATTTCCTCTCCCTTGGGTGTATACCAGGGACAGGTGTTGCTGTGCACCCAGAATCTTCAAAATAATATGTAAATCCTACTTTTGCTGGTATACTGTGAACTCGTATTTACCTAAAAAAATGACATTAACAGCACTCTTTCAAGAAAGTAATCTGAAGAGAAAATATAAAAGAAACCTCAACCCAAGTAAAGAAGGTATCTCTTTCCCATTAGTGTTATTGGTAATTTCTAAAGCTCTAAGCGGTATAATTTATCTTTTCATATACAGGATAACGATGGTTTCAGTTGTTACCACAAATTACTTCAAATATAACGGAGGAAAAAATCATTAGCTATATAGGGTCTTCCAATATATCATACACACAACATGAAAATCAATCTAGCTTCACGTAACTTGGTCAAACCTGGCAGAATCCAAGGGGCACGTGGACGTGACAGCCAAGTTACTACTGACTAGGCTAGGCTAAAGGTTAATAAATAAGGCACTCATAAAAGGAATCGAGGCCAGGCGCGATGGCTCACGCCTGTAATCCCAGCACATTGGGAGGCCGAGGCAGGTGGATCACTTGAGGTCAGGAGTTCGAGACCAGCCTTGTCAACATGGTGAAACCCCGTCTCTACTAAAAATACAAAAAATTAGCTGGGTGTGGTGACAACGCCTGTAATCCCAGCTACTCAGGAGGCTGAGGCACAAGAATAGCTTCAACACGGGAGGCGGAGGTTGCAGTGGGCCGAGATCGCACCACTGCACTCCAGCCTGGGTGAAAATCCGTCTCAAAAAAAAAAAAAAAGGAATCGGTATGAGAGATGGAGTCAGGAACACTGCTCAACTCGAGATTATCACACATCTCTCGTTCTTTCAATATTGGTACCGAAAGAAAATAATTTTACTTATCTCCCTCCGTGCATTTATTCCTTTACAATATGAATTATTTCCAGTCTGGCTGGCGTATCTCACTCCACACCCCAAGCTAGTGTCATAAACCATTTTCCCCAAGAGAAACCTAGAGAAAGATACATAAGCCTAAGGCTCTTAAAAAAAAAAATGAAGCATGTGTCTTCACCTCGCCTTACACTTTTCTCAGTTACCTCTCCCGAGGGTGTGAAAATATCAACATCCGGTCGCCCACCCCCACTCTCTCAGCAGTGCCTCGCATTGACTCTGCCCATCCCCTATCATTCCCTTTACAGTCTCATCACCTTGGAGAAGCCCATCGAATATTTCTTCCCATTGCTCCCCCACCCTTATTCATGGCTCAGCGCGATATTCTCCACATTTTTCTCCCAAGAAGTGGCAAAAAAGAAAGCAGCATGGTCGACGACGAAACCGGGGAGGCCTGACAACCAGACGGCAGTTTAAGGCGACGGAACTGGCTCTTTCCCCCCATCTCGGCCTCCGACCAGCAGTCGGTTCTCTAAATGTGAAATCGCTGGTCTTCCCGCTCCCCCACCCCCATCCCCATCCCCGTCAGAGGCCAAGCCGGTAAAATGCAAAGACCAAGGGGAAGCGCGAGGCAGGGTCATCCCTAACGAAGCCCGCTCCCTCCCGGGCTGGTGTCCCCGGGGGGGGGCTGGAGATTGCGGGAGGAGGAGCGAGCGGCCCTCGCCCAGAGACCCCCGGAGACGCGACCCTCGACACCCGGGCCCTTTCCCCACCCGGCTTCCCTCCCCCGCGGCCCGATCCGGAGAACTGCAGCAGCGCCCGGGCGGACCCCAAGCCGGCCTCACTGGCACACACGCCACACACAAAAGCGCCGCGGCCGCCGCCTTCCCACCCCCACAGCCCGGCGAAGCAATCAATGAGGCGGCCGGCGCCCGCGTCCCCTCCGTGCACACCCGAACACGGGGCCGAGCGGGCCAGCGGGGCTGGCAGCGCGGCTCACCATCGCTGCGCTTGATCTCCACGTAAATCCCGATCTGGATCTTGCCGAAGTTGGCCGTTGCCATCACCTCATCTGGAGCAGCAGCAGCGGGCCGAGGGAGGGGGACCGGAGGGCGGAAAAGGCGGGGAGGGGGCGGGGTAGGTGTGGGAGGGGGAGCGGTTGCCCGCGGCCGCGCCGGCCCGGGCGACAGCGTGAACGCAAGCGGGGCCGCAAGGAGCAGCTGTGGGGAAGCAGGCGGAGGCCCCGGGCCTGCAGGCCGGCAGGAGGACGCGCACGCCGGGTAGTCGGGGTGAAGCTAGGGCCGGGGCCGTGAGACGGCGCGGGGTAGAGTGGGAGGGCCCGCACCGCCCGCCGGGGAGCCGACGCTGGGGAGGCGGGGCGCCGCGCGCCTGCGCAGAGCGCGCCTCCGGCGTCTCTTCTTCCTTTTCGGCTGGCCTCTCCCCGCTGCCTCCAGGCGGCCCCGCCCAGCTCTGCAGCGGGGTGGGCGGCGGCCGCGGCTTACCCAGCCGCTGGAGCGTTGAGCGCTCGGCCCGGCCCACAGCTAGCCGGCGTCGCGTTTGATTTCAGCGCGCGGCCTAGAAGACGCGGGAAGCGTCGCGCCGAGCTTTCTTGCCCTCTCGCTTCCGGGAATTGGCGCTGTTGCCGGAATGGGTTAAAGGCCACGTGGTTTCAGGGGCTTTCTAGCGGGCTGAGGGATGTGAATTCAAGGGCCCTCCGTTGACAGTACGGGATCCGGGTTTTCATCGGAAGGTGGCACCCCCTATTTCCACTTACAGGTAGCTGACCCAAGCAGCCCTCCCAAGCACACTTGGTGTAGGTTTCCCATCCAGTTACGCTGGAAGGGAAGAAACACCCTTGAGGTGTCACCTACCCTAAATCGAAATGAAGATCCACCCCTTTACAGTCTTGCCTTATAGTTTATCACACTCAGAAAGAAGCTCTGTGGTGGGGCGTCCTTAACTGTTCAGGTTATGAGGCATCCGATGCTGGTGCCCTGTTTCTGCTGAGGGTTCAAGACTTACTTGCCTTGGCCTGTAAAGCCAACAACTGTGACTCAAGGGAAGAAGGCAGACACATAAGGTTGACTAGGGAATGTGTCTTTTTGCAATAATTTAATTAGTCTGACCACATCAGCAATGTGGAAAGCAAGACTCTCCATCCTGGCAGAGCAGGAAGGCCACGTGTACCGGGGCCCTGGAAACTGTATTTATAGCACCGTGTGAAAACCTCCAAACGTCTAACTCCTGCTTGTAGTACTGGCAATTGATAGGTTGGAAACAACACTTTTCATGGCCTACTTTCCCTAGTCATTGTTTTTTGTTGTTGTTGTTTTGTTTTGTTTGTTTTTGAGGGGGAGTCTTGCTCTGTCGCTCAGGCTGGAGTGCAGTGGCGCGATCTCCGCTCACTGCAATCTCTGCCTCCTGTGTTCAAGCGATTCTCACGCCTCAGCCTTCCGAGTAGGTGGGATTACAGGCCCGCGCCACCACGCCTGGCTAATTTTTGTATTTTTAGTAGAGACGGGGTTTCACCATGTTGGCCAGGCTGGTCTCAAACTCCTGACCTCAGGTAATCCACCCGCCTCCACCACCCAGAGTGCTGAGATTACAGGCATGAGCCACTGCGCCCGGCCTTCCCTAGTCATTGATAATCTCCCTGTAACAATAACTACAAATATACAATTTAAAATTTTAAAATTGGAAACTGGATATATACATCAATGCTTATGTGGATATATGTGTGCCTAGAGTTTTCTATCTAATGTAAGTAATCATGTAGGTCCTTAAAAAACTGTTAAAAGACTGGCTTCATCTGTAGCTTGAACATATTGAAGGTATACCTGTCAAAAGAACAATTCTATTGAATCCATTCTAAAGTGCATATAATTTCTATGGAAAAAAAACCACACTGGATAGACAATGTGGAAAATAACTTCTTTTACATTCCAGAAATGACACACTTGAGTACCCCGGTTTCAAGTGAAATTTGACCAAATCAGGGTTTAGTTTTTATTTTTTCTATAATTTTGGGAGTTTTATCTGAACTCTTCAAGCTCCTGTCTAGAATTCATTTTCTGATGTCTCTGCAACTGAGGTATAAAACATCTATTTATATTTTATTTATACTTTATAAAGAATGCAAAGAAATCAAGCTATACAGCTCAAAGTTAACATTGTTTCATAAAATATTATTATTATTATTATTAGAGACGAAGTCTAACTCTGTCGTGCCTAGGCTAGAGTGCAGTGGCATGATCTCAGCTCACTGCCACCTCCACCTCCCAGGTTCAAGTTATTCTCCTGCCTCAGCCTCCCAAGTAGTTGGGACTACAGGCGTGTGCCACTACGCCCAGCTAATTTTTTGTATTTTTAAAATAGAGACGAGGTTTCACCGTGTTAGCCAGGATGGTCTCGATCTCCTGACCTCATGATCCTCCCGCCTCAGCCTCCCAAAGTGTTGAGATTACGTGAGCCAACACGTCCAGCCAATAAAATATTATTTTGTATCGTGGTTGCTGACACATACCTTACACTCTGTGGTTTATATGGTTAATCTTAACCTTTAATCCATATAAAAGGTATTTTTAAAATATGTACATTGTTTTGCTCCATAAAAATGTATGACATAACACTTAACAAACACAAAACCTTTCCTTTATAAGACATACCCAAAAGGCTTACTTTTTTTGGTACACATCAGCATATGTATTTACCAAGACTTTCATTATGGGCTTTGTATGCTAGTGGCTTCCTAAAGAGCAGCCATAAATACATGCAATGTGGCTATGTTTCCATCAACATCCTGGATCAAATATTCTAACTCTGGCTGAGACATTAACAAGATATATAATCCTAACTAGAACTACTACTAATAAGATCCTGAATTAGTAACTACTAATTAATCACTAAGATATATACCCTACTAAGAACTACTGTTTTTATTAGGATTATATAGTCTGCACTCAGACATTTGTTCAATGAGTTAACTTCTTAAACTGCTCAGTATCTCAGTTACCTCTTTGATCAACCTGGAATAATAACTTACATTCTCTCAATCACAGAAAGTTTTTGTGAGGACAAATGAAATAAAATGTGATAGTGCCTTGATATTTATAATTTTTTTTTTTTGAGATGAAATCTCACTCTGTCGCCCAGGCTGGAGTGCAATGGTGCAATCTCGGCTCACTGCAACCTCTGCCTCCCGGGTTCAAGCAATTCTCCTGCCTCAGCCTCCCGAGTAGCTGGGATTACAGGCACCTGCCACTACACCCGGCTAATTTCTGTATTTTTAGTAGAGATGGGGTTTCACCATGTTGGTCAGGCTGGTCTCAAACTTCCGACCCCAGATGATCCACCCGCCTCAGCCCCCCAGAGCACTGGGATTACAGGCGTGAGCCAACGCGCCTGGCCTGTAATTTGTTTTATAAAAGTAAACCATCCTATAAAATATAACCCAGGCCAGGTGCTGTGGCTCATGCCTGTAATCCCAGCATTTTGGGAGGCCTAGATAGGAAGATCCGTTGAGCTCAGGAGTTTCAAACCAGACATTTGTATTCACATTCAGCTAAGTGAAAATACCAGGTGAAAGGCTGCTGATCACTTAGATCATGCAAAAGAGATAATATCATTTTTTTCTTAATACCTATCGCTGGCTTCCCAGAATAAAATCTGAATTCTTTACAAAACTGTACGCGATCTAGCTCTGGCTTCCTCGGCAGCCTCGTCTGGTGCTGCTCTCCTCTCACTCTGCTCCATTTTCGCAGAACTCCTTTCTGTCCCTTAAATCAGTCAAGATCTCTGATCAGGATGGCTGCTCTTGCTCATCTTTTCATGTGACTGATTCATCTTCCAGGTCTCAGTCAAAAATCACTCCTGGAAAAAGCCTTTCCTTGTCCCTCACCTTACCCCCACTTTTCTCAATCTGTCTTTCCTCCCCAACTCTAAAGTAACCTCCTCAAGGGTAGAAATCTTGCCTAAAATTCTTCACTCTATCTTTGGCACATAGAAGGGTACCTGGAACACAGCTGCTCAGCAAATATTTGTTGAATGAATGAAGGAAAAGTTTAATAATTTGTTATATGTTGCCAAATTTATAGCCTTAGGTAGTCTTTTCTCTCTGTTTGTTTGTTTTTTTTCTTTTTTTGAGATGGAGCCTCACTGTCGCCCAGGCTGGAGTGCAGTGGCATGATCTCGGCTCACTGCAACCTCTGCCTTCTAGGTTTAAGCAATTCACAAGAATCGAGATTCTCACGCCTCAGCCATCTGAGTAGCTGGGATTGCAGGCATGTGCCACCACACCCAGCTAAGTTTTGTATTTTTAGTAGACGACGGGGTTTTACCATGTTGGCCAAGCTGGTCTTGAACTCCCGACCTCAAGTGATCCGCCCACCTCAGCCTCCCAAAGTTCTGGGATTAGAGGCATGAGCCACTGTGCCTGGCTCATCTTTTCTCTTTCTGAATAAGCTCAATTGGTAATAGATTTTCTCATTAATATGACCCAGACAATCAATATTTAATGTTTCAATCATTTGAACCTCAAAAATCTCTAGTAGATATAGATTAGTGTATATGTAATAAATGTTTATAAAAATTTTAGGCTGGCACGGTGGCTCATGCCTGTAATCCTAGTCCTTTGGAGGCTGAGGCGGGAGAGTTTTTTGAACCCAGGAGTTTGAGGCTGCAGTGAGCTGTGATCCCACCATTACACTACAGCCTGGGTGATAGAGTGAAACCCTGTCTCAAAAAATAAAAAATAAAATTTTAAAACAAAAAGTGTATAAAGTAAAATGAAAGGGAAAGCCCTCGTTGCCCTCCAAGTCCCATTTTCTGGAAGTGGCCACTGTTAAGTATCATATTAATCCAATAATTCTCAATCTTTATTGGGCATAAAAGTCATATGAGATGATTGTTATGCAGACTCTTGGGTCCTATCATCAGAGATTGTGATTCAGTAGATCTAGTTTGAAGTGTAGGAATATGCACTTTTTTAACATTCACTCCAGGTGATTTTCACTCCAGGTCAGGTGATAATTCTTTTTTAAAATATATTTTACAAAAAATTTTAAGCCTGGGCAACATAGTAAAAACCTTGTTCCTGCAAAAAAAAAAAAAATTAGCTGAGCGAGGTGGTGCGTGCCTCTAGTTCCAGCTGCTCTGGAGGCTGAGGCAGGAAGATGGCTCGAACCCAGGAATTCATGGCTACAGTCAGCTATGATTGCACCACTGCACTCCCGCCTGACAGAGCAAGACCCTATCTCTAAAAATAAAATAAAATAAAATGAAATAAATTTTATTATATATATGATTTTACCTGTGTGACTGATATTTTAAAGAAATCATGCTGTATATACTGTTCTGAAACTTTCTTTTTAAAAAAAGTATATATATATATATATATATATATACACACACACACACACACACACATATTTTTTTGAGACAGGATCTCACTCTGTCACCTGGACTGGAGTGCAGTGGCTCAATCATGTGTCACTGCAGCCTCCGCCTCTGGGGCTCAAGCGATCCTCCCTCCTCTCAGCCTCCCAAGTAGCTAGGACTATAGGTATGTGCCACCACACCTGGCTAATTTTTGTATTTTTTTGTAGAGATGTAGTTTCGCCATATTGCCCAGGCTAGTTTCAAACTCCTGGTCTCAAGTGACCTCCTGCTTCAGCCTCCTAAAGTGTTGGGATTAAAGGTGGGAGCCACTGCACCCAGCCTAAAATATATTTAGGACCTCTTTTCATGCCAGTGTTCATAAATCTATCTCTGTTTTAATATCTGGCTATTATTCTACTGTATGTGTGGATAATAGGGGAATATGTAAGCAAACAAACACTTAGATGGATATTTGGGTTGTTTCCATTTTATCTTTTGCTTTTATCAACAATGTTAAATGTAAACATTATGTACAGTTGCATGAATATTTCTTTAGGATAATTTCCTAGAAGTGGAATTGCTGAGCCAAAAGATAAATGTGTATAATTTTGGTGAAATTGGGTGATTTTTAAAAATGTGGTTCTGATGTTATTTTAATGTTTTTGATGTTACATATCAATTATATTTTACACAATATTTGAACTAAGGATACTATATCATCATTTTTTATTATGAATCCATGGCCTGCCATACCCTCACTCATTTCTGTAGATTTCTAGATTTTAAGCCAAATTCTCATCTTGGACATACTGACATGTTCTGACTTCAAACTTGTGTGCAAGCCCTGGCTCAGGACTTGCTCCAGACCCCTGCTATAAATTCACAACTCAACTCCGTGTAATTTCGCAGGGCTAGCTGTTTCCATGCCTGCCTTGTAGAGTACTCATCAACCCTGTAAATCCATTCCCTAGCCTGGTTCCCCATAATCTAATTCCACCCACAAGCTTGTTACCTACTCTAACACATATGGAACAAACAATACAAATAGTATGTAATTAAATGCTAGTTTTGTGGTACAGGCTGTAAGTAGACAGTAGAAAGTCAATGAGAACTAGAGCAGTCAGGAAAGATTTCCTGATGCTAAAGTTTTATGCTTTTCTTGGTTTTGTGTTTTATTTATGAGCAGTGAAGAAGTTCAGTTTAAAAAGGGAGTATCCTCTGGTGGGTGCTAAGGTTTTGGGGGAAAACAAAGGGGACCAGGGAGTAGGGTTCAAGAGGTGTGACTTCAGGTAGGCCCTGAAAGATGACTGGGACTTAAACAGGCAGACAGCAGAAAAGAAAGCAAACAAGGCAAGAAAAACCAGAAACAGAGTATTTTTATGTGGCCACTTTGATGTGGCCATTTTGATGCTAGCTAGTTAAAATGTAAACATTACCATGTCTTTTTTAACTAGAGTAACGTATGCAACTAGACATTTATGATCTCTATTCCATCCCATTCCATGTTCACTCCAAATATAGTAGACTTCATTTTCTACTTTAGTTACTTTTGTTGCTTAACCTTTAGGTTAGTATGTATTATTATTATTGAGATTTTTTTTCTTCTAAGTGTAGGATAATGAATGTGGGCCAGTTTACAGGAGGGAGATGGAAGAGACATATCTGCCGAAAGATGTACACATTGAAAGTAACTAGAAAAATCTTTAGGTGGGATACAATTACGGCAGGCCTTGAAAGCCATGCTGAGACGTTTACCCTTGGGAAGGGCAGCAGTAGGGAACTTCTTTGAGAACAGACATGACATGAAGTCATAGAGCAGCATGTGATGTGATGGAAGCAGCACAGGCTTTGACGTGTGACTGACCTGGTTTCCAATACCAGTTTTGCTGCTTATGATGTTTGTAGCCTTGGGCAAATTCCTGACTTTTCTGAGTCTAATTTCCTCATCTATAAAATGGGGGTACCTTATGTCATAGAATTTTTGTAACAAATAAAATGAGGTAAGAGCTATAAAACACTTGGCACAAAGTAAGCCCTTGATAACCAGTTGCTATAATTATTTAAGGAATATTAGTATAGAAGTATTTTGCCAAACAGATTGGAAGAAGGAGAGTTTTGCATCAGGATGGTCAGCGAGGAGACTCATGAGAAATCCAGGCATGGAATTATTCAAGTTTAAATTAGTGGGATGGCAGGGAACAAGAGTAAGGGCCAACACACATGAGATGTCAAAAATGGAAACTGATTACATATGAAACATAGAGGATAAAGGAGAATAACATATGTAGTCTTCTGATACTCAAAAATTGAGAACATTATTATTTTATTTTATAGGAAGTAGTCTATATTGGCATTACTATGAAATGTAGTTTGAGAAGCAAGAATCAAGCAAGATGGGAGTCAAAGAGTATATAGGTAACTGATAATTTAGGGAAATATATTAAAGATACAACTTCAGGTGACAAGATTTTGTTGGAAATTATTATCCTGGTTTACTAATACCAACTGGTGGTAACATGAAAATTTTACAATCACATTGAATACTTGTAAGAAGAAATTACCTACCAGTACCAAAAGTTAAATAAACTGTGTTTACCTAAAGCCTCTTTCAGGGTTCAAATTCATGGAATGCAAAGCAAAAACCAAATTATTTGAAGCTGTATTTTGCTTTGTATTTTTCCCTGATAGAAAGCCCAAGTCAGCCCACTTTGGATTTAGTATTACAGTGAACATTTGTCGTTACCTTCTCAATAACCCCTTCCCTCTTCCTAGCAGTACTATGAATTTCTTAATCATATGGTTTGGATAGGACTGATCCTTCCTCCATGTGTAGTCTGATTAGGCAATCAGTGTAGGTCATTCTCCCCCATCCTTCCCGCCAATGATTGGTTCATGGATGAAAACATTCCCCCACTCCAGACCAATAAGAGGCAAAGAGTCTCAATTCTCAGGTTGATTTGAGTTGGGGAAGCAAACTCCCAGTTCTCTGGAAAAAAGTAGCTCCACAGTTGTTGGCAGCCATCGTGTGACCACAAGAAGAGGGCCTGGTGAAAGGGAGTCGACCCTGGAGGAGTGGAGCCAAAAGAAACTGCATACCTGTCCTAATTCTTGAGTTCCTGGGCTGAATGAAAGCTATTTGGAATCAGATATATCTTTTAGTTTTTCTGCAGCATAATCCATACATTCACTTCAATGTTTCAGCTAGTTTAAGCTAGATTTTCTGCTACCTGCCACTGAAAATCTCAACTAATACAAGTGCCAAGTCATTTATGGGTGTCAGTACTGCCTTCGGCTCTGCAGGATATTGTCAATGTCATGTGTTATGGACAATAAATGGATCCTAGGTTGGGATTTTAATTTGTCTGTGCTTTGGCAAAGTTTATGGCAGAAGCTGAAATCACTGAGGTGCAAATTTCTGTAGGGCAGTAGAATCCTTAGAAGAATTTAAGATTGTCTTGTTAGCAGATATATTACAAGTCAGCTTCTAGGACTATTTTCTGAAATCTCCTATGAAGCTTCATTTTACTGTTTAAGCGAGTACTAGGAGAGATGGTGCTAAAGATATAAAGCAGCTTAGGGGAATGATTTCAGCTTATTTTCTAACCTCTTAATGAGAAGTATTTCTGCTACATTTAAAGACATAAAAAATTTGGTATTTAAATTTTTACTTTGAAATAAACGCATTGTTTTCTCTAACATCCCAACAACAATTTGAAGATGAGACGCTGTTTGAAGTCATTGAGTAAATATATGTCCTTATTATTGAACATAAGGATTTCAGAATTCTTGAAGGAGTCATTTTTCTGAGGGTGTAGAAGCATTTACCTTTAAATCATATTACCTGAAGAGAATGTTGCAGGAGTAGCCCCAAGCCTTGAGGCATTTGTGGCCTTTGAAGTGCTAGCCAGTGCTATGGTTAAGAGTAGTAGCTTAGACAATGGATGAAGACTACGTGTAGAAAAGAAAACACAGAAAAACCACAAGCTGGTCTCAGCAAACCCATGAAGGTTTAGTTTATGGTTTTGAAGTTGTAGGGCTGTAGTTATGACAAATTCAGTCAGATCAGTTCAAAAAGAAGTAAATGGATCCTGCAGAGGTTTTGGGAAGATGGAGCAGTGGCATGGCCAGTTGCCGGAACTATGTATGACATAGCTACCAATAAAATGTCTGGAAAATAAAAGAACTACTAAATGAAAATACTTTTGAAGAACAATCAGGGAAATTTGTACACATACGGAGTATTAGATATATTAAGGAATTAGTTTTATTATGTATGATACTGATATTGTGGTTCTGTTTTCTTTTTTAACTGATTAATTTTTTTTCTTGTTTTTAAGATGGGGTCTCACTATGTTGCCCAGACTGGTCTTGAACTCCTGAGTTCAAGTTATCTTCCCACCTCAGCCTCCCGAGTGGCTGGGATTACAGGCATGTGCCACTGCACCTGGCATTCTGTTTTTTGTGAAAGCCCCCCCACCCTCTTTTGTTTTTGAGATGGAGTTTTGCACTTGTTGCCTAGGCTGGAGTGCAATGGCACAATTTCAGCTCACTGCAACTTCTGCCTCCCGGGCTCAAGCGATTCTCCTGCCTCCGTCTCCTAAGTAGCTGGAATTACAGGCATGCACCACCACACCCGGCTAATTTTTTGTATTTTTAGTAGAGACGGGGTTTCGCCATGTTGGTCAGGCTGGTCTCAAACTCCTGACCTCAGGTGACTCACCGGCCTCAGCCTCCAAATGTGCTGGGATTACAGGCGTGAGCACCACGCCCAGCCTAAAGCCCTTATTTTTTAAAGACATAAAACTGAATCAAAACAAAACAACAATAACAACAAGTAAAACAAAACAAAAACCCCAAACCCTACAGAGACTTTTATTGAAGTGGAGCGACCACAGCTCTTTTTGAATCTTTAATAAAGATGATTTTTTAGTTGTTACAAATTGAAGAATGGTACTAGAGTGTCACAGGTCATGGATAATGGAAAATTTGAAAATCACAAATGCTTTATAAATGTGTTGCAGAGACTGCTAGTGCTTATCAGCTTGATTTACTGTGGCCAGATGACTGAGTTCTGGCTAATGAAGAATTGATGTCTGGCCTTTTAAGCTATCTAACCTCCCGTGCACTTTTCTCCTTTTCTTTCTTCATCTATCAGCTGAAGGACAAGACTCCTAGAAAAGGGTAGAGCCAAAAGCTGGAAAGAATCTGGATTCCTGAATGACTGTGTGGAGCCAAGCCTCCACCATACTGCTCCTCTTCCCATTGAATTGCAGTAAACTATGGGATGAGTAAGAAGCAAAAAATAAATAAATTTTGCCTGTAATCCCAGCACTTTGGGAGGCCGAGGCGGGCAGATCACGAGGTCAGCAGATCGAGACCATCCTGGCTAACACGGTGAAACCCCCTCTGTACTAAAAATACAAAAAAAAATTAGCCGAGCGTGGTGGCCGGCGCCTGTAGTCCCAGCTACTTGGGAGGCTGAGGCAGGAGAATGGCGTGAACCCGGTAGGGGGAGCTTGCAGTGAGCCGAGATCATGCCACTGCACTACCACCTGGGCGACAGAGTGAGACTCCGTCTCAAAAAAAAAAACTAATTTTTTAGCATGAAGTTTGTTGAATTTTGTCAAAGACCTTTTCTGCATCTATTGAGATAATCATGTGGTTTTTGTCATTGATTCTGTTTATATGCTGGATTATGTTTACTGATTTGCATAGGTTGAACCAGCCTTGCATCCCAGGGATGAAGCCCATTTGATCATGGTGGATAAGCTTTTTGATGTGCTGCTGGATTCGGTTTGCCAATATTTCATTGAGCATTTTTGCAGTGATGTTCATCAGGGATATTGGTGTAAAATTCTCTTTTTTTGTTGTGTCTCTGCCAGGCTTTGGTATCAGGATGATGCTGGCCTCATAAAATGAGTTAGGGAGGATTCCCTCTTTTTCTATTGATTGGAATAGTTTCAGAAGGAATGGTAACAGCTCCTCCTTGTACCTCTGGTAGAATTCGGCTGTGAATCCATCTGGTCCTGGACTTTTTTTGGTTGGTAAGCTATTAATTATTGCCTCAATTTCAGAGCCTGTTATTGGTCTATTCAGAGATTCAACTTCTTCCTGGTTTTGTCTTGGGAGCGTGTATGTGTCGAGGAATTTATCCATTTCTTCTAGATTTTCTAGTTTATTTACGTAGAGGTGTTTATAGTATTCTCTGATGGTAGATTGTATTTCTGTGGGATTGGTGGTGATATCCCGTTTATCATTTTTTATTGTGTCTATTTGATTCTTCTCTCTTTTATTCTTTATTAGTCTTGCTAGCGGTCTATCAATTTTGTTAATCTTTTCAAAAAACCACCTCCTGGATTCATTGATTTTTTGAAGGGTTTTTTTGTGTCTGTATCTCCTTCAGTTCTGCTCTGATCTTAGTTATTTCTTGCCTTCTGCTAGCTTTTGAATGTGTTTGCTCTTGCTTCTCTAGTTCTTTTAATTGTGATGTTAGGGTGTCAATTTTAGATCTTTCCTGCTTTCTCTTGTGGGCATTTAGTGCTATAAATTTCCCTCTACACACTGCTTTGAATGTGTCCCAGAGATTCTGGTACATTGTGTCTTTGTTCTCGTTGGTTTCAAAGAACATCTTTATTTCTGCCTTCGTTTTGTCATGTACCCAGTAGTCATTCAGGAGCAGGTTGTTCAGTTTCCATGTAGTTGAGCGGTTTTGAGTGAGTCTCTTAGTCCTGAGTTCTAGTTTGATTGCACTGTGGTCTGAGAGACAGTTTGTTATAATTTCTGTTCTTTTACATTTGCTGAGGAGTGCTTTACTTCCAACAATATGGTCAATTTTGGAATAGGTGTGGTGTGGTGCTGAAAAAAATGTATATTCTGTTGATTTGGGGTGGGGAGTTCTGTAGATGTCTATTAGGTCCACGTGGTGCAGAGCTGAGTTCAATTCCTGGATATCCTTGTTAACTTTCTGTCTCGTTGATCTGTCTGATGCTGACAGTGGGGTGTTAAAGTCTCCCATTATTATTGTGTGGGAGTCTAAGTCTCTTTGTAGGTCTCTAAGGGCTTGCTTTATGAATCTGGATGCTCCTGTATTGGGTGCCTATATATTTAGGATAGTTAGCTCTTCTTGTTGAATTGATCCCTTTACCATTATGTAATGGCCTTCTTTGTCTCTTTTGATCTTTGTTGGTTTAGCTCTTCTTGTCGAATTGATCCCTTTACCAATATGTAATGGCCTTCTTTGTCTCTTTTGATCTTTGTTGGTTTATAGTCTGTTTTATCAGAGATTAGGGTTGCAACCCTTGCCTTTTTTTGTTTTCCATTTGCTTGGTAGATCTTCCTCCATCCCTTTAGTTTGAGCCTATGTATGTCTCTGCACGTGAGATGGGTTTCCTGAATACAGCACACTGATGGGTCTTGACTGTTTATCCAATTAGCCAGTCTGTGTCTTTTAATTGGAGCATTTAGCCCATTTACATTTAAGGTTAATATTGTTATGTGTGAATTCGATCCTGTCATTATGATGTTAGCTGGTTATTTTGCTCGTTAGTTGATGCAGTTTCTTCCTAGCCTCAATGGTCTTTACAATTTGGCATGTTTTTGCAGTGGCTGGTACCGGTTGTTCCTTTCCATGTTTAGTGCTTCCTTCAGGAGCTCTTTTAGGGCAGGCCTGGTGGTGACAAAATCTCTCAGCATTTGCTTGTCTATAAAGGATTTTATTTCTCCTTCACTTATGAAGCTTAGTTTGGCTGGATATGAAATTCTGGGTTGAAAATTCTCTGCTTTAAGAATGTTGAATATTGGCCCCCACTCTCTTCTGGCTTCTAGAGTTTCTGCTGAGAGATCAGCTGTTAGTCTGATGGGCTTCCCTTTGTGGGTAACCTGACCTTTCTCTCTGGCTGCCCTTAACATTTTTTCCTTCATTTCAACTTTGGTGAATCTGACAATTATGTGTCTTGGAGTTGCTCTTCTCAAGGAGTATGTTTGTGGTATTCTCTGTACTTCCTGAATTTGAATGTTGGCCTGCCTTGCTAGATTGGGGAAGTTCTGGATAATATCCTGCAGAGTGTTTTCCAACTTGGTTCCATTCTCCCCATCACTTTCAGGTACACCAATCAGACATTGATTTGGTCTTTTCACATAGTCCCATATTTCTTGGAGGCTTGGTTTAACTGTTTCTTTTTAGCCTTTTTTCTCTAATCTTCTCTTCTCACTTCATTTCATTCATTTGATCTTCTATCACTGATACCCTGTCTTCCAGATGATTGAATAGGCTACTGAGGCTTGTGCATTCATCATGTAGTTCTCGTGCCATGGTTTTCAGCTCCATCAGGTCCTTTAAGGACTTCTTTGCATTGGTTATTCTAGTTATCCATTCATCTAATCTTTTTTCAAGGTTTTTAACTTCTTTGCCATGGGTTCGAACTTCCTCCTTTAGCTCGGAGTAGTTTGATCATCTGAAGCCTTCTTCTCTCGACTCGTCAAAGTCATTCTCCGTCCAGCTTTGTTCCGTTGCTGGTGAGGACCTGCATTCCTTTGGAGGAGGAGAGGCGCTCTGCTTTTTAGAATTTTTCAGTTTTTCTGCTCTGTTTTTTCCCCAACTTTTTGGTTTTATCTACCTTTGGTCTTTGATGATGGTGACGTACAGATGGGTTTTTGGTGTGGATGTCCTTTCTGTTTGTTAGTTTTCCTTCTAACAGTCAGGACCCTCAGCTGCAGGTCTGTTGGAGTTTGCTGGAGGTCCAGTCCAGTCCATGTTTGCCTGGGTATCCGCAGCGGAGGCTGCAGTACAGTGGATATTGGTGAACAGCAAATGTTGCTGCCTGATCATTCCTCTGGAAGTTTTGTCTCAGAGAAGTACCTGGCCATGTGTGGTGTCAGTCTGCCCTACTGGGGGGTGCCTCCCAGTTAGGCTACTCGGGGGTCAGGGACCCACTTGAGGAGGCAGTCTGTCCGTTCTCAGATCTCCAGCTGCATGCTGGGAGAACCACTACTCTCTTCAAAGCTGTCAGACAGGGACATTTAAGTCTGCAGAGTTTTCTGCTGCCTTTTGTTTGACTATGCGCTGCCCCCAGAGGTGGAGTCTGCAGAGGCAGGCAGGCCTCCTTGAGCTGCGGTGGGCTCCACCCGGTTCGAGCTTCCTGGCCACTTTGTTTATCTATTCAAGTCTCAGCAATGGCGGGCGCCCCTCCCACAGCCTCGCTGCCACCTTGCGGTTTGATCTCAGACTGCTGTGCTAGCAATGAGTGAGGCTCTGTGGGCATAGGACCCTCAGAGCCAGGCATGGGATAAAATCTCCTGGTGTGCCGTTTGCTAAGACCGTTGGAAAAGCACAGTATTAGGGTGGGAGTGACCCAATTTTCCAGGTGCTATCTGTCATCCCTTTTCTTGGCTAGGAAAGGGAATTCCCTGACTCCTTGCGCTTCCCGTGTGAGGCAATGCCTCGTCCTGCTTTGGCTCACGCTTGGTGTGCTGCACCCACTGTCCTGCACCCACTGTCTGACAATCCCCATTGAGATGAACCCGGTACCTCAGTTGGAAATGCAGAAATCATTCGTCTTCTGCATCGGTCACTCTGGGAGCTGTAGACTGGAGCTGTTCCTATTCGGCCATCTTGGCTCCACCCCATTAATACATTTTTAAAGGTAATCTTTCTCTTACTAATCTTTTTTTTTGAGACAGAGTCTTACTCTGTTGCCCAGCCTGGAGTTCAATGGCATGATCTCTGCTCACTGCAAGCTCTGCCTCCGGGGTTCATGCCATTTTCCTGCCTCAGCCTCCCAAGTAGCTGGGACTACAGGCGCCTGCCACCACGCCCAGCTAATTTTTTTTTTGTATATTTAGTACAGACGGGGTTTAACTGTGTTAGCTAGGATGATCTCCATCTCCTGACCTCGTGATCCGCCCACCTCAGCCTCCCAAAGGGCTGGGATTATAGGTGTGAGCCACCGCACCCGTTCTCTCTTACTAATCTTTATTATTTGTTGCAGAACAAAATTTTGAAAGGACAGAAAAGCTGCCCAAAGATAAATTCCAACTGAGGTTTAAATCTAATGTTTTAAAATTACTTTTTTTTGAGACAGAGTCTCACTCTGTTGCCCAGGCTAAAGTGCAGTGGCGTGATCTCGGCTCACTTCAACCTCCGCCTTCTAGGTTAAAGGGATTCTTGTGCCTCAGCCTCTCAAGTAACTGGGATTACAGGCATGTGCCACCACACCTGGCTAATTTTTGTATTTTTAGTAGAGACGGGGTTTCGCCATGTTGGCCAGGCTGGTTTCGAACTCCTGGCCTCTAGTGATCCTCCCGCCTCAGTCTCCCAAAGTGCTGGGATTACAGGTGTGAGCCACCGCACCTGGCCTTAAAATTACATTCTGATCCCTGCATGCTTTCTGGAGCATGAAAGAGTGATGGGTAGATTGATTGGAAGCAACATTGCTCTAGGGGTAAGAAAAGAACTTTAGTGATGGTTTATGTACCTTTATTCCTTGAAGTTATTAACATATCAAAAAAGTCAAAAGAGTAGTACAATAACATCTGTACTCTCACCACCCCATATTCGTAATTAATAATTTGTTAATAAATGATAAAGATGTTATTCCTAGGCAGTCCAATGATCTATTTTACTCATAAATATTTTGGAATTCTTTTCTTTTTTTTTTTTTTTTTTGAGACAGAGTCTCATTCTGTCACCCAGGCTGGAGGTGCAGTGGTGCAATCTTGGCTCACTGCAAGCTCCGCCTTCCAGGTTCACGCCATTCTCCTGCCTCAGCCTCCCGAGTAGCTGGAACTACAGGTGCCCGCCACCACGTCCAGCTAATTTTTTTGTATTTTTAGTAGAGACGGGGTTTTACTGTGTTAGCCAGGATGGTCTCGATCTCCTGACCTCGTGATCCACCTGCCTCAGCATCCCAAAGTGCTGGGATTACAGGCTTGAGCCACCACGCCCAGTCTATTTTCTTTGTTTTATATAAAAAGTTTGGTTTTAATCACACTCAATCATATCATGACTGCCTTTCTAATTCACTTGAATTGGAAGGACATAATGACATTTATGTAACCTTTACTAACTCTTAAGACAAATTGTGAAAAAAAGAACTTGCCCAGGAGAGGAAAGCCCCCTGAGAATTCAGAGCTACAGAAATAAATCATCAGTCCAACTCAATGGGTGCTCAGCTGATCTAGTTCATGTTTTTATTGGAATGCTGACTTCAAATGAATCTTCCTGAAACCTCACAAATACTGACTTCTTTCAGAAGCAGGTAATATGAAGCAAAACAAAGTTTCCAACAACTCAATTGCAATGAATTGTACTTGAGAACAGACAGTTCCTGTTAGAAGTAACTGTACCCTATAATGTAAGCCAGGAAGCTGTCCTGGATCACCACACTTGAGAATTTCAGGGTTGCTTTTTCTAAATTTCCTGTTAATATTTTAGGGAAAATCAATCTTTTCAGTAGACATCTCATGTGAAATAAGGTAACTCTAATATCTAGAGGTATATATATGAAAATGTTAATAAGCCTAGGTTATACAAGGAGAGATTTACAGCACTCCATAAAAGTACATGATCAATCTTTTGTTATTGGATGATATAGAATGTATATACTCAGTTAATCTGCTGCCGAAAATTTCTTTCCAACTTTTTGAAATTGAGGGCCCTAATAAGTGGATATTTGCAAAATTATCGTCAGAGAATTATTCACTTATTCATTCATTCAACGAATACTTATTGAGGCTGGGTGTGGTGGTTTACGCCTGTGATCCCAGCACTTTGGGAGGCCTAGGCGGGTGGATCACCTGAGGTCAGCAATTTGAGAGCAGTCTGGCCAACATGATGAAACCCTGTCTCTACTAAAAGATACAAAAATTAGCCGGGTGTGGTGGCACGCACCTGTAATCTCAGCTACTTGGGAGGCTGAGGCAGAAGAATCAGTTGAACCCAAGAGGTAGAAGTTGCAGTGAGCCAAGATCATGCTGCTGCACTCCAGTCTGGGGAACAGAGCAAGGCTTCGTGAAAAAACAAAACAAAACAAAACAAAACCACACAAAAAAACAAACAAAAAAACCCCATAAGAACAAATACTTATTGAATGCCTGCTCTGTGCCAGGCATCACTATAGGTGTTGGGGGTATATCAGGGCACAAAACAAAGATTCCTCTCCTCATGGGCCTTACATGGGGGAGAAAGAAAGTAAATCAAAACACAATAAACAACTAACTATATTATACAGCATGTTAGAGGATGGCAGGTTTATGGGAAAAAAAAACAACAGAAGAGGATGAAGACGTCAAGAGTGTTGTGAGGAAGTCAGTCTGCCTGACTATCTGGACAATGAGCACTGCAACCTGAAACTGCAGCCACACTAAGGCTATCTGGCTGGTTTGAGGAATAGCTGGGGCAGGCAGAAGAGAGTGAAGCTATGATGCAGGCCTGTGATCGCCATGGCCAACCCCATGGGACGCTGGAGCTGAAAAGGCCTCTCAGAGTTGTCTTGAATTAGGCCAAAATGGCCAGGACTTTATATCCCAGCATTGATTTGGCGTTAGGTATAAGCCACCTGGGAATGAGTATGACCTTGAGCAAGGTGGCTCTCTGCAGCTAAAGGGAAAGAAAGCTGTGGGATGTCTACTGACATCACTCCCGACAGCCTTCACTGAAGAGAGAGCTAGGAGGTACATATCAGTGTCAATAGGTTCAGCCTCCTCATTTTCAAGTTTACCTGTGGTCTAAGATGGCTACTGTAACTTCAGCATTCATATTCCAGCCAGCTGGAAGAAGGAAAAGGAACTATCCTGGTAGTTGTATGCGCTACTTTTGCTCACAGTCTGTTGCAAGAGTCTAATCACATTGCCATACCTAACTTCAAGGAAAGCTAGGTTATACAGTCTTTATTCTTGTTGGCTTGGGACCAGCAAACAAACAAAAAGGATATTGAAGTACAACTAGCAGTCTCTGCTATCATACTCCCCCATTTGTGTAAGAAAGAGAATGTGGATTCACCACATGGAAGAATAAGTTAAATGCAGTCTTTTTAGCTCATTCAAGATTTTGTGCTTTGGGCCAATGGGGGCATTAAAAGGCACCAAAGAAAGAATGCTATCTTGAAGGGCTCCCAGAAAAGGAGACTTTAAGGGAGAAGGGTGACAGCAATTGTATAGATGGGTGGTTGTGAAGTTGGAGATTAATGTGATCAGATTTGTATCCACCAGCTGCTGGAGCTTGGGATCATCAGGTGGCATTTATGCAGCATAACTCACTGTAGAACTGCTTCCTTCTTGAACCCCTCCCTTGGCTTGATTCTTCTGATTTGTTAGTCTTCCTTCCTGGCTCTTCTTCCCACTCTTGACCCTTTAATATTGATACACTCCTGGGTTTGGTCCTCTTTCCTCATTTCTTCTCACAAGGCATTCTTTACCTTTACGGGATCATATAACTCTTCGAAAATATCATGACCTTCAAACCCAGAAAAATGCCCAGCTGACCATCACCAACTTATTAAACAGAATGAACCTGAAGGGGGTATAAACATTAAGATTTTATTTTTCCCCCATCTCTGTCCTCAACTGTTCTATATCAGCTCTCTTTTGCTCCTCCATGATGTGTCAAGCAGATCCCACAGCTTGCTTACCCTGTAGTTAGCAAAAAAGCTGGAGAATTCGATTATGACTCCAATCACGTCTCTACTTCCCCATCTGAGGCTTGACTCATGGTCCAAGCACCTTCAAAGTCAGCTCTTTCACTCTTCCTCCCCTCCCTTTTCTGGTTCACTAGGTTGAAGTTCACTAGAAGGGAAGGCAGGGATTGCCTTATAGGTCTGGTCTCCCTCTGACTCTGTCCGGTCCTGTCCTCTGTGGTTGAATTTGGCCAAGATGGTGAGTTAGGTTTCCTCTGGATACTTCTCAGAGTCACCCTGCCCCCACACCTACTTCCCTCTGCTAAGGACCTTGTCCAGCCTCCATTCCTGACACCCTCTCTGAAAGGATATCACTTCTGTTAGATGGCAGCTGCCTGCACAGCCTTATACCTTCTGGTTTGTCTCCTGTCCTCCAGGCTCTTTCAATATTTTATTTTCTGCACATACGTGCCCATACTCACAACTGAATCTACAAGTAGGCAGATCTCAAAGGAAGGAGAAAAAATGGGTCAAGCCACACATGCCTCGATCATTTCCTCCAAATTCACCTACCAGTTGCCTCTGTCCTCTGTGGAAAGTAGTGAATGAGGAGGAAAAAGGAGAACTGAAGTGTTGCTCTAACAGAGGTCTCACAGCATGAAAATATCAAATGTAGAGAAAAAATGTTCCTGAGTAACAATCCATATGTAACGTATGTGTGTCTACTATGCATCTTGCCTGAAATAGCATACAGGCATATTGAACTTAAAATCCATCATACTGAACTCATCACTTAAAAAATACATTCCAACCTCAGAATCTGTGTTTCTGTCTACATTTTCTATTTTATAATTTATCTAATTACTCAAATAAAAATTTGGGGATTCATCTTGGATTCTCCTCCTCCCTTCACCCTTCCTAAATATTACTTCTCTCCATAATCTTCTTGCTATTTCTACTGCCTTAATTAAGGCTGCCATTACTTCTCATTTGGATTATTACACCAAAAAAAAATCTCCTAATATATCTCTCTATATCCAGATTTACCTTCCTGAAATCCATTTTGTTAAACTGCATCTAAAGTTATCTTTTGGAAATTCAGATCTTATCAGGTGACACTCCTGCTTAAAACTCTCCAGGGGCTCCCCATTGTTCTATGATGTTTATCAAAGTGTGATCTTAGATTGCCTTTGACCAGAATCATTTGGATGACATATTAAAAATACAGTTTTCTAGGCCATATCACAGATTTAATGAATCAGAGTCTCTGGAGATGCATTTTTAACTTTTATTTCTAGAAAGGAATTATTATGCACAAAAAATTTTTGTAAATGTTTACTCATAAGATTAAGTTGAAACTCCTTTTTAGGGTATATAACACATTTCAGCATTTGGTTTATATTACCTCTTTAATTTTTCATCTTACCACTACCTCTGCAATTTGTGTTCTAGGAAAAACATGTTTCCTCATGAATCATTTCACACTTCTTTGTCTTTTAATCTGCTTGTTTCTTAGCTTGATGCATTTTTCTCACCCAATTCTCTTCCATCTGATGAAAACCTATTTATCTTTCAAAATCTTATTAGAATTTCATATATGTGAAAGGACAAGTGGACAAGGACAGATGGAAACCCATGTTTATTCTTATTGCCTCTGGCCTTTGTGATGAGGATATCCTGTAAAAGTGAGGGCTCCTCAGCCCAGCGACCTGGCGGGGGTGGGAGGAGCTGAGGGAAAATCCAGGGGAAGTTAGAGCAACTGCAGGCACAAGCCCTGCTACTGCTTCACACCAATGAAGTGAGTCAGCAGATCAGCAATAATGTAGGTGTGAGCTACAAAATGGCCACCGTTTCCCTACCACCCTCCAAATTTCTCAAGAATCTTCCTTGTGACCCACTCTAACTAGAAGCATACCAGAAAATGAATTCTAGGAAATGTTCCACCTACGCAGGTTGACACATTACAAAACTACCACACACTGGATAATCTATTTTAGGCAGGGTGGTCAGATCTCATTGGTGATATGACTTTTTTTTTTTCTTTTTTGAGACAGAGTCTCTGTCACGTAGGCTGGAGTTCAGTGGCATGGTCACAGCTCATTACTGCCTAGACTTCTAGGGCTTAAGTGATCTTCCTGCCTCAGCCTCTGAAAGTGCTGGGATTACAGGTGTGAACCACTGTGTGCAGCCAGTGAGATGACATTTGCACACCAACTAAAGTGAAGGATTGGGCCAAGAGAAAAAAAGGAGAGATGACCAGGACATACAAAGGCCTTGAGGCAATGGCATCTGGATGGAGGACTCTGAAGAAGGGTCAAATACCCAAAGAAAAAGCAAGATCCAGCAGAGTCTCAGGAATAGTTAGAATGAAGGACCCCAACACCCTAATGGCTTTCTCTCTGCCATTCTGTTTCTCTCTGTGTCAACTTCATTCTCTTTCACTTTAGACTGGCTTTCTCCACCTGGTGGAAACATGGTCACAGGAAGCATCGAAGTTTGACATCTTATATGTGTAGCTATCAAAGAAACTATCTTTATGTTCTCTGTGATAGCCCATCAAAAAATTTGGGGGAAATTACTCATTGCCCTAACAGGTTATTTGCCCATTCTTGGAAAAATTAGTTCCAAAGGGCTATGATATTAATTACCTGTTCTTGTGTAATAAATTATGCCCAAACTTAGCAGCTTTAAACAACAATAAACATTTGTTATATTACACAGTTTTTGTGCAAAATGAATTTAGGAACAGCTTAGCTGGATGGTTCTGTCTTGAAGGGGGTGTCTCAAATGAAGTTGCAGTTCAGATGTCAGCTGGAGCTGCAGTCATCTAAAGGATTAACTAGGCTGGAGGATCCATTTCCAACTATACTCACTCACAATTCTGGTAAGTTAATGAAGGTTGTTTCCAAGAGACCTCAGTTCCATGCCATGTGACACTTCCATATGGTTGCTTGAGGACTCTCGTGACATGGCATCTGGCTTTCCCTAGAGTGAATGACCCAAAGGAGCAAGGTGGAAACTATAGCATCTTCTATGACTTAGACATTGAAGTCATACTCTGTTTTTCCTTAATATCCTGATAGTTACATAGGGCAGACCCATTCAGTGTAGGAAGAGACTACATAAGTGTATGAATAACAGGAGGTGAGAATCTTTGGGGTTAATTTTGGGGGCTAGATATCAAGGCACTCTAATTTGCACAGCTTGCATTCGTTTCCTAGTCTTTGTAGCCAGAGCAGAGACAGAATAGATCACATGACATTCATCTCTCTTGGGTGAAGAAAAGGAATACTATGGTAAAGATGGGGAAGATAAAAGAGAAATTTCTAGAAAAATTGGAGGATGAGTGTTGGGGAAAAAATAGGTGTCTGTTGCTAGCCAGAATGTTAAAAACTCCCTTGTTAATACGTGACTGCACCTCTGTGTTACTTCTTGGCACATTACATCTTAATTATTCATTTACAAATATTTTTCTTCCACTAGATTGTGAAATCTCTTCTTTCATCTTTGAGTTTACATCACCACATCATTGTCTGGCACAAAGTAGATGATCAAAAATGCGTGAACTGAACTGAACTAAATAGACTAAGGCTTGGGAGGATATGAACAAGGTTCTTCAATAATTAAACATATGGGGAACACAAAATTAACATCAAATCTCAGATTAGAAGGCATTTTTTGACACTTGAAAGATATGTTCTTTAGATGAAATGAGTTAAAAGCTTATGAAACTTGTGTTTTCAAGAGATACAACATGTTAAAATAGAAATAATTTATATGTTAAATATTAAATAAATAAAAATTTATTGAATACATGAATATTAGTTAGGGTTTTTATTATTTTGGTGTGAGGAATCAAAGCCCAACTCAAACTAGCTTACAAATAAAAAGGGTGGATTTATTGGAGAATTACTGAAGTAATTAATAGAATCCAAGAGACACAAGAACTTCAGGCATAGAACCACCCGAAGTGGAGCACAAAAGAAAACCCCCAAATTCTTCTCCTTTTGACCCTTCTCTCTGCCCCTCTCCCCACATCTGCTTTACTTTCTCAATGCAGATCAGCTTTCTTGTTTGCAGTCCACACGTAGCAGAAACAGTTCTGAAGTTGGCATTTATAGACTGGTCACCTAGAGAGAGATGATCGTTTCTCATTCCAGTTTTACATTCCTGAGGAAGGGACCAATAGATTTAATTAAGTTTAGATGCCCACCTTCAGACCAATTAAGCATGACTTGGGGCAGGGTCACATTATGGGAATATTGCAAATCCTGCTGCCACTCTCCAGATTGGGCAATGGGGTGAGGCAATTTCTGGAAAATAGTTGCTGGGTAGACAAAACAATAGGTATGTTTTTAATGACTCTGTAGATAAGTTAAGAGATGACATACTCATAATAAAACATGAAGGGTGTTCAGAGTCCAACATAAGTCTCTGGAGTTTGACACAGCAAATCACAGGGTATTGTCAGTGTCATTGTAAGAAATGATTATTTAGAGCCTTGGTCTGAGACAGGGTAGCATTTGTTGTGTTCTAATCATTTTAACACAATATTATTCTGGTGAGGGTGAAAGCACTGTCTTCATTGCTACATCTAACAAAAAGAGTTTAATTAGGATTTTAATTTCCTTTGCTGAGTTGCTGGGGAAGGTTTCAGAAGAGATAAACTATGGGTTACAGCATCCACTACATTATTTAGCTATAAAGGAGGATTCAGAATTTTTTTTTTTAACACCTACCTCCTTCTAAGATCTTGATGACAACAGTAGTAGATTTGCTAATAACCAATTTCAGCATCTGGGAGTTTAATGCCATGTTTAAGTCCAAATACTTTTTTGTTTCATGTATTTTGGTGAAAAAAAATCTCTCTAAAAGGTAGAAAGACTGCCATTACAAATGTTTTTACGTTAAAATGGAAAACAAAACAAAACAAAAACCAACTATTGAGTATAAAAGTATGGAAGAACATGTTCCTGACCTAGTTTTTAAAAGAAAGAGAAATTATAATCAGAATGAAATTATCTCTGTAAATGTAACTATCAAGTGAATGGCTTCTAATCAGCGGGGATATTGTGTGTGTGTATGTGTATGGAGGCTGGGGCGGTTGAGAAGAATAAAGATTATTCTTAGACTTCCTTTTGAATGCCCCCAAATGCAAACATTCCATTTTATTGTTTCTAATATACTACTCTAAAGTTTTTAGGTAGGATGGCTGAAGTCAGCATTAGAATCAGGGAAACGTAACCTCACCAACATCAGTGTTTTCTGCCCATTTGTGTCTGCGTGGGCTGAAAGAGGAAGAAACATATTCCAACCTCCTCCACTGCCTATTGGGACGGCTTGCTCGTTTTTCTCCCTGGACTTCCATGTCTCCTGGCTCCAGGCTTTTTCACATTGCAGGGATTGGTGATTTGTGCCATTAGCTCTTTTCCATCAACATCTAGCCTTCATTGGCAGTCTTGTCATTCATTCATTTGGTTTCTACTTTAAGATTCAAATTTTGATGTAATGATCCTTTTAACCAAACTCATCAATGCCAACATTTACTGCCCAGTATAATTATGATTCTATTTCCCTTAAATAATCAATGATCAACTCATAAAAGTGAGTTCTATGAATTTTGGCAGATTTTAATTTTTTCCTATCTTCTCTTTTTTTCCAAGTTTTGTATTAGCAAAATGTTAGGCATTTTGTAAAATCTATGTGTTCTCTCCAGTTGTGAATATAATTTTAAAAAAATGAATGATAGATGAAATAAATGTGCTCTAAGCTTCTAGGTAATTACTCCATCCAGTGTCTGTAGTCTAGATGAGAAAAATTATAAAGCTTTTGTCAGTCATCCAGAGGGGAGATGGCCCAAAGGGAGGTAGGACCATTAAAATTCCATAAGACTCTACACAAAGAAGGGGAGACAGAGTCCCAAACAAAACTCGAATTCACTTGTTTGAGCCTGCCCAGCATTAGTCATTTGTCAGCCTGATTATATAGTAATCAGAAGCTTAACAGTAAGAAATTACATAGTGCTAAGAAATCCTTCAAATGGATTTGTCCCTAAATTTACAGCTTTTGTTGTGTCATTATTTTTGTAGCATTTCTGTCGTGGTTTATATTTATGCTTTACTATGTTTTATGTTTCCGTTTTAAATCTCTTCCCCTAAATTCCTCCAAAACACTTTCTGAGTTAGAGGTTTATGCACATAACAAAGTAAGTTCTAATAAGCATTTGTTAAATGAATGGATATTAATAGGACAGAATAATAGATTGTTTTATCTGAGTTCTTAATATTTTTTTCTGTCTGGACCCCTTTGACAGTCTAATGAAGCCTATGGAGTCTTCTCAGAATAATATTTTTATTTGTTTTATAGAGATGGGGTCTTCCCATGTTGCCCAGGCTGGTCTCAAACTCCTGGGCTCAAGCAAACCTCCTGCCTCAGCCTCCCGAAGTGTTGGGATTACAGGCATGAGCTACTATGCCTGACCCTAATAATAATGTTTTTAATGCATAAAATAAAATATATAAGATTACAAAGAAAATCAAATATGTTGAGGAAATAGTTATAAAAATGGATGTCTTAATCAAATCATAAATAAAATAATGTAATATCGTGTTCAAAAACTACTATAATTTTGAAGTACTGAAGAAGGCAATAAATTTTTTTTTTTTTTTTTTGAGACTGAGTCTCACTCTGTTGTCCAGGCCGGAGTGCAGTGGTGCGATCTCGGCTCACTACAACCTCCACCTCCTGGGTTCAAGAGATTCTCCTGCCTCAGCTTCCCAAGTAGCTGGGACTACAGGCATGTGCCACCATGCCCAGCTAATTTTTGTATTTTTTAGTAGAGACAGGGTTTCACCATGTTGGCCAGGCTGGTCTGGAACTCCTGACCTCAGGTGATCCGCCTGCCTCCGCCTCCCAAAGTCCTGGGATTACAGGCATAAGACACCACGCCCGGCCAGCAATAAAATATTTTAAGATTCTGCAACACTACAATGTGATATGAAAATATCTGAAATTTCTATTGGTGACACTGTCTGTTGCTAAGGCTGATCTGTTATCACCAACATCTGCTCCTGAGACCTGGGCCTGTGTCCTTTCTTACCTGGGTACTAAAGCAACTCTACTTGTCCACAAAGTCTATCATGAAAGTTGTAGACTTTTGCTGTATGCTTTTTATTTCCTGCAAGAAACTTGCAAAAGGTCCCAATTCTCACCCTGTCCAGAAGAACAAATAATACTTTAGACAAGTCAAGGCATGTTTATTCACTACCCACCTCACCTCCAAGTCAACAAAATCTTAAAGATACAACTCTGATTTTGCCTTTCCCTCTGCGTGGTTTTAATTCCTTAGATATCACCTTTTTATTTGGAATTCACTCCAGTCATCTTGGTTTTGGAATTTTTATTGATCCTGTCTCCCTGTGCTTATTGATGTCACGGCTCAGAAGTTGTGCTGCTGGATATACATCGGCTATCTGTCACTCAGCTGGTTGAAATTATGGTTCCAGCTGTTGGCAATCCCACTGGACAGCCACCTGCATCTTAATGTCAAATATAGAGAGATCAGTAGGTTGCAACTACATTTGAGGTTGAAGCTTATGAAAAACCCTTTTCTCTAAGCCCTGACCCCACTTTAAATATTGTAGATATTTCCAGGGCTCAATCCTGAGCAGTCCCCATTTCTCTCCATAATCTTTGACAATTCCCAGGCTTGGTTTCTCTGTGTCCTTAATTCTGCTTCCTTCTCTGAAGAGCTGGAGTCTACTCTTTGCACTCTCTTTCTGTTGATAGGAGTCCTATCATGAATAGACAAGACAGTGTGATGGTTAATTTTATGTGCCAATCTGGCTAGGCTACAGTATGTAGTTATTTGATCAAATACCAGTTTAGATGTTACTGTGAAGGTGTGTATTATTTAGATATGATTAACATTTAAATCTGTAGACTTTGAGTAAAGCATATTACCTTCCATAATATGCATGAGCATCATCTAATCAGTTGAAGGCCTTAAGAGAAAAGACTGAATTCCACTCAGATAGAAGAAATTCTTTTTTTTTTTTTTTTTTTTTTTTTGAGACAGTTTCACTCTTATTGCCCAGACTGGAGTGCAATGCCACGATCTCAGCTCGCTGCAACCTCCGCCTCCCAGGTTCAAGCAATTCTTGTGCCTCAGCCTCCTGAGTAGCTGGGATTACAGGCATGCACCACCACACCCAGGTAATTCTTGTATTTTTAGTAGAGACGGGATTTCTCCATGTTGCTCAGGCTGGTCTCAAACTCCTGACCTCAGGTGATCCGCCCGCCTCGGTGCCCCCAAAGGGCTGGGATTACAGGCGTGACCCACTGTACCCAGCCAGGTAGAAGAAATTCTGCCTCCAGACTGCTTTGGACTTAAGACTGCAACACTGACTTCTCCCTGGGTCTCCAGCCTGCTGGCCTATCCTGCAGATTTAAGATTTGCCAGCTCCCACAATTACATGAGCCAGTTCCTTAAAATCAATCAATCAATCAATCAATCAATCAATCAGTATCTCTCTCTCTCTCTGTGTGTGTCTCAGAGAATCCTTACTTGTCTCTTTCAGATTTTGGAGGCTATTGGCATTCCTTGACTTTCTTGGCTGTGGCCCCATCACTTCAATCTTTGTCTTCATCTGTGAGTCTGTGCCAAATCTTCCTCTGTGTTTCTCTTATGAGGACTCTTGTGGTGGCATTTAGGTTCCACTTGGATAATCCAGGATAATCTCCTCATCTCAAGGTAAAATTCACGGTTTCTGGAGATTAGGACATGGACATATCTTTGGGTGGCCATTTTTCAACCTACCACAGTACCCTCTTGTGACAGCCAATTTCCTCTTTGACGTCTCTTAATTGCAATAGCATATTCAAATATAAAGTTCAATCTGAAAAATGGAGTTCTTTGAAGTGGGTCAATATAACATAGAAAACACACCATTCTACAGACCAGGGGTTGAGATATATCATATCAAGCCAAAAATGTTACATCCACATTTCTAGCAAGATTCTTTGCAGATTCAAGGATATGAGGCAGACATTCTGCAAGAAATTGACCTTGAGAGCACTTTCCATGCAAAATGCATCAAAACAAGGCCCAGGAGCAAAGCATGTTCATTATCTGACTTCTGGTGACCTTAATTATTCAGTGGATGATGAAATCCTAACGTATAATTTCAGGTTCAAGATAAGATAGATGCTCAAGTATAATAGATGTTTGCAACAGTATTAATATTTTGGCTAGAAGTGCAAGAAAGAAGTCAGATCCAGCTGTGATTTATCAAGAATTGGTGACTGGGCATGGTGGCTCACACCTGTAATCCTAGCACTTTGGGAGGCTGAGGCAGGCGGATCCCCTGAGGTCGGGAGTTTGAGACGAACCTGGCCAACATGGTGAAACCCCGTCTCTACTAAAAATACAAAAATTAGCCAGGCATGGTGGTGGGTGCCTGTAATCCCAGCTACTTGGGAGGCTGAGGCAGGAGAATCGCTTGAACCCTGGAAGCAGAGGTTGCAGTGAGCCGATCGTGCCACTGCACTCCAGCCTGGGCAACGAGAGTGAGGCTTTGTCTCAAAAAAAAAAAAAAAGAATTGGCAAAGATAATTTCCACATTTTTTCTTAATAATCAATAAAGCATTTGTTCAATAAATATATGCTGGATGAATAAATAAATTGCATGGACACAGTGATATTGCTGGGAGCTGTGATGGTACAGTCTGTATTTTCTCTCACTGTTACAGGGTGATCAGCCAAAGGTATTTTATGAAGACACTTTTTCACTCCACTAGGAATCTATGTTAGGAAATCCAACACCATTCATAGGTTAGATTTCCCAAGGTATTTTCTCCTGAAAGGGTAATCTACAAGGAAGAATTTCTGCCATTCCTTTTGTACTCAATCCTTATATTAACATCCTTAAAACTGGGAAAGAAACTTTTTGCTCAGTGGGATTGTTGATGAATTTAAATATTAACATGTTACATTTACCATTGACATTTACCTAGTGAAACACACCAGTTGTATCAATACAGGTAATAGTACTGAACGACAGCATAGCCTTGTATTAAAATATTACTTTAAAATGCTTTGAATTTGAAATTTGATTTCTGTATCCCATTTTCATTGATTGATGCCTATACTGGTGAATTCTCATATCCTTTGCTGGTATGCATTATCTATCTCCTGCTTTGATTTATTGGGGAAAGGCATGTTGCTGTATACATTGTTTTCCTAGAAGATTGCTTTGATTGTTAGAGGATGTTGGTTAAGACACTGAAGAAGCAGGTAAAATTCTTTCTGGGAGTAAAACATTAGTTAGGAGGTATGACTAGTGAGTGACTGTTCTGACTAAGCCTTCACAGATGTTTGCTTTCATTGGCTGCTATTTTGGGTTCACACTATCAGCAGGAAACAGAAGCGTGATTCTCTCTTGACCCTCTATTTTAGCAGAAAATGTACATTGAAAAAGCATACGAATGAAGGAAATGTGATTAGAAAATAACAGTAGTATCAATATAATCAACATGCTCCATTAAAATATTTTCCTGTTTCAAAATATCCTTGAGTCTTTATTTTAATACTTAATAAAACTGCACTCTCAAATATTTTTGTTGTTGTTTAGAGAAGAAATAAATGATAGTCTGTGTTTTACAGGCATTTCTCAGGACTCAGCATAAAACAATGTGTATAAGAAATTATACTCTCTTTACCTTAAGCCAAGTGACTTACCTACTAGTCAAGTTTTTAAAGAATGAGAAGTATATTTCTCTGGCTAACACAGTGAAACCCCATCTCTACTACAAATACAAAAAATTAGCCGGGCGTGGTGGCATGTGCCTGTAGTCCCAGCTACTCGGGAGGCTGAGACAGGAGAATCACTTGAGCCTGAGAGGCGAAGGTTGCAGTGGGCCAGGATCGTGCCACTGCACTCCAGCCTGGGTGACAGAGTGAGACTCCGTCTAAAAAAAAAAGTATATTTCTGCTCCTTGTCTTTAAATATCCAGCACAGGTTTTTCAATATTTTAATTTTATTGTCACCTGAATTTGTATTTAAAATAATAATTTTTTTTTACAGTGCAACTCATTTTTATAAATCTCAGAACATAAAAAGATCATTGAAATAAGGCCAGGCGTGGTGGCTCATGCCTGTAATCCCAGCACTTTGGGAGGCAGAAGTAGGCAGATCACCTGAGGTCAGGAGTTCGAGACCAGCCTGGCCAACATGGTGAAACCCTGTCCCTACTAAAAATACAAAAATTAGCCAGGCATGGTGGCGTGCACCTGTAGTCCCAGCTAGTCGGGAGGCTGAGGCAGGAGAATCACTTGAACCTCGGAGGCGCAGGTTGCAGTGAGCTAAGATCACACCAGTGCACTCCAGCCTGGGCAACAGAGTGAGACCTTGTCTCAAAAAAAAAAAAAATTGTTTAAATAATAAACGTAAAGAAATGCTTTTCGAATTCTCTTACTTAAGTTTTTTTCATGCATCAAAACGCCTTTGGATTTACTTTCTTTTTCTTGAGTTTATCTGATGGTAATGTGAACACTCAAGCACTAAAGGGAGTTGTAAAGATGCCCATGTTCAGAGTTCCTATCAAAAGAAAGAAACTTCTGAACAAGGTTATAGTACTCCACATTTCCTTCCCAAGAAGAAAAACTTTATATATTTCAAATTCACATTAATTAGTCATTACAAAAACCTTGTGAAGCTAAATGTCTGATCTATCTATCTATCTATCTATCTATCTATCTATCTATCTATCTATCTATCTATCATCTGCACTTGATATACTGACATGCTCTTTGCTAACTGTTACATCAGCAATTCAAATTTGTGCTTATATTTAAGCTACCCAGATTGCCAACTAAAGGGTTACTACTATCATTTCAGGTTAATGTGCGAGGTGGAGTTAAGGGATTCAAGATAGGGATAGCAGAGTTTCAGGGGACTTGACATGCTCAGATGATTAACTCTGCAAAAATGGATTCTGGGCAGCTATCACACTAGATTAAAATTACATGTTTATAAGATTGTGTACCACAATTGTCATGGATCTTTCTGGCTGTCTCTCCAATAGAAAAATATATCCATGAATCAGGAGACTAAGCAGTATGGTAGAAAGAATATAAACTTTGGAGTTGGAAAAACTTGGATTTGAAGGCTGAGTGGCTGGGTGCAGTGGCTCACACCTGTAATCCCAGTGCTTTGGGAGGCCGTGGCAGGTGGATGGCCTGGGCTCAGGAGTTCGAGACCAGCCTTGGCAACATAGCATAAATCCCATCTCTATAAAAAATACAAAAATTAGCCGGGTGTGGTGGTGTGCTCCTGTAGTCCTAGCTACTTGGAAGGCTGAGGTGGGAGGATCACTTGACCCCAGGAGATGGAGGCTGCAGTGAGCCAAGATCGTGCCACTGCAATCCAGCCTGGGCAACAGAGCCAGGCCTTGTCTCAGAAACGAAAAACAAAAAACAACAGCAAAAAAAGAAAGACTTGGATTTGAACTCCAGGCCTGTCTCTTTTCCTGTCTCTTGGTAAGTTAACTAATGTATGTGAGCCTCAGTTTCTCCATCTTTAAAATAGAGATAGTATCATCTTTTGTAAGTTAAATAAGAAAATTTATGTAAAATGCTTATTAGAGTATCTGGTACTTTAGGTACACTATAGATATTAACATTTTCCTACCTTTGAAAGACCTGAATTAAACTAGAATAACTTTAGATATATTATAATAAGGCCAAAAGTCCTTAATGCACATTATCACAGTTATTAAAATAACATAGATTCCTAAAAGAAATACAATTGGGTCTATTAGCAATTAAGCTGGGGTCTATAAGTAACTTAAACTTTCTTCTTTAATAATATTATAAATGAAAACAATAATGCCATAATAATGATAATAGACATTTACTGAACACTATATGCCATACATTTTGTTATATGCACTATTTTATTCAGCCCTCACAACAATCTTGTGAGGCAAGTACTATGATGATCCCCATTTTAGGAAGGTTCAGTAACTTGTCCAAGGTCATACAATTAGTGAGTGGTAAGGCTGGGGCTTGAACTCAGGTCTAGATGACTTCAAGTTGTACACCTGAACTAAGCTGTGACAGTAGAAATAAAGAGGAGGTGATAAATGAAGAGATATTAAGAGTTAAAATGGATTAGACCTGGCTCTGTGGATGGGGTCTGAGGGAAAGAGTGGAGTCAAGGCAAGTAAACATGTCACTAATGGTGCTCTTCTAGGTAGATCAGTTTAATTACAGGTAACAAAAGCCCTGATCAGTTAACTTAACCCCTCCTTCCCCCGGGAAGAGTTTACTGTAAAACCGTAGGAGTGACCCAGAGAACCCAAAGCCAGGAATGCAGCTGCTGTAGGAACACAGGAAATATGTTCTCTCACTTCTTTAAACACCCGCTTCACTTGTTTCTGAGAGGGCAGGGTTCCTTAGCTCCCAACCCACATGGAACAATTAATTCATGGCTGGCCCACAGCTCCCAAATTTGCATAGTTTAGGTTCAGCTACATAGAGGAACATTCTCTCTTTCTCTCCTAATTTCAAATTCCCAGTGCAGACAATCAAGCTGACCCAGTTGGAGTCAGGTGCCCCTAGTCCAAGCAACTGTTGCCAGGGATGCAGGGTTATATGACACAAACTTGGCTTCTGGGAAACCATCCAAGGCTAGGGAGCAATCCCCAGAGAAGAGGGTCTACGTCGACAACCCTGTGTGTGGCCACCACAGTGCCATTCACTAAGAGGAAATGCCCAGAGCCCTCGGCAGTGGTAGTATCAAGGAGGCTAGGAGCTAGGGCCTTCACTCTGGGAATAGGTATACTTTTATGGGGAAAAGTTTGGGGGTATTCATGACGAGTTGAAAATAATTCGCTATTTTGGCCGGGCGCGGTAGCTCACGCCTGTAATCCCAGCACTTTGGGAGGCCGAGGCGGGCGGATCACGAGGTCAGGAGATCGAGACCATCCTGGCTAACATGGTGAAACCCTGTCTCTACTAAAAACACAAAAAAATTAGCCGGGCATGGTAGCGGGTGCCTGTAGTCCCAGCTACTCGGGAGGCTGAGGCAGGAGAATGGCGTGAACCCAGAAGGCGGAGCTTGCAGTGAGCCGAGATCGCGCCACTGCACTCCAGCCTGGGCGAGAGCGAGACTCCGTCTCAAAAAAAAAAAAAAGAAAATAATTCGCTATTTCAAGACTTTCCGTTGTCCTTCATTGTAGAGCCCAATATCTGTTCCTGGGTATCAACAGTATCAAGTTTTCATGTCATCAAAGACAGAGACTATCCATCATGCATTTCAACCTCTTAAATCTCATTTGACTTTAGAATGTTTTAAGTTCAGGTTATGGGGTGCTGTGGGGTAATGGGGTGCTCTTGTCAAAACCTCAGTGTTTTGGGGAAACCCTGACAGTATGGTAGCTGTAAAAAATTGTCATTTTTTAGTTGTAGTTGTTTCTGTTTTTGTTTTAAGGGTTGAGACTTAAACTTACCTCCGGGACAGATAGCTCTTTTATTTTGGAGAAACCTCCACTATAAAGCAAATTAAATTCTTTCTCATTGTTCATAGGAAAAAAACGTAATGAAGGGGGGTAACTCAGGAACAGATGCATCCAACAGAGCAGCTCTGTTTAGAAACCCATGTCTCCATCACTGACAATTCCCTTAGAAATGGGACTTAGGCCTGCATACTGACCTTCCAGCCTATCTTTCCCCATAGGGTGAGAAGTCTGCGGGGCGATGGGGGCATGCTTACTGGAGCCTGCTTTCCAATTTCTTGACCATGTTTTGGGTGTCAAGGACCCTTTAATTTCCTGCCCAAACATCCCTGAGCCTGCTCCAAGGATCTCTGCAGGCCTCTTTACTGAGTCTGGTTTCTTGATAATATCCCTAGGCCTAGGGATATATGGACAGAGCCTAAACGAGCAAATTGAGGGGTGACTACAGGTGAGGCCCCTTGAGGTATGGGAGCTGGATGGAAGAAGAGGGGTGGGTCAGGGCCCTCTTGCCCAGACACTGCAAATGTTATAGATGGGGCTGCCCTCAGAGTAGTAGTTCTCAAACCTTAGTATACAGAAGAGTTAATGGACGTTTTGTTTAAAATATTGATTGCCTGGGCCCTGCCACCAGAGATTCTTATACAATCAGGTCTTGCATGGTGTCCAAAAATCAGTATTTTAATAAGTCCTACAGAGACTACATGTTAGAAGATACTTCTTTGGAAATTTTATTTCCTTCTATTTGAATTTAGAAGCATAGTGCTTATTTATTTTTTCTTGTTCTTGTAGAGGTATTGTGTATGTATGTGTGTGTGTCATGTCAAAGAATTTTCCTTCAGGATAGTTGCAATGGAGTCCTCCAAAACTGCAGAAAATATACTTAGGGCTGACATTTTAACTTTTTGTTGGGGGAGTCCCCCTGGGGGAGCCTTGGTGTAGCACAGCTTAGTGTAGGTAGCACTGACATGGTGATGTTAAGAGTGGAGTGTGTGGATCATGGGAAGCGTGCTGATGGTGGACAACGATGGCTCTGATGTCTTTTGGGGGCTACGGTGTAAGAGCAGTGATGCCTTGAAGAGAGTGCATCATCCAGCAAAGAATCAGTTTCATGGCAGAAAATGAGGACCTGGGAGGTGGGCTTAAGGCTGGGGAGAAAGGGAAATCTCTGTTTTATTTTTTGAACTTGACATTTTGTCTGGGAATCTAAGTTGTGGAAATTTTTGGATTATTCTTGAGGGGAGAAGTGAGCTGACCTTTGCTAGGGAAACAGGCTACATTCCTGAGATTAGACCTCTGTGATCTCTAGTTGCCACTTCTAATGGAAGATATCAAAATTTGCTGGGTTTTTCCTCCCTCTCATTGTGCCCACACTTGAGGAATTAGGTAGAGATGAGGAGGAAATGGGTCTCCTCTTCTGAGGCCATAATGGTGGTAGGGGAGACTCACTGGTGCTCAGAGGCAGGTCAGTCTTGAGGCCCTTATCACTCAGGCTGCAGCATGGTAGGAAAACTAAGAAACCAAATACCAAGTTGTGCGCCTGAGCACATTTAAGAGACAATATTTGGGAAACACAGAGCTAGCTAGCTGGTGGATACTTTGAAGAGAGCTAGTTTCTAGCAATGAAGCTGAAGTGGCTTGTTCCTTTGTCAGTTGGCTTGATCTTGTATCTTAGTTACAGGCTGGGGCCAGGGACTTTTGGGTCACATTCATGATCTTTGTGAATGTCTCTTAGCATGTTTTTGCTCTGACCTTGATGGGGAAGACACTTTCTGCTGGTTCTATGTAGAACTCTGAACAGGACAATTTAGGTCCACCCTTCGTGTAAGGACAGCCTGATCCAACAGTGACACATCTAGTAATGAAAAAGAAGGGTTCCAATGACATATTTTGCTATGTAATAAAGTATGGGTAGAAATTCATTCTCAGAGGTAGAGATGCTACAGAAAGCATAGGAAGATTCTTAGGGCTGTGAGAAAAAGGGGAAATGTAACCATAAAATGATGGTTGATGAGAAAGATAAAAATAAAAGAGATTAAAGTCTGACTAATAGGTTCAAAATTTTCATTATTACCCGGGTTTTAATGAAAAAGTTTCTCATTAATCCAAAGGGAATCAAAACCTGAGGCCTGGAAAGCCCCCAGTATTTTAAGGGATGGGGTATTTTGGGAAAGTCAGAGGATTACGAGAAGTGGAAACGTATGTGGTTATTTAAGTCAGAAGGGCATAGGTTTAGGAAGTCTAAATGTGAGATGCAATCTGACCATAAACAGGCTCATCACAACATTTACTGGCTTATTCTTGAAAGACAATAAGGGGCACTCTGGCCAGGCGCGGTGGCTCACGCCTGTAATCTCAGCACTTTGGGAGGCCAAGCGGGCGGATCACCTGAGGTCAGGAGTTCAAGACCAGCCAGGCCAACAGGGCAAAACCCCGTCTCCACTAAAAATACAAAAATTAGCTGGGTGTGCTGGCGCATGATTGTAATCCCAGCTACACGGGAGACTGAGGCAGGAGAATTGCTTGAACCTGGGAGGTGGAGGTTGCAGTGAGCCGAGATTGTGCCACTACACTCTAGCCTGGGCAACAGAGCAAGACTCCATCTCAAAAATAATAATAAAATAAAATAAAAAATAAAAAAGGGGGCATTCTATGCCCCTATGACAAGTAGTCTGGGTCATGATCTTAAAGGGCTAACTTTGTTACCTTTGCTTAGGTAAAACACCAGGAAGGTATAGAACAATGAACTGATAAGCCCAGAACCTGTAGTTCAATATTCTTATGTTATATTTAAGAACTAGGCTTGCAATGAAATCGCTTTTGTATATTCTGTTTGCATTTTAGGCTTAAGAGGATTTGAGCTTCTAAATTTGAAGATCTGGTTTATCACATTTATACAATTGCTTAAAAGAAAGATTTTGTTTGTTTTCTTATATTGACTTGTAAAGTGATTGAAGAGTTTGTCATTATAATTTAGGAGCCTAAGAAAATCTGATTAATCAAATGTTTACATAGCTAAACATTTACAGGAGTTTGAGTTTTCAAATGTAAGAGATATTTGAGCATTAATCAAAGAAATACAAATGATTGTTCTTATTTGATATAAAATTATTAAGAAAAACATATTTTTAAAGTTACATTTAAAATAAACTACATGCTAAACAAAATATTAGTAATTGTAAATATGCTTTTCTGTACACAAAAGTCCCATCCGATAATAAAAGCTTGAACCTTGGTTGTTAGACTCTCACTGCCTCAGTGCAAATTCTGGCTCCACTATTTTCTCCCTTGAGCAAGTTACTCAATTTCTCTGCTCCTTTTTCTCATTGTAATATGGAGATAACAGGAATACTATCTCCTAGGGTTATTATGCGACTTAAATGAGATAAAACAAGTATTTAGAATAGTGTTTGGCATATACTAGATGGTCAATAAATGAATATTATACTACTATGAATTTTAAAATAAAAAAACCTCAGTGTACAATAAATAAATATAGCCACACATCTCTGCTGGGGCATTGATATGAATTCAAGTGAAGAGAACCAGAGATGGAGGGGCCACAGGTGACTATGGTTTGCAGTACTTGATTCTTCTCAGTGGTTACCTGGCTTTTGAAACTCAACATATTATTAAAAAAAAATTTCAAAAACTCATCTGTTAATGACACCCAGCAGTTTAAATAACAAAATTCCTAAAAGAAAAGCGCACATGTATGGCTCTGCATGGGAATTTGCACATAGTGGTGATGGGGTTAACATAAGTTAACCTACAAAACATATGAATGAAAAAATGTTTGATCTCATAGGTAAAGATGAGGATTATTGCTATTTTCATTAGATGGCAACAATTTAGTAAAAGCATGTGATTGCCACAATCAGTTGTATGGAGAAGTCAAGTATGGAAACTGATTGCATTTGTGCCAAAGCTGAACTTTGTTTTGATTTAATAAGAGACTTGGACAAGATATATTCATGGCTCATCCTTTTCCTATACAAGAAAAATAGAGCGAGTGTGCAGAGGGGAACTTGAGCAATAAAGAACCACATCCTACATTCTACCCACATCAGACCATTTTTGTGTTCTGCCAAAGAGTAGAACAAATGGGAGAAGGGAGATAGTTTATTATCAGATATTAAATAGCAAGTTCAACTTGCTATTTGTGTAATGGTAAATACAGCACTGCAACTCAGGCTGAAATCTTATTAAGCCTGAAGAAGGTGGGAGTGTAGTTAGCATAAATCCGTGGTTAAAAGACCCATGGAATTTGGGAATCACCAACTCTGTTAATTGCTTGTTGCTTCTTATTTTAAATTAGTAGCCCATCTGTTACTACAAAATCATTGAATTATATGACACTTTACCCCTTTCAAGTCTCCTACCTACTTCTAATTCTTCTCTCAACAAGACCCATGTGGTTTTGCTTTTCATAAAGACTCCCAGGGAAGAGATTTTACAACTTCTCTTGTTAGTGCTTCTATAGCTGTCAGCCCACATCACCAGGAAATCTTTCCTTGTGTCTCTTAGGAAACCCCCTTAAAATTAATGAGTAACTAAATCTTGCTCCTGAGTGGGAGGGCAAGAGAATAGAATATGAGTCTGCCAAACCAAAGGTAAATGGAGCCTTAGTTTGTTATTTGACATCTGAGCTTCCAGAAGTGGTGGAGCAACTTCAGCAGGTGAATCACAGACTGGAAGGAGATGTGATTGGTTCCTGGCCCATCCCCTTTGTTTTAAGGAGAGTGAGATGGAACTGTGCCAGAGAGTAGTACTGTAAAACACAGCAGAACCTCAGCTCGCTTCTGAAAACTTTAGGAATTTGGAGACAGCCGGATATATAGTATTTATCATTTTTAAAAAGTTCATTTTAAGTAAAGAGATCTTAATGTATATTCTCTTATTTAAAAAATATACATATATAATATTCTTATATATTTGGCTTTTAAAAACACTTCAAAATTTTAACATGTGGTTCAAAATAGAATAGTTTATTAAAAAGTCAGGTTGCTGAGTCAGGGTAGGGATCGATGGAACTGTTTTAGAAATGGCTGAGGTGATTGAGTGACATATGTCATGACCATTAAAGACAAGGAAAATCTAATGTCTTTCCAGATGGAAGCTGATTAAAAAAACAAAGATCTCTGAATTGAAATCTATGAATAGAGATTGAAAATCAAGTTAAATTCAGATTAGATGACTCCTAGTAACTTGGGTAGTGGCAAAGAAGCTACTTAAACATTGGCAAGAAGGCCTAAGAGAATTATTGCAGTTTCCAAGCCTGAGACTTGGGAACAATGAAATGGGCCAGATCAGAAAAATTTGAGGCCAGAAATCTGTGCTAATAAAGAACCCTAGAACAGGGCTGAGAAAGTGGAGATTTGAGCGACAAAGTGTGGGGTAGAAAAAAGATAGGCAAGTCCAAGTATCATCAGCATAGCTCCAATTCAAGCCCCAAATTCAGTTTTCTGCCCTGATAGAAGCAGCAGAGGCAATAGTCATTCCAAGTGGCAGAAAATTAGCACAGAAACAGGCAAGGAAGAGCAGGACTGCCACTGGTCTTAAGGTGCTTTGGGGCTCTATGACAGGTCTCAAAGGTTGGCAAGTACATTGTAGTCTGGATGTTGGCTTCCATCAACTGGAACCCACATGCAGGACACAACCTACACAAATGCACACAGAGGCGCTGCAGAGCAAGTGCAAATTCAGGGTTGTTAGGGGTAGGGTCCTGGAATCTGTATTTCATTCCTTAAAAAAAAATACATATTTTTTTTTGCAGAAGTAGTACCTGCTTATTGAAATCAAAAATCAAATAATATATGCATAAAGGAAAGAGTGAAAACTCATCTCTCCTTTTTACCCCATCACCAACTCTCTAGGATTAAACACTCCTTACAGATTTTCTTTGCGCACATGAAAATGTATCCATACTATCTGTATTAATGTTTCCTATAGGATAAAAAACTATGATGTAATATTCGCAAAAATGTCTTTGCCTACTTGGAATTCAGGTTTTTGGTTGTGGTGACGAAGAAAATAAGTTAAAGGAGATGTATAATTTAAAGGTGCCTGAGATATTTGTTATCAGTAAAGTCCTAGCAGGAAACAGATAGTATATTTGGGCAGGGGTCACTAAGAAGAGCGTAATTAAAGGATAAAGGGGTGGACAGGATTTAAAGAAGCCAACAGAGCTGCTGAAGTGCCCTAGGGCCAATAACAACCAGGGGCTCTTACCTCTCCTAGACCTCATGGGGCAAGGGGTGGGGCCTGTTACCAGAACTTGGTCAGCGTCACCCTAATAGGAGCTGTGCTGACAACTCAGCATAGCAGGATTCAGGGGAGCAAAACCAACTTGACTCCATTCTCCTCCCGTCCACCTTCCTCTGCCAAGGCTCCCCACTGGCCCAACTCAATCCGAAGCCAGAAGGCAAAGGGGCCTGTCAAGACAGTCCATCTAGGTCACCCATGCAGGCCACAGAGCAGAATAGAGAATAAGACTAGAAGGATAACTGGAGGATATCCAACATAACATTTCCTAAAGAATATATTTTAGGAGGCAGGAGGAGGGATGGAAAAAGATAGCAGAGACCTGTCTACAAAGGAAAAGAGAGGTTGGGGAATTTAGAGAAAGCGGAAGAATATTGAGTTCTGTCACTGTTGTTGCTGCTACTGCTGCTGGTCTCTCTCTCTGTATGTACTTGTGTGTGTGTGTGTGTGTGTGTGAGAGAGAGAGAGAGAGAGAGAGGGAGATGGACAAAAGGGATTTTCAAGACATGTGCTACAGATTATAAATGGAATGCTCTTTAATGATCCATAAGCCTACTGTAAAAATTGTATTTCATTTTCAAGTACTCTGGGTGGTTAAAATGCTGGGTTTTTTTCTTTTTCTTACAATACATACAGATTTTTATATAAGGAGGTACTTAGTAACATATTCTTAGATGCACAGAAAAGGACTAGAAGGGAATGTACCAAAATGTTAACAGATGCAATCTCTAGGGAGTGGGATTAGAGATGATTTTTATTTATTTAGTGCTTTTAGTAATATTTTCCAAGCTTTTGGTCATGGGCCTGCATTATCTTGCAGAACCAGGCTTGGCCCTAGGCCCTTTTTCTTTATTTACACTCTCCCTAGGTCATCTCATCCATTCTTATAAGTTTAATACTATCTAAACCCTGAAAACTCCTATATTTCTATTTCTAGCCCAGACTTCTCTCCTGAGATCCACACTACTATGGCCAACTGCACCCCTTGGCTGGCTAATGGATATCTGAAAGCCACATGGCTAAAATAAAGGTCTTGATTCACCACCTCTCCATCTAATTGCCTGGCCACTTCTTACCAAGGACTGGTGTTTTTAAAACAGATTTTGCCTAGTTAATTCACACAGCAAAATTTTAAAAGGTACAAAAGGTTAACTATTATAAAATATGTGCCTGTTCTACTCCAAATTTTGTTTTCCTGTTCCTGTAATCAGTTCTCCTCTCCCAAAACATTTCCTGTGTTTCTTATCTTCTTTGTTCATGTAAATATATGTAAATATACACCCTTTTCATTTTACATAAAAGTTAGCATATTTTATCCACTGCTCAGCATCTTGTACTTTTAATGATCTACCTTGGAGATATTTCTATACTAGTACAGCATATATAGAGCTGTTTATTTTAATAATATTTGCATAGCATTCCATTGTGTGGATAAGGCTAATTTTTTTAAAACAAGACCCTATCTTGAGGCTAGGTTGTTTACATTCCAGTTATATGTAATGACAAATTACAATAAAAGTTGTACCATACCAGACCCACTATCATACAACCTTTCTTTTTTTGACCCATCTATATAATACAGGCATTCTTCCACATTAGTGTGTGCAGAGCTACCACTTTCTGTTTAATCATGGCTTTCATATTCTGTAATATTGATGTGCTGTAACTCACCCAACCATGCCTTGTTTATGAACCCATAGGTTTTCTCCAGTGTTTTGCTTTCATAAACAATGCTGTGATGAACATCTTCCTTCAATTCCCTATGGCAGTGTTCACCACACTTCGCTTTTCTCCAGGACACATAGCTGGTCTACATTTCCCAGGCTTCCTTACAGGTAGCCTTGTGATCAAGTTCTGTAAAGGAATGTGAATGGGAGTGATGCTTGTCACTTCTGGACCTGGTCCATAGAAAGAAATCTCTGGTACCATCCTCCATCTGTTCTCTCCCCATTTTCAACTTAATAGAGGTGACTCCAAGGATCTAGAGAAAGGTAGAGTCACAAGACAAATCTTCAAATGATTTTGTGAGCAGAGCGCCCCTGCTGACTTGCATTGGTGACATGAACACAAAACATACATTTATTATAATGAGCCACTGAGGTTTTTGAGATTTAAAAAGTTTTTGTTAGACTGCCCTAAATACTACAACACCCATACACACTTCTACAGGGAGTTTTCTAGGGTTGATTCTGAGAATAGAAATTACTGGGCTTCAATGGCCTAAACATTTTAAATTTGACACTTCTTGTCAATTCATTCTCCAAAAAGTGTACTTCAGCTTATACTTCCTTCCATATACATAAAAATGGTCAAGAAGAATGAAAATATAATGTACATTTATTTTTATGTTATTTACGTTTATTTTATTTATTTATTTATTTGAGACAGAGTCTCACTCTGGTCGCCCAGGCTGGAGTGCAATGGCATGTTCTTGGCTCACTGCAACCTCCACCTCCCAGGTTCAAACAACTCTCCTGCCTCAGCCTCCCGAGTAGCTGGGATTACAGGTGCCCGCTACCACGCCTGGCTAATTTTTGTATTTTTAGTAGAGACGGGGTTTCACCACATTGACCAGGCTGGTCTTGAACTCCTGAAAGGTGATCTGCCTGCCTCGGCCTCCCAAAGTGCTGGGATTACAGGCGTGAGCCACCACACCCGGCCATGTGCATTTATTTTATAAAATCTATTTAAAATTCTTATAATTTATAAAATCTGTTTATATTCTTATAATTTATAAAATCCATTCATAAAATAAGTATTTTTATTAAAATGGTGATTAACATGAAACCTGAAAAATTAAAGCTGTTTAATTACTTTAAATGGTAAACATAAAAACTGATATTATCCAAAAGATTGTTGGTTTCCAGTCTTGGTGGGGATAAGAGGGTATCTGTGCTTAGCTAAAGTCTCTCTAGGAGATTCTTAGGCCAGATTTGGAAACCACTAGACTGATGTGTTGTTGGTTCCAAGTGGTTAAATGGGATAAGTTTAATGGTACCCTTCAGAATGTATCATAAAATCCATATATACCAATGGAAGAATCTTATTCAGCTTGGGCTCAGTCTGAAAGTTGTACTTCTACTCTTCTTGCCTCTAGCAGGCCTTAGAACTCATCTAATCATCCAGCACAAACAGGACAGCAAGGCAGTAGCAGAGTCCTTGAGCATCAAGAGCTGTAGGGTTGAGCAAATATAGATACAACTCCAAGGTAAACAGCTCACTGGTAGCAGACATTTTGCAGAAATTTCCTGGTAAAAACCAAAGTTTCCTTAGAAATCAATTGGTGGGGACTTTGTCTGAATTTGCTCAAAATTTAGATTCAAAAATAAAAAACAACCAAAACCAGTAATTGAATAGTTTCTACAATTGACATTGGCCACTACAATTCAAGAAAGTAATCATTCCTGCAGAGATGAAATGAATCAGCAGAAACTATCCATTAATAAAGGAAAAGATAACTAGACAAGAACAGACACCATTCCCTAGCCAATATCTGCCAAAAGGATTTGTTAAATCCTTAGGATAAAAAATTGAAAGTTAACATGAGAATCCTAATAGTTATTTTTTTGTTAAAATTGACTATATTATAAACTGTATGTGGGTCTTATTTCTTAGTGTGGGCTAAATTCTCAAATAGTCCTATAGCTATTTTTAATAAAATTTCAAGTTAATTCTTGTAGATATGATCATAGGGAGCAGGATCACATATAATCTGAACTGACAACTATGAGTATGATTTTGGTGTACAGAGTGAACATTCTAGATCAACCATCCACCTTCCAGACAGGTGTCTTTTTAAGACATGCTCCTGTCTGAGGGCATTGCGTTTTCCATATGCTGCTACCTCTGGGGAGGTCTGATGGCAGTGTTAACTTCCAGCAATAGGCAGGTTGAAATTCAGTACCATGAAATTAATTTATTAGTGGTAGGTTCTGGGATATCCAGAAAGAGCTGCATTGTAGAGGAAAAAGCCAAGACATTATGATAATTGCAGAACAATCAGAAAGGCTTTTTTGACATTAAGCAACTGACCTGGTGTTCCTTAGTCTCCTGGGCTAACAACAGCACTGAAATTAGAGGCTGTGGAAGAAGGTCATTAGACAGCCCTAGTTGTAAATATTAGGAGACTGTAGGGACAGGAGTCCTATTGCAGTATGCCTAGTGTCTTATTTATTTTTGTATCATTTTATTCATTCATTTATTCAACAAACATTTACTGAATACCTCCTATGTGCCGTTTATGATGATATGGAGAATACAATGGGGAGCAAGGTGAACCTGGTCCTTGTTCTCATGAAACCTTCCTGCATACTGCTGTGTGCTTCATGAAGTCAGTCATGGCAGTTCCATTTCCGTTGCTACTGTTTGGTTCATGAATGGATATATGATTCAGTTCTGGCCACTGAGACTTGAGAACGCACAAACCAGAAGGCGTCTGAGATAGGTTTCCTTCTTTTTTTTTTTTTTTTTTTTTTTTTTTTTTGAGACGGAGTCTCGCTCTGTCGCCCAGGCTGGAGTGCAGTGGCGCGATCTCGGCTCACTGCAAGCTCCGCCTCCCGGGTTCATGCCATTCTCCTGCCTCAGCCTCCCGAGTAGCTGGGACTGCAGGCGCCCGCCACCACGCCCGGCTAATTTTTTTTTTGTATTTTCAGTACAGACGGGGTTTCACTGTGTTAGCTAGGATGGTCTTAATCTCCTGACCTCGTGATCTGCCCGTCTCGGCCTCCCAAAGTGCTGGGATTACAGGCATGAGCCACCGCGCCTGGCCGGTTTCCTTCTTTTTAAAAAGAGACATGGAAAGACCAGCTGTAACTGTTTATAAATGGCAGCCATTTTGTGACCATGAGGGAGCTAGCCTGAAGATGAAATCTGCATGTGGAGGACGGCAGAGCAGAAAGCTGGGAAGCACCTGCATCCGTGGTCAACTGCAGAGTCACTGACCACAGCAGCCCTGGAGCTGCCTGTCTGTGAACTTATTTTGTGAGATAAGAAATGTCTATTGTTTAAGGCAGTCTAGCCAAGATGTTACTTGCAGTTAAAGGCCAACTATCTGATATGTTCTCCAGAATATTCACTGCAATTCACCTGATAGTGACTTGATAGTAAATATGTGGTTCTAAGAAGGAGGTAAAGTTTTAAAGCCTGTCTCACAATGCTAAACAGTAGTGAAAAGGACACCCAGTGTTTGCTAGGGAAAACTTTAAGAGGTTTCTGTAACTTGGGAATTCTGAAGACAATTGTGTGTGTGCACATGTGTGTTTGTGACATATTTGCGATTTTAAACTGAGTGGAGAATTCTTTGCACCTTTGCTTTACAAGGAAATGTGTGTTTTAAAGCCACTGTAGTTATGACTTCTTAGAAAAGGGCACTAGATGAAAGAAGGAAGATTGCTAACTCTTTTTTTTTTTTTTGGAGACAGAGTCTCACTCTGTCACCCAGGCTGCAGTGCAGTGGTGCGATCTTGGCTCACTGCAGCCTCTGCCTCCTGGGTTCAAGCAATTCTCTTCCTCAGCCTCCTGAGTAGCTGGGATTACAGGTGCCCACCACCACATCCACCTAATTTTTTGTGTTTTTAGTAGAGATGGGGTTTCACCATCTTGGCCAGGCTGGTCTTGAACTCCCGACATTGTGATCCACCTGCCTTGGCCTCCCAAAGTGTTGGGATTACAGGCATGAGCCACGGCACCAGGCTGAAGATTGCTAACTCTTAATGAGTGCTTCCCAGGAGGCCTGGGCACATGCTAATGCTTTACATACATTGTCTTAACTCTTCTTCAAAACAATAAATACTATTTCTCATTATAACAAAAAAGGCAATATGGCTGAGAAATAACTTGCCCAAAGTCACAGATAAATGGTAAAAACTGAAGCCTGGATCCAGGTCTGTGTGATTCCAAACCCCATGCACTTAAGCCTTATGGGGACAAGCCGTACCGGCCACTTTCCAAAGTCTGCCTTTCGTAGTTTTCCCTCATGAACCGAGCAGCAATGTCTGGAGGTTCCCTTGTTAGTTATGCAAATAGCAAAGCTGGTTACACAATGGAGAGAAGGCCAATTCTGGCACTAATTTTAGGGCAAACCACAGATGTCTTTGATGTTTTCATTGTACATGAGAACAGAGCCAGTGATCCGACAGCTGCTGGCAGCCCTAATAAAATATGCAGAATATTAAGGCAGTTTTATCTCAGTGCCTAATTACAGCTGGCAAGGGGAAATTTATTTTGCAAAGGAGGAGATATCAAATGGTATAAATGCAACATATAACCAAATATGATTGCTTCATTCTATTTTCTCAGGGCTCTGCAATTATAGAGCACTTTTTGGAAAAGTGTTATTAATTGACAGTCCTCTCAAGCTATGTAACCAAAACTTTGTTTTAGATATTATTGGAACAGTTCAACTGCTTTATTGCCTTATACTTAAATTTATTTTCTTCTTTTGCCTTAGTTATAAAATACATCCAGCACTTAATTCCAAAAGTAAATGTAATTACAACATTCTTGTCTAGTCCAGGTTTTTACACCCACATAACCAATGTGATGGGACCGTAATTCAATGTTTTCTTGCCTTGGAAAATTGTTTCATATATGTAATGACAGAGAAATAGCTTTATAATGCTGATACAGGAGCAAAGAACTAATAGTTGGCTACTTCAACAAGCAGTAATCATAGCTGGATGAGGCTCTGACATTTCAGCTTCATGTGGCTTACACCATATGTGGCCATGGCTGCAAGCTGCATGATGTTGAAATAGGATACACAGGCCAGATCTCCTTCAAAGGAGGACTTGCTGCCCAGCTGTGGGTGGGCACTCCAGCTGTTTGTTCTTTCAGGGTCTGTCTCAGCTATAGAGTCACCTCCTGATGTCATGCCCTTCCATAGTCACATAGTCCACATCCAGTGACTATGTGAGATGAAGTACAAAGGCCCAGACATTGTAGCATGGTATGGCACATTCTCATCCTACAGCCCTCCCTGTTTCCCCTTCCCTCCAGTGTTGATCTCTCATAAATATCTTACACCCCAGATTCTACCTAGGCATGTCTCGTCATCTGCTTCTAGAAAAACCAACTGGTGACACCATAAAAACAGAACCATTTATCAAACGGTTCTACCTTTTTCAGGGAATGATCTTTCAGCCATCATTTGAGAACATAATATATGTTGAATTAAAGCCCCATGATGACTTTCAGTACTAAATGACCACATTAAAAATTATCAGTTAGTTATATTCCAGAAACTTAATTTTTTTCAACATACGAAAATGCACTGCTAAAATAATAAGTTTTTATTTTTCCTAAATCTTTCTTGGCTTCAGTGCAGCATCTGACACTCACTGTAAACTCCTCTTTCTTGAAAATCTTTTCTCTGTTTGATTTCAAAGAAAAATTAAGCTCTATTTTTCTTTCTATTTTTCTGGTTGCTCCTTTATAATCTGTGTCTGGTGCCTGCCTTATGATGGTGTATCCCAAGATTCTGTCCTTGACTTTGCTCATCTACCTTTACTCATTTTTCATAGATACACTCATCTTCAACCTCTGCTAATGTCTTGGTTATGCCTAGTTTTTGAGTTTTCAGTTCAGACCTTGCTGTGGAGCTTCAGAGCCATATAGTTTCTCAAAACAAGAACACCCCCGAATAGAATGTTTTATCTTCACATCCTTTCATCCAAAACACTCCAAAATGAAAACAACCAACAATGGCAACCTGTTCATCCTCCAGTGGTCCTGTGGCCTTCAATGGCACCACTACTCATCCTGTGGTCTTAGCCTGAAATCAGGGAGGCATCCTAGATTTCTTCCTCTCACTCTTGCTTCATATCCAAGCAGTCCCAAGAGCTTAGATGATTCTCTCTCTTTTTAAAAATTTTATTTTAGAAACAGGGTCTTGCTGTGTTGTCTAGACTGGAGTGCAGTGATGCAATCACAACTCACTGCAGCCTCAAACTCCTGGGCTCAAGGGATCCTCCCACCTCAGCCTCCAAAGTAACTGGGACTACAGGTGCATGCCACCATGCCCAGCTAATTTTGTTGTTGTTGTTGTTGAGGTGGGATCTCATTGTGTTTTCCAGGCTGAGATTCTCCCTTTTAAACAGCTTGAGTCATTCCACTTCTTTCTTTCCACTGTCTCTTATCCCTTCTTCCATTAGTGGCTTGAAGTTTTTGATATCGTCATATTACCTTCCTCCTTAAACACATCATTTTCTACCATCTGATCATGCTATGTCACTGCTTAAAATCTTTCCGTGGTTTCCAACTTGGCATGCAAAGTCCCTAATGATATGAGGCCTTGTCTATCTAGTCTCATTGTCAATCATTCTTCAGTGTCTACTTTACCAGTGCCTTGGACATAAACGCATTAGGCAGAGCCATGTTTCAGTGCCTGAGAAAGATGCAGTTCCCTCTGCCCTTAGCATGAAGCTCCTTCCCCTTCCTACTCATCCTCCCTTCATCTAGCTCGTATTCATCCTTCAAAACTCAGCTCCTGCTGAGACCATCTTTGGAAAAGTCCTCCTAGATGCCTCCACTACCCTGTCACCTAAGAACATATCTATCAAGATATTATCCTATTGTGAAGGGACTTGTCTCAAACTGATCTACAAAGTTCCTTGAAAACTCCTGGTTGGAGTTTACACTGGGATATGCCTACTAAATAGTAGGCTTCATAATGTATTTGTGCAATTAATGAAAATGAAGTTGTATAAACATATAATTACCTGTCAGTGAACCATTGTAATAGTAGATTACCAAAATGCACACAAACATTGACATATTGCCAGGTAGAACCTTTGCAAAACCTTTAGAAAAGGCTTTTGGCTGGGCACAGAGGCCCATGCCTGTAATCCCAGCACCCTGGGAGGCTGAGGCAGGAGGATTGCTTGAGCCCAGGAGTTTGAGACCAGCCTGGGCAACATAGTGAGACTGTCTGTATAAAAAGTAAATTTTAAAAAATTAACTGGGCACAGTGGCGTGCACTTATAGTCCCAGCTATTCCGGAGGCTGGGATGGGAGGATCACCTGAACCCAGGAGATCGAGGCTGCAGTGAGCCATGTTTGTGCCACTATACTCTGGCCTGGGTGACAGAGTGAGACCCTGTCTCAAAAAAACAAAAAAAAGGAAAAGGGTTTTTTTAAATCAATACTATATATTACACACACACACACACACACACACACACTCACACACACACATTGATAACATCTATATTGGCTTTTACTTTAAAAAGTTAATATACATAACAAAATTATTTATAAATAAATTATATATAATATAAAATTAATTTCACATTTTATAATATTATATAAAATTTTATATTTAGACAAGAAAAGTATATATACTTCAATTTTTTATATAATTTAATAATATTATGTATTTTAATATAAATTCATGCTATGTAAACGATAGGTATTATAAATTCTCTATATAAATTATAGATATAACACTTTACATGTAACATAAGTTCTTTTAATATAATTTTTGAAAGGAAATGCCATTGTAGATGTTGCCAATGAGGACTTTTGAGTAGGTGTAGTATTTTTCATGAAGTAGCTCACAGTTTTTGCCTCTTTAAACTGATTGTCAACATATGGGTAAATAACAATCTGCTGACTTTGAAAAATTAGTTATAATCCATTTCACATAATGCATGCAAAACACAGCAGGCAATGGCCCATAATTGAAGGATTAGTTTGGGGCCTTAGGGTGGTTTTTAAAATTCACAGGCTGATAGAATGTTACACCCCATATGGACCCAGAATATTCTCATCAGGGAGTTTCCAGTACTCTCGTTCCTCCTACAGAATACCACGTGTTCCATGTTCAGGAGAGCACTTCCTCCATCCATCAGTACAGCAGCTGGAGATCTTCCCTGGTGATAAAGTAGGCAGGAGGCTGAAAGCGCCTTATAGGAATCTGAATCCTGCCTGAATAGATTTGTTAAACCACTTAGGTCATTTCTAATTTTTTCTGCTGTCGAAGGCACACTGCAGCTTTTCCTTGTCTTGTGCCTGAACCTTACATCCTGCTACAATTGCTCTATGTGCACCATTCCTTTTGGATTTTAGTGGCTTACCAGTGTAGAATTAGAGGCTGCTCTGTTATCTTTTACTTTTCCTCACTGTGGTTTTTACTCTCACTTTACTCCCACCTATCTGCGTTGATTTGTGCTATTTCCTGTGTATGATTTGCACGTCTGCAGTTGCTTTTTGTCTCTAGTTACTGCTTTCTTTTCCTGTTTGTCTTGTTCTTGTAGGACCCTTTCTGACTCTCTCAAGAGAGACCTTTTCAACCCCAACTCCCTCTGGTCTAATCCTAACCAGCACCAGCTGGTTGGGAAGTAGAGCAGGAACTCTGGCTGCCCTAATCTACATGGTGCTCTCTGCTCCTGGGCAGAGGTGTGTTTTTATATACTATTCTCTTGAGTATGAAATGCCTGAACAAAGCAGTGATTTGGCAAGCCTGAAGCCACACACTGGGGCTCATAGTAACTTGCTTCTACTAGCAACGTGAGCATTAGAAACATTTCCTGGCCAAGTAGGCTTGAATTCGCTAGAAGTAGGGGTGCAATGAGTCTGGGTTCACTTTGCTCAGGGTGACAAGGCTGTAGAGTATTGGTTAATTGTCAAACTCTTTTGTTTAAGAGACAAGGTAAACATACATACATACATAGAGAAGCTTTCTAGGGTTACTTAGGCTTTATGTGATTACTAGCAGAAATGTTTTATTTGCAAGCAAAGCTTATAAACCACCTCTTAGATATCTTTGCAAAATGAAGCTAAAACATGGTTTAAAGAATCAAAAATATAAGATATTTACAATGATTTATAATTGAATCAGGAATGCATTTGGTATTTTTTAAAAGGAATAATTGGCTAAGATTTAAATTAATTTGCTTTCCTTAAAAACCCAGAGCCTAAACAATGGAAAGAAATAGAAACAGTTACACTGGGTGTGTGAGGGGTGGAGGCGGGGGACCCAACTGGGACTGAAATTTCTTGGAGAAAATCTACAAAATCAGCCAAGCACACATGGATTGTGTGACTTCATTTAGTTGGAGGAGAACTGAGCAACCCACTGATCTCAAATGTCTTTCCCCAGGAGAAATAATCTCTCTTGTCTTGGAATGGCTGTAGCACTGAAAGTCTATTCCACCCTTGGCACTTACCTTAATCTATGCTGTAATATTATCTCTTTTAGAAATGTTTTTATCTCTTCATTATAACAATTATCTTTTTATGTGCCTGACTTACCTAGGATGCTCATTCATTCCGGTGGCCTGGAACAGTTCTGATTTGCGCCCGTTGCCATGGTTTAATTAATAGTGCCCCCTTTCACTCTCAGAAGTGTCTTGGTTTGGATGATAAATTATAAGGTTCCTATAGTCTTATCCCAACTAAACGGAAAGTTCCTGTGTTAGTCAAGATCCCAGCAAGAAACAGAATATTCTGTGGGGATTTTTGAAGAGATAAAAGTCCCTTTAATAAAGGGACTATTTACAGATGTGTGGGCAGAGTTAAGAGCATCAAAAAAGGATGTTGAGGCACCAGGCCTGAAAAGGTAAAGGGAAGAAATGATGCTATTGGAGCTTACCTGGGGGGCAGAGCCTTTGAAGAGGGGCCACCCTAGAGAAGCCATAGTCCTGGAAGGACTCAAACACTACAGAATGGGCCAAGCAAGGGAAGACATTCCCTACCACTCTGTCCTCCCACCCATCTATTACCTATCTGTGCCTTCTATTGGTTGAACCCAAATGCAAGCCAGAAGGCAAAGGAGCCCTGGTGATAAAGTTGGAAGGTGTTCGTTTCCTTGGGAAGAAGAGCAGGGAAAGGCAGAGAATGAATTGAGGGGGATCAGGGTATCTTGGGTCCTAGGGAAGTGGCAAACAGGAAATAAAGCTTCCTAAGGGGAGTCTCTTTGTCTTCAAGTCAATTAAAAACACATGTGTGCACACACATGCAAAACACTACAGGAAAGGCCATGATTGGCAAGACTTGGCAGCTATTTAAGGGAGATATTCTCTACAATGGGGAACAAGAAATAAACTTAAGGAAGTTAAATTGCAGACTGAAGGTAAATAGCAGACTACAACAATATTAAGCAGTATGTGGTGATTGTCAGATTAATGGTGTAGGCCCTAGATGTTAAAGGAGTTTGAAGGATGAAAGATCACAATGGGCTGGAGCAATCTCAAAAAATAATTTATGGAAGAGGAGAGGTTTTCAGCAACATTGAAATTAGAGCCAACTTATATAGGCAAGAAGGAGAGGTTGATCTTCTTTGGGGCAATGGCATCGACAAGATCACAGGTGTTAGCCTGAAACACATCTTCCCATGGGTGGAGGGCTGGTGTTGTTTCTGAGATTTTCAAAAATCTTACAAACATTCCAGGCAAATACCTATGGAAGGGGCTAAAGGGCGTAAGAGGTAATGGGCTGTAAGAGGTATAGGTTGTGGGTGGCCATTGATTCATTCCTTCAATAAACATTTATTGAATGCTTGGTATTGGTCAAGCCACTGTTCTGAGAGCAGCTGACGCCAAGTAAAATAAGACATGGTTCTTTCCCTTGAAGAAAGGGAATGGAAAAGGTAACCAAAGGAGAAAATAATTATTTTTGCCTTGTGTCCAGATGAGGTTTTTCACATTCTCGGCTGGTCTTTTCACTCACTGCTTAAACTCTTTGGAGAGCCTTTTACTCCCTTCAGGGGAAAGGATCGAGGCTCTTCCGATGTGGCCTTGAGTCTCCAGCCCCATCTCTTACCACTCCTCTCGACACAGAGGTATGCACAGACGATATGCAAGCACACAGGAGATCATCTAAATGAGACTCGAGCAGAGAGTGATTAAGGAAGACTTCCCGGAGGAGGTAATGCAATCTGAATTCTGAAGTGTGAGCAGGGGCTTTGTAATGGTGTTTCCATTTATTTGTGTCTATCCCGATGCATTCTAAAAAGGAAGTAAGATGGTTTGGCTTAAGAAATACACAGAGCAGGATAAAAAGAAAATTAGGTAAAACATAGGGTGAGCTTATTTGCCTTTTATGTACATTGCTGCATTTGATTTCAGAAAAGCTTTATAAAGTTGCAGTTTTATTTGCATTTTCCAGATGAGGAAGCCAAGACCCAGTGGTTGAAGTACCTTGCCCAGAGCACACAGTCTTGACAGGCAGTGGAAGCAGAACAGAACCAAGCTGGTTTGGTACCAGTCTGTGAGTTTTCAGCTGTGTACACTAGCATAAAAGATGATGTGCTTGTGACTTCTGTGGCTTACCTCCCTGCATAGAGCTCAAGGCCTGAAGGTGCTGCACGGGGCAGTAAAGGATGGCTGTGCACTTTGAAGACTGAAACGTGAGTGAAGGGGGTGTATTAGTCCATTCTCACGCTGCTAATAAAGACATACCCGAGACTGGGTAATTTATAAAGGAAAGAAGTTAATTGACTCACAGTTCAGCATGGCTGAGGAGGCCTCAGGAAACTTACAATCATGGTGGAAGGGGAAGAAAACGTGTCCTTCACATGGCGGCAGCAAGGAGAAGTGCTGAGCAAAAGGGAGAGAAGCCCCTTATAAACCATAAGATCTTGTGAGAACTCACATTCACTACCATGAGAATGGCAGCATGAGGGTAATCACCCCCATGACTCAATTACCTCCTACCAGGTCCCTCCCACAACATGTGGGGATTATGGGAACTACAATTCAAGATGAGATTTGGGTGGGGACACAGCCAAACCATATCAGAAGGGAACTGGGAAAGGCATTTCAGGCAGAAGAGTCAGCGTGTTCAAAGCAAGAGGGGTGTGAAGGAGCATGGCGTGTTGGAAAGATAGTAATTAGCTCATGATGGTTGGGAGTGTTAAGAGCACTGCTGAGAGATGGGGCTGGAGACGCAAGCAAGAGCCACATCTGAAGGGCTTCATATAGCCCTTGGCCTGAAGGGAGTAAAAACTCTTGAAGGAGTTTAAGCAGTGAGTGACAAGACTGAGAATGTTAAAAACCTCACTTGTACAGCAATGTAAGGAAGTCTACGTCAGGAGAAGCCTGGAAGCAGAGAGGCCAGTTACAGGGCTTGCTGCAGTCATAGAGCAACAAGATGGTAGAAATGATAAGGAGGGTGTTAGAGTTTGGGAGGTATTATGGAGAAACATTAGACAGAGGTGGGCCCCTGGATTGGGGATGGGTAAAGGTAACAAATTCTCACTTGGGCAGCCAGTGAGGTGATGCCATTCATGAGGCAGGGATGGTGGGGAAGAACCAGCTTGGTGCTTAAAGGTGATGAGTAGAGATGATGATGGTCATAAACAACTAATGAAGAAAATGAGCTTCACTTTTTTACCCTTCTGTTCTGTCTAGTTGTTTAGTTTATTGAGGCCTTAGAAAAAAAATGACAGCCCCAGAGAAAATATTGTCAATAAAAGTTAAATGTATTTATTTTGATAAGACATTGTTTTTATTGCAAAAGTAATATATACACAGACAATTTAGAAATTATAGACAAGCCAAAGAAAATGTTGTTACATAAATGCAATGTTACGATGACTTGTAACACTTTGGTGTGTATCCTTTTTTTTCTAAGCACATATGTGTAAATATATGCATTTTTAAAGGATTTCAGTAATGTTCTCATGATTAAATATATCATGCATATCCTTCTTTCTTTTCTTTCTTGCTTATTTTTTTTTTTTTTTTGAGACATGGTCTAGCTCTGTCACCCAGGCTTGAATGTAGTGCAATTCTGGCTCACTTCAACCCCCATCTCTTGAGTTCAAGTGATCCTCCTGCCTCAGCCTCCCAAGTAGATGGCACTGCAGGTGTGCGCCACCATGCCCGCTAATTTTTGTATTTTTTGTTGGGACAGGGTTTTGCCATGTTGCCTAGGCTTGTCTCAAACTCCTAGGCTCAAGTGATCCACCCACCTTGGCCTCCCAAACTGTTGGGATTACAGGCATGAGCCACCATGCCTGGCACATACACATCTTTCAATAACATTGGTAATTCTATAAGATCATTTTGGAGATTGCATGGTATTCCATTTATGAATGCACAGTCTTCTATTCAACTATGTTTCTGCTGAGACATTTAGGTTGTTTCCATTTTTGTTTTTACTATTACAAACAACTCTGCAATAAAGTAATGAAAATTTAAATTTTCCAATTAACCTTTGGTTTTTAGTAGTGCAATTTAGTTTATGAAATTAAGTTTGGGCATGGTTTGTTTTTTCAAGTGGTTGTAGAAAGAAACAGATTTTTTTTTTTTTTTTTTTTGAGACGGAGTCTCACTCTGTCGCCCAGGCTGGAGTGCAGTGGTGTAATCTCGGCTCGCTGCAACCTCTGCTTCCTGGGTTCAAGCAATTCTCTGCCTCAGTCTCCCGAGTAGCTGAGATTACAGGCACCTGCCACCACACCCAGTTAATTTTTGTATTTTTAGTAGAGACGGGGTTTCACCATCTTGGCCACACTGATCTTTAACTCCTGACCTTGTTATCCACCTGCCTCAGCCTCCAAAAGTGCTGGGATTACAGGCGTGAGCCACTGCGCTCGGCGAAACAGTTGTTTTTAAATTGCTCTGAAAAAATATGTGGTCTTTAATTCTCATGTATGAGAGCAAACTGATATAAGGTATGGCTATTAAAAAGGAAGTATGGAAACTATCTGTGAGTTGAGTCATTCTTTAACTTTCAGTGAGGACAGAGACCACATTTGCTAATGAGATTCCTTTGCTTTAATGACTTTTTCAGTGTCTCCCCAAGGAGCATACAAAATGTTGTCAATTCTTCAAAATGATCTACAAATTGATAAACCTCATGAATAATTGCAATTGTAGTTAAATTCAACTTCCTTTTGATTGTGTACAATAAATTTTTTGCATACATCTTTAAAATTTTTTCCCTTAATTTAGAAGCAGGCTTTGAGGATAGGAAACATATTATAGCTGACCTTTTTTGACTGATCATTGCCCTTTTCCTCAGAGTTCCTACTGACTACACTCTGTGCTAGGTGTCTGCTGTCTCTGCCCTTGTCAAGCCTCTAATAGTCAAACATCTGAAATTCCTCTTTTCCAGTGAAGATGCTGCAGAGTACTTGGAAGAGAAAACGAGATGTTTCTGGCTTGTCTGGACAAGGTTAGACCCCCGATAGCAGCAGAAAAGGGATACAGGATGTCAGTGATAAATGGGTGGTCTCTGTTCAAACAACAGAATGCATGCGTTCTCCCAAAGTGCTTGGAAAATCCCCAGTAGCTGTGTACTCCAAGCCATCCTCGTTGGATGTAGATACATTTCACCAGTCTCAATATCCTTTTCCTTTCATAAATATCTTCTATTCTAAAAGAAAGTGAATAGAAAGTACAAGCAAATCTCACACATAACCTAAGCATAACATAAAGGAGAAATTTTAAAAATTTAATTTATAGTAAACATACATTATAGCCAGATGCTTGTACTTATACCTAGAATCGTTGTGAATGTGACACCTACAAATGCAGACTGATACTGCAGTGATACATTGATGACTCAAATACCACAGGGGGCATCACCACTGGTATTGTAATTTTCCAAAATGATGAACTACAATGGGTTAAGTTATGCGTGAAGCAACATCCAGTTTTCCTTGCCTTTATAAGGTGCATTCCTGAAAAATTCAGTGAGGCAACGTCCAATTTTCTTTGCATTTATAAATTGTATTCCTAGAAAATTCAGTGCATTTAAAACTACTCAAAAGTATTTTGTGTTTTATGTGTAAATTAAAGTTAGGTTTTAGGCTCACATCATTGTAAATAGGTTTTTCATCTACTTGAAAGACATTCAAAGCTCATGTCTGACATGAGACAGCTTTTTGTTTGCATGACTGACCCACATATTATTGGGCATCTCTAATCCCAGGACCCCAGCCAGTTGTACCCCATTCATTGTTAGAGCCAAAATACAAACTAGGCCGGGCGTGGTGATTTATGCCTGTAATCCCAGCACTTTGGGAAGCTGAGGCGGGCGGACCTGAGGTCGGGAATTTGAGACCAGCCTGGCCAACATAGTGAAACCCTGTCTCTACTAAAAATACAAAAATCAGCTGGGCGTGGTGGCATGTGCCTGTAATCCTAGCTACTTGGGAGGCTGAGGCATGAGAACTGCTTGAACTTGGGAGGCAGAGGGTGCAGTGAGCCGAGATAACGCCACTGCACTCGAGCCTGGGTGACAGAGTGAGACTCTGTCTCAAAAAAGAAAAAAAAAGTAGAACCCCAAAATACTGACAAACTTACAAATTGTCCCTTTAGGTGGGTATAATTCCCCTGCCTTCACCTCAATCACTGGTTAAGCAGCTCCTGACTATTTTTCTTTTTTGGACCTGGGAGGATTTGCCTCTGAGGTACAGAGAATTAGGTCAACTTGAGTCTGATTTAAAAAAATTATTTACGTTAAAAATTGTGCATGTATACACAATTATATATAACACAATATATATTATGTTAAAAATATACATATAATAAAAGTTACCATTTAAACCATTTTAAATGTATAGTTCAGTGACATTAAACATTCACATTATTGTACGACCAATACCACTATCCATCTCCAGAACAGTTTTATCTTCTCCTCCTGGTTTTTTAAAGAAATTACGGACAGTAGTCTGTTTTGTCTCTCGTTTTCTTTTTTCTTTTTTTTTTTTGAGACGGAGTCTCGGTCTGTCTCCAGGCTAGAGTGCAGTGGTATGATCTCAGCTCACTGCAACCTCCACCTCCTGGGTTCAAGAGATTCTTGTGCCTCAGCCTCCAGAGTAGCTGAGATTAGAGGCGCCTGCCGCCACACCCAGCTAATTTTTGTATTTTTAGTAGAGACGGGGTTTCACCATGTTGGCCAGGATGGCCTCAGTCTCCTGACCTTATGATCCACCCGCCTCGGCCTCCCAAAGTGTTGGGTTTCTAGGCGTGAGCCACTGCACCTGGCCTGTCTCTTGTTTTCTTAGGTCTTCTCACTGGCATTCATTCTGAGAATTGGTCTGTTTCTTTTTTCTTTTTTTTTTTTTTTTTTTTTGAGATGGAGTCTAGCTCTCTCGCCCAGGCTGGAGTTCAGTGGCACGATCTTGGCTCACAGCAACCTCTGTCTCCCTAGTTCAAGTGATTCTCCTGCCTCAGCCTCCCAAGTAGCTGGGATTACAGGCACCCGCCACCACGCCCAGCTAATTTTTGTATTTTTAGTAGAGACAGGGTTTCATTGTGTTGCCAGGCTGGTCTTGAACTCCTGAGCTTGTGATCCACCCACCTCAGCCTCCCAAAGTGCTGGGATTACAAGCATGAGCTACCGCTCCCCGCCTGGTCTGTTTCTTGATTCTGATTAGGCCAGGTTTGTGACTCAACTTTTTGTCTCTGGTGAGGCTGTCATGCTCTGAGCTCTGCCTGTGCTGCCGACCACGCCTCTGCCCCCAGCCATATGGTAACCACACATGGCACCACCTCTCCGGCAGGTCTGGGCCTCCACAGCTCTGTGGCTGTGTCCAGGACTGAGTCGCCCTATGACTCCTCTTCACTCTCCCTTCTGGAAAATTCATCTTTTCCTTGGCAGGTTATATCATAATTTCATATTCATTTGATCACTTTAGACATCCTATATTCAACCGTACAGTCCTGGTTTGTCTACACTTGTCTATCTGAAATCCTATGTTATTAGGCTGTGTGTCTGTTAGAAGAGGCAACTTGGCAGTGTGGAAAGAGCATTAGAACTGGAATCAGAGGACAGTGAGTAAAAAGTGAGGGGGCTGATCACTAGATAATCTGCAGCTTCAAAGAAAAAGTTAATACATTAATTTCTATAAAATATCATATCTACCTACCTCATAGAACCTTCATAAGCATTGAATGCAAGTGAAAAATCGTAAAAGCATAAGGCATTATTATATAGCCTTTACTGTAATAAAAGATGCATAATACATGCTTTTTAAATGACAAAAGATATAATGACATACACTACTAATTGGTATTTTAAAGAACATAAGGCTGGATAATAGAATCTGCAAACCCAGTTATAGGCTGTTTTATTTAGTAGGGATGTAGTCTTCAATAAATGTTAAATGAACATATGTGCTCCAGAAAAGTTATTCAAAACCTTCATTTGGGGGTATTTAAAAGACAGTAACTCTCAGATATTTAGTGCTTGGAAGTCCACATAGATGTTCTGGAGCGTCAGCAGATGTGTGAGGTTGATTTCTGCCTGTTGTCATGAGAACACAGCTTGTCTTTATTGGCCTTTAGGAACATGACCCTAAAAGTCAGCCTGACAGTGATATTTTTCTATGAAAAGAGAGGCTACTACCCAAAGGAGCTGTGACAGGAGACGTGAGGAGTCAGATATGATCAGATGTTCTGTTTCCATTTAGAGTCCTGAAAATCTTTGAGGCTGGTAGCCGCAAGTCATAGTTCCAGCCAGTGCTGTGCTGAGCCATGTTGCAAAAGGAAGGATGTGTACTACATACTATATAACTGGATATGTGATTTTACGTATTTTTAAAACCAGTTATTGGCGGCCAGGCACGGTGGCTCATATCTGTAATCCCAGCACTTTGGGAGGCCGAGGCAGGTGGATCACCTGAGGTCAGGAGATCGTGACCAGCCTGGCTAACATGATGAAAACCCATCTCTACTAAAAATACAAAAAAATTAGCTGGGTGTGGTGGCGGGCACCTGTAATCCCAGCTACCCGGGAGGCTGAGGCTGGAGAATCGCTTGAACCCAGGAGGTGGATGTTGCAGTGAGCCGAGATGGCGCCATCGCACTCCAGCCTGGGCAATAAGACTGAAACTCTGTCTCGGAAAAAAAAAGGTTATTGACTTAGATAAAAATATCACCTATGAGTTTGCTTCCATTAAAACCAGCAAAATAAATTTATAATAAATTCTGATTTTGGTATAAATCAAATACTTAATGTGAGTTTTAATATAGCTACTTTTCAATTTTTTCAATATTTTAAAACTAGTGTTCTGAAAAAAATTCATATCTGCTTAAGGTATTATTTTTATTTTATTTTATTTTTTTGAGACGGAGTCTTTTTTTTTTTTTTTTTTTTTTGAGACGGAGTCTCGCTCTGTCGCCCAGGCTGGAGTGCAGTGGCGGGATCTCGGCTCACTGCAAGCTCCGCCTCCCGGGTTCACGCCATTTTCCTGCCTCAGCCTCCCGAGTAGCTGGGACTACAGGCGCCCGCCACTACGCCCGGCTAATTTTTTTTGTATTTTTAGTAGAGACGGGGTTTCACCGTGTTAGCCAGGATGTTCTCGGTCTCCTGACCTCATGATCCACCTGCCTCGGCCTCCCAAAGTGCTGGGATTACAGGAGTGAGCCACCGCGCCCGGCCAAGGTATTAATACATAGCATTTATCATAATTAAACATCAAAAATACATAAAAAACATGTGAATAGGGTTGTATGTTTTTCTGTTGTAGGCTCCAATATGGCTTAACACGGCACTATCAGTTCTTGTTTTCATTTAAAATGTTATTTTGTTCTTCATGGATTTTTGCATTAATTTAGATTTTAAAAAATATTATATTAAAATATTATTTATCTTGACGACTGAGTTTTTGTGCTCCCCCCGACGGCCCTTACATTTTCTGCCTGAGGTTAGTGTTTCGCTTGCCTTAACCTATTTCTGGCCCTGGTCCCAACCCTCTATCCTAACAGACTATAATACAAAAACTGCTACAGGAATGAAAACTGTGCTCACTACGTTAGAGGAGACGTTCAAATCCAACTAATTTCTCCACAATCCAAGTGAGTCCAGGAAGCAACATGTCAAGTGGGGCAGGGAATGTGAGCTTTAGGGCTAGACAGATCTGGAATTAAATCCTGCCTTGCCTCCTTAGCAGTCTTGAGTAATTACTTACCCAGTCCGAGCCTGTTTTCTTATTTTTAAAAGGATCAGTCATTTTTTAGTGAGAGTTAAACGAGATCGCTTGTGTAAAGCCTCTGTATTCAATGAATGTTCACCTGTCTCCTTCCCTATTTTAGAAATAGTAGATTGACTCACAAACACTGAGTTACCCAAAGACTTGCTCCCAGAAGTGCTGGCATTGAAATTTGAACCCAGATGTAGAGAAAGTCCTATGCTCTTCTCACTAAATTGCACTAATTCTAGCTGCTGCAGGGTTGCGTCTTTCTAGGGACATAATTCCTAGTTATACCAGCTATATCCCAGAGAACTTGGATAAGCAGCTCTGGAGCAGAGGTGGAATATGTAGCCCTTTGACACGACCATATACCACCAAAATATAAACATCAATGCAGAAATTAATGCCATCTCCTCTTTCTGACTCTACAAATATTTATTAGCAAGGGATAAGTTTTCCAAAAGATCTGAAGAGAGTTCAAGACACTTTTTTCCCCCTCTTTTCTTTAGAGGCAGGATCTCACCACCTTTTCTGGGCTAGTCTGGAACTCCTGGCCTTGTTACCAGCGGCAAATCCCACAGGTCTGCAGCAACCTCAATTCTTGTTTCCTCAGAAGAAAGAATTCAACTGATGGGCAGAAGGCAGAAGGAGATACTGAGGCAAGTTTTAGAGCAGAAGTGAAAGTTTATTAAAAAGCTTTAGAGCAGGAATGAAAGGGAGGAAAATATACTTGGAAGAGGGCCAAGTGGGCGACCTGAAAGACAAGTGTGTGGTTTGACCTTTTGATTTGGGGTTTTATACGTCGGCATACTTCCAGGATCTTGGGTTACTTCTCCCCACTCCTGAAAGCTTATCCAGAAGTTGATCAGTTTCAGGTGTTTTCTATTTATTGGGAGCCTGCCTTTCCCTAGCACCGGCTGGGACCAATTATTACTTTAGAGAGACAGTTAACAACCCCCTCGCCCGCCCAAGACTCCTGGGTTGGGGATGGGGGAACCCTCTCCTGCCCATTCCTTCCCTCTCCTGCCCACTCCTCCCCTCTCCTGCCCTGCCCTTCTCCACCCATGTCTGACTAGCTACTTACTGTAACAGCCTCAAGCGATCCTCCCACGTTGGTCTCCCACAGTTCTGGCATTCTAGGTGTGAGCCACTGTGCCTGCCCTCAAGGAACTTGAATACTGTGCTTTTCTATATATGAGACAATTTGTAATTAGGAATTAGATATGTTTGTTAATTGTATGTATGCATTTTGGTATATTTCTTGTGATGATTGATATTTTATCTCATTTTAGAGGCAGATTGTATAGAATAAATTGAAATTTGCTTAGTGATGGCCGAAAGCTTTGCATCTCTTTTAGGGGTGATTAGCTATGCTTACAATAAAACTGTGCATATATATATTTGGAACATCCTTATAATAAAAAAATAAGCAACCTACATGTCCAACAATAAAATAGTGTTTATATGAATTATGGCATACCGTAGAATATTATGCTGTGATTAAACATGGTATTTCCAAAATATAAAATGAAAAAATGAGGACATAAGACTGTTTAATATGTATCTGGCTGGGTGCAGCGGCTCATGTCTGTAATCCCAGCAATTTGGGAGTCTAGGCAAGAGGATTGCTTGAGCCCAAAAGTTGGAGACCAGCCTGGGCAACATGGCAGAACCTTACCAAAATGATACAAAAATTAGCCGGGTGTGATGGCTCATGCCTGTGGTTCCAGTTACTGGAGAGGCTGAGGTGGAAGGATCCCTTGAGCCCAGGAGGCAGAGGTGCAGTGAGAGCCATGTTCATGCCACTGCACTCCAGCCTGGGTGACAGAGTGAGACCCTGTCTCAAAAAAACAAAAAACAAAAACCGTATAATATAAATCTAACTCTGTAAAGTTTTTAAAAATGTACTTATGTAAATAGAGAAAACAACTAAGATATTGAAATGTTAACGGTAATTAGTGATGGGATTATAGGTGACTTTTATTTTTTAAACAGTCTTTCATAGATTTTTCCAAAATGTCTATAAATTAACAAATTTTTTTTCTATAATTAAAAAATACTTTAAAACACAGTTTCTCTAATGGTGGAGTTTAAATGGTATCCAAAATAGACCTGCCCAGTTTTATTTTGGAGCAAATAAATTTGACAATTAGAACAATTGCAATGTATGTTTTTATTTTTATTTTATTTTTACTTTTATTTTTTCTAAAGACAAGGTCTTGCTCTGTCACTCAGGCTGCATAATCATAGCTCACTGCAGCCTCAAACTCCTGGGCTCAAGCGATCCTGCTGCCTTAACCTCCCAAGCAGCTAGGACTACAGGCGCATGCCACCAGGCCCAGCTAATTTTAAAAATTTTTGTAGAGACAGGATTTTGCTATGTTGCCCAGGCTGGTCATGAACTTTTGGCCTCAAGCAATCCTCCTGCCCCACCTCCCAAAATGCTGGGATTACAGATGTGAGCCTCCACACTTGGCTTCAATGTATGTCTAAATAGTCATCATGCAAACCTTTAAGTAAAGGAAATTTTTTTAACTTTTTTTTTTTTTTTTTTTTTTTTAAAGACAGGGCCTTGCTTTGCTGCCTAGGAGTGCAGTGGCTCTTCACAGGTGTGATCACAGTGCACTCTGGCCTAGAACTCCTGGCTTCAAGCCATCCTCTCCTCTTGCCTCAGCCTCCTGAGTAGCTGAGAATACAGGCAGGTGCTACCATACCCAGCTTAAGTTAAGGAAATTTTGAGTCACCTTTGTCCTGGTTTAGCCATAGTTCATAATGTTAAAAAAGAACTTTATTTCTGGTGCCAAAATGTCGCCACAGTTTTTACTGATTTGTTATTATATGCTTTCACCTCCGGAATATAAAATAAGTTAGGAGCAAAATATATGTAATGGAATGCTGTACGTAGGGAGAAAATTGGGTTGACCATAACCCCTGAAAAAGAAAAATAATGCATCTCTCATTTGTAGCAGCAGTAAACTGAACAAACGCTTTGCTTTGTTTCCCACTTACAATATTAAAGAAGACATTTGATATGTCATGGCACACACTCCTTTCCTGATCTTTTTCCTAACACTCCTCTCCTTGTGAATGTTTACCTGTCACTCTGCTGAGTGTCTGTATCTTTTTTTTACCCTCTAACATTAACCCATCTCCTTGTCTCTAGAAGGGAAGCAGATGTGAGCATAGCTGTTCCATAGTACCACTTTCCCCATCTATATGACTACTACAGAAACAATCGTGTTCTTATAGATCTCTGCTGCCCCCATCTCTGTTGTTTGGCCCAGGGGTTGGGGACACCACACAAACCAGGTCAAGGACTTCTAGACTTTTCCTCTGGTAGGGGAGACTTTAGATGCAAATATTGGAAACTGTTGTTATTCGTTGTTGTAGTTGAATTATGTCTCCTGCAAAAAGGTATGTTGAAGTCCTAGCCCCCAGTACCTCAGAATGTGACCTTATTTGGAAATAGGGTGTTTATACATGTAATCAAGTTACAATGAGGTCATTAGAGTAGGCCCTAATCAATAGGACTGATGTCCTTATATAATAAAAAAGGGAAATTTAGACTCAGAGACAGACACACACAGAAGGAAGACCATGCGAAGAGATACAGGGAGGAGATGGTGATGTGACTGGAGTGACGCATCTAAAAGCCACTGGCTGTCAAGGATTGCCCGCAAACATGGGAAGCTGGGAGAGGCCAGAAAGGATTCTCCCCGACAGTCCTCTGAGTGGGTGTGCCCTGCCAACTCCTTGAGCTTGGACTTCTAACCTCCAGAATTGTAAGACAATAGATTTCTGTTGTTTTAAGACAACTCGTTTTTAGTGTGTTGTTATAGCAGCCCTAGAAAATAATACTGTGTTGCATTTTTTTTTTCTCATCATATGGAGTGGAGAGAACTAGTGAGAGTATGCAGGTTTTTTTTTTTTTTTTTTTTTTTTTGAGAGAAGAGTCACAGTGAGTCTGATAGCTTTTGAATCTTGGTTTTGAGTCCTTTCTGAGACCTAAATGCATGACTGTCCTTTCTGTGTATTGGTTTTTCAATCTTTTCTTGGATTACATGAACCGATTATCGTTTTTGTGAGGGTGGAGTGTCTAAGTTAATTGAGTTGGATTTCTGGCACTTTTCTGGCACTTGCAATGAGAAATAGCTAATGAATCCTGAGTATCTAAGCAGCCTAGGAATGTGACATTTTCTAATACAAATGACATAAAACTTTTTTAGGTGTTGTATTACCTGAAGGGCAAAGTTCTCCTTTTCGAACACTATGACACATTGATATATTTAATTCCTCACGTAAAACAGGAAAAAATTACTTGAAGGAAATACAACTTTTATTATAAGGATGCAGGCAGGTCTCACGCATCTGAGCTTTTTATTTATTTGTTAATGTTCATTCATGTTGTCTTTTTTTCAATTGGAACCACCAAAACTTAACAAAAAATTATGAGAGAAATAAATTTTAGTTTAATGATTGAACATCTGCTATGTGCAGGCACTGAGCTAGGTGTTATGTTACAACTGTGAGCAGGACTAAATCCTTGCCTTGGAGGAGTTTATAACCTAGTAGGGGAAAAAGAGAAGTAAACAGAGGACCAGGTGTTGTGGTGTGAGCCTGTAGTCCTTGGAGCTGAGGTGGGAGGATGGCTTTAGCCCAGAAATTTGAGGCCATGGTGCACTATGATCATAATTGAGAATAGCCACTGCACTCCAGCCTGGGTAACATAGCAAGACAGTGTCTCTGAAAAACAAACAAACAAACAAAAACCAAAATTAAAACAGGTAATCAAAATACAGTGACCAGGTTGTAGCATGACTAGATTATGGAGTGCAAGGGATGAGATTTTCGAGATAAAAGAGATAGATCAAGAAATGCCTTTCATGCCACATAAAAGAGTTTTGTTTAGAACAATGGCAGTGGGAGTAGGTTTTGAGCAGGAGGGTGAGAAAGGTAGGATTGAGCCTTTGAAAGTTCTAGTGCTTTAGAAGATGCTCAGCATTTCAGTTAGGAAGACTGTGTGTAACATAGGTTTGAGATGGTAGTGGTCTCCTCCCCCAGGATGGTGGTGATAGAGATGGAGGGGAGTGGACTGGTTCAGGGGAAATTATTAATAGGAGGTGAAATTGACAGGCTTGGTCATGGGTGGTTGTGAGGGAGAGAAAGTCAGGTGTCTGGCTGAGGAGCTTTGCTGGATGGAAGTGCTATTTGCTGAGGCAGCAGACAGGAAGGGGAGTGGTTTGGGAAAAGGGGGGATGATGCGAGCATTGCTGAATGTGATGGGCTGTAGGACCAGCAGTGGGGATGTCCACAAGAGTTGGCTATATAGCGTTGGTGCTCAGTGGAGGGGCCAGAGGATTTGAATATAGTTAATAATTAAAAATGCGGATGTGATTACCAAGGGAGTACATATTATGTAAGAAAATCAAACAATGAGGACGTATCTCTGAGAAACTCCAACCATTCTGAAAAACTCCAAAAGACCATTCTTGGTAACTGTGCCAAGTGAATGGCCTGGTCTCTGAAACTCTATGCTCAGACACAGGTCATCCTGGAGAGTGGTGTCCTTCTGGATTGTCACATACCCTGTGAATGAAGCATGTGTTACAACAATAATGGAAAATATGCAAATGAGAAAAAAAGTTTCTCAGTGCCCCACCACCCTAAATTCTGGCTCCACCCCTATTTGTTTTCTCATATTTGTCTGAATTTCTCCAAGAAGCCCATAATCAATGCTGGGTCATTCCTGGAGTGTTGACAGTCACCAGGATTCACCTTTGGCTTTTGTTTCAGTCCAAAAGTAAGAGTTAGTGTCACGTGTGAGGCAAACACATGCTGAGACTTGTTTGAGGGACCACTGAGATTTCAAGTTGAGGAAAAGCCTTCTGGTACATGAGGTCGATTGTAGAATGAATATGAATATTGAACATTCCTGCCAGCAGTCTGCAGACTTCTGATTTCAGGCCCCTGAAAACTGTTATTTCCTGGGCTTGTTTTTAAAAGCAGAGCCCAAACTTATTTCTGAGAAAGGACAGAATTAAAATTCAGCAGATAGTTGTTCATGCTGTATAAATAAATCCCTCTTCAGAGAGTGAAGGAATCCTTTTTCTCAGGGACCACAGGACTGCTTATAATGACTGTTTTCCTCACATCAAGAGCTCAGTCTTTGTGGCACCTTGACTTTTTTTGGAGGGGGCAACCAGTAGCTGTTGTCTAAATGTACGTCATATACGTTAATTTTTACCATGAAATCTGAATGTTTTGGGATATAGAAGTAAATGTTTCTTGACATATGATTTCCCTAAAGTGAATGTAAAAATGCCCTGATCTTGAATTGGAAAACAGAACATGTGGTTAAACTAGCAAAGGCAGGAAACACTATAGTAAATATTGTCATTCAATGATCAGCTAAACTAAAGCTGATTATTGATGGTTTCTCCTTATTTTGTGCTTACTTCCTATCTCTCCCCATTTCTTATAGTTTCAGAATTCCAGATTCTCTTATGTGTTATCATGTTAGGGGTGTACTTTGATCAAGAATAGCATTTTTTCATATACTATTCCTTTGAACAATATAGGCGGCCCCTATTTTGTATTGATCTATTACTCTGACACTACTTTAAACAGACAAATAAGCAAACATTCTGATTCCTTTATGGGCCTTTTATCAGATTTTGGTGGGACTCTTTCAATAAATAGCTGATGTAACTCAGTTAGTTTGGACCCTGCTAAACTTGTGGAAATATCTCTGAGGCTAGCAGGCTTCTGGCCACCAGGTACTTTTAGAAACTAAGTTGTAACACTCAGTGACAGTGTTTATTCCCATGGAAATAATGTAATAATTAAAGATTGAATTCCTTGGACAGGGATATTTGGCCAGATACTTAATGATATCATTAAAGAAAAAACACAACAGCACAAGTTTCTAAACCAATAAAAAAATAGTAAAACTGTTTTCTAGCTTCTTTAAAATGGGCCTACTATATTGTTACTTTGATTTTAGCAGGGACCCTAACGATTGACAAAATATACTCATAGTACATGAAAATACAACTCCACTGTGGTGTAAATTTGCTCTGAAACTAATATGCTGGTGATAATAAACATTATGCATTTAACTAACAACAATTTTGCTTCGTTTGCAGAATTTAGAAAAGCTTTTTGGTAGCATTTTGGAAGGCTCAGATTTCTTTAAGACATCTCTCTAGGGAAATTTGAACTAATTTCTCTTTTATTTCCCTCTTGTAAAAATTCCCATTAGAAAGCAAATGCATTCAAAACCGTTCCATTGATCTTATAACTGTGCTTTATAGCAATAGCCATGAGCTTTTCCTTTCTATCCTGTGGGCTGAAAGCACTGCAGTGGGGTGTCTGAATGGCACACAGGAATCAGGGGAACTGGGAAGTGAAGGGCAGCCAGCTTTGAGAGGGACCCCGGTCTGTTTTGTAGCACAGCAAATGTCAGGGGAAAGGGATTTGGCTTCACCCTTTTCGTTTTCTGACCCTGTTTCCAGGAAGACTTTGTAAAAGTTGAAGACTGCCAGGAACTTATTTAAAACTATAATGGAAGTTTAAAAATGATCATAAAATGCCAGTTTCATGACAGCTTCATGACAAAATCACAGTTTGGCCCTCTTCTCCAAAAACCAAAGAATTCCTGCGAAGCAAATCACCCACCCCAAATTCAGTCACATCCCATCTTTACATTTCTCCCAGTACCTTCTGGTCCTATCAGTTCAATGTCATGCTGAGGATATAAAGGCCGAGGGACAAATGTGGCAGGGGATGGGTTCAATTTATCTGATGCAACCCTGCTGAAATTGTCTTTTTCTACAGACATTTTATCAAGTCATAGGAGAGTTTAACTTTCTCTCTTTCCTAATTAGTTCTATGAACTTATCTATTTTCCTCATATTTTCTAACCCAGTCCTGGAGAGAAATTTGACCTTTATAATGACTACAATATATCAAGTACTTATGATATGCCAGGTAAAATGCTAAATATTACATGTATTATTATAATTATTTGAGACAGGGTCTCACTCCTGTCTCCCAGACTGGAGTGTAGTGGTACCGTCTTGGCTCACAGCAGCCTCAAATTTCAAAGTTCAGGTGATCCTCCCACCTCAGGCCCCCGAGTAGCTGGGACTACAGGCAAGTGCCACCATGCCTGCCTGGTGTGTGTGTGTGTGTGTGTGTGTGTGTGTGTGTGTGTATTTTTGGTAGAGATGGCGTTTCACCATGTTGCTAGGGTGGTCAAACTCCTGGGCTCAAGCAATCCACTCACCTCAGCCTCCCAAAGTGCTGGGATTACAGGCGTGAGCCACCGTGCCTGGCCTGTGATACATATTATTGCATTGAATCCCCAAGTAAGTTAGAGATTCTTAGTCTCTCTACAGTTAAGGAAACCAAGGCTCAGCAGGATCATACAGCAAGATTTCCCCTGACTGCATGGCTAGTAAGTGTTGAGGCTGAGATTCTAACTGAGGTCTATCTCATGGAAAACCCACGCTCACAGCCACTGTGCTGTGTGCTCTTCCTGTCTGGATGTGGTCCTTGTCAGGGTACCTCAGTGTTCTCAAGAGGCACCTCTGGCTTCTGAGATGTAGACAGAAACATCTAGGTATTAGGTTGGTGCAAAAGTAATTGCAGTTTTTGCCATTAAAAGTATGTTTAAGAATTAACATCCCGAATGAAAGGTACTTGAAGTTTAAGCCACTCTGATTACTAATACGATACATAGTGTAGTAGTAACGTATGCCTGAGACCCAGCCTAATATTCTTCTTTGAATTCACACTTAACACTCACTCACACAACCAATTTTATTGAAGCTCTCTTTGTGCAAGAAAGTCCACTTTGAAACTAGAGTTCTCCAGGGAAACAAAAGCCTCCTTAGAAACAATGTTGGAATCTGGATTGCTGTGGAAGAAACTTAAAAAGCTTGAGTCCCTTCCACTTCTATTCTTGGATGGGTTTTGGCTCCTAGCTGGTTCAGAAATTCTTTATCCTCATTTAGATTCTCTAAGGGAGTGGCTCATTCCAGCCCAGCGCAGCCTCATTCTGCCCATAGCAGGTTTCCACCCTGGCTCTGCTCCCCCGCAGGGCGAGCACCAGGAGGGGACAGCTGCTGGGCCCACTTTGCATAGGGGCATGTATGACCCAGGCAGGGCTGACTCTCTGCGGAAAAACCTCAGGGCTGCTTTCTGGCTTTAGTCATATTCGTTAGATGAAACTTGTGGGTGTTACTAAGACATTCTGCGCCCTGAAATTGGGAGTGGTTTTGAAAACTGGTCTCAACTATTAGATTCCGAACCACTAAGCTTCCACATTTACTGACAGTTATATGCAGCAAAGAAGTTTTTCTCATTGCCTGCTTTTCTATCCTTCTATGTGCAAACACTATGTATCTTATTAGTATTTAGAGTGGCTTAAACTTCAAGTACCTTTCATTAGGGATGTTAATTCTTAAATATACTTTTAATGGCAAAAACCGCAATTACTTTTGCACCAACCTAAAACCTAGATGTTTCTGTCTACATAGTCAGATAGTGAGTGGAGGCAGTGCAAGAGATGTCAGTTTTGCAGCTTGCTTTTCTTCAGTTCCTTGCATCAGATTCTGTTCTCTGTTCTGATTCTCTTTTCAGACACCTGTTTCTCCTCGTTTTCTAGTTTCTGGTAGTATTACCTCGGAATCTAGAACTAACCCCCGAGTGCTCCTTGGCTGAGAGCACTTCAATACCTAATGGATGATAACAGGATCTAACATGGAGTTGTGGGGAAATCATGGACACAGGATTTATTTATTTAATAAATATATTTATTGTCACTACATGGAGAGTACACCAACTCACCTCTGGATGAGTGGGGAAACTGCTGTTATGAGGTCATTTCCCCAAAATGACTCTTTTGTTATCATGTCAGGGTGGCTTTACTTCCACCATTAGTTGCTTCTTTTTTTTTTTTTTTTTTTTTTTTGAGATGGAATCTCGCTCTGTTGCTCAGACTGGAGTGCAGTTGCGTGATCTTGGCTCACTGCAACCTCCGCCTCCTGGGTTCAAGTGATTCTTGTGCCTTAGCCTCCCAAATAGCTGGGACTACAGGCATGCACCACCACGCCCGGCTAATTTTTGTATTTTTAGTAGAGACAGGGTTTCACCATGTTGGCCAGGCTGGCTGGTACTCGTGACCTTAAGGGATCTGCCTATCCTGGCTTCCCAAAGTGCTGGGATTACAGGTGTGAGCCACCGTGTTCAGCCTGCTTCCTTTTTTAAAACCAATTTTTTCCTATGCTGGTATTCAAGGAAATGTTACTAAGCATACAGTAAAAGGTGCTCAAAGTGCACATAAACCTGGGACATGTTGGAGTTAAACGAAACTAAATAGTTTTCTTAGCTGCAGGCTGCCCAGAGCCTGCAACATGCGAATGTGTGTCATAATTGTTCACAAAGGGCTCCATCATGTTAAGCATTTCCTAGTTATTTGACCATAGAACTTCTTTTTTCATAGTTAAGTCTATTAATAGCTCCTAGAACAGAGTTCCAACGATCATTGTGTGATGAACACTGAAGATCTTTTTCAAAAGCTTTGAAGGTTCTTGTCAAAAGTACATGCATTATCCAGGAGAGGAAATGCAATTGACCACCACTATCCCAGAATAAGTTGGCTGAAATTAGCTAGCTAATCTCACTTGGCAAGGCCTGAGCAACAGCTTCCTCTGTCTTGAGTTTGAATCCCTGTCTGTCATTTCTGTATGATCTATGCTAATTTTTGACCCCACTGGTCCTCTCTCTTGCCCTACAATTTATCCTCCCTAACTGACACGGATATGGTGGGCATCAGAGATAATGCTTTCCAGGCTCCAGCAAGAGCCACCCTTTCAGCCCCCCAGTCCCAACAACGAAACACTGTAAGAAGCTTTGTCTATGTCAGGCATTCTCTGGCTTACAAGGAGAAAAGATTTTCCTTCCTAACCTAACTGAACTTAATCCTGAACTTAATCCTGAAATCTTCTCATCGCTTTTTCACCTCTGAAAAATGTGACCTTAATCAAACATGACTGCTAAATATTGGACAGGGTGAGAGCCACAGGGAATCAAAAGGAAACATGCTGAAAGGTAGTGTGTATGTGTATTAAACTTTCCTGAGCAATTTCAAAGAGGTAGTAGTTGTGTGAAGGGTAGAATATTTGTACCATGATTTGGATTTGGTAGAAATCTTTTCAGTCAGCAGTGAAGGCAAACTGGTCATAGAAGTCCTACCCACCCTTCTATCTCAACCAACTTCGAAGGCATGGAGACAGGTAATTAAGACATCACCTGGGGCTCTACTTGTCAGATCCCCAAACGAACTTTCACAATTAAGTTCTTTAAGATCATTTGGGTATTATGCCTTATGTTTATTTAGCTCTTTAGAGTTTGTCAAATACTTTCACATATCTTATCCAAACTGATTTAAAAAATTATTTGTATTTTACTTTTTAAATTAAATTAATTAATTCATTTTGGCCTGGTAATGTCACAAAAAATTATTTTTAGAATGGTTTTAGGTTTACATAAAAATTGGCCTGAAAGTGAAGAGGATTCCCACTTACCTATACTTTCTTCTCCCTGCAGTTTCTTTTACTATTAATATCTGGCATTACTGAGGTATATTTGTTACAATTGATCAATCAGTATGGATACATTATTATTAAATGAAGTCCACAGTTTACATCAGGGCTCATCTTTGTGTTGTGCAGTCTGTGGGCCTTGACAGATGTAAAATGTCATGTATCCACCATTAGAATATCATAGAGAATAGTTTCACTGCCCTAAAAATATGATGTGTTCCACCTGTTCATCCTCGAGTCCCTGGCAATCATTGGTCTATTTCCTGTCTGTATAGTTTGCCTTTTCCAAAATGTCATGTAGTTGGCCAAATTGACTTTAATCTTCATGACAACTCTGTAGCTAGGCAAGTTTTATTATCTCATCATAGATGAAAGAAGTTCAGTAAGATGAAGTGACTGAGGACTCACAATCGAGGGTGCCCAAGCCAGGACTAGGACCAGCTAAAAGCATGAACACCAGCCGATCTCAGAAAGGGGTTAATTGCTGAAGACATAGACTATTAGCTTACAGGAGCCCTCTCAGCCCAAGCACTTTAATTTCTTAGTAGCTACAAGGAGGAAGATTGCACATCTTCAAAGGAAACTAGATGCATGATATTGGTGAGATGAGACTTGGAGGTGACTTCACAGATGACGGGTTTAATGCCCCATAATTATGAAGGAAGGTCAGTCTCTGCCAGTCTGACTCAGAGGGCTTACTGAGTCATCCTGTTTGTCCTCTCTGCTGCTATTTATGGGCTTCCCAGTTGCTGATATTTGTTGGTTAAATGCTCACACAACCAGTCTTGCCTAAAGCAGTATCATTTATAGGGTGTTGAGAATAAACAGGGTGACAGGTGTGGGATAGTCATTTTAAAGAATATTTAGTAGCTGATTCTTTTTTTAAAGCTCTCCATGCTTAAAATATAAATATTCTGAAAGAAAACAAAAGCCAAGACCCTTTTTGTAGAGAATTGGAGAATGCTAGGACTTTCTGGGAGTGCTGGCTTTTGCACAGGCATGGGTAAACATTAGTAAAGTTGTTGCTGAGAACAGCTCGGGACGGGAGGGGAATGAGAAGAGAAGATAGTGTGGAGACAATGAGAGAAAAGGACTGAAATGTAGTCACCTGAGCAACTTAAGATCCGTTTGTCATTAGAAAGAGACTAGAACAGCAACATCACCCTCATAAAGTGTAGTCATCTGGGCTGGGCACTGTGGCTCACATCTGTAATCCCAGCACTTTGGGGGGCCAAGGTGGGCAGATCATTAGGTCCGGAGTTCGAGACCAGCCTGGCCAACATGGTGAAACCCCGTCTCTACTAAAAATACAAAAATTAGCTGGGTGTGGTAGCACTCACCTATAATCCCAGCTACTTGGGAGGCTGAGGCAGGAGAAGCACTTGAACCCAGGAGTCAGAGGCTGCAGTGAGCCAAGATCATGCCACTGCACTCCAGCCTGGGTGACAGAGCAAGGCTCTGTCTCAAAAAATAAAAATAAAAATAGCGTAGTCATCTGAGTCCATGTAGTAGACTAATTGCTTACTCCAAAGGAGTGATTGAAGAAAGATTAATGAAGCGGCTATTTACAAAGGTGCAAGCAGGATTAGGGGGGCATTCTGGAGCCAGTAGCTGCAGAGAGCCATGACCATCCTCAGGCCTAAGGAGGCAAGGGAAGGGAGCACTTACTGGAACCTAGAGAGACTTATAGTTTAGCAGAGGCTGTCTGACTTAACTGGGCCCTTTGGTAGAGGAAAGCAGCCACTGCCAATCTACAGGGGGTGAGCTGGAGAATAAATAACACACTCTTTTCTTTCATCCTCTTAATTTCTGCTGATACTTTCCATTGGCCAAACCCTAAAATGAAACAGAGACCAAGGGAACCCATATGATGCAATAATCCACGAAGGTCAGCCTCCCAGGCCACTGGGTCAGCAGAGCAGAGGAGGGTGGAGAGGGCTCTGGAGGGCCACACACCAAAAACCTTCAGCTCCAAGGAAGAGGATCATGTTAATGCCCTAGGGATAGACAGTACCAGAAGACTGTGTTGAAATCTGCTTTCCTAAGTCTTTATTCATATTAAAGGCACTATTAATTAATTAAAATATTATAATGACATATATTGAGTGCGCAGCTTCAACTTTATATATCTCTTGGTGCCTGAAAATTCTGAAATGCCTGTTTTGGAAGTGTCCATCTCCCTCAAGTCCCTATGGAAAATCACTGCTAAGAGGCAAGACAAGGGTAGCTGTGTTAAAGTTGAATGTGTGTGGAAGGCTTAAAAAGCCATTGCATAGTTATAATAATAAAGAGGGGGTCACAGTTTGCACCTACACATATTAATATTTTCCCACTTTGTACTTAGATTTAGCTTAAGTTTATCCATTTTTTCATTCAACAAACACATACTATGCTCCTGCTTTGTGATTATAAAAGGATCTACAAAATCTGTCTCTGATAACCCTCCCTGACTCGTGGCCCCTGACCCCCAGCCACCACTGGCAGGACTGATGGTAGGTGGTGAGGCAAAGGAAAAGCCTCTCTGAGGCGGTGACATTTGAGCAGAGGAGGAAGGAGTCAGCCCTGCAGATCTTGGGGACGGGCTGAGGAAATAGCTTGCTTAAGGATCTGAGCTTTGCGTGAAGGCGGAAGGTGCTAGGGGAGGCAATGATACGGCGGTCCGAGGCCTATTCATGGAGGGTCTTCCAGGCCACAGTAAGACATTTGGATTTTATTCCGAGGGTGATGTAAATAGAAGGTTCTGAGCAGGAAAGTGAGATGACAGAATTTATCTTTCTAAAAGATCACTCCAGCTACTATGTGGAGATTGATTCCAGGGAAATGGAAGCAAGGGAACTGATTAGGAAGCGATTTCAGTGGCTGTGACAAGGGATGACGGTGGTCAGTAGAGGTGCTGAAAAGTGGTTGGGCGTGGATACACTCTATGTAGATATTCTTATTGTCCTTTTAGTTAAAGATGACAATTTTCTAAAGGAAGATTTTCTTTTGTGGATGGGGTTGAGGGAACTCACACCAGTTAAAATGAATCGAATTGCTGTTGTCTAACTTAGCTTGCCTCAAATTCACTCAGGAGACTTATTTAAAAAGGAAGATTTCCCAGAGAGATTTATTTAAGGGAAAGCAGAATTGGCATTCTTCTTTGGACCTAGAGAACCTTGACAAGCTGTTGCCAGGACACGCAAGTGGGATGGTGTCTCTTGTGCAACTGATAAGAGGAAGTGACCCTTGGATTGAAGGAAGTAGAAAGATTAAATCAGAAAGAATCAAGGTTCAGAGTCTGCAAAGCCACAAGCCCTCTGTATGGGCCAGCAAGCCCCTGGGCCTGAGAGGCATCAGTAATTGTCACCCGAGTTGGATTGAACTGAAATAAAGAAGTAAAGATCCTATATCATCTGTTGAAATCTTTAAAATGGTTGCAAGATATGCATTACTAATCTATATATTATCTTAAAAACAAACAAGACTTGACTCTGAAGAGAGCAGCAGATCTCCCAGCACAATGTTTGAGCTCTGCCAATGGTCAGACTGCCTCCTCAAGTGTGTCCCGGACCCCCATGTCTCCAGATTGGGAGACACTTCCCAGCAGGGGCCAACAGACACCTCATACAGGAAAGCTCTGGCTGGCATCTGGTGGGTGCCCCTCTGGGATGAAGCTTCCAGAGGAAGGAATAGGCAGCAATCTTTGCTGCTCTGTAGCCTCCACTGGTGATACCCAGGCAAACAGGGTCTGGAGTGGAACTCCAGCAAACTCCAGCAGAGCTGCAGCAGAGGGGCCTGACTGTTAGAAGGAAAACTAACAAACAGGAAGGAATAGTATCAACATCAACAAAAAGGATATCCACTCAGAAACTCCATCTGAAGGTCACCAACATCAAACACCAAAGGGAGATAAATCCATGAGGACGGGGAGAAACCAGCATAAAAAGGCTGAAAATTCCAAAAACTAGAATACCTCTTCTCCTCCAAAGGATCACAACTCCTCACCAGCAAGGGAACAAAACTGTACAGAGAATGAGTTTGACAAATTGACAGAAGTAGGCTTCAGAAGGTGGGTAATAACAAACTCCTCTGAGCTAAAGGAGCATGTTCTAACCCAAGGCAAGGAAGCTAAGAACCTTGAAAAAATGTTAGATGAATTGCTAACTAGAATAACCACTTTAGAGAAGAACATAAATGACCTGATGGAGCTGAAAAACACAGCACGAGAACTTTGTGAAGCATATACAAGTATCAATAGCCAAATCAATCAAGCGGAAAAAAGGATATCAGAGATTGAAGATCAAATTAATGAAATAAAGTGTAAAGACAAGATTAGAGAAAAAGAATGAAAAGGAATGAATGAAGCCTCCAAGAAGTATGGGACTATGTGAAAAGACCTAACCTGTGTTTGATTGGTGTATCTGAAAGTGATGGGGAGAATGGAACCAAGTTGGAAAACACTCTGCAGGGTATGATCCAGGAGAACTTCCCCAGCCTAGCAAGGCAGGCCAACATTCAAATTCAGGAAATACAGAGAACATCACAAAGATATTCATTGAGAAGAGTAACCCCAAGACACATAATCATCAGATTCACCAAGGTTGAAATGAAGGAAAAAATGTTAAGGGCAGCCAGAGAGAAAGGTCAAGTTACCCACAAAGGGAAGCCCATCAGACTAAGAGCAGATCTCTCTGCAGAAACCCTACAAGCCAGAAGAGAATGGGGGCCAATATTCAACATTCTTAAAGAAAAGAATTTTGAACTCAGAATTTCATATCCAGCCAAACTAAGCTTCATAAGTGAGGGAGAAATAAAATCCTTTACAGACAAGCAAATGCTGAGAGGTTTTGTCACCACCAGGCCTGCCTTACAAGAGCTCCTGAAGGAAGCACTAAACATGGGAAGGAACAACCAGTACCAGCCACTGCAAAAACATGCCAAATTATAAAGACCATTGATGCTATGAAGAAACTGCATCAACTAACAGGCAAAATAACCAGTTAGCATCATAATGACAGGATCAAATTCACATATAACAATATTAACCTTAAATGTAAATGGGCTAAATGCCCCAATTGAGAGACACAGACTGGCAAATGGATAAAGAGTCAAGACCCATTGGTGTGCTGTATTCAGGAGACCCACCTCACTTGCAGAGATACACATAGGCTCAAAATAAAGGGATGGAGGAATATTCACCAAGCAAATGGAAAGCAAAAAAAGCAGAGGTTGCAATCCTAGTCTCTGACAAAACAGACTTTAAACCAGTAAAGATAAAAAGAGACACAGAAGGGCATTACATAATGGTAAAGAGATCAATGCAACAAGAAGAGCTGCCTATCCTAAATATATATGCACCCAATACAGGAGCACACAGACTCATAAAGCAAGTTCTTGGAGACCTACAAAGAGACTTAGACTCCCACACAATAATAGTGGGAGACTTTAACACCCCACTGTCAACATTAGACAGATCAATGAGACAGAAAGTTAACAAGGATATTCAGGACTTGAACTCAGCTCTGGACCAAGCAGACCTAATAGACATCTACAGAACTCTCCACCCCAAATTGATAGAATATATATTCTTCTCAGCACCTTATCACACTTATTCTAAAATTGACCACATAATTGGAAGTAAAACACTCCTCAGCAAATGGAAAATAATGGAAATCATAACAAACAGTCTCTCAGACCACAGTGCAATCAAATTAGAACTCAGGATTACGAAACTCACTCAAAACTGCACAACTACATGGAAACTGAACAACCTGCTACTGAGTGACTACTGGGTAAATAACGAAATGAAGGCAGAAATAAATAAGTTCTTTGAAACCAATGAGAACAAACACACAGTGCACCAGAATCTCTGGGACACAGCTGAAACCATGTTTAGAGGGAAATTTATAGCACTAAATGCCCGCAAGAGAAAGGAGGAAAGATCTAAAATTGACACCTTAACATCACAATGGAGAGAACTAGCAGAACTGAAGGAGATAGAGACACAAAAAACCCTTCAAAAAATCAATGAATCCAGGAGCTGGTTTTTTGAAAAGATCAACAAAATTGATGGACCGCTAGCCAGACTAATAAAGAAGAAAAGAGAGAAGAATCAAATAGATGCAATAAAAAATGATAAAGGGGATATCACCACTGATCCCACAGAAATACAAACTACCATCAGAGAATACTCTAAATACCTCTATGCAAAGAAACTAGAAAATCTAGAAGAAATGGATAAATTCCTGGATACGTACACTCTCCCAAGTCTAACCCAGGAAGAAGTCAAATCCCTGAATAGACCAATAACAAGTTCTGAAATTGAGGCAGTAATTAATAGTCTACCAACCAAAAAAAGTCCAGGACCAGACGGATTCACAGCTGAATTCTACCAGAGGTACAGGGAGGAGCTGGTACCATTCCTTCTGAAACTATTCCAAACAATAGAAAAAGAGGAAATCCTCCTTAACTCATTTATGAGGCCAGCATCATCCTGATACCAACACCTGGCAGAGACAAAACAACAGCAAAAAAATTTCAAACCAATATACCTGATGAACATTGATATAAAAATCCTCAGTAAAATACTGGCAAACCAAATCCAGCAGCACGTCAAAAAGCTTATCCACCACGATCAAGTTGGCTTCATCCCTGGGATGCAAGGCTAGTTCAACATATACAAATCAATAAACGTAATCCATCACATAAACAGAACCAATGAAAAAAACCACATGATTATCTCAATAGATGCAGAAAAGTCCTTCGATAAAATTCACCACCCCTTAAAAATCTCTTTAGGTATTGATGGAACGTATCTCAAAATAATAAGAGCTATTTATGACAAACTCATAGCCAATATCATACTGAATGGGCAAAAACTGGAAGCATTCCCTTTGAAAACTGGCACAAGAAAAGGATGCCCTCTGTCACCACTCCTATTCAACATAGTATTGGAAGTTCTGGCCAGGGCAATCAGGCAAGAGAAAGAAATAAAGGGTATTCAAATAGGAAGAAAGGAAGTCAAATTGTCTCTGTTTGCAGATGACATGATTGTATATTTAGAAAACCCCATCGTCTCAGCCCAAAATCTCCTTAAGCTGATAAGCAACTTCAGCAAAGTCTCAGGATACAAAATCAATGTGCAAAAGTCACAAGCTTTCCTATACACCAATAATAGACAAACAGAGAGCCAAATCATGAGTAAACTCCCATTCACAACTGCCACAAAGAGAATAAAATACCTAGGAATCCAACTCACAAGGGATGTGAAGGACTTCTTCAAGTAAAACTACAAATCACTGCTCAAGGAAATAAGAGAGGACACAAACAAATGGAAAAACATTCCATGCTCATGGATAGGAAGAATCAATATCATGAAAATGGCCATAGTGCCCAAAGTAATGTATAGATTCAATGCTATCTCCATCAAGCTACCATTGACTTTCTTCACAGAATTGGAAAAAAACTACTTTAAATTTCATATGGAACCAAAAAAGAGCCCGCATAGCCAAGACAATCCTAAGCAAAAAGAACAAAGCTGGAGGCAGCATGCTACCTGACTTCAAACTATACTACAAGGCTATAGTAACCAAAACAGCATGATACTGGTACCAAAACAGAGATATAGACCAATGGAACAGAACAGAGGCCTCAGAAATAACACCACACATCTACAACCATCGGATCTTTGACAAACCTGACAGAAACAAGAAACGGGGAAAGGATTCCCTATTTAATAAATGGTGTTGGGAAAACTGGCTAGCCATATGCAGAAAACTGAAACTGGACCCCTTCCTTACATCTTATACAAAAATTAACTCAAGATGGATTAAAGACTTAAACATAAGACCTAAAACCATAAAAAACCTGGAAGAAAACCTAGGCAATACCATTCAGGACATAGGCATGGGCAAAGACTTCATGACTAAAACACCAAAAGCAATGGCAACAAAAGCCAAAATTGACAAATGGGATCTAATTAAACTAAAGAGCTCCTGCACAGCCAAAGAAACTATCATCAGACTGATCAGGCAACCTACAGAGTGGGAGAAAACTTTTGTAATCTATCCATGTGACAAAGGGCTAAGATCCAGAATCTACAAAGAACTTAAACAAATTTACACGAAAAAAAAAAACCCCATCAAAAAGTGGGCCAAGGATATGAACAGACACTTCTCAAAAGAAGACATTTATGCAGCCAACAAACATATGAAAAAAAACTCATCATCACTCGTCATTAGAGAAATATAAATCAAAACCACAATGAGATACCATCTTATGCCAGTTAGAATGGAAATCATTAAAAAGTCGGGAAACAACAGATGCTGGAGAGGTTGTGGAGAAATACGAATGCTTTTACACTGTTGGTGGGAGTGTAAATTAGTTCAATCATTGTGGAAGACAGTGTGGTGATTCCTCAAGGATCTAGAACCAGAAATACCATTTGACCCAGCAATCCAATTCTGGGTATATACCCAAAGGATTATAAATCATTCTACTATAAAGACACATGCACACATATGTTAATTACAGCACTGTTCACAATAGCAAAGACTTGGAACCAACCCAAATGCCCATCAGTGATAGACTGGATAAAGAAAATGTGGCACATATACACCACGGAATACCATACAGCTATAAAAAAGGATGAGTTCATGTCCTTTGCAGGGACATGGATGAAGCTGGCAACCATCATTCTCAGCAAACTAACACAAGAACAGAAAATCAAACACCACACGTTCTCACTCATAAGTGGGAGTTGAACAATGAGAACACATGGACATAGGGAGGGGAACATCACACACTGGGGCCTGTTGGGGGGTGGGTGGCTAGGGGAGGGATAGCATTAGGAGAAACACCTAATGTAGATGACGGGTTGATGGGTGCAGCAAACCACCAAGGCATGTGTATACCTATGTAACAAGCCTGCACGTTCTGCACATGTACCCCAGAACTTAAAGTATAATAATAAAAAAGGGGAAGATTTCCTAATCTCTTACTCAGAAGATCCTGATTCTCCAAGACCTAGACATCTGCATTTTTGAACTCAGACTGAGAATTACCATTTAAGTATTTAGCACCACCCCCTAGTGGTGGTTACTTGAAATTGCAGATGTAACAAATTGAAAATACAATTCTTCGAATTCTTCCTGTGTATTTGTTGCACGCAAAGTAACAATCGTTCGCATCTATTTTAGAGCTAGTTAAATATAGCTAGTTTTAGAGGAATAGCCACATGGGGGTAAAAACTCCTTATTCTCTAGTGATTATCTGGAAAGGACTCTCAGAAGTATTAAGATAAAAAAATAGAAAGTTCATAAGTAGCAATTAATTAGCTACTACTTATTGTCAGAGAGCAGTTAAAGCTTCCAACTCATAGCCAGGCTGATTATTAAAGAGCTATACGATTAAAGTAATTGAAACTGTGCAGGTGAAATGGAAAGTTAGTGGCCTCCAAAAGTCATGAAAAACCAACACTGAACTTCCACTAACTATGGAAGAATAGCAGTACGATCCCCAGGGGTGTGTATTTCTTTGAACCATTGTTTTAACTGGCTAGAGGAAGTTTGTGTTTATAATTTTATTAGCTTATCATTTTGGGTTGGAAATTTTTGTTCTATAGCCGCAATGCAGACTAGCCTGCAATGCCACCACCGTCTCTATCCTTGCTTGTCTGCTTTGGTACCTTTTTCCCTTGGACTTCCCAGAGGGTAGAACAGAGGGCAGCCCGGTGTTAGAGCCCTGATAATGGGAGGGAAAATGTTCCAAATATTCTAAATGGGGCAACTGTTTCTACACTTGGGTCAGCTGGAAGACTCTTCCAGCTTCATGGTGTATTTGTTGGCTTGCTTGCTTTCTGTTTGTCATTCTCAGATTCTCCACAAATATTCATCCTGTGTTTCTAACCCCCATGTTTTCTCTCACTCAACACAGGCTCATATTTGAACCAGAAGATCATCTAGTACAAATTTCTCACATGCTTGATGAGGAGACTGAGGTGTGAGTAGGGTAGCTGCTCTCAGGTTACAGAAAGGGGTGGCTGTCCAGTGGAGCTGTGTCCCAGCACTGCTCATGGTGGCCCAGTAATACTTGCAGGCCAGTGTTCTTTCTGTGACCATCCAACTCCTCAACATCTGCTTTTCATTTCCTTCCTCCATCCCTATAAACATCCCCTACACCCAGAAACGCGCCCCGCTATGCGCGTGCGCGAGGGCGCGCGCGCGCGCACACACACACACACACACACACACACACACACACACACACACACTCTCTCTCTCTCTCTCTCTCTCTCTCTGTTTTCTTCTTTCTGCAAATCCCCTTCCCTTCCCATCTTGGCAAGCTGCCCAAAGTATGAAAAATTAGGCAAGTTGAACCTTTAAAAAATCCTTTATTTTAGAATAAACCCAAAGGAAACCTCAGCTGTCCAACTTTCACTAACTAAATTATGCAGTGTTTCCTTCTGTTCCTTCGTCTTTATTTATTTTTATGGGTTAAGGCTTTGACGGGGGGGGGGGAAAAAGGTTTATTTGTTACACTCCAGAGGAGAAAGAACTTGAAGGAGGAAATAGAAAACAAAAGGAAAGGTGAGCCGAAGGATTAAATAACGAATCAAGGGAACACGAAATACAAATCTGGACATGCCCACATGTACTTTTCCATTTAGAAACAGACCCAAGAAACAAGTGGTGCGTTTACCCATTTTTTCGAGACTAAAGCCCTTGCTTAGTAGTCCCCGAAGTTAGCGTTAGCCTGCCCTCTAGTGGTGCCTGAAAACATGTGCTAGACTGTGGTGCCCAATGCAGAGCTTTGCTTGTCCCAGAGATAGACGCTTGAAAACCTCAAGATTAGAAGGAACGCTTCAGCAGCTTTCCAGTAAATACAGTAGGTGGAGACACACACTGGAAAACTGCAACCTAGGCAACATTGCTTTCGTTTGACTCTTAGAAGATTGCTAGGCACCCAGAGTTATTGAAACTCGGGTTGACCGTAATTTGTCATGCTTAATATTTCCTGCTTTTAAAAAATTGTTAAAAATGTTAATATATGGAGATTTTAAGCGCATACAGTTTATAAATCCATTGGCGCTTCATGCCATTAATTATCTTAAATACCCACCAAAAGCAGAAATTTGGGTGGTGGTATGGAGGTGCAAAGGTTAATAAGACACAGACCCTGTCCTTAAAACTTACTCTCTGTTTAAGAGAAGATCTATTTGAATGTAATTACAATACATGGCAGTGGTATAACAAAGAGACAGTTTAAATATATATATATATATGTTGAAATATATATATATGTTTAAATATATATATATGTATACACACGCACACATACACACACACACACAAAACTGTGCTAGGTATGTCCACATCTTACTTAATATTTACCACAACTATGTCTTTTTACTTAAGAAGAAAGGGAGGTTCAGAAAGGTTAAGTAACTTATCTTAGTTCAGATAGCAAAGAAATAGCAAAATTAGAATTAGAATTCAGGTATTTTGATTTTACTTTCATTTCAATTAACTTCAACAGAGCTTTATTGAGAATCTACCATGTACCAGGCACTATGCTACATGCTGAACATGCAAATATAGGAAATACCACTGGCCTCACGGTTATAGTCTTGTAGGGGACTGGGCTATGCAGAAACAAGCTGTATTGTGATATATGCAATAATGCAAGTTTGTACATATTACCTTCTGAGCAAAGCAGCAAAGAGTGTTCTTTTTCCATAAGTTGTTGACTTTCTGTCTTGTGACCCTGGTAAGTAACCATGATCGAACTGATCAAGAATCTGTAACTTGGCCAAAGGTAACCACAAAATTGTGCAAAACTACAGGATACATAGAGTAAATATTTTTGGGGTTTCATTATTACAGATGACGTTGAGGAGAGAAAAGTTTTACATTTTTACAATCTTAGGTTTACCAATGGGCTCTGGGAGGCCTAATAGCAGAATTCTGCCCAATAGTGGAGGCAACTCACTGACCCAACCAGTGAGAGCACAGGTAGTTTCCACTGTGAGAAACTCAACTACAGAACCAGAGTAGAATTAGAAAGAAACAAAAGTGGAGGTAACAGCTGAACTGGTGAGAAGCGGAAGCACAGAGAGGTGAAGGAGAGAAGTGGAATTGTGAGTATGGCACCGTCAGGAGTCAGGGGCCAAAGGTCCCTCTTCTCAAGGGGGTGCTACCATTACTGACTCAAAGGGGAGCCCTTACTGACATCCCAGGGCTCTGGGAGGCTGGACTGCAACCTGCCTAGTGTCATACCCGTGCTTCCTTATTGCCTTAAGTATCTTTCCAATCACCCACATCACCAGAGGTCACCCGAGACTACTTGATCTTTGCAACAGAAAGTGTAACTCCTGCAGCACCAAAGTGGTGCAGAGGAGAGTGAGGAAGTGTGGCTGGAAGGGTGGACGCAGCAGGGGCTTTACCAGGAGGCGATGCCAAAGCAGAGTTCTGAACTACAATGAGGGGTTCGCAAGGAAGACAGAGGGGTTTGCAAGGCAGGAGCTGCAACGAGGAGTTTGCAAAGAAGACAGAGGAAGGTACCTCCATAATTCTGTGTTTATTCCAGTACTGGACATAACCCATGGCAAACCTTAATTTCCAGGATCTCCTTTGTGTAATAACACCAGAAATCCTTTCTTCAGGAACCCTGGCTTTGAGAGAGTGGCATGAGAAAGGAGAATTTTCTCTTTTATGGAGGCTGTAAGTCCTGAAGCTTGATGTGCTGACCCTATTGTGTGGCCTTAAATATTGGCATATTCTTCTCAACTGGGATATGGGGATACAGCACTGGGGCCAGGGGATTGTGCAAAACTAAGGATACATAGAGAAAAATCTTTTTGGGGTGTCATTATTACAGGTGATGTAAAGAGAGAAAAGTTTTAACTTTTTACAATCTTGAAAGGTGTTGTCCTGTATGATCAGTATAAACCTACTTTTTTGTATTGGGTTAATTTTTTTCCCACTCATTTGCATAAAATCCAGGGTTCTCTATGATCCCAGCATAAAATCACATTTAAAGAAACACACTCTTTTGTTTATCCATTCATCTGTTAATGAGCATTTGGGTTGGTTTCGGCTCTTAGCTATTGTGAATAGTGCTGCTATGAACACGCGTGTACAAATATCTCTTCAAGATACTGCTTTCAATTCTTTTTTGGATATATGCCCAGAAGTGGGATTGCTGGATGTATTAGTCCATTCTCACATTCCTATAAAGAACTACCTGAGACTGGGTAATTTATGAAGAAAAGTGGTTTAATTGACTCACAGTTTCTGCAGGCTGTACAGGAAACATGACTGGGAGACCTCAGGAAACTTACAATCACAGCAGAAGGTGAAGGGGAAGCAGGCACATCTTCACATGGTGGCAGGAGAGAGAGACAGAGCGAAGGAGGACGTGCTACACACTTTTAAAAAGCAGATCTCATGAGAACTCTGTCATGAGACAATACTAGAGGGATGATGCGAAACCATTAGAAACCACCCCCGTGATCCAATCACCTCCCGCCAGGCCCCACCTTCAACATGTGGGGATTACAATTCCACATGAGATTTGGGTGGGGACACAGAGCCAAACCATATCACTAGATTATATGGTAATCCTAGCTTTAATTTTTTGAGGAACCTCCATATTGTTTTCCATAATGGCAGGATCATTTTATATTCCACCAACAGTGCACAAGGGCTCTAATTTCTCCACATTGGTGCTAACGCTTGCTATTTTCTGTTTTCTTTTTAAATAGTGGCCATCATAATGGGTGTGAGGTGACATGTAGATTGATTTTAAAGTACAAACCCCCTTTGAAATGGTAAGGGGATCTCTGAACTTTCATGCCTTCTGGTAAACTTTGATTTTATCAACCAGCTGAAATCATTCACTGAAGTACATGTTATTTTGATCTAGGCAAGTTGTTAGGATCCTGGAAAGAGATCTTAGATTTCTTTAAACTTGGTAAGTGTAAAACTGGAAGGCCCAAGAGTGGGGGCTACCTGAGAAGTCCCACATCAGGTACTTCTCTCTCAGTTGTTTTGACCCTGAGGACATTTTTTATTGAATGAAAACAAACGTTTTCATCAGAATTATTCCAACATTTCTGGAAATATTATCAAGAAATTATTTTCTAGAAGCAACTGTCTTGAATTAATGTAATTCTTTGATCAAATTTCTTCCTGTGCCATTAAATAATTTTCAGTATTTTTATTTTACTGAAATAATTTAGACTTTATTCAGTGATCCCATTTTGTGTCCGTATTAAATCTTTCCAACTTTTCCAATCAGCAATTTTGAGGTTTCTTTTGTAGTCATTTTCTACCAAACCTAATTTTCCTGGGCTAGATTTTGCAGGTATAATTTTTGACAAGAAGATTTGATTCTTTTGTCAATTTTTAAAGTCAATTACAATTTTTTCTGTGTAAAGCTTTCGCCTTTGTCAGTTTTATTTTGTGTTATTTCTATAAAGTGCAATTTTAAAAGGGTTCACTTTTGTAGTTTTGAGACTTACCAACACAATGAGATTCTTCAGTCAGTTTTTTGTCAATATCAAAGTTAACATATATCATTTTAGCTATTATCAGTTTGATCCTGTGTAGATTCTTTTTACTACATCTATTTTTTTTTTTCTAGTGACCAGTTGAAAATATACTTGATATAAAAATATCAAGGTCATAACATCATGTTTTCATCCAAAGCTATTCTGGTTTAAAAATATTAAAAAAGTAGAATCCACCTGTCTTTTTAGAGGCATGGGTTTCACAGGTAAATCCTTAATCTAGAAGTGAGAAGTTCTGGGTGTTTGTCTTTGTTCTGCACTCATCACCCCTGTGTCTACAGTCTGGTAGTCCTCATCTAAAAGTGAAGTGATTGAAGTGTGTGATTTCTAAATCCCCTTGCAACTCTGACTTAAATTCCTATCTGTAGGAATCTATTTCTATCTGCAGACTGAGCTAATTGATTATTGCTTTGCTTCATATTTGATTCACTCCTCTCCCCTGTCAATCAGTGCCTCCTGACAACCAGCCTGTCTGTCTGCACTTGCTCAGACCTGGGCAGGAGCCTCTGATGTTCCCTACACAGATTTGCATGTTGTTCTTAGAGTCTTGGCTTCTGATCTGCTCCAGAGTGCCACTGCTCTCAGGCTTTCTGAGCTCAACCCATATCCTTTCTGATTGAGCACCGACCAGCTGGGCTCAGAGCAGCCTGCCTCCACCCTGCACTTCATCTGCCTGGAAGCTACGAGGTTATCAGGGACCATGCTGAGCCTTGTCTTTCCCTATCCCCACTCCTCAGCCTAACTCCTATCACCTCTCTTTGTGGGTTAGGCATGAAGAGACAATCTTGGGGTTATGTGGATGTAGTTTAGGGTAGACCAATCTTAAAGGCAGCAGAGTTAGGACGGAGCCCAAGGCCATTGTAGGCAGGAAGGGGAGATAGGATAGACCACATCATTTAAGGAATCATTTCAGGATCCCAGGAGGAATGTGTTGGGCCATTTGCATTAGAACAATTGGAGGGAGGTTTAATGAAGGGACTGTTTACAAAGGATGAGCAGTGTTTATGGAATCCATAAAGGACAGTGTAGCACCACTGAGTTCAGTTACGACTCCTCACCAGAAATGATATGAGGAGTGATCAGTTACTGGAACCTGGGTGGAGAGAATCACATAGAGATGACTGCAAGACAATACTTCAGGGATCAAGCCAGAGGCATAAATACCCCAGCCTCCACTCCTTCTCCCTCCCTCTTATCTCCTATTAAGGATCTCTAATTGGCAGAACCCAACTGGAGGTCAAAGGGCAAGGGAGTCCATTGATGAAACTCATACAGTCCAGTGTCCCCAGCAAGAGAGTAGGATGAGAAGGGTGGAGAGTGACTTCAGCAGTGGGGAGGAGAGGATAACAGGCACAGGCTGCTCCTCTAGCTTGTTCATGTACATCCCAGTAAAATCAAGTGGAGAAGATCATCCAGAGAAGACTGGGAGGAAAAGGGTTAGCATGTTTGCATCACCTTGGGTGAGGAATGAGTTAAATGCAATGACCTTTGTGAATTTCAGCTGATGTCATTGTATAAGTCATGTATTTCCCTGGCAGCTGCTGTCTAAGGCATGGCCTTCATCTTGAATTGGTTCTGGGTCAACAGAAGCCTAGGCTGGGTTGATTAGCTCACTTCGCTCTTCCCTGAGAGGCCTCTGAGGAGCTAGCTACAGTGGGAGCTTTGGGAGGGTAGGATCAACACCTTTGGATATCTGGGTGGGGTAGAGGGAGTTTTAAGTATAGAGAAAAGGGGAGGGGAGAGAGTGTTGAAAGGGTGCTGATGGCACATCTGGGCAAGGGGCAGACCTGGGCCTACTTAAGATGGCATTGCATTGGGCTCAGGGTTTATAGAGCATAGAATATGCTTTACATGGAATGATGCCACCCCCACTGCCTAAGATGCACTGTATAGACTGAGATGCTGCTGGAACTGTGGTGGGGGTGGGCAAGAGGGGTGGGTGGGGAGGCAGTGGGCACACTCTCCCTTCAGAGTCCTGTAGCACAGAGTTCTGCCACAGAACACCACTGTTCTGCTTTAAACACCATTGCAAATGGTTAGCATTCACCTTAGCTGAATTTGTAGAGAGGGAGAGGAAAGAGGGAAAAGAGGAGAAAAAGAAAGAATGTGTTTGTCCAACTCAATGCATATGGATGAGTTGGTTCTGGTGCTCACCTCCGATTTAAATCAAACGATCCATATTTGTGGGTGGGTGGGTGGGATGCCCCTTGGGCAGCAGGAGCAGAGTAGGCTGTGGGCTGAGCAAATACTTAGAAGCATGTCTGTTACAATCATGCTTTGCTTCTGGTCAGTGGCACAATATATATTTAACACATTCTCTTGGGAATATTAAAATCCAATATAATATAAGCCAGTGGCAAGTAGTCTTTCTTTTATTATATCCATTGGGCAACGGGTTGGTCAGTAGAGGGAAGAGAGATCAGAAAGCAGAAAGCTGGATGGAGGAATGACCTCATCTCACTAACTCCAAAGTGTTGCATCTACCTTGGCCAGAATCCATGGCTTCTAAAAGAATTCATTGGAAGAAAGAAACAGGGAGGTGAAGAGAAAGGAGAGAATGGAGATGAGAGAAATATAACCAAGAAAAGTGAGTTTTTCTAGAAGAATTTTATTGTCAAATAATTCTGCAAGGGAACAAAGTCTTCTGAGAAGCATGAAGCATAATCTTTCTCCTTTCTGTTTTTTTCTATTCCCTATGAAAAAAAAACCTGTTAATTTTGTATTAAAAACAAAATACATTTCTTTTTCTTGAGTGCTCTATAATTGTATAGGAATGTGTATCACTTCTTCTCCATAATTTTGAGAATATTTCTGAAGACAGTGACATATTCTGACTCTTTAAGAACAAAACAATTCAATTTTAAAATCACTGAGTGACAGCAATCAAAGTTCTGAAGTGATGCAGTTCGCCTCAGCACTTGTTCGAAATGTCATTAGAAAACCAACATATAGCGGGTTGTTATGGCAACTGGAATACCAGAGTTTATAACATCACTGTAATTAATGTTATCCAAACGTTATTAATCTTTCAACATCACTCACATTCTCTGAAGGAACGGCAGTTCTGGTTCTCTTAGGATTTTTCAATAGTGTAATCCATTGCAGCTTTTCTTCACATTTTATTTTTAAATAGATCTTACTCTGACTTTGCTTTAGTGAAATTAGTTATTGTTTCTCCATCTTTACTTGTTCTATTTTGGCTGCTATTCTTTTTTTTGATAAAACTTGAAGTAAAATGGAAAAAAGGGATTACAGCTAAAAAACAGAATAAAGTCTAGAGATGGAAAGATTTATATATTTAAGTATGGAGAACCTCAGAAAAATATTCAAATATTTTGTATACAGCTTTGTAGTATTAACTCACATTTGCATAGCACTTTATAATTTAAGAAGCAGTTTTACATATGTTATTAACATAACATTATTTAACATAACAACCCTAAGAAGACAAGTAATAATTTTTGAGTGCCTACTACGTGACAGGTAATATGATCTGCTTACATAAATCTTTTAGTTCTCACCACAATCTGCAAGATAGGTGTTGTGGTTTAAAAATATGTCTCCATGGTTCAACAACAAATCAACAAATTACCTGATTTAAAAACAGGTAAATGACTTGAATAGACATTTTCCCAAAGATGATGTACTGGTGGCCAATGAGCATATGAAAAGATGCTAAATATCACTAATTATTAGATAAATGCAAATCAAAAAAAAAACCACAATGAGATATCACCTGAAATCAATTTAGTGGCTGCTATGAAGAAACAGAAAATAATAGTGACAAGGATGTAGAGAAATTAGAAACTTTGTGTAGTGTTGGTGAGAATGTAAAATGCTATAGCCACTGTGGACAACAGTGGTGGTTGCTCAAAAAATTAAAAATAGAACTACTGTATGATCCAGCAATCCTACGAATGGGTGTATACCCAAGAAAGAATCAAAAGCAGTATCTTGAGGAGATATTTGTACACCCATGTTCATAGTAGCACTATTCACAGTAGCCAAGAGGTGGAAGCAACCCAAATGTCTATTGACAGATGAACGGATAGACAAAATGTGGTATATAAGTACAATGGAATATAAATCAGCCTTAAAAAGGAAGGAAATCCTGTCACATTGCTACAATATGTCCTATAGGACATTATGCTAAGTGAAATAAGCCAGTCACAAAAAGACAAATACCGCATGATTCCACTTACATGAGGCAGGTAAAGTAGGCAAATTCACAGAAACAGAAAGTATAATGATGGTTACCAGGGACTGGATGGAGGAGGAAATGGAGACTTTTAAAATGGGTATAGAATTTCAGTTTTGCAAGATGAAAATGTTCTGGAGATCTGTTGTACAACAGTGTGAATATACTTAGCATGACTGAACTGTACACTTGAAAATGGTAAGGTGGTAAATTTTATGTTAAGTGTTTTTATGCCGCAATTTAAATAAGTGCCTCCAAATTGACACTCTTTGCTTTAAAAGGTAGAGCCAGTTCACCTCCCCTTGAAGGTGGGTTGGACTTAGTAATTTGCTTTTAATGAGTACTGTTGCAGAAGTGACAAAGTATGACTTCCAAGACTGGATCATAAAAGACATTGCTGCTTCTGCTTTATTCTCTTTTGGCTTTTTTTTTTTTTTTTTTTTTTTTTTTGGAGTTGGGGGAGAAGTGGATCCAGCCCCAGTCAAGCCTTCAGATGGCTGTAGCCCTGGATGATATCTTGACTACAACCTCATGAGACACCCTGGACCAGAAACTACCCTGCTAAGATGACTCACAGACACTGAGTAAAATAAACATTTATTGTTTTAAGCCACTAAGTTTTGGTATAATTCATCACACAACAATGAATCACTAATGCAATAAATATTTTCCCTTCATCTGAAGCAATGATGGTCTCTGGTGTGTTAGAAGGGCTCCTCCTACCTTTTTGTTGATTTGTGGTTTTGTTAATGTGTCTGTTGCCTCTTCTGAACACCGACGCCAGGTCAGAATTAGACAAGTGCCTTCTGTGAATTATCTTCAGCCCCAGCCTTATGAATGACATCTGGGAACTGCTGTCCTGTAACCAGAGGGCTGCTGGATTTCTTTGAGCTCCTTTATCCTCTCTCTTCTTGTGGCATCAAGAAGTATGAACGAATGTCCATGGGGTATTCTCATTCAAAGTTCAATCACATATGAACCAGTGAGTTTAGATACAGGAGGTCACACCCTAATATTATGCTATATTCAAAGAAAGTTTTCATTCACCTTTCTGAAAAACATGAAAGGGCATCACAGTAATACATTGGGGAAACATCCGAAAGGCCAAAAAGAAAGAAAAACTCAACATTTTCTCCTTTGGAAGATGTGGGGATTCATCCAGGAATGTCATTTGAGAATAGTTTTTCCCCTGTTCTACATAAACTTTATCCTTCCCTCTTACGTTTAGAAATTAAGCTATACATTTTGGAGGGTGAGGCAACTTCACTAGCTCTCTGGCTGCCTGAAGATTGTATCACTCCTTTGAAACTGGAAAATGCCTATGGATATAATCTTTTACTGTTTTAAAATGTTCTCTTTAAATAAATGGACTTGCATCATTGCTTATAGTGGTGAATTCTTTAGGTGGAAAAAGGAACTTCTCCAGACTTGTAATGAAGGCATTTAAAAAAAGTAAATTTTGTATCTCTTCAAAAAAAAAAAAAGGTAAATCGAAGCTCTCAGAATTTTAGTTTATTTGCTAAGATCACGTATCAAGAATGAGGAAACCTAAGGCTTCAAACCTGTGTTTTTCTGCCCCTAAAACCGATGCTTAATTTCTTTTTTTTTTTTTTTGAGATGCAGTCTTGCTCTGCTGCCCAGGCTGGAGTGCAGTGACACCATCTTGGCTCACTGCAACCTCTGCCTCCTGGGAGACGGGGTTTCACCATGTTGGTCAGGCTGGTCTCGAACTCCAGACCTCAAATGATCTGCCGGCCTTGGCCTCCCAAAGTGCTGGGATTACAGGTGTGAGCCACCATGCTTGGCCCCCATGCTTACTTTCTACAACCCTGGGGAATTATTCCTTTCATTCTAGAGATGAAGAAGCTGAATCTGGGCGAGGGTAACTAACTCGTCCATGGCTCTAACTGTGGTTAGTGCCAGAATCCAGGTTATAAGTCTCAGCCCAATACTCTTTTACATGACACTATATTGCTTTCCTGTTTAGATAATGTATTTTGTGAAGCTCTAGAGATATAAATTTGAATAAGGTAATCATGTGGAAGACATCCCAGCTTTAAGCAAATGTGTCAGGAACATAGAATTAGGTTCAGATTCTTGGGTTTTTAGTTGAGGATCTCACATTTTATTTTACTTTATTTTATTTTATTTTATTTTAAGATGGAGTCTTGCTCTGTTGCCCAGGCTGGAGTGCAGTGGTGCCAACTCAGTTCACCACAACCTCCACCTCCCAGGTTCAGGCAGTTCTCCCTCCTCAGCTTCCCAAGTAGTTGGGATTACAGGCACGTGCCACCACGCCTGGCTAATTTTTGTGTCTTTAGTAGAGACGAGGTTTCATTATGTTGGCCAGGCTGGTCTCGAACTCCTGACCTCAGGCAATCCACCCGCCTCGGCCTCCCAGAGTGCTGGGATTATAGGCGTGAGCCACCATGCCTGGCCAAGGATCTCAAATTTTAAATGAGATGGTGATTCAAAAACTTTTTTTTCATTAAATTATTAAACTACTGAGGAAATAACTATTTGTAAGAGCAAAAATATACAGTAATGCCTCATTTTTGTTTACTGTACTACATTTTCTGAGCACTTTCACACAGAGCAGTCCATGTAGCCTCTTTTGTCCTGTAGCCACTCAGTATTTCTGTATTGGTTGTAAATGAAGCATGTTCACTTATCTGAAATCAGCATCAGCATTCTGCAGCCCACATGCCAATGGTGACTGGAAAGATAACTGAGTGGCAAATGGAGGGGAGGAGGGGTTTCTACTCCAAGCCCTTGGCAGGTGATTGCAAAACAGATGGCTTATCCCAGTTTCCCTCCAACCTCCAGCATCCCGCTCTCATGGGTCTCCCCGGAACCCGGGCTGTCCTGTCATCCTAGGACATGCCTACCACTCCTAAGCTCTTGCAACAAAATGATTCCCCTTCTTCTCTAATCAAAACTTTCTTTTCTTTATTCTGAAAATAACTAATAATGCATTTTTCTTCTCTTTTTTGGGAAAAAGTTTAGTTTATTTACAGTTGATGAAGGAAAGCTTCTTTTTACAGAAGAATGCCAGCTAAAAAATATAAAAGAAAAGATTGAATTAAAAAATGTGTCCATTTTGCACTTCCTAATGACAAATTAAATGCTAAAACCATTAACCGAAAGATGGTTGGGGGACAGTATATTCTCAAAGCATCAAAATAACACCCCACAGATTGCTTGCTAATTGCAAAAGGAAGACCACGCCATTACAGTGGAGGTATCTGGCCATCACTACTTTAACTGAGATCAAGTTCCTTGCCTTAATAATGGGAAGCCAACACTCCCTCTGTCCCTGATGTGTTACAATGTGAGGTGCACAGTGTAACTCATGAAGTATTCTTCTTAAACACATTTCACCTGGCTGTAGTCAAACCTTTGATTTAACTTCCAGTTTACAAGAAATTCAGGGGACAGAAAATTAACACCAGGAACAAACAGACAAATCTAGAATGAAACTCAATCAGTCAATTAATTTCTTCTAAAGATCAATGTCATTAAAACAGAAACGTTGGGAGGGACTGCTCTGAATCAAATGAGACTAAAAGGACTTGATTGGATCTTGGTTAAAAAACCTCATAAAACTATACAAGATGTGTTTGGCACAATTGGAGAAATTTGAATCTGGACTGAGAATAGCCATCGTCAGGGAATTATTAATTTTATTATGTGTGTGTGTCAACTATCAATTGCCTCAGCTCCAATTCACACTTCAGTACTGCTCTACAATAATGGACTGGACTCTCCAAGTATTTCTTCTTTATTAGCATGATGTTAACTTTGTCAATAGAGGGCACAGGAGGGATACTGTGGGAGGAAGGGGGCTTTGTTTCCTCCTTTTGGAGTGCTATGTTTTGCTTTTTTTGCTCCAGCTGTCCAATTGGTCAGTGGTGCATGTGTGTCTGGGTACATCTGGTGGTACACTGCCGCAGCTGCATGCCAGATCCTGACCTTCCAGCCTCAGTCCAGACCAGGTGAACTCCTTTGATGTGACTCCCAACAACACTGTGTGCTCCAACCTTGTGTGTGTGGAGCCGTTCTGACTTTGTCTGCAAACCTGCCCTCCAGCCTTGGCTCTGGGTGTGTGTGTGTTTGTATGGGAGAGGGAGGTGGGTTATTTTCTGCTTTCCTGGCGACTGCGGACTAGATCTGGCCCAGAAAACCCAGCAGACTTCTCCACTATCTATTGGCTGCAACCATGCCTTCTCCAATGAGGTCTGAACCCAGGCGTGTTTGCATCCCTCTTCCAAGCTGGTCCTTCCCTGGGTACTCTCACTCAGCTCTAGTGGATTCAGTAGAGTTATCTTGACATCTTTTTTTTTTTAAGTTGAGATGGAGTTTCGCTCTATCACCCAGGCTGGAGTGCAATGGCACGATCTCAGCTCACTGCAACCTCCACCCCCAGGGTTCAAGCGATTCTCCTGCCTCAGCCTCCTGAGTAGCTAGGACTACAGGCCCCCACCACCATGCCCAGCTAATTTTTGTATTTTTTTTTTTTTTTAGCAGAGACGGGTTTTCACCATGTTGGTCAGGTTGGTCTCGAACTCCTGACCTTATGATCTGCCCGCCTCGGGCTCCCAAAGTGCTGGGATTACAGGCGTGAGCCACCGTGCCTGGCCCGACATCTTTATAATTACTTTTCAATTATATCTCTATCTATCTATCTATCTATCTATCTAATCTATCTATATATGTTTAAATGACAAGGTATCATTCTGTTGGCCAGGAGGCTGGAGTGCAGTGGCACGATTGTAGCTCACTTCGGCCTCATGATCCTCCTGCCTCAACCTCCCAAGGTGCTGGGATTACAGCCTTGAATCATCATGCCTGGCCCCTTAATAATTCTTTTGTTTGTTTTGAGGCAGGCTCTTCAGCCCAGGATGGAGAATGCAGTGGGTGATCATGGCTCATTGCAGCCTCAACCTCCCAGGCTCAAGCAATCCTCCTGTCCCAGCCTCCCGAATAGCTGGGACTACAGGCATGTGCCACCATGCCCAGCTAATTAAAAAAAATGTTTTGTAGAGATGGGGCTTCACAGTGTTCCCTAGGCTGGTCTCAAACTCCTGGGCTCAAGTAATTCTCCTCCCTTGGCCTCCTAAAGTGCTAGGACTACAGATGTGAGCCACCATGCCTAGCCTAATAATTATTTTAAACTTCCTCTTTCAAATAACTGTGTGTTTTCTGTCTCCTGATTGAACTCAGACAGATATACTATGATGCTGATATTGTGGTTATCAAGGAGAAGGTTCTAGTTTTCAGAATACTCACTGAAAATATTCAGTGATAAAGGATCATGCTGTCTGCAACTTATTTCAAATGGCTCAGCAATATGTGTGTGCACATATTGATTTATCCATATGCATGCATGCATGAGCATGTGTATGTATGTATATGAATAAGGTAAATAAGTGACACACAAAATATTAGCAATTACTGAATCTAGCGGAAGGGCATATGTGTGTTTATAATACCCATTCTTCCAACATTTTTGTATAAATAAAAATTTTCATGACCAGGTGTGGTGGCTCATGTCTGTAATCCCAGCACTTTGGGGACCAAGGCAGGAGGACCACTTGAGGCCAGGAGTTTGAAACTAGCTTGGGCAACATGGTGACACCTCGTCTCTCTCCTGCCATGCACACACACAAAATTAGCGGGGTATGGTGGCGTTTGCTTATAGTCCCAGCTTCTTGGGAGGCTGAGGCGGGAGGATTGCTCAAGCCCAGGAGATCAAGGCTGCAGTGGCTATGATCACACCACTGCACTCCAGCCTGGGTGACAGAGTGAGACCCTGTCTCAAAAATTTTTTTTTTCATAATTAAAAATTGAGGAGGAAATTCTTGCCTTCCTTCAGTATCTTTGCTTATGTGAAGGGGGAGAGATTCGGATTGTCTTACTGAAATAATGTGTTCCTAGTAGGAGTGATTGGAAGACTAAGCCCAACTTCTTAACCCTGGCTATGTACTCAGAAGAGTCTGGGCAACTTTTAACATGACACACACAAAGTTTTTGAATCACACTGTCTAGGATCTGGTTATTTCACACGCATACTCAGGACTCACACAACAGTTTTTGAATCAGAGTCTCTAGGATCTGGTTATTTCAAGAAGAATTAAAATTCTAAAGGAGAAGCTTATTGATCATTAGGGTAAGGGTAGGGTGCCTAGCTAACTTCTGGGGGGACATTTCACAAATTACATTTGTCTGTTCCCCAATATTCTGATGTTTCTTAAGGGGCAAGGCAGAATTTGAGGAAAAGGTTGTAGTTAGCTCCTCCCCATTCAACTGACTTGTCCTTTTAGTTGAAATCCACAGATCCAAATGGATCTTTAATTGATAATGTATGTGGCTGAGAATTTGAGCAGAGCCTTCTGGCATGCTCTGCTAGTTGTCCCATCATATGCTGTCCCCAGCAGATCCAGTGGCCTAGTGTTAGTCCAACCTTGTTTTGAAGCAAAGATGCAGGGGGAAGCTTAGCCCAGTGTGGTCCCGCTGCTCAGGAAAGTACACACTGGCACTTGGGATCAAATTCATGCTTCTTACACCTGCCTTTCATTAGTCCAGCTGTCTCCACTATCAAACTTACAAATATTTAAACATATTCCTTCTTCATTCATTCATTTACACATTCACACATTAATTCAGTATTGTAGTGGACATCTTGAATCCCTTTCTCCAGCTTTCATAGTTTTGCTGCTACTGGCTGGTATTTGTTTCCTTCTTTAGAGGCTTTCTCTTGAGCTATTGGAGCTGAGAGGCAAGCTGAGAATTTATACCTGCCAGGTGGCCAGTGACTGACTGCTGAGCGGGTATAACGCTCGGCTCCCTTGCCTCTGGGTGACAGGCTACAGCTCCACGTGGGATTGGGCTGAGGCTGGGCCTTCACTGCTTCCTCACTCCCTTCCCAGTTCCACGGTAAATCATTTGCACACTTACCCTTGCCTTGGGGTCTGTTTTAAAGAACTCAAACTACGACAAATATTTACTTTCATTCATTACAAATATTTACTGAGCGTCTGCTAAGTGCTAAGCCCCATGCTAGGTCCTGAGGGTGCATCCCTTGTCTTTGAAGAGCTTCCATTCTAGGAAGGACAGGAGGGACAGATCAACAAACACATGACAAGTGCATGGCTCTGGTGATAATAAATGCTATGGTGAAATGCAAAGCAGGGAGTAGGGGACCGAGTGATGGCAGAGACAGTGAGGCGCTGTTTGAAATAGGATACTCAGGGAAGGCCTTTGAGGAAGGGTGTTTGAGCAGAGATCCTAAATAGAGTGAGGGAGTGAGGCATTTGGATATTTGGGGCAGGAAAACGTTATGAAATATCCCAAGGCAGGAATGGGTTTGAGGGTTTGAGCAGAGGAGTAGGGTAATTTGATTTTTATTTTAAAGGGTCAAATTTATCTCCCTGTTTCCAGGGAGAAAACAGGGAGATAAATTAGAAAGCTGCAGTGAGAAATAAGCGAGCTTAGCACCTGGGTGGTAGTGCCTGGGTGGGGAAGTGGTCAGATTCTGCATATATGTCTTAAAGGCAGATCTGAAGGCTGGAGGTGTGTGGTGAAGGAAACAGATACCAGTTTTGACTCTAGGGGTTTTTTTTTCCGAGCAACTGGAAGAATGGACCATTTCCTGAAAAATGTAAAATGTGCAAAGTTGAGGGACAAGCTGATTTGTTTCCCTTTTCCCTGTGATTTAAGGCCCTAATTTTGTTTAAAAAATGTTATCCTGCAAAAGATAATGCACAAATCTAAAGGTAGACAATGTAAATAAAAATATTTGATTACATAAACGTCTTAAACTTCTGTATGTGAGAAAAAACCAGCAAGATAAATGAAAACTTAAAAAAAATTTTAAACCTACTTGACAAAGGATTTATATTCTTACTATACCAAGAAATCTTATAAATCAATAAAAAAGAAATGTATTCGCTTTTTTTTTTCTTTTTAGAGACAGTGTTTCTCTGTCACCCAGGCTGGAGTGTTGTGGTGCTATCATAGCTCACTGCAGCCTTGAACCCTGGGCTCAAGAGATCCTCCTGCTTCAGCCTCCCAAGTAGCTAGGACTACAGGTGCACATTGCTGTGCCTGGGTAATTGTTTAATTTGTAGGGATGGGGTCTCACCATGTCACCCAGGCTGGTCTCAAGTGATCTTCCTGCCTTGGCCTCCCAAAGTGCTAGGATTACAAATGTGAGCCATTGCACCCAGCCAGAAATGTATTTTCGAAAGGAGAAAGAGGAAAAGACATGACAATTTATATATGTATGTGGTAAAAGTCATAAAGCCTTACTTATGATCAAATAAATACAAAATAAAAATGGGATAATTTTTTACCTATGAAGAGTTAAAAAGTGATTATACATAGTATTAGTGAAATTTTAGAGAAATGAAATATTCAAAAATATATCATGAGAAATGCATACTATTTTTGCAGTAAGGAGACAATATGTGTCAATATTTAGACTCCTTTTAACCTACTTATTTTACTTCTAAAAATTTAAGGAAAAATATGTGATATGACAAAAATGATGGTGCAGCCAGATAATGGAATTTTAAGTAGTCATAAAAATCATAATTTGTGAAAAAACACAAGGAAAATATTATGTAGATTATGACCTGTATAGTCACAGAAAAATATGTAGAAAATAGTTAAAATGGTAACAGCAATAAGATGAGGTTGGTGGATTATGGATCACTTTCACTTGCTTTTTTGAACTTTTTAGCACTTTTATTTATAATGAACATTTATTTTCTTTAATCAGAAAACGCTTTTTAAATAAAGGTTAGAAAAAATTATTCCCTTCTTATCTCTCTCTCTCCACATTCAGCTCAACTCCTTACCTATCCTAGGGCTCAGGATCTGACTTTACTGTTCCTTTTCACTCAATCTTACGGGACTCCTCTGCCAGTGTCAACCAACTCTGATACTTTCAACCCGTCCACACATTCTTTTTGACCTCTGGTGTGGATGTTTTTTACCTTTGGCCCACTGTCTACTGTAGAAGCTAAAAACGCTGGATGGTATCTTCCCAGTGTCCCTTGGATCTAGGGTATGGGCTCGTGTTGCAAGTTCCCCCAGCCAGATGCGTCTGCACCAGACTTTGCATTGGAAGCTAGAGCTGCACGGAAGCAGAGCCACCAGGAACCCATTAGGTGGAGCTAGTGCTGACAGCAGCAAATGTAGTTTCCAGAGGCAGCAGCAGTGGGTTGAGGGGCCGGAAGTGTCCTTGGAGATTGGCCCTCATGGCATCCAGGATGGTTCAGCAGTGTGTCTGGTGTGTTTGGTGTTGGCAGGGACAGCCAGGTAAAATATACGGCACTGGGGCACTGGAGTCTTCCCAGAACCAATTGTGTGCAGTGAGATTGAGAACATTGTTTCTGGAAGTGTGGCTTCACGTCAGATTCTCCAACTTTGTGGGAGATTATGTGAATTACCAATTATCTTTTAATAAATTCCTTTTCTATGCAAATTACCCCAGAGTTGATTAATGTGTATTGAAACTAAAAACTTTGATGGATATACTTTGTTTTTACTTTTTGATATCACCTCCTCAAAACTGTATCATTTGAGGTCATTTCCTTTCCTCACCCAGTGATGGAGGAGGCGTTGTTTCTCTGCCACATTAAGACCAGTGTCTCTTTATCGCAATTTCTTAGCAACATCTCTTTTGACCTTAAGCTCATCACTGCTGTCAGCTGACTTGCAGAACCACTTTTGTATTCAGCCGCTTGCTTCTATTCTCTAAAACCTCTACATTCACGTTGGTGACCAACTATACTTTTCTTACCTTCGATGACGTTTCTTAGGAAATGACTTTGAATTAAGAAGACAGTGAGATGGGAGGGACAGGTCTGAAGCTTGCTCTGAAACTTAATGAGTCTGTATATAAGCCAATTCTCCCCATTGGTGTTAATGTTGTAACTCAAACCAGAAGGGCTGAGGCTAGAGAAAAGATGGCTTGAAGGGGAAGTTAGAAACTGGACCAGCAATAGAAAGATGGATAGATTGGCTTTTAGCAGCTGACTTCATAATCAAAGTCTAAGAGAGATGTGTTAATATGAGCAAAAACACTACCAAAAAGGTGAGGCAGGCTCATTCTACTGACAAACAACAGATCAGTAGCATTTATTATCTTGTTATCCTCTGAAATCTTTAGCAAAAGTCTCTTAGAAACCCTCAAATGAAGCTATATGTTGTTTGGGGGCAGAGGTCAGAGGACAAATTTCAAGAACATACGGTCTTGCCACAAAGGAGAAACTCAGGTAGAAAAGCAGATAGAAATAGAATGGACTCTGGTGGGGTAAATGGGGAACTAGCCTCATGTTAAAAACAGGCTGTGGTGCACATCTGAGGGAGGACTTTGACACTGTTACTCTGTTCGCTCCATGAACCACAAGCGTGTTCCCTCTTCGGACTTTTTCATTGTTCACATTTGTTCCAGTTCCAGGGAATTAGGCTCAGAACTTCCTTTCTTCTCTTCCAATACGATTTCCTTGTCTTCCTTGGCTGCAGGATCCCCCAGCCTGACACATCTGCACCAGACTTGGCATCGGAAGTTAGAAATGCATGGAAGCAGAGGCCACCGGGAACCCACTGGTGGAGCTGGCACTGGCCACAGGGAATGAAGCTTCCAGAGGCAGCAGTAGTGGGTTCAGGGGCCATAAATTCAGATTACATTTTCTGAACCTGTTTTTATCTTGATAATGACTTTAAGTCTTAATTCGTCTCTTTCCTTCCTCTTTATAATACTTTGGCATTCACTTGCTTCCCCTACCAAAACTTTGGAAGCTCGGTTGTTTTGGAGCTACTTTAAATCTGCAATTTTATATCCCCTGGTCACCAGTGATGAACCTCAGCCTTGAATTATTCCTATTGTTTGCTTTTGGTTAATATTGTCACACCAATAATAGTTGTTAGAAAAAGCAAGTTAGAAAACATACTGTGTCCATTTCATCTGTTTGGCTTCTCTCTTTCAGACTTTTTATGTGCATATATATACCAACAACCATGTGTAGCATTTAATTTTTTTGAAATGGAGTCTTTCTCTGTTGCCCAGACTGGAGTGCAGTGGTGCTATCTCAGCTCACTGCAGCCTCTGCCTACTGGGCTCAAGATTCTCCTGCCTCAGCCTCCTGAGTAGCAGGGACTACAGGCACCCGCCACCACGGCTGGCTAATTTTTTTTTGTAGTTTTAGTAGAGACAGGGTTTCACCATGTTGGTCAGGCTGGTCTTGAACTCCAGACCTCAAATGATCTGCCCACCTTGGCCTCCCAAAGTGCTGAGATTACAGGCCACCAAGCCTGGCCAGCATTTTAAAGTTTTAAGAAAAATTGCTCTTTTTTTTCCCCCCTAAGAGTATCTCTGGACATCTTTCCGTGTCATTACATGCATACTATATTATTCTTTCTTGAACAGCTGCACAGTATTTCCTTTTACGAATGTACGTACTTTAATTTATTTTTCTAATTTTATATTTAGGTTGCTTCTAATTTTTTGCTACTTCAAACAATGCTGCAATAAATAACCCCTGTGTGTATCTTTTTGCACCTGTGTTTTTCTGTAGGATAATTTCCCAGTAATGGGTTTGCTAGTTTGAAGGATCTGTCCTTTGTACTATAATCCCAGTACTTTGGGAGGCTGAGGCAGGTGGGTCACTCGAGCTTAGGGGTTTGAGACCAGCCTGGGCAACAGAGCAAGACCTTGTCTCTACAAAAAATACAAATATTAGCTGAGTGTGGTTTTGCATGCCTGTAGTCCCAGCTACTCGGTAAGCTGAGATGGGAAGATTGCCTGGGCCCAGGAGTTGGAGGCCAAGATCACATCACTGAACTCCAGCCTGGGCAACAGAGAGAGACCCTGTCTCAAAAAAAAAAAAAAAAAAAAAAAAAAAAAAAAAAAAAAAAGATCTGTGCTTTTAAAATGCTGATAGATAATGCTAAATTTCTCTCCAAAAAATTATGGCAACTTATACCGTTACCATATTTGTATGAGAGCGTGGTTCTGCTCTAAATAAGTATTAGCCTCATCTAGGGTCTCAAAACACTTGGGGATTCCTAGTATTCATTTTTTATCAGTTCTCTATTTCACTGCCTACAGAACACTGACAGGCCCTTCATACTCCTGAGACTTACTAATTTAATCCTGCGCTTCTGAGCTCAGAAACGGATCTCACCTTCCCTTCTGCCATCTTCAATGTGATGGCCTTTCATTCTCTTGCTTGTGGCTTCATTATCTCGAGATTTCTGCTGCAGCTTCACACATTACATCTGCATTAAGGAAGAGAGAGGGAAGGATGGTGCTAGCTGCATCTGTCCTTTTTATTAGGAAAGTAAAGCCTTCTTAGAAGTTCCCCAGTAAACTTCCCCTTACATCTTCTTGGCCATAACTGGGTCCTTGGCCATTTCTAGCTGCAAATGGAGATTGGGATATTTAGTGTCTAGCAAAGTGGAACAAGATGGTCACGAATATGTGTAACAATATTGACTTATTGGTTGAGCCGAGGCATGTTGCCACCCAGAATAAAATAAGGGTTCTGCTAGTATGGAAGAAGGGAAGAATGGATATTGAGTAGGAACTCACAGTATCTACCAACAATATATATTTGCTTAATACATATTATTGAATACATAATATAAGAGTGGGATCAGCAACCTGCCACCACACCGTCCAATTAATGTAACTCCGGATTAATGAATTATTCAAAGTCATAATTGGTTTCTAAGTTACAAAAGCTGGATATCTGAATCCAGAATTGTATTGTGTCCTGATGGGGGTCACAGAATACATATACCATGGTTGAGTGAAAGTTTGTTCTTATTTGGATTCAAATTGATTTTGTCATCTCTGAGGGGCAGATGTTATGCATCAAGCAAGTGACAGATTGCAGCTTTAATTTAAACAGTAAGTAAGATTTAGTTATAATATGCTTATAGTTATTGTAGAAAAAAATCCAACGATGTCACCCAAGTCCTTTCTGGATTTGAAGAAATTTTTTTTTAATTGATAAAGAAAGCAGAGGACAGTAAGATACTAACAGGCCCCCTGTACAAATGGTGAAGACAGTAGTGATGAGTGTCTACGGATTGAGATTTGGAATGAACGGCACCAGTGACAGTGACAGGATTAAGGTAGTGGAAGCTGCGGAGGATAAAGTTGAAAGAAGAAAATAGTCATGATGAGTAGGAGGACAAGGACAAAGGGAGGTGTGTGGTGGTGCAGCTGGGAGCACCCCTCTTGTCCCGCGGTTGGTTTGTCTCTGCAATCTGGTTAAGTCCTATGTCAGATGAACAGGTATGTGTGTTTGCATTTGAGAGAGTTATGTCATGAAGCAGGAAAATTTAAGCAGCCATGTCCTTTGATTTCTTCTTTTCCTTCTTTTTGAGGTTAAGTCTCATCTAGTAAAGTGCATGAAGTACTTTAATCCTAAATGCACATTTGGTGAATTTTTACTTATGTGTACAGTTTTGGGAACTACTTCCTGGATTGAGATATAGAACACTCCTTCAAGTCCTGGAGTCATGAATAAGTTCAGCAGGACTAAGGTCTGCTAACCAGTGGGTTTGAAAACAACACGTATATCACCTTTATCACTATCATAGGACTCACAAACTTGAAGGCCTATAGGGGTGGGCAGCTGAAGTAAACGAGTGAAATGGATGAAGTACAAACTGCCATGATTAACTGGAAGTGATGTTTAGCTTGTGATTTTTTGCTATTATAAATACTTTTAATGAACAGCTTTGTAACTCAAGTTATTTTTCCCATTTAAGGGTATTTCCTTAGGATAGATTTCAAGAGGTAGACTTCTAGATTAAATAAAGTGGGCCGGGTGCAGTGGCTCATGCCTGTAATCTCAGCACTTTGGGAGGCCGAGGCGGGCGGATCACGTGGTCAGGAGATCGAGACCATCCTGGCTAACACGGTGAAACCCCGTCTCTACTAAAAATACAAAAAAAAAAATTAGCCAGGCGTGGTGGCGGGCACCTGTAGTCTCAGCTACTCGTGAGGCTGAGGCAGGAGAATGGTGTGAACCCAGGAGGCGGAGCATGCAGTGAGCTGAGATCACACCACTGCACTCCAGCCTGGGTGACAGAGTGAGAGTCCGCCTCAAAAAAAAAAAAAGTAAAATTATTTTTAAACCTTTTAATATACCTTGCTAAATTTGTTTACCAAAAGGTCACTGTGGTGGCCATGGGAATGAACCTCGAAGTCCTCCAAACGCAAGAGTGTAATTGACTAAGGGCCTATCCAAGGCCACTCTTCCCACAGGCTGCTGTCAGCCAGTGCCCTAGCATGGAAGGGATACTAAGGCAGACCTGTACCTGGGACTCTGCTGGTGGCTGCCATTGGCTGAAGGGCTTCCCCATTGCCCTGCTGAGCCTTCCTGAGATTGCCAGGCAATCGAAGACACTTACATTCAACCTTCCTCCCTTCCCTTGAAGTCAGACTACATTGTGGTCTGATGGTTCTCTCAGCCTTCCTTGGCTCCCTCTCCATTTTTTCTCACATGGGCATTTCCTCTGATAAAATTCTTGTGTGAAGCTTAATCTAGTCTTAGCATCTGCTTCTCTAAAAGCCCAGACAAATAATTATATTTGCTTCACCCTATTCCCGCAAGTAATCCATGAGAGTCAGTGTTCTACTTCATCTCTGCTAGCACTTAATAGTTTTGAAGTCTTTGCTACTTTGAAAAACAAAGAGAAGTGGCTCCTTTAATTTGCATTTTTTAATAGCAAGGTTTTACATTTTTGTCTCATACTTTTTACCCATTTGGATATCTGTAAACTGTCCTTGTGGAGTCCATGGAAACACAGACTTACCTGGAAAAAGGTGCTTTTTGGGAGATGTGGTCTCCATTGTCTTTTCTCCATTGTAGTTGCCAACACTCAGCAGTTGGCAGGTTTCAACTGGGAGATGCAGCCAGCTGCTACACTCCAGAGGAGGGATGTATGGCTGCAGTGTGAGCTCTATGCTGAGTGTCACTAACATGAACTAGTTAGTTCCTCTTTGTTAAGTATAAAGAGCCAACCATGTGTTCCAGCACGTGGTCCCATGGTATGTAGAGGAGACCAACATTTATACAGCATCTACTATGTGCTAGGCACATTCTTCTCTCATTTAATCTTAAGTAATTTTCAATATTTTATTGATGAGGAAATTATGTTCAGAGAATTACCCAGTGGCACTTAAAGATGAAAATCAGACTTAAGTTTGAAGTTGGAAGTCTTTTGTTAAGTCAGACTTCTGAGGCGCCTCTGACCTCAAGCCTTCTTCATCACTCCTGTGGTTTTTCTCCATTCTGCATTGTGTTGCATAGCTATTTGCTTACCTAGGTTATAAATTCGTTTCCTCTCAATACATAGTCAGTAGTAAGTGATGCTGATGATGACTTAGCCTGATTTCCTGGAATTTGTGTCAGCCTGACGAATTGACTGTAGCTTCCTCAGATACTCACGCACTTCTTTAAAGTGGGGGTATGCAGCATTCATTTACCAACCCCATCCAAGGACATCTCTTGAAGTGAGATTTAAAAACAACCCCCTGCCTCCCGAAAACAATAACCAGTGAGCAAGAAAGCAAAAACGAAGCTTTGAAAATCCTTACACAAAAGATGATCATTTTTAAAAAGTAAAATATTACACTATTCAACTATAAAACCAAAGGATTTTGAGTATAAGGGAATCAAGTTTTTCTTTGTAGAACCTGAATTATGTTCAGGGTCATATAAAGACCTAGTTACTTGGCTTTGTGTCTTTCCAGTTTGGATATCTAAGTGTTCTAAATCTCCATTCCCCACTTTGCTATTGCGTGATGAATTAATAAGGAGAAAATATGACTGCATTCTCAGTTTTCACATCTCTAATAAAGCCCATATTTTAAAGCAGTTATGAAACTTTGCAGGAATCCAGGTTTAAAGGCAAATTAAATACATGAAAAACTAAACCAGACAGCAAAGTTTAGTTACCTGAGAAACAACTACTAAATTTATCTCTTCAGTCAGGAACATAAGATAAATACTTCAACAAACTCACTATGCTTTTGCTTTCAATTTAACTTTAGTCCTTATTAAATAACATACTCGGCAAGAAATGTACACGTATAGATTTAAAGCTATCCTGATCAGAATGTGCTATAATAACTCGGCTATGTAAAAAATTTGTCTTTTTGCTACTGTAATGAAGCTTATCTTTCTGTCAGTTTGAGTAGAGTGATTTAGGTTGCAGGGCATTGCTGTTTTACTCTATCTTGAGTACAGGTAATCAAAGTTAAGCATGGTAGACACTACAAGCTACAAGCAGCCTTGACTTGTACAACCTATGTAGGTCCCTCCTGTACACAGCGGTTTTCCCTCACCAGCAGCTGCCTGAAGCTAAGTGACAGGTGGCTGGGGGATTGCTTTGCTTGGCCATCACCTTTTTTTGAGATTTGTCTCACTTCTTCTTCCTTTTCCTCTCCCTAATGCATCATTGCTGGGATAGGTCTAATCTCCTTCATGCTATCTTCAACTTCTATCTCTTCTTTGAAGTTCCAAACCTCATTGGTTCTCACTGTTTCATTACAGAAGCTGTAATGAAACACTGAGGATAAGGATAACAGAAATCTGGTGTCCTTTTGGAACTGGATGGATCTTACTTTCTCTTCCATGTAAAAAGTCATGTATCATTTATGACATTAGTGTGACACTGTGATGGTTTAAGTTAGCAAAGACTGAAAGGAGGTATAAAAAGCTGTGAGTCCTAGAAGTTCCTACCTCTGCTAGTAGACCAGGTCCTGTTGTTAGTATTTGATCAAGTTTCTTCTCTCCAAAACACATGGGTGGCATTTTCCTCTTTGGGGATTTTTCCAAAAGCAAAAGCAATCATCTCAATCACTTGTCATTCAAACAGGATGAGATCTAAGGACGGTTGTTACAAGAGTTACACCAGCTGGGCCAAGCAAATGTAGCTGGCATGCTGCACAAGCGTGATGTGTGGTTGTGATCATAACACAACTTATTTTTTTTCCCTCCTACTGCTTCTTTAAACTTTGTTCAGTGGGGAATTATCTTTCCATAATCTTGGTTGAAGCTACCCACCCCATGATTTTTCTATTCACTCTTAAGTAATAGATAATCTTGGAACTTCTTTAAGTCATAACTAGAGATTTACTTTACAGTGGGAATGTCCAGGTTAGTGTTATCAAAACTTTAAGCCTGCCTGATGCTTTTCCCTCCCCCCTTTTTTCATCAGATAAGCTTGTTTCTTCCTAGAAGTCCTCAGTGGGAAAGGGGTGTGGTTGTTCAGCTTTCTACCTTCTCCCTGGTCCCCACTTTGTACTTCAGGCAATGGAAACTCAGGAAAGGTGGGAAGACGCAGGCATAGCAAAGTTCTTATCTGGCTGGGTGGCTCTTGGCTCTGGGCCCAGTGGGTATCTGAAGCTGGCATCCCCATTTAGGCCTGATAGATGATCACTGCTGATTCTTTTCTCTCCTTTGTGGACTTCTCAGAGGTGTGCTACTGGGCGTCTCTCTCCTCCAGTTCTCTTTACCTAGGAAGAAGCATTTTTCTTTCAAATGATTTCTAGTGACCCTTTCCCTTGGTGTCTGGACATAAGGTGCTAAGTCTCCAGCCTTTTCCTGAGGTCTCTTCACCCCTACAGGTGGCTCTGTTGGACAAGAAACAGGTTTATAGTCCACTTTAGCTGTACAAAGTTAGGCACCGGGCCAACTCAGAGAACACATTTCAGAGCCTCTGAGAGGTTCCCTTGATACCTTTCTCACTTTACCTGGGATGCAGGGTAGTACTTCTCACCCCTCCCCTAAAGGGGGAGCTGGGACTCACAACCAGGTAACTTCTCTCTTTAAAGAAATCTCTTTTTTTTCTCTTCTTGAGACAGAGTCTCACTCTGTCACCCAGGCTGGAGTGCAGTGGCACAGTCTCGGCTCACTGCAACCTCTGCCTGCCAGGTTCAAGCAATTCTCCTTTCTCAGACTCCCAGAGTAGCTGGGACTACAGGTGTGCACCACCGCACCTGGCTAATTTTTGTATTTTTAATAGAGATGGGGTTTCACCATGTTGGCCAAGCTGGTCTTGAACTCCTGACCTCAAGTGATCCTCCCGCCTTGGCTTCCCAAGGTGCTGGGATTATAGGCATAAGCCACTGCACCTGGCCTCAAACAAGTCCTTTTGTGAAACTCTCTTCTCTTCCCCTCTGTATCTGTGATTTCATTGATGAGTCTTTTCTCTTCCCCTCTGTATCTGTGATTTTATTGATGAGTCTTGTATTAGCAAGGGTTTTCCAGAGAAACAGAACACACACACACACACACACACACACACACACACACACACACACACACACAGAGAGAAAGAGAGAGAGAGAGAATTTAAAGAATTGGCTCACATATTTGTGGAGACTTGGTGAGTTCAAAATCTGATCGGATAGGAATAGGCTGGTAGGCTAGAGGCTGATGGAAAAATTGCAGTTCAAGTCCAAAGGTGGTCTGCTGGCAGAATTCTTCTTGCTCAGGGAAGGTCAATCTTTTTTATGTTTTTTTTTTAAATTAAAGCCTTCAACTGATTGGATGAGGCCAACCCACATTATTAAGGGTATGGAAGGAAAATAAATCCCGGGACCCCAAAATCACTAAGCCAAAGGGAAAAACCGAGCTGGGAACTGCTTAGGGCAAATGTGCCTCCCATTCTATTCCAAAAAAAGAAGCCACTAAGATAAAAAAGCTACATACCTCCCTCACAAGGAATTTCCTTGTGGACAAAGGACAGACAGAACTCAAAGTCATCCCTCTGCTCACTGAGATAAATGCATATCTCAGTGCCTCCTTTGGAAAGGCTAATCAGAAACGAAAAAGAATGCAACTGTTGTCTCTTAGCTACCTATGACCTGGAGGCCCTGTTCATGCTTCGAGTTCTCCTGCCTTTTAGGACAGAACCAATGTACTTCTTACATATGTTGATTGATGTCTCATGTCTCCCTAAAATGCATAAAACAAAGCTGGGCCCCGACCACCTTGGGCACATGTTGCCAGGACCACCTTGGGCACATGTTGCCAGGACCACCTTGGGCACATGTTGCCAGGACCTCCTGAGGCTGTGTCACAGGTGCATGTCCTTAACTTTGGCAAAATAAACTTCCTCAGTTGACTGAGAACTGTCTCAGATATTTGGGGTTCACAAGGGTAATCTGCTGTCCTCAAAGTCTAGTGATTTAAATGTCAATCTCAGCTGGGTGCGGTGACACACACCTTTAATCCCAGCACTTTGGGAGGCTGAGGTGGGAGGATCATTTGAGCCCAGGAGTTTGAGACCAGCCTGAGCAACATGGTGAGACCCCATCTCTACAAAAAATACAAAAATTAGCTGGGCGTGGTGGCACATGCCTGTAGTCCCAGCTACTCTGGGGGGCTGAGGTAGGAGGATCACTTGAGCCCAAGGGGTCGAGGCTCCAGTGAGCAGTGATTGTGCCGCTGCACTCCAGCCTATACAACAGAGTGAGACTCTGCCTCCAGAAAAAAAAAAAAAAAAAAAAAAAAAGTTAATCTCATCTAAAAAATAATTTCACTGAAACATCTAGAGTACTGTTTGACCAACTATCTGGGTACTGTAGCCTATCCAAGCTGACAAAAAATTAACTGTTGCACATTTAATGAGGTCCTCCTTCATTCTGCGTTTGGGGATGAGGGAACTTGACCACATTTGATATCCTGATATCTGTCATACTGGTGCTTTAGTAGACTCAGAGGCAAGGATAGCTTCATTCTAACATCCTGTTATGCAACAGTAACATTCCAGTCACTGTTGGCTATGCAGACTCAGAGGTTGTCACCAAGTTCCAGGCTCTTCTTGGCTCTAGTGCAGTTATTGAGGGTTTGGGCTTTGGCATCTGGACTTGGTCTAGAGTGATGCCTGGAAGGGGAAATCAAATTGCCCTCCCCCCCGCCCCGAATTACTATCTGAACCTGGTTAGTTGGGTCAGTTTCTTCAGAATTGAAGGGTTGTCATTCAGAATGGCCTGATACCATTTCTTTGTCAGTCAGTCCAAAAGTGTGATATAATTGCTTCTTGAGTCACCAACAAGCAAGAAGAAGGGTGAGAAATCAGCTTTATATGGACTTTTTCTGGCCTCATGAGGAACCTGAGTTTAGCTACTACCAGTTAAATACAGGTGGTGGCCTCCAGTGAAGTTGGGAGAGAAGGAATTAAGATTAAAGTATTAGTCAAAGTACAGAAGGGGCCCAGGGCACTACTGTATCTCTGCTCTCTCTCTCTCTCTCTGTCTCTCTCTGGCTCTCTCTCTCCCTCTCTCTCAGACATTTTCCCAGAATCTCTGAGTCCAGAGAACTAGGAACCGAGTAAAGGGCAAGTGGATTTTAAGTGGCAAATGCCAAGTTTGTGTGTGTGCCAGTGTGTTTATTAATCATCCAAAAGGACCTTGTGGCCTAGTACAGTGTGTGAGGACATAAATACTCTGCCCACTTCCTTCTCATTACTGCCTGTTATGGGCTGAATTGTGTCCCTCACCACATTTCTGTGCTAAAGCCCTCACCCCCGGTACCTCAGAATGTGACTGTTTTGGGGGATAAGGCTATTCAAGATGTGGTTAAGTTAAAATGAGGCTTCCAGGTGGGTCCTAAGCCAATCTGACTGATGTTCTTATAGGAAGAGAACATCTGGATGCATGAGAGACACAAGGGGTGTGCATGCACAGAAGAAAGACCATGTGAAGAAGCCACAAGAGGAAGGCCATCTGCCAGCCAAGGAGAGAGGCCTCAGAGGAAACTAAAGCTGCAGGCACCTTGATCTTGGACTTCCAGCCTCCATTTCTATTGTTTAACCCATCCATCTGTGGCATTTTGTTATGGCAGCCATAGCCATCTAGTATACTAGTAGTCAAAACCCTCAGAAGGGGAAGTGGGTAGGCCCATTTCTGGGGCTGATAGGAAAAAAGAAAAGGAGTTAATTCCATCGTGGGTTAAACTAGAAGAAGGCAAACACATGCATATATGTTTAACTAATCTTTGACAAAGGTGCCAAGAATCCATAATGGGAAAAGATAATCTTTTTATGAATGGATACAAGAATTATTGACAAATGTGTATTAGGCTATTCTTGCATTGTTATAAAGAAATAACTGAGACTAGATCATTTATAAGAAAAGAGGTTTAACTGGCTCACAGTTCTGCAGACTGTACAGGAAGCATAGTGCCAGCATCTGCTCCTGGGGAGCCCTCAGGAAGCTTACAATCACGGCAGAAGGCAAAGGGTGAACAGGCATATCACATGGCAAAAGCAGGAGCAAGAGAGAGAGAGTGGGTGGGCGGGAGGTGCCACACACTTTTAAATGGCCAGATCTCTGTGAACTTGGAGCAAGAACTCACTTATTACCAAGGGGATGGCCAAAGCCATTCATGAGGGATCCACCAACCCTATGATCCAGTTACCTTCCACCAGGTCCCACCTCCAACATTGAGGATTACATTTCAACATGAGATTTACAGGGGACACGTATTCAAACTATATCATTCTGACCTTGGTTCCTCAAATCTCATGTTCTCCTCACATTTCAAAATACAATTATTCCTTCTCAATAGACCCCCAAAAGTCTCAACTTGTTTAAGCATCACTCAAAAGTTCAAAGTCCAATGTCCCAAGTCTTGTCTAGGAAATGAGTTCCTTCCACCTATAAGCCTGTAAAATCAAACTAAGTTAGTTACTTCCAAGATACAATGAGGGGTATAGGCATTGGGTAAACATGTCCATTTCAAAAAGAGAAATTGGGCAGTCCTTAAATCTTAAGGCTCCAAAATAATCTCCTTTGACTCCATGGTGTGCATCCAGGGCACACTGGTGTGAAGGATGGGCTCCCAAGGCCTTGGGCAGCTCTGCTTCTGTGGCTTTGCAGGGTTCAGCCCCCATGTCTTCTTCTACAGGTTGCTGAGCACTGTGGCTTTTCCAGGCACAGGGTGAAAGCTTCCTGTGGCTCTACAGTTCTGGGGTCTAAAGGCTGGTAGTTCCCTTCTCAGAGTTCCACTAGGCAGTGCCCCAGTGAGGACTCTGTGTGGAAGTTCCAACCCCACATTTCTCTTCTGCACTTCTCTAGTTGAGGTTCCTCTGTGGGGGCTCTGTAGCAGGCTTCTGCCTGAACATCCAGGTTTTCTCATATAGCCTCTGAAACTAGCAGGAGGCTGACAAACATTATTCACTCTTGTACTCTGTGTGACTACAGGCTTACCTATGCATGGAAGTCAGCAAGGCTTCCATTCTCCCCAGGGACAGCCTGAGCTGTACCTGGGCTCCTTTGAGACACAGATGGTGCTGGAACAGCTTGGATTCAGGGAGTAATGTCCTGAGGCTATGCAGAGTAGTAGGGCCCAGGGCCTGACCATGAAAACATTCTTTCCCCCTAGGCCTCTGGGCCTGTGATGGAAGGGACTGCCACAAATGTCTCTGAAATGTCTTTGAGACCTTTTCTCTATTGTCTTGGCTATGAGCACTTGGTCCCTTTTTAATTATGCAAATATCTCTAGCAAATATTTGCTCCACAGCCTGCTTGAATTCCTCTCCCCAAAAAACGTTTTCTTTCTCTGTCACATGGCCAGGCTGCAGACTTTCCAAACCTTTACCCTCTGCTTCCCTTTTAAATATAAATTCCAACTTACAGTCATTTCTTTGCTCCTGCATCTGAGCAGAGGTTGTTAAAAGAATCTAGGCCACATCTTGAAGCTTTGCTGTTTATAAATTTCTTCCCTAAGTCATCACTCTTTAGTTCAAACTTCCACAGATCCCTAGGGCATGGACACAATACAGCCAAGTTTTTTGCTAAGGAATAACAGAGGTGATCTTTGCTTTGCTGCAGTTTCCAATAAGTTCCTCATTTCCATCTGAGACCTCATCAGCCTGGACTTCACTGTTCATATCACTACCAGCATTTTGGCCACAACCATGTAACCAGTCTCTAAGAAGTTGCAAAACTTCCTTCATCTTCCTGTCTTCTTCTGAGCCCTTCAAACTCTTCCAACCTCTAGCTGTTACCCAGTTCCAAAGTTTCTTCCACATTTTTAGGTGTCTTTGTAGCAATACCTCACTCCTGGTACCTATTTTCTGTATTAGACCATTCTTCCTTGCTATAAAGAAATACCTGAGACTGGGTCATTTGTAAGAAAAGAGGTTTAATTGGTTCACAGTTCTGCAGGCTGTACAGAAAGCATAGTGTTGGCATCTGCTTTTGGGGAGGCCTCAGGAAGCTTACAATCATAGTGGAAGGCCAAGGGGGAACAAGTATGTCACATGGCAAAAGCAGGTGCAAGAAAGAGAATGGGTTGGGGGAGGTGCCACATACTTTTAAATGACCATATCTCATGTAAACTCAGAGCAAGAGCTCACTTATCACCATGGGGGTGACTCAAGCCATTCATGAAGGATTCAGTCCCCCATGATCCAATCACCTCCCAGAAGTTTCTACCTCAATGTAATCAAGGGATTACATTTCAACATGAGATTTAGAGGAGACACATATCCAAACTATACTATAAATGGTATTGGGAAAACTGGATATCCACATGCAAAAGAATGAAATTGGACATGTATCTTATACCATACACAAAAATCAACTCAAAATAGACTAAAGACTTAAATTTAAGACCTGAAACCATAAAGATTCTAGAAGACAATATATAGAAAAAGGCTCCTTGATCTTGGTTTTGGCAATGATTTTTTTTTTGTATGACACCAAAACCACATGCAACAAAAGCAAAATTAAACAAGTGGGACTATTTAAAACTAAAAAGCATCTGTACAGCAAAAAAAAACCATAATAATAAAATGAAAAAGCAACCTATGGAATGGGAAAAATATTTGTAAACTATGTATATTAGTCAGGGTTCTCCGGAGGGGCAGAACCAATAGGATATAGATAGATAGATAGAGGAGAGGGGAATTATTAGAGGAATTAGCTCCCGTGATTATGAAGGCTAAGTTCCTTGATAAGCTGTCTGCAAGCTGAGGAATCAGGGAGGCTGGTTGTTCAACTCAGTCCAAGTCTGAAGGCCTCAGAACCATGGAAGCTGATGGTGTAACTCTCAGATCAAGGCTGAAGGCCTGAGTGGGGGACCACTGGTGCAAGTAGTGAAGCTCAAAGGCTGAAAAGCCTGAAGTTCTGATGTCCAAGGACAGGAGAAGATGGGTTTCTCAGCTCCAGGAGAGAGAGGGCAAATTAACATTTCCTCTGTTGTTTTTTTTTTGTTTTTTTGTTTTTGTTTTTGTTTTTGTTTTTTGTTCTATCCGGGTCTTCAGCTAATTGGGTGGTGTCTGCCCACACTGAGGATGGATCTTACCCACTCAGTCCACTGGATCACATGTCAATCTCTTCTGGAATCACCCTCACAGACACACCCATAAATAATGCTTTATCAGCAATCTAGGTATCATTTAATTTAGTCAAGTTGACAACTAAAATTAATCATCACATCATATTTTTGAGAAAGGATAATATCCAAAATATAAGGAACCCATACAACTCAAGAGCAAAAAACCACTAACCCAAATAGGAAATAGTCAAAAGACCTCAATATACACTTTTTCTAAAGAAGACATACAAATGAACAACAGTTACATGGAAAGGTGCTCAACATCAGGGAAATACAAATTAAAACCACAATAAAATATCACCTCATACCTGTTAGGTTAGCTATTATCAAAAGGCCAAGAGATAACAAATGTTGGTGAGGATGTGGGGAAAAGGGAATCTTTGCACACTGTTGGTCGGAATGTAAATTGGTACAGCCATTATGGAAAACAGTATAGAGGTTCTTCAAAAAATTAAAAGCAGAATTGCCATATATCCAGATAATCCCACTTCTGGGTATATATATGAAGGAAATGAAATCAGTATCTTGAAGAGATATCTGTCCTTCCACATTCATTGCAGCATTATTATAGTACCCAAGATATGGAAACAACATAAGTGTCTGTATTAGTCCATTTTCACACTGCTATAAAGAACTACCTGAGACTGGGTAATTGATGAAGACAAGAGGTTTAATTGACTCATAATTCCACAGGCTTAACAGGAAGCATGACTGGGAGGCCTCAGGAAACTTACGGTCCTGGTAGAGGGCAAAGGGGAAGCAAGCACTTCTTATCATGGCAGAGCAGGAGAGAGGGAGTGAGAAAACAGAGAAGTGCCACACACTTTTAAACCATCAGATCTTGTGAGAACTTACTCACCATCATGAGAACAGCAAGGGGGAAATCCACCCCCATGATCCAATCACCCCCTGCCCAGGCTTCCCCTCCAACTTGTGGGGATTATAATTCACTATGAGATTTGGGTGGGGACACTGAGCCAAACCGTGTCAGTGTCCATTGAAGGATTAATGGATAAAGAAATTATGATCTCTTTCTGTCTAGTCCCCTATAAGAATGGCATATTATTCAGCTTTAAAAAAGAAGAAAACCCTGCCCTTTGGGATAATGTGGATGAACTTGAAAGACATCATGCTAAGTGAAATAAGTCAGACACAATAGATACAGATATTGCATAATATCGCTTATATGTGGAATCTAAAAAAGTTAAACTTAGAGTAACAGAAAGCAGAATGGTGGTTGCCAGGGGCTAGCAGAATGGTGGGGGAAAGGGTGAGATGTTGGTCAAAGGGTGCAAACTTTCAAGTATAAGACGAATATTTTCTAGAGATCTCATGTACAGCATGTTAACTATAGTTAATAATAATCTATTATATATTTGATATTTGCTAAGAGAGCAGATCTTAAGTGTTCTTACCACACACACATACAAATTGTTAACTATGTCAAATGATGGATATGTCAATTAGCTTAATTATAGAAATCATTACATAAGCATACAGCTATGTTAAAACCCACATTGTACATCTTAAACACATACAATTTTTTATTTGTCAACATACCTCAATAAAACTGGAAAAAAACCAAGAGAAGCAAACTGTCCTAAAAAAAATCCCAAATAAAAAACCCATCAAGGGCCAGATACAGTGGCTCATGCCTGTAATCTTAGCACTTTGGGAGGCTGAGGTGAGCAAATCACTTGAGCCCAGGAGTTCAAGACCAGCCTGAGCAACAGCAAAACCCCATCTCTAACAAAAAACTAAAAATAAAAGATAAAAATTAGCCAGGCTTGGTAGAGTGTGCCTGTGGTCCCAGCTACTCAGGAGGCTGAGGTGGGATGATCACCTGAGCCCAGGGAGATCAAGGCTGCAATGAGCAGTGATTGTGCCACTGCCCTCCAGCCTGGGCAACAAAGTAAGATGCTGTCTCAAAAAAGAAAAAGAAAACTCTTTTTCAACCTTCCCTCATTTATCTTCATTGGGCCCAGCCCTGCCCCTCCACAGAGAATAGAAAATGTTAACCTCATTTTTCTAAAGTGAACACCAGCAGTAGCTCATAAATGGCAAAGACACTCTCTTTCCTTCCCTGGAATGTAGTTATGGTGTGAGGAAGGGGAGTCTCAGATCTTACTGTAAGGAGATAAGATGTATTTCCTGCATTTCAGATGGGAACAGGAATACATTTTTCTGTTGAAATTTTGTTATAAGTGGTGCCAAGTTTCTAATTTAGTTATTGTTAGCATAGAATCTTATTTCAGGTACATTATAGTTAAGCGGGATTGTGTAGGCTGGTCTGAGGTTCTAACTACCTTGATATTATTTTGGGAAAAAGTATTTGAAATTCCAAACATAGCTACATATGTGCACCCACTCTAAGCTGGAGTGGGCTGTATCTATGTGTAGTCTATAAATGTGGTAGAGTAACTTGACATCGTAAGAAACTGTAGGAAAAAATGAGCTGCAATCATTGAGACAATTCTTAGTAGCAACTTCACATGCCAGAAGCAGAGATGGAGGCTGGAGCCCCACGTACGCAGTACACTCCATCTGCAGAGCAGACACTGGGGAAAGCTCCATGGAAGCTCTGGGTCTATGGGACACAGTTTGAAACCACCATGATACATCATTCTCTGCCTTGGACTGCTAAGAAACCCAGCAATCATGCTCAGACTTCTCCAGGTGCAGGAACACCTGGATGTTATGGGAGCACAGTGGACACTACCCAGAAATAGTAATGTTGTCAATGTATCATAATTAATCTGTGAATTCTCCCTAAATCATATGCTATAGTTGCGGTCCTTGGTCTCTCTGCTTTCAGATCTATTTATTGCCCCTTCCTGCTCTGTGCTCAGGAGGTGGATCCCTGCAGGCTCTGGTTTCCCAGGTTCCTGCTGAGTTTGGCCAATGGGAGGCCAAGGCAGGAGATGGCAGGCAGAGTGGGAGGGAGAAGGCAGGGTATTTCTCCTCCCTCTACCTGCACCCCTAGTCCTCCCATAACCCTCACACACATCCCCCCTCCCACTCACTCCCTCTCCACCCAGGATGGAGTGACATTTCTGACAGGGACCATGTCTCCTCTGTGGCTCCAACTCCCGTAGAACAGTCTGCCATGGATCTAGCCTTCATTGACAAGAGTTACCAAAAATCTGAGAAACATTGAGGAGGAAAAAAAGTCTTAAAACTGGGAAAATTCGGTCCATTCACTTAATGACTTTTATTCCCCTGTGAATTGGGAAGGGGAGAAACACCCTTTTTCTATTTTCTTTCTTTCTTTCTTTCTTTCTTTCTTTCTTTCTTTCTTTCTTTCTTTCTTTCTTTCTTTCTTTCTTTCTTCTTTCTTTCTTTTTCTTTCTTTCTTTCTTCTTTCTTTCTTTCCTTCCTTCCTTCCTTTATTTTTTTCTTTTTGAGATGGAGTCTCGCTCTGTCACCCAGACTGGAGTGCAATGGCGCGATCTTGGCTCACTGCAACCTCTGCCTCCCGGGATCAAGCAATTCTCCTGCCTCAGCCTCCCGAGTAGCTGGGATTACAGGTGCATGCCACCATGCATGGCTAATTTTTGTATTTTTAGGAGAGACAGGGTTTCACTATGTTGGCCAAGCTGGTCTCGAACTCCTGACCTCAAGTGATTCACCCACCTTGGCCTCCCAAAGTGCTGGGATTATAGGCGTGAGCCACTGTGCCTGGCCCCATTTTACTTTTCCAAAGTCACTGCTTGAAATGCCTATCTTGAAAATCAGGGCATCACTGAAACAAATGTAATATTTTGAAATTAAGAACCTTTAAATGAAACAAGCCTGCATTGATAATAATTTTCACTGGAATTGAGTCTATTTTGAACTCCTGCCTTTAGCAGCAATGCTCTGTAGAGGAGTCCCAAAATGAGTGACCCTTCAGCACTGCTAAGGCTAACCCTGCAGCATCCAGCATTTCCCTACCCAGGAAATACAGTTTCATACAGACTCTTTGAAGTGCTTCTAGTCTTAGAATATTCTACCTTTCCTTTTTCCCTGGTTTATGTATGGGATCTATATTTTTGATCTAATTCAAAAAATTTTTTAGTTTATTTGACAAATAGTAATTGTACATATTCATGGCGTAAATAGTGATGCTTTGATACATACCATGTATAGTGAACAGATTAGGATAATTAGCATATACATCACTGCAAATTTTTATCATCTTTGTGTTGGGAACATTCAATATCCTCTTTCTAGCTATTTGAATCTATATATTTCTGTTAACTCTAGTCATCCTACAGTGCTGTAGAACACTAGAACGTATTCCTCCTAGCTAGCTGGAATTTTGTGTCCTTTAACAAATCTCTTTGATCTCTTGATTCTGGAAAAGATAGAGACTAAAATGCCAGTCCATTTAGCTTGATGTCTCAAGACGCTGAAAATTTTTAGGGGGAAGGTAGGAAGGAGCTGGACAACCTGAGCAACCACTAGATCACAGCCACTAGATGAGGACGGATCGTTTTTCTCTTTCTTTTCTCTTTTCTTTTCTTTCCTTTTTTTTTTGAGACAGAGTCTTGCTTTGCCACCTAGGCTGGAGTGCAGTGTCACAAATATGGCTCATTGCAGCCTCAAGCTTCTGGGCTCAAGTGATCCTCCTGCCTTAACCTCTCGAGTAGCTGGGATCACAGGCATGCACCATCATGTCCAACTAATTTTTTTTTTTTTTTTTTTTTTTTTTTTTAGAGATGGAGTCTTGCCATGTTGCCTAGGCTGGTCTCAAACTCCTGGCCTCAAGCAATCCTCCTGCCTTGGCCTCCCAAGGTGCTGGGATTCCAGGTGTAAGCCACTGCACCCAGCCAGTTTCCCTCTTTCATATAGAGTCCTTATTCTGAATGTTTTTTGTGAAACTGCTTGGAAAGTTCATATGCCAGTTGCTTTGATTTCCAGATGGATATCAGGGTATCAATAAAATCTTCTAAGATTTAGTAAAACAGACTTCTTTTTGTCTTCTTTTATGTTAACTCTGGACCTCAAAGGCTCACAGCTACTGAACAGGCAATCCTGGCTTCGGTACTCAGATATTATGTAAGTTTTCAGAAAACCTACTTTTGGGACTAGACTTATCTATATTTTAACTGGTGAGTATTAGAGGAAACATTATCTTAATTTTGTGAGAAACGTTATCTCAACTGCTGGTATTGATTGTGCCTGGTCAGTGGTACCCTAATTTAGATACTAAAAACTTTTAGCTTATAGCTCAGCCCCTGAACCACTGAGAGTCATGCTGGGGGCTAAAAAAGGCACCCATTTTCTCACTAGTAATAGAACATAGAATTTGGAATGATCCTGTGGGCCTTGGAGTAAGGTGTGCCTACCTAACTGCAGCCTCTTTGTTTCTCCCTGCACCACCTATCACTATGCCCGGCTAGGATTCTGCTCTGGTTCCTGGTTGTTACTCCAATTCTCTGTTGACATCAGAGACCTGCCCTGAGATCGGCTTTTTGTCCAGGGGTGGTCTTGCTGCCAACCCTTGCCTTCCCTCTCTCCCCAGGTGGCTGAGGTCCTATTTCACCCAGATGAACACCTCTCCTTTTCATTCCCACAACAAGATGCTCCTATACATCTAGAAACCAGTGTACGCTATTGTCCCAAGACTGCTACTGCCAAATTCTAGGCCACAAATAAGATCCTGTGGGTATTGGTTCTCCCTTATCATTATAATGTGGCCTGCTGGTCACCCTCTGGAGACACATCCTATAACCAGATTAGTTTTCTTTTAGCCCCAGTCTTAGTTGATTGCTTCTACTTTCCTGAATGAGATTAGGTTCCCAGCATAGATTCCTGGGCTAATGTCAGTTCATTCTTGACAACAATCACTATATCCTGCCAGTCAGAAGGAGATGGGAAATTCAGCTTGATTTGCACTGGTATAAATTTATGTACCTATGTATAGTCTAGATGTATGTATATATTTCCTAAATGGAAATACCTTTTTCTGATAAGACAAGATTATTGCAAAAATACAGAGAAATGAAAGTTCCCTCTACCACAAGTCATCTCTCTGATTAATAATGTTAACGGTTTATATTGATATAATTCTCCCAGTATAATGGAAATATAAATGTAAACACACACACACACACCCTCAAGCAGAAATTGAATTATACTTTTCTGTAACCTGCTTTTCATTTTAGCTTTATGATTTATTGTTGGACATCATCCTGCCATCATTTTATTTTTTTCTTTTTATTTATTTTTATTTTTTGAGATGGAGTTTCGCTCTTGTTGCCCAGGCTGGAGTACTGGGATAACAAGCGTGAGCCACTGCGCCCGGCGCCTGCCCTCATTTTAAACCTGGGCTCCCTTTGTCTCAACTTCAGAGTGGTCTATGATTTAAGTACAAAATAATTCTTCTTTTTGTAGTGCTTTTTTTTGGTGGGGGGTATGTTTGTTAAATTATTTATAGTGATAGGTTCTACAGAAATAGATGTTTTTTACTGAGACCATCAAAACCCTCAGTGCTTTAATGATTCTGCTGATTAAGTGGAAAACACATGAAGGCTTGTCAACCTGTCAACCCAAAGAAAATGCTATCTCTCCCTAATGTAAATGGATTACATAAAGGCCTGCTCTCCCACTGCATCAAGTTATGGGGTTTCATGCTCTAAAGACCAGGTAGGTATTACTTCACACAGTTCTTGCGGAATGTTGAACTTTTAAGATGAAGAACCAAATTTTAAAACTGTCATAAATCTAAGTCTGGCTTTCAGAAGGCAAGAATGCTATTTTTAGTGTGTCTGGATTGCAGTCTTTCCCTTTGGTAGTTGATGATGACTGCACAGTAAGAATGAAAAATGAAACTTCTGGAGATTGGATAGCTAAGGAGATTGAAAATAACACCCAGACAGTGGAGCCTTTGGGTCACTAATTTGAATTCAGCTCAGATCAGTGATGACTACAAATTGTTCTGTCTGATGGCAGTGAGGCTTGTAGAAAATGCATTCTTCATCCTTATCTATGTTAATTACGTCTATATGCTTGTTGGAGCCAGGTTTGACGATTTAGATTGTAATCCCTTGGAGGGCAGGGACCATATCTGCATAATGCACTGTTTACACCCTCACTTAGATGAGTGTTGATTAGATGATTTTGATCAGGGAGATGAAGAAGTGCTCTTTCTGAGGTGTGAAACTGTGACTATCAAACATTCCTGTGAAATATGAGAGTCACATCCCTTTCAGTTTGTTTTGAGTGGCTTTGGAAATAGTTTGGTCCCACACAATGACAAATAGTCTCCTTTTTCAGTCCTGTCAGCACACACTGTCACTCCTCCCTGACATGTAAAGATGGGTTTCTCATTTCTTTTTTTTTTTTTCTGATCTGCCTACATCTATTGGGTTCTAGCTCAATACCCACCTCTTCCATTGTTTTCCTTAATCGCTTCAGCCTACCTTAACCATAACATGTTATAAATTCCATCTATTTTGCCTGTGTTCAATGTTATCCTCTGCTGAGATCTGTCTTTTTATGAATGTGTCCTGTCTCTCTTTGTAGAGACAACCTTTTTGAGGTTCAAGACCATGTCTTATACATCTTCTTGTCACCACCCCACCTACTGATACAACGTTTGTAAACTTTGGGGCTAATATTGGTGGATTTTATTAATAGCATTGTTGAACAACTAAATAAAAGTCTTACATAATAGTTTGGATAGTCCTTTATGCTAACTGCTATTATGTGAGTTTTGCTTTTCTGGCTCTTTTGATATCATGTTACGAGTGCCATGGAGGTGGTGCCTATAGGATGCAGGTTGTATATTACACAAGTCTAGAGGCTGATGCACATAGATAGATGATGGCTATGGCGAGTGCCTCTGATGATGCTGGAAAATGGAGGTCAAAGAATAATAGCACTGATGCTCAAAAGTAAAACATGTATTAGTAGCTGCAATGGGCTAGGCAGGGAAGAATAAGTCACTAAAGCGTGAATCCTGACACACTTGTTTTTGGGACAAAACCAAATATGTTGGGGACAGCATTTTTCAGCAAGTGAGTGTTTCCATTTCTTTCACCCTGCTTTGCCTGTCCCAAAGGGATGTTTTTCCCCCTTGAAAGCTCAGTTTATTCTTATCCTCAGCCCACTAAACAGTTTGACTTTTGTCAACCCAGCTCTTGGGCTTTTGTGATGTAGAATCAGGAGACAGACTGGATTAGAGAGCAGGGAGGCAAGGGGGGAAAATAGTCCAGAGTCCTGATTGCTGGGCTTGGTGGGAAGGCTGAAAGAGGGAGAGGCTCGGAAGCAGGTAGGCTGGGAGAATATTTAGAGGGGGGCAAATAGAGGGTTCTGGAAGTGCTTCAGAGAGTAAGAATTGCATTTCTTCTAATGCTTGCAAGTCAAGATAGGGTAGGTTCTGCCCCTTGCAAGTAGCGAACCACTCCTAAATCTCTGAGACTTAGCACAACCCAATTTCATTTCTTGCTCAGAGTCTGGAGTGACTCTCCAGTGCAGGTGTCCTCCATGTAGTGACTTGGTGGCCCCAGCTGCTTCGATCTCATGATTCTACTGTCATAAGAATGGCAGGAGAGGAGAGGGCATGGAGACCTCACAACCATTGCTCCAGGCTTCTGCCAGGAAGAGACTTTTACTTGCAGCCCATTGCCTGCACTGGGGCTCATGATGGGCCTGCCCATGGGGGCCTGGGAGGCATAGGCTTCCATGAGCTTGGAAGGTGAGAGCTGTGGATGGGTGAGCTCTGCTAATACTGGACACAGGCTCTTCAGAGGCATGCAGAGGCTGGAGTGCCTTTTGCTTTCGGTGGCTGGGCAGTGTCTCTTTTAGGTGACACCTCTCTGAGATCAGGCCACAGAGGGCTCTGACATTTATTTGGCTTATGCAGAGAAAGAGGAAAAGCCAACTGTATGTAGTGAAGCTTCATTAAGAGTTTCTGAAAAACACAATAATGTAGCTGTTATTTTGTTAAATATTGTAAATATTAAATATTATCTTGTTAAATATTATAAGAGTTTTTCCAGTTTTTTGCCTCCTTGTGTTCTCTCTCTCTCTTTTTCTCTTCAGTGAGAAAATATTCACAAATGCTATTATTCCCATGACTCATTAGGAGGAAGTTTTAAATTTGGTTTTATTTCCTTTGCTTCCTTGATAGTCACTTTATTAGGCATCTTAAGATGGAGAAAAGGTTACACATTCCCTTTAGTATCATTAAAAAGAAGCCTGTCTAGGATGACATAAATGTGACGGTCATTCATGATTCCTTTGAGCTTTATGACTTTTCCAAGAAAATAAAAAGTCTGTATTGCAAATCTATAGGAGAAACGAAGCTGGCAGGATATGCCTAATGTGATTTCTTAGCAAGTGTATTTCAGTAGAGGACAAAAGAAAAGAGAAGTGCATACATTTTTTTTTTTGAAAAATAAGTTAGGAGACAATTTTAGATCTTTCTGCAGTTTTCTCAACAGAAACAACTACATTATAGGAGAGATCACATGATTATTTCCGTCTTGACAACATTTCAACAATTTCAATAAGTGATACGTACCATTAACAACAACAACAACAACAACAACAACAACAACAACAACAACAAGAAACCACAACCCTTGCCTGGTGCAAATAAGAGTGAGAGAAGGCACGATTGAATACTTCAGCATGCAATTACATTTTCTGCATAATTAGTCATAAATTGAGCATCCGAACATAGATGCATGCGTAATTAATTATGACTTATTTAAAAGCACTCAGGTTGTGACACTTTGTTCTTCGTTTCCTGCAAATCAAATTACTAAAGTTTTCATTTCATTTCAAAATAATTTTCTCTGCATTATTTAAAAATTTTCTACTGAGATATGAGGTTGATTATAACATACATAACTGATGCAGTGAGATAGATACCAGTTAGAGAAGGGTAGATAGGGGTGGCGTATGAAAGGATAAGATTGCAGAACTCATTCTGAAACTGGAGGGAGAAGGTGGGGCTAGGGCTCGCTGGGCTAAGGAATGGATAATCTTTCCATGATGCTTTTTGACTGGGTTGTCTCAGGCAGGGAAAGATACCACATCAAGAGAAATAACACAGATAAGGAAAACATAATGACTAAGTGATTAAGGATCTAGAGATGAGGCTAATATTGCCATCTTCTAAAACATGTTCAGTTGGCCGGGTGCGGTGGCTCACAATTGTAATCCCAGCATTTTGGGAGGCCTAGGTGGGTGGATCATTTGAGGTTAGGAGTTCAAGACTAGCCTGGCCAACATAGTAAAACCTCATCTTTCCTAAAAATAGAAAAATTGGCTGGGTGATAGTGGTACGTGCCTGTAATCCAAACTATTTGGGAAGCTGAGGCAGGAGAATTGTTTGAACCCGGGAGGCGGAGGTTGCAGTGAGTCGAGATTGAGCCACTGCACTCCAGTCCAGGTGACAGAGTGAGACCTTGTCTCAAAAAAAAAAAAAAAAAAACAAAAAAAGAAAAAAGAAAAAAACAACTGTGAACCATGTTCAGTTAAAATATCCTCTTGACTAATTATTTTGTTTTTAGCAGATTTAGATAGCATGAATTCCAGACTACATTTTTTTTTTTTTTTCTAACAGGGTCCATTTGTTGTTTGACAAAAGTTGAGATATATTGCATGGACATGTGTGTTGTCCACATTACTGTCTTTTCCAAAATGCTATGTGATGCCGCTTCAGTAACTATGTCTATTGCAAGGGCTTCTAAATGTTGCATTGCTTTTCCCGCCATGAACAGTTATGAAAACTGAGTGTTTTATACCTACTAGGCTTCTCCGTATATGGACTCCAGGCTAGTGCATCTTCTTCTTCTTCTTTTTTTTTTAAATTTTAGATTCAGGGGGTACATATGCAGGTTTGTTACAGGATATATTGTGTAATGGTGAGGATTGGGCTTCTAGTGAACCCAAAACCCAAATAGTGAACATTGTGCTCAATAGGTAATTTTTCAATCCTCACCCCTCCTCTCACCCTCCCCCCTTTTGGAGTCCCAGGTGTCTACTATTTCTATCTTTGTGTCCACGTGTACCCATTGTTTAGTTCCCACTTGTGAGAACATGCAGTATTTGTTTTTCTGTTGCTGAGTTATTTCACTTATGATAAGGAGGTGCTTCTCAATTTTCCCCGTTAAGTGTCCCTAGTAGTGTAGACATTGAATTGATATCTCTGGAAGTATGGGGCCATATTCCAGCCTCATCCCCAGAGAAAATTGGAACAGTTCTTATATTTTTATGTCAGAAATTCATGTGAATTTAAAATTCTATAATAAATCTGTCTGTTTTAACATAAAAATTTTAAATTATAAACTGTGGAGAAAAATAAAAATGATTTCTACCTGATTCTCGGCTAATGAGTGAGTCTTTCACAATCAGTCTCTCAACTGTGGAGGATCAAGGTGAGTGGTAGGAACGTAGCATGGTATATCAGTTTTGGTGTCCAAGCAATTTCTCTTAATATTTCAAAAACTCAAGCTCATAAATATCTGGATATATATATCTGCAGACTTTTCAGTTGTATGAGCTATGTCAGTGCTGCCCAAGAGGAGGTTCAGGGCATTTTCATGCAACTCTTGGTGAAATATCAATAATTATATCTTCTCAGTGAGAGCTGGTTAAGTCACTCCTGGGATATTGGTTGGTTGAAAGTATCTGCCTCATTTTTACCGGCTCATTGCACATAGCAAGAAGATCAAGAGCCAGATGCTTTGTCAAGGCATTCTTGGTGAACACAATGTCTACTATTCTAGTCAGATTGTGCAATGGTTTTGATGCATTTTACTGCTCCCACAGTATTGTTTGTCACAGATTTGCTGCTCTTCTCACATGCCCATGCATTGCTCTTCAGTCAATAACAGGTTCTGTTAAGAAACATATCTCATTTCATTGGAAGTTTATTCATCAGATAGAATATGAATATCATTAAGCATGTTGAAAGTCAGCATAGGATTTCATTGTAAGTATAGGAAATAAACAGTAATTACAGAGAAAATTTCTTCATCTGCGTGTGTTCTTTGAACTGTAAGGTAAAAAAGAATTGGGTTAATTCCTCAATCAGTTATCTAAATGTGTGTTTTTACCTCTGGCTCATTCTGCCATTTCTTTAGTGTAGCACAGGGATCTCCAATGCATTCTTCTAAGGTGGGCTTAACTGGAAGAGGGGCAACATGTACACCTCTACTTTGGCTCAGAGGAGACTTTACAAATGCTTCTGTTCTATTCTGTTGCCACCTTGGTCAGGGGGCAAGTTTTCCCTTCTAATTTTCAATCACACCTTTGTGATTGAGACTTGGTAGAACACGTGATGTCCAAGCCCTCCTCCTTCAATTCTGGAAGATGATTGTCCTCAATTACTGGAGCAACTTGCCTTGAGATGCCTCCACTCCTCTCTTCAGTCTTCAGACAGACAGTCCTTTTTTCTCTTTCTCACTTGGAGGACTTCTGGGAGTCCTCCTCCTTCTTTCTTTTGAGGTTTTGAGTCAGGGTCTCACTCTTGTCTCCCACGCTGGAGTGCAGTGGCATGATCACAGCTCACTGCAGCTGTGACTTCTTGGGCTCAGGTGATCCTCCCACCTCAGCCTCCTGTGTAGCTGGGACTACAAGCATGTGCCACCATGCCCAGCTAATTTTGTTTTCAGTAGAGACGGGGTTTCGCCATGTTTCCCAGGCTTGTCTCAAACTCTTTGGCTCAAGTGATCTGCTTGCCTCAGCCTCCCAAAGAGCTGGGATCACAGGCATGAGTCACCATGCCGCGCCTGGCTCCTCCTTCTTTTTTAACTTAAATGTATCCACTGCACACTGCTCTCCCTTCCACCCTTCCCCTTATTCCATCCAGTCTTTACATGGTAAAGGTTTATGCGTAGGCTTTTTAAAGTACCATTCTCAGGCTAGCACTGTTTTGGCTAGAAGAGAGAACAGTGGCCTTGAGTATTGTTGAGAAAGCAGAAAGGAATACAGAACCTACACACAGATTAAGATTCCAAGATATAATCCTGCTACACTACAGAGTTTTTCAGATTTTCTTCTGTTAATTTTAAGGTGTCATTGAAGAAAGCCTCAAGTAATTATTTGTTTAAAAAGGCTTTCCATTGTCTCTCCATGAAGCCACCCTTTTCTTCATTTGTAGCCTCTCTCAGTACTTTGACACTTGGCTGAACAAAGTTTGGAAACCACTGGAGAAGATCTTTAGGGCCCCTTGGGGTTCTGGAAAGATGGTTTTTGGTTCCTTCTTTGGGGTAGGAAGAACACTGCTCTTTCTTGCCCTTGGGTAGTTTTCTGGAAAGAATGGCTGTATAGCTTTTCCATATGACAATGTTCCAGTTTCACTGGATTTAGTCTGTAAATATAGGCCACCTCTCTTCTTGAAATCAGATGCGCTATATTGCAAAGGACTTTTAACATTGCTAATGGGGAGGAAAATTTTTCAGAAGAAGAATGACAAGAGGAAGGCTATTGAGCATTAGTCAGCCAAAAAGTGCTGGCCCGAAAACTGCTTTCAAGACTCCTGATGGGTTATAGCTTAGCCCTGGGCTTTGGCACTTCGAGAGCTAGGATGGTGGATGTCTGGATCTGGGCAAGGGTGAGCTGGCACCAAGGTTTTTCTTTAATAATAAGAGTCCTTCACACCCTGTTGATTCAAATCAAAGGGATCCACATCAGTTTTCACATCTCACTGATTATTTTGTATATGACACTGCATGTTCATTTGGACTCAAAATTGCATCCACATATTCCCGGCTTTCCATGATCTCTTTTGCTTCATTTGCTTTTCTGAAATATTTCCAATTATTTGGGTGCCCAATTGTTCATGAAGTGGTCGCTCAGTTTGTGCCGAAAAGGCATTTTTTGAAAAAAAGATTTATCATTATCATGATGTTAGATGTTGATTTCAAAAAGACCTGACCATTGAAGCCCATTGAGATATTAAATGATTTCTCCCTTTACAAACTTTGAAATAATCCTTCTTTAAAATCTTTTAGTCATTTTTCTTTTGTGGCTGACTAGGTCTTAGTCAATGAGTTGTAACAAGAGAGCTTTGTGTGAGATCAGCCTGTACCTGGGGAGCTTGAATGGAGCACTTACACTCAAGGATAACTAAACCTTTAGTTCGTAGACCAAGTGATTTGATTCAACTGGTACAGTAAGTACTGTTTGTTGATGGTATCAGTCAGAATGGAGGATGCCATTCTGGGCTTAGGGTCTGGAAACAAATCTTTTTCAGCCTCCTATTGCAGTCTTCTGACATCCTGCATTTCCTTCAGCAAACAGAGCTGCCTGAAAATAACTTTCATTTCCTCATCGTCTTAGGGAAAACTGGTCAGATACACCCTAGTTGGTATATAGGATTCCTGTTATTCCATTATTTGTCAGATCAGTTGATGGTGGACAAGAGGGGAGGACCCGGTGGAAAGCACTGGCCTAAAAATGTCTAGCTTAGATTTGGCAGTGCTCAAGGCTACTGCTGGTATATAGGTGCCTTTATGCAAACTGCAAAAGAAATGACTTCTCTTGGCAGATGAATTACAATAGACACCCCTTCTTCATGATTGCAGCCCCTCCCAGGGGCTGGGTTGGATTTTAGCCCCCTCAAATTCCTTCCACCAGGTATCTTTGAATAGTGTTCTAATGCACCCTTCATGGAGGCCCTGTCAATGCTCCTGGCAAGAGTGTTGCAAGAATCCCAAGATACCACAAACGGATTGGAGGCCAGAAGCCAGATAGGTGCAAAACGAGGGGAGAAGAGAGTAATGGCTCACTCCTCCTAGTAATACTACTGAGTGTTGACAGGTGGGAGGAGGTTGAAATTGGCAGAGTGTTGTGAACCATGACAGTAGGCAAAGGTTTTTTTCTTCCTCCTATAACACTTGTTTGGCATGCCAGTTTTGGAGCCTGAAAGGAGACATCCATTCCTCGTTCCCTGTGTTGTTCATGTCTGTCCTCTTAACTAACCCCAGGCCTAAAGGATCATGGCTACTGGACACAATTACATTTTTTTATATTGGACACTATTTAGGCTTAAAATAATAGATTCATGCAAGTAGAAATCTACGTGAGATTTGAGAAATGTTTTCTTTCTCTGTGTTCTTTATCTTGTACGTAGTACTCTATCCCTTTATTTTCTTCTAAATTCTCCCTACCCTTCATACTCAACTCAGGTATTACCACCTCCTAAATCTTCCTCTGATTACTCTAGTTCCATGTAGACTTCTTACTTCTCTGAACATCAATTACACTTTGATTTTTACCTTGTATTTATTGTTCTAAATTTGTTTTATGTATTTAAATCTTTTCCTTTCACATATTTTCAGTTTTCTGAGAGCAAGGACTGTATATCTTCACAGTTACATCTCCAATGTGTCTTGCAAATATAAAGTGCTCACTAAAGCTTTAAGCTCCAGGTTTGACCAGTGCTGGAATTAAAAACCTGAATATAGAATTTCTAATTACCCATAATAATTGCAAATGTAATACATTTTGGAAAACAAAACCAACATGTAACACTAAAAATCTTTTGGGCAATTATTTTCACTTTGCAACCCTTTGAAGCCTTCCATCAGAGCTTTGGCTATGCAGCAAACTCAACCTGTTTGTGTATCACAGTATCCTCCTTTGCCAGCAGTCTGAGTGGAATGATAATGAATATTGAAAGAGTGAAAAGAAAAGTAGCATGGAGGTAAAGGAGGAAACATTAGAGGCCTGGATAATTCACCCAGGAGGAAGCTGCCAAATGACAAGACTGGTGTGCCTATGAGCATTTCAGAATTTGTATGGTAAAACTGTGGTTGTGTAGAACTTTAAGAAATTCTTTATTCTGGACAGCTAAGCTTTCTATATGGCCAGGGGATTTGCTTTTAAAGTATAAAACTTTTTTTTTAGTGATTTGGGGTAGAGATATTTGAAAATGTGTTACAGACTTTTAGTAGACATACTTTACAGTGTCCACCTAGCTCACTAATAACTCACCTTTCTTTGGAGAAACTTACTTTGCATAACAAATTATTTTAAATCTTCAAAGCTTAAAATAACAAACATTTATTATCTCTTAGTTTTTGTGAATCAGGATCTAGGGATGGCTTAGCTTTTTGTCTCTGGCTCAAGGACTCTCATAAAGTTGCAGTCAAGTTTTTGGCTGGGGCTGTGGTCTCGTCTAAAGGTTCAACTGGGGTAAGGTGGAGTGAAGAGCCACTGCCAAGCTTGCTCACGTGGTTGTTGGCAGCCCTTGATCCCTTGTCACATGGGCCTTTGCACAGGGCTGTGTCATGATAAGGTGCGGAGTGCCCCCAGAGCAAGTGATTCAACAGAGTGCATGTGCCTCAGAGGAAAGCCATAGGCTTTTAATAATCTAATCTTAGAAGTAACATGTTATCATTTCTCTCTATTTTATTAATTACAAGGGAGTCAGTAAGTCCAGCCCACACTCATGGTGGGGGTTGTCACAAAAGGGTGTGAAAACCAGGAGGCAGGAGCCATCTTAGAGTCTGTCTACCACAGGCTCTTGGTAGCTATGTTTTTTTGCTTGCCTGTTGGTTCATTTATTGGAACAGGGGTGGAGAAAATTCTCTCTGCTGGGAATTGGAGGGAAACCTGGAGAGAGTTAGCTAGTCTCTGCATATGTCATGTCCCAAAATATAAAATTACTGAAGATGTGAGGTTTATGTCTTGCACCCTCCCTGTTGCCTGGGCTAAGAATCAGGTAGATGTGAATAGTGAGGCAGAGGCACGACATGGGCAGAGCATCCTCTGGCTCCCCACCCGCTCTTCTGCCTTTGGGTTTCAGAAAACATCTCTGTAGCCTTTCTATAAATACTCCCAGCTGGGCGCGGTGGCTCATGCCTGTAATCCCAACACTTTGGGAGGCCAAGGTGGGTGGATCACTTGAGGTCAGGAGTTCGAGACCAGCCTGACCAACATGTGAAACTCCGTCTCTACTAAAAATACAAAAATTAGCCGGGCGTGGTGGCATGTGCCTGTCGTCCCAGCTGCTCTGGAGGCTGAGGCAGGAGGATCTCTTGAACCTGGGAGGCGGAGGCTGCAGTGGGCGGAGATTGTGCCACTGCACTCCAACCTGGGCAACAGAGTGAGACTCTGTCTCAAAAAAACAAAAAACAAAAATCAAACAATAAATACTTCCCTGACTTCCTCATTCTCAGCTTAGCTCATGTTGATTCACATACACACAGAGTCCTTTTCTGCCATCTGAAATAGAATTTAATAAACAATAAAAATTTCAACTTTATAAATGTTAATTCTACATATATCTAGTAAATGCATACTCTGTGCAAAGCACTGTCCCAGACAATGGGAAAACAGTGGCGAACAAGGTGGGCAAGATTCCCTGACCCCATGCATTCCACTCTTTAGCTCAATTATTCTTAGATTGTGATGTAATTCGTGAGAACCTTAAGATTTATTGAGCTATGTGGAACTGATTATTTATCCCTATAGCAAATAATAATTGCATTCTCTTGTGTGTGTGTTTTAAGCAAAGATTAAGTCTCTATAATGTATGTTTTCCTTGTTGGTATCTGTTAGGGGTGTGTGTGTGTGTTTGTGTGTATATGTGTTTGTATGTGTGTGTATGTGTGATTTTATTGTGAACTTAGAGATGAAGCAATCAACATTGTTGGAATTGCGTGTAAAATAAGAGTAAATAGTTTATAGATGTAGGTCAGCTCTAAAGAGTTCTTTTATGAGTTATCTACATACCTTAGTTTAGCTACTTAGGTGATGCTCAGTAACCTTTCTTGACTACTTCCTGGTTTTTATCTATGTCCTAGATAAGTGAGAATTCTGGAGACATTCCAATGTATGTTGCCTTTAAAAAGTCACAATGAGAGGTTTTGCACTTATTTCAGTGACCTGTCAAAGGGCGAAACATTTGGAAGGTATATAATCAGTGAGAAGCTCCAAGCTGGCTACTATTACACCTAAGGAATAGGAAATTGAATTCCTCTTCAGCAAATATTCACCCTCTTACCTCTCTCCCTTGGGGTGAAGTCTACTTCCCTACTTCACTGACTTTTGGTTTGGCCATGTGATTTGACCAGTGGAATTTGAGTAAATGGAATGCAAGCAGAGGCTTTAAATGTGCACACGAGACTTGGCTTGTCCTCTTGCATGCTTAACATTGTGCAGAAAAAATCATGCCCCTGATATTCTCTGCTGCCTCATTCTGGACCCCCAGTTGAAATATGTGGAACATACATAAATCCAATCTTAACCCTACAGCCAAGCCACCCCACTCTCAGCCTGAAGCAGAGCCATCCCAGCTAACCTGTGACCCACAAGTGAGAAAAATATATGCTTGCTGCCATAAGCCACTGAGTTTTGGAGTAGTTTGTTACACGACATTATTGCAGCAATAGCTATCTAATGCACTGAATTCAGAAGGGAAAAATAAGAGTATTGTGGTAGACAAAACAGTGGCCTTCCCAAAGATGTTAATATATTAATTTCTGTGAATATATTATCTTACATGGCAAAAGGAACTTTGCAGAGGTGATTAAGCTAAGGATCTTAAGATAGGGACCCTGGTTAATCACAAAGGTCCTTATCTGAGGGATGTAGGAGACCAGAGTAATAGGAGAGGTGACAATGGAAGCAGAGATCAGAGTGATGTTGCCGTGAGCCAAGGTATATGGACAGTGTCTAGATGCTGTGGAAAGAGAGCTTCTGTAAGGAAAGCAGCATCACGGACACCTTGGTTTTAGCCTTGTAAAATCCATTTCAGAGTTCTGACTACTAGAAGCGTAAGACAAGAAGTTTCTATTGTTTTAAACCACTAAGTTGTCATAGCAGCAACAGGAAACTAATACAAGTATATTAAGATTAAGTGGATAATTATCATTTATCTCCCTGCTCCAGGAAAATATATTTAGAGCAATATATTATGAAGTCATCCTACTAATGTATCCAGAAAGTATCCTTTCCTGAAGTCAATCATCTCTGTGTATTTCTATTAACTTTTCATTCAATATGATAGAAAAATCAACAAGGCATTATTTTTTAAGTAGACTGTGAAATATCATCCCAAGGAAGAATAAACATGTAATACACAATAAATCCTTTTAAATTAGTATCAACAGGGTATGAATGAAAGTGGGGTAAAACTTGTCCAAGTTAATTAAATATTAAAATTATAAAATCTTTTTACAAGAAACATAGATGTATTGCATTTAAGTAGTATCAGTAACTAAAATTACACTAACAAAGATCTAGTAGAGGTGCCTAGCTCTTGATGCTTTAAAAATATACCTGCCTATACCTGTAGAGATTTGGGTCTAGAAAGGGCAAGAAGGGTTAAGGGTTGGGGAATTTGTATCTTCTTTATTTTTAAAACATTAGAGAAATGCAAATCAAAACCACAATGAGATATCATTTCATACCAGTTAGAATGGCAGTCATAAAGTCAGGAAACAACAGATGCTGGCGAGGATGTGGAGAAATAGGAATGCTTTTACACTGTTGGTGGGAATGAAAATTAGTTCAACCATTGTGGAAGACAGTGTGGTGATTCCTCAGGGATCTAGAACCAGAAATACCATTTGACTCAGCAATCCCATTGCTGGGTATATACCCAAAGGAATATAAATCATTCTACTATAAACACACATGCACATGTATGTTTATTGCAGCACTATTTACAATAGCAAAGACTTGGAACCAACCCAAATGTCCATCAGTGATAGACTGGATAAAGAAAATGTGGCACATATACACCATGGAATACTATGCAGCCATAAAAAAGAATGAGTTCGTGTCCTTTGCAGGGACATGGATGAAGCCGGAAACCATCATTCTCAGCAAACTAACACAGGAGCAGAAAACCAAATACCACATGTTCTCACTCATAAGTGGGAGTTGAACAATGAGAACACATAGACACAGGGAGGGGAACATCACATACGGGGTCCTGTCGGGGGGTGGGGGGCAAGGGGAGGGACAAACAACTAATGCATGTGGGGCTTAAAACCTAGATGATGGGTCAATAGGTGCAGCAAGCCACCATGGCACAAGTATGTCTATTTAACAAACCTACACATTCTTCACATGTATACCAGAACTTAAAGTAAAATTTTTAAAAAAGCAAAAAAAAATTTTCTATAATTTTCAAACATACATTAAAGTATGGAATAGTTTCTTAACTTTGGGAGATTACAAAATCTCACCTAGATTTAATAATTATTAATACTTTGCTATATTTACTTCATGTATTATAAATACTTTTTACCATGAAAAATTTCAAACCTAACTAAAGAATATAGTACAATGAACCACTATGTTTCATCGCCCAGTTTTAAAAATCACCAACTCATCTAAGCTTGTTTCACCAGTACTGTCTCTCACTCTATTCACCCCGAGGGATTATTTAAAAGCAAACTGCAGATATAGTTTTTAAAAGAAATGTTTCAACCTCCATTGCGAAATGATAAAGGAGTCTTTTAAAAAACATAAGTATGCTGATAGCATCACACCTAATAAAACTAACAATAATTTTTAATATGTTCACAGAACTAGTTAACCAGTTCAGATTTTGTATCATTTCTATTTTTAATAAACTCCACAGAGATTTTCTGCTCTCCCATGGTTGTGAATCACTACATTAAGAACCATTTTATAATATGATATTATAGAGGAACAAGAGAAGTACATGAAGGCTTGAAGATGCTCAAACTCAGCTTTTCCACTGAACGGTTTCATATATGCATATTGAATGTTTATTAACATTTAATGGATCAATTACTTATTTAATTCTTACTATGTCTTATGAGAGGTTAGAAAAAAGGTGAAAGGTATGGTTTCTGACCTGCAGGAGAGGTGAAACAAAGCAAAGAGAATTGAACCTCCAGGAGAGGTGAAATAAAGCAAAGAGAATTAGATAGAAAGAGGGCACAGTTTTTTAAAAAATTAAATTCAATTTTATTCTAAGTTCTGGGATACATGTGCAGGACGTGCAGGTTTGTTACATAGGTAAACATGTGCCATGGTAGTTTGCTGCACCTATTGACCAATCACCTATGTATTAAATCACCTAGGTATTAAGCCCGCAAGCATTACCTATTTATCCTGATGCTCTCACTTGCTGCCCCTATGACCCCGCCAGGCCCCAGTGTGTGTTGTTCCCCTCCCTGTATCCATGTGTTCTTATTGTTCAGCTCCTACTTATAAGTGAGAACATGCAGTGTTTGGTTTTTCTGTTCCTATGTTAGTTTGTTGAGGATAATGGCTTCAAGCTCCATCCACGTCCCTGCAAAAAAGATGATCTCATTCCTTTTTATGGCTTCCTAGTATTCCATGGTGCATATATACCACATCTTCTTTATCCAGTTTATCATTAATGGGTATTTCAGTTGATTTCATGTCTTTGCTATTGTGAATAGTGCTGCAGTGAACATACGCATGTATGTATCTTTATAATAGAATGATTTATATTCCTTTGGGTATATACCCAGCAATGGGATTGCTGGGTCAAATGGTATTTCTGGTTCTATGTCTTTGAGGAATTAGAAGGCACAGTTTAAGATGGGCAGGTGACTATGAGAGTTCCTGGGGTGGGGGTCAGGAGTCAGAACATACATAACTGCCAGAGGTGGGCAGCCGCTCTGCATCCTACGTAGGTAAGTTCTGCTAGTAGGATCTGGAAGCCAGGTCAAGGCCAGGTGGTAGGTGAGGAATTCAGCCTGTAAGGAAGCAGGGTTGTGAAATTCCTATGGAGAAACTAGAAACCCGCAGAGGCTGGCTCAGAGCTGTGGCTCTGGTGTGATGCCCTACCAAAGGCGGTCTGAGCTCTTGGCATTGTGTGGACATTCATACTAAATGCAGGTATAGTATATGTATGCATTACCTATACCAGATGTACAAATCCTGCCATGGCAGGAAGTGATCTCAGAGTGGCCAGAGGTGGGATCCCTGCAGGGTCTCTGACCGGAGGTGGCACTGTGGGGCTGAGGAAAAGTTCCTTCATCTAGTCATGATCAGAACAGCTTGCAGGAACACCTCCTGCTCACGAGGCACTTCTGACCTGCTATCTGGATGATTCTGCTGTTTGTGGGAGTGGGGGGCACAGAAGGCAGCCACAGTGGAGAGCACCTGCTTCGTCTTTCCTCCTTCAGTCCCCACCCCTTATATGGGAGAAGTGCACCCTGGGAAAGGAAGGGGCGGGGCAGGGACACCGCTGAGGGGCTTCTTTACTGAGCCTCAGTTTCTGGTCAAGCTCCTGGCTACAGAATTCAGATCACCAGGCAACAACAGGGACAGGCAGGATAGGAACCCAGAGCCTCCAAATCCAAGACCTCATGGGACCCTGGTCCATTCCTTTCTAAATATAAAATTGAAGTAATTACTGATCAAACGTGCCACTGAGATGAATAATGAAAAGCTAATAATTGTTTTCCTTCCCTTTTTAAGAAACACACCACACTCAGACACCCATTTACAGATATTTTCAGTTAAAATGTCACATAATATTTGTTATATCAGCAGGAGAATGGAAATTGAGTTGGCAGTGAAGCATTGCAGTGACAACTGTTACCTTGGAAACTGTAGTAAGCAATCATAATTACAATTAGCAAGACTCCCACAAAGTATACATAAATATTCTCGTGCCAGAGACAAGTGCCACAGACACCAGACAGCAGAGTAAACTGTGGGACCCTCTTTTCTTTCTCTTTGACATGTCCTTGTGGATACTAAAGTTCTATTAAGAGATATTGCAGCTTCTTTGAATTTAGGTGAATATATTTTCTGATGTGCTGGCTTGGGGGCTTCTAACATAATGACATTTGACATATAGCAGATTACATGGAAGCTTCAACTGAACCTTACTTGCAGTACAACCAGCCTTGAATGGACTTTTAAACAAAGCCTGACCTCAGAAGAAAATAAGGCAATTGTAAATAATAAATGGTGCTGTAGCACAATTATAAGGGTGCTCTAGGGAAAAGTGTTGTGGCACAGAAGGAATGGTTAAAACGTGTGATTTAATCATTCACTGCTACTTGACTCTTGGTTTTTTCTTTATTGCCATGGAAGTGTTCCCTTTGATTCAGACTTCACTGTCAAATTGAAAGAAGTCGGGGAAGAGTGAGTGATAGATTTGTTCTCATTCGGGCGCACTAGGAGTGTCCCGTCCTTTGAGAATTCTGTCATGAACAAGGGAGAAAAGGCAGTTAAGTCAGGAGTGTGAGCAAATCTGTATTTCTATACACTTGAGGGACAAAGCTTTCAAGGTAAATATATCTTCATAGCAGGACCATTGTTATTTTCAGGGCCACAGGGCATGCCCCAAACTCCATTCTCCTGAACACAGTAGAGTGTTCTGTTCAGCTTGTCTGAACATGTTGGTTGCCTGGGCTTTTCAGATAAACGCATGTTGTGAGTGGTTGCCACGATGTGAAGGGTAACAAGGGGAAGAAATGTTGACATGCTTCCTTTGAGAGCAGAGATCTTGACCTAAGCTTTAAAGAAGTTTGCTAAAATGAGTAATAGAAAGTGACCTTGGCATAGATACTAAAATAATTGGAAGAACTCATATTTCAGGCAGCAGCATCTATCTAGAGAGTATGGGGGAAGAATGGTCGAAGCATGGACAGTGGGGGATGGCAAACTGTCTTCCTCTCTCTAGGGAATGTTCAGTCAAGTCCTGTATGTGTACTTCCCACAGGATCCCTGTTCTTTTAGTGACAGAGGCTATGTTGGGTAGACTGCCCGCCTCTGACCTGTGCATTATGAACTTGCGCCTGCCATCTGGATGCATCTGCTCTTCAGGAGGGGTAGTATCTGCTGGAACAAGAGGCAGCCAGGACACTTTGCTTTTTCTCCCTCAGACCTCCAACCCTTGTCACTCCAGACTGCCTGCCTCTGAGAATAAAGGGTGACTGGCATTGTGTGGGGTTCTGTCAGTCACTACTGGGTTACAAACCAGACAAATGAAGTGTGCTAAGTTCCTCGCATCACAGTTTGCTCCAAGGTAGGGAAGCTTGTTTCAGCTAAAATGAGAACTTCATGCCTTACTTTGTGCTACAACTGGAAGTGTAATTGCTTATTTGAAGTCCAACACCATGCTCAGTTCTCTAGGAGAGACAAAAGTCAGATGTCAGAGCATCTTCCTGTAAAAAAAGTTCATGATCTAGTTGGGGAGAAGGGATTAGGACCCTCAGACATCTAGTAAAGCACATGGTACCAACTGGGGTCAAGTGTGGAAATGTTGAGCCCGATGAAGTACAGCAAAGGGGTGATGGGTAAGGACTGGGATTGCTAAAAAGGCTTCAAGCAGCTGGGACTTGGGAAGGCCTTGCACTTTGGTAGGGCTTTTAGAGACAGGTGATATCTGTGTGTGTGGAGGTGGGTGGGCAGTGCTACAGAGCACCAGGAGGAAGTGTCTTTGGGGAAAAAGTCAAAGGGGACTAGAGCAGAGCCTGTGGCTGCCATCACTTTAAGAGTTTCCTGTCTATGTGAATGAGGCCCCAAACCATTACCTCTGGGCTTTGACTGCCCAAATCTCTACCACCTGTTGGAATCTCCACCTAGACGACTCACCAGCTCCACTCTAACTCTGACCTCAGCAACTTGATTCTCTCAATACCTTTTCTATCTTGACTCCCCTGTTATTTTTTCCCGTCCACCTCCTCTTTCTTTCCTATGCCTTCTTTATTAACCGTGATTAACTACAGAGTCTATGCATATAATAGTCTATTACTATGATCAGTCCTTCTATGCATATAATAGTCTATTACTATGATCAGTCCTTAAATAATGATCCTAAAGTTATGTAAGACACAGAATCATCTGGAGTATAACTCTAGACTGCCAATAATCAAAGATCTATGTGCTTAATACTTTATCATTTTGAAAACTTATGTTTATTAGAGAAATATATGCATTTGGTAAAAAAGAAAATCACAGAGAACAGAAGAATTTATAATGAAAAGAAACAATCTTTCAATCCTTCTTTCTCCATTGCAGTCCCATTCTCCAGAAGCAACCTCTTTTATGTTCAAGCCTTCTAATGATTACGTCCAAACTTCTAAATAATGACTTCCATTTCTTGATTTTTAAAAAAATTTTGACAATATATGTTGACTCTCGGTCATGAAAGATGAGGACTTAACTCATTTATATTACACCCCACCTTTCCATCTTTGCAGTATTTGACCTTTACATTGTTATTTTTGAGTGATTTTATTGGATAACATTGCAATATTAGGCACCATATTTATATCTCTATTTTTTCCTCTTTACTGAATATCTCTATGCCACGCCTCCCCTGCAAATTCCCACCTCATCTCAGCCTTGTCTAACTTTTACATTGTCAAGATGGTTAACATTTACATTTGTTCTGAAACCATAATTAACTCTCATGAGTTTTTGCTATGGATTGAAAACCAAAAATCAGCATTTACATTATCATACCTACGTGAATATTGTTCACTGCAGAGCCAAGTTGTATGTTAGGATTGTGTTTTCTTCTGTAATAGCCTAATGAAATGTCCTCTGGGTTACTCAAGATAGAATTGTTGTAGCATCAAGGTCAAAAGGTTTCTCTTGCCTTACTTTGCAACAATTGCTTAAAGTCATAGAATGTTTCACGACTGAACCGCACATTTCTCAAACATCTTTTGATTATTGTTTCTGTTGCCTTCCTCCCTCGGTTTTAATGGACTTATATTGCTCATTTATATTTAAAAGTAAAAGATTAAGAAGCTAATATGGATTTCCTCTGTCCTCTGGAGAAAGATCTTGCGCCTGATGGCCATGCATAAATATACTGGGGTATATCACTGTCAGGCTTAGCTCTGGGATGAACAGGCTGGGAGCCCCTCCTCAGGTCACAGTGAGAGAGACGCTTCTGAGCAAAACATCCAACACAGAACCATTGCTTCTTCCAGTCAATAGTTTGTTCAATTTCCTTAAATAGGAGCTTTCCTGAATTTTTTTGGAGATAAAAGCTGGGCTGCCTGTAGCAAGATGGGAAAGGAAAGGGATATGGCATTCCCTAATACAAATGTTTTGTGTATAGACATTCTAAGAAGCCTTCTGATAGCCTCTGACTTCCAATATTCCCCCTGTCTTACGTGACTGCTCTAAGCTTGGAGCCCTACAAAGGCTACTTGAGCAGATCAGGTTCCACCTTCTCTGCAACCCCCTCAATCAGATGTTTTGGGCTGTTGGTTTCATGTTTCTGTTTCATCTATCAGCAGGCTTCCATACTTTCTATTTTCCAGAAATTTGTTGAAATCTCTCATCTGTCAATGCAATAGATTGAATGATTGTGTCCCCCTCCAAATTTCATATGTTGAAATCCTAACCCTCAAAGTGATAGTATTAGAAAATGAAGCCTTTGGGAGTGACATAGGCCATGAGGGTGGAGCCCTCATCTATGGGATTGGTGCTCTTATAAAAGAGACTTCAGAGAGCTTTCTTCTTCTCTTTCTGCCATGTAAGGATACAATGAGAAACAGGTGATCTGCAACCCAGAAGAGAGCCTTTATCAGAACCCAGTCATGATGGTACTCTGATCTCGGACTTCCATCCTCCAGAGCTGTGACATTCTCCAGAACAGAAAATAAATTTGTGTTATTTATAAGTCACTCAGTCTATGGCACTTTGTTGTAGCATCCTTAAGTGACTAAGACAATTACCCACTTTCCTGTTCTTTTCCAGGGTTTGGAAAATGAATGGAACAAAACTTACCCTCATGAATAAGAAAAGTCACACTTCTCTTCAGTTTTGAACCCCACTTTTTCCTCTTTATCTCTAAAACATTTAAGTCTGTATTAGTTTTCTATTGCTGTGGTAACAAATTACTGTACACTTAGTGACTTTAAACAACACAAATTTATTTTCTGCTCTAGAGGCCAAAAGTCAGAAATGAGTTTTACAGGACTACAATTAAGGTGTAAAGTCAAGGGCTAGTTTCTTCTAAAGCCTCCAAGAGAGAATCTGTGTCTGGCTTCTTCCAGTTTCTGGCAGGTGCCAGTATTCTTTGGCTCATGGTTGCATCATTCCAGCCTCTTGCCTCCATTGTCACATCTCCTACTTCCTCTTCTGTGGTCAGAATTTCCCTCTGCCTTCCTTTTATAAGGACACTACCTGGATAATCAGGGATAATCTCCCCATCTCAAGGATCCTTAACTATCGCAGCTGCGAAGTCCTTTTTGTCATGGAGTAGCATTCACAGGCTCCAGGGAGAAGGACCTGGATATCTTTGAGGGCCATTTTCTAGCCTTCCACAGTCTTCCTTGGTGTCTTCCTTTCTGGGCCACACACATTCAATCAGTAACTAAGTCCCATCGACTGACTAGTCCAGTGGCTCTCAACTTGTTGCATATTACAATCACCTGTAGAGCTTTAAAAAATACCATAGATCTTGGCTCCATTTTGAGGCTGAGAGTTAGAATTTCCGGGAAGTTAGATCTGGGCTTTTTTTTTTTTTTTAAAAAAAAAACTTTTTGTTTTGATAAAAATTCAAACTTACTGAAAAGTTGCAAGAAAGGTACAAATAACTCACACAGACACTTGATTCACCAATTGTTTACATTTTGCACCATTTACTGTATCATTCTCAATAACTCTCAATTTTTTCTAAACCCCTTGAGAATCTATCACTACTAAATATTCTTCAGTTTGTACTTCCTGAGAATAAGAACATCCTCTTTCATAACTACAATACCATGGCAAAAATCAGGAATTTAACATAGATACAATACAGTTTGCTTTCCCACCAGGGATATATGGGATGGTATCAGGATTGCAATCCATGCTTTTTTATTGCTTCCATTTGTCTGGAAAAATCTTTGCCTATTCCTTTGCTTTTAGTCTTTCTAAATTACTTTGTATTAATTGTGTTTCTGGTTTAAAGCATATAGTTGAGTCTTGTTTGTGAGCCAAATAGAAAATCTTTTAGCAAGTGAGTTAAGTCTATGCATATTTATTGACAAAGATGATGTGTCAGTTTTAACTCTGTCACATTATTTTATGTTATTATTGATGGCAGTGGCGGCCCATCTGGAATGGCTGCTGCGAAGACGCCAGCTGCAGCAGGGGAGGCATGGCCAGGACTGTGTGCTCTATGGAGCCAGCAGGGGCTAGGAACAGGTGGGATCCCTGCCCCCTACCAAGTTGGCAGGGCGGAAACCCTGTGCTCCTGGGTGCAGCAGAGCTGCCCAGCTGTGGCTCTGAACTCGGGCATCCCTGTGCTTTCAGGGGTCTGGGAAGCACCCTCTGCCCCTGCAAGCTCAGAAGTGCATGCTCCTGCTCCCTGGCCTCTCCCCACTCCCAGTGCCAACTCTAATTTTGGAGCAAAGCTGTGGCTGAGCCTGGGTGCTGTCACAACCTGGCCAGGTGTGCACATGCTCAGGGCAGCACTGACACACAATCCAGCTGCCACCGCCTTGGCCCCCTCCAGACTTTGGACACCAACAAGCATGGGGTCAGGGGTGCTGAAGGCAGCTCAGTGTGGGCCTGCAGGCACCCCTTGGTGCAAATAGCCTTGGTGCTGTGGATGGCATGTTGATGGTGGGTGCAGACAGGTTCCTGGGTGGAAAGGGGTGGGTACCCAGTGAAACCCCACCTTCAAGCCAGGGCTGACCTGAAGCCTCGGGGCTGGGCTGCCAGTTCCTGGTAGAGTCTGCACCTGGAATGAGAACTTATGGTGCTTTTTCTGGGCCCGCATATGGCCACTGATGGACGAATAAGCATGCACTTTCTCCCTTCTGAGCCCATAAAAACCCCAGACTCAGCCAGACTCACACAAACATTGGACTACCAGCTGTGGCAAGGAGGTACCCACTTCTCATCTCCTTGACTCTTCAGGATGATCTGCCTGCAGAAAGTAGCTATCCACTGTGGGTCTCCTCTCTGCTGAGAGCTGGACACTTGTCAGGGTGATCTGCCTGTGGAAAGGAGCTACCCTCTTTGGGTCTCCTGAGAGCTGTTCTGTCACTCAGTGAAGCTTCTCTCTGCTTTGCTCACCCTCCAATTGTACCTCATTCTTCCTGGATGTGGGATAAGAACTTGTGACCTGCCGAATGGTGGGACTGAAAGCTGTAACGGAAACAGGGCTGAAACATGCCCCCTGCTCACCATGTTGTGGATGACAAGAAGAGAAGAGCTATGGCCCTTTGGGAAGCCCGGACCTAGGGCATCCCTGAGCCAGAGCTGTGACACCCTCTTTGGGGCTCTGTGGTTCCTGGCATCTCCAGGCTTCCAGGTGCCACTGAGTTCCCCTTTTCCAGGCGTGGGTGCACACAGCAGAAGCCATGTGTGGTACATCTGGTCCAGCTGCAGCCTCGCACAGAGCCAGCACCTGTGCTGGTGCCTGAAGCTGTCCACCCCATCACAGCAACCAGCATGCCTGGCTGTGCGCAGTGGTCAGATCCCGTGCTTGCTCACTCGCTCCCACACCCTTTGCTGCTTCTCAACTGGCTCACCCTTGGCAGATGTGGCATCTGGGTTGGTAGTAGGAACCAAGCACAGCCTGCCAGGTTGAGTTGGGGGAATGAGCCCAGTGGGCACAAGCAAAACCCAAGTAGAGGCACCACCAGCCACAGAGGTTTCTGGCTGGCAAAGTGATACCCTAAAGAGCTTGTGACATTATTCTTATGTTTGTTATGTTACATTAGCTGTGTTTACCTACACAATTTGTTTTCATTCATTTTAGATTTTTAAATTACTTTAATATTCAGTATGATGTATATTTTTGTTTTAGAGATTATCTTTGTACTTACATCTTTAAAAAATGTCCTTAGTCACACTCATTAGAGTGGCTACATAAAACAAAAAATAACAAGTGGTGAGAATATGGAGAAGTTGCAACCCTTGTGCACTGTTGATCAGATTGTAAAATGATGCAACTGCTATGGAAAACAGTATGGTAGTTACTCAAAAAATTGAAAATAGAACTACTAGCAATCCTAACTCTGGGTGTATACCCAGAAGGATTGAAAGCAGGGTCTTAAAGACATATTTGTACATTCATGTTCATAGAAGCACTTTTGAAAATAGCCAAGAGGTGGAAACAACCCAAATATCCATCAGTGTATGAATCAATAAACAAAATGTGGTGTATATATATATATATATATACAATGGAATTCTCTGCAGCCTTAAAAAAAGCTACAACATGATGAACTTTGAGGACACTATGTGAAGTGAAATAAACCAGCTATAAATAGACAAATACTGTATAATTCCACTTATATGAGGTATCTAAAGTAGTCAAATTCATAGATATAAAAAGTAAAATGGGTTGGGCACAATGGCTCACACCTGTAATCCCAACACTTTGGGATGCTAAGGTGGGAGGACCACTTGATCCCAAAGGCTTTGAGACCAGTCTGGGCAACATAGTAAGATCCCATCTCTACAAAAAATAAAAAGTTTACCAGGCTTGGTGATGCATCCCTGTAATCCCAGCCACTTCAGTGGCTGAAGTGAGAGGATCACTTGAGTCCAGAAGATCAAGGCTGCAGTGAACTATGATTGTCTCATTGCACTCCAGCCTGAGCAACAGAGTGAGACCTAGTTTCTAAAAAAAACTGTTGTTAGTCCCCCCTTTTTTATTATTATACTTTAAGTTCTGGTATACATGTGTAGAAAGTCCCCTGGTTTTCATTTGACTTTTTCTATTTAGTTTTTTTTTTTTTAGTTAAGTTTTAAATCGTACTTTACCTCCCACCTCTGGTATATACAATAGTCAATGAGCTTAAGCATTAGTGGTTTTTCAAATATCTCCAGGTGATGCTGTTATACAGCTAGAGCTGAGAATCACTGAGCAGCCCCCCCACCCATTCTTTCCCTTCCTGTCTTATATCATGATTCTATTATAGTTTTCATCTCTCTTACATACTGTAAACTGCCTTATCTGCCTTTTCCCAGACTGTTTATTCAATTCTGTCTAAATACTATGCCCAGAGTAATCTTCCAAAAGTTCCACTTCGTGTCACTTTCTCCCCTCATAAAAAATTATCAATGTTGCTGGGTGCGGTGGCTCATGCCTGTAATCCCAGCACTTCGAGAGGCTGAGGCGGGTGGATTGCCTGAGTTCAGGAATCCGAGAATAGCCTGGGCAACATGGCGAAACCCTGTCTCTACTAAAATACAAAAAACTTAGCTGGGCATGGTGGTGTGTGCCTGTAGTCCCAGCTACTTGGGAGGCTGAGGCAGGAAAGTTGCTTGAACCCGGGAGGCAGAGGTTGCAGTGAGCTGAGATCGTGCCACTGCACTCCACCCTGGGCGACAGAGCGAGACTCCATCTCCAAAATAAAATAAAATAAAATAAAAAATGTCAGTGTTTTTTTCTGTGGCCTCAAAGATTGAATAGGTGAATCGATTTGAGTCCTAGCTGAGCCACTGGATTAGTCCATTTTCATGTTGCTGATAAAGACATACCCAAGACTAGGCAATTTACAAAAGGAAGAGTTTTAATGGACTCACAGTTCCACGTGGCTGGGGAGGCCTCAAAATCATGGTGGAAGGTGAAAGGCACATCTCACATGGCAGCAGACAAGAGAAGAGAACTTGTGTGGGGAAGCTCCCCTTTATAAAACCATCAGATCCTGTGAGACTTACTATCATGAGATTAGCATGGGAAAGACCCACCCCCATGATTCAATTACCTCCCACCGGTTCGCTCCCACAACACTTGGAAATTGTGGGAGCTACAACTCAAGATGAGATTTGGGTGGGGACACAGCCAAACCATATCATTCCACCCCTGGCCCTTCCCACATCCCATGTCCTCACATTTCAAAACAAATCATGACTTCCCAACAGTCCTCCAAAGTCTTAACTCATTTCAGCATTAACTCAAAAGTCCACAGTCCAAAGTCTTATTTGAGACAAGGCACGTCCCTTCCACCTATGAGCCAGTAAAATAAAAAACAAGTTAGCTACTTCCTAGATAAAATGAGGATACTGGCATTGGATGAATACACCCATTCCAAATGGGAGAAACTGGCCAAAACAAAGGGGCTAAAGGCCCCATGCAAGTCCAAAATCCAGTGGGGCAGTCAAATCTTAAAGCTCCAAAATGATCTCCTTTGACTCCAGGTCTCACATCCAGGTCACGCTGATGCAAGAGATGGGTTTCCATGGTCTTGGGCAGCTCTGCCCCTGTGGCTTTGCAGGGTACAGCCTCCCTCCCGGCTGCTTTCACAGGCTGGCATTGAGTGTCTGCAGCTTTTCCAGGCGTCTGGTGAAAGCTGTTGGTGCATCTACCATTCTAGGGTCTGGAGGATGGTGGCCCTCTTCTCACAGCTCCACTAGATGGTGCCCCAGCAGGAACTCTGTCTGGATGCTCCCAACCCCACATTTCCCTTCTGCATTGCTCTAGCAGAGGTTCTCTATGAGGGCCCTGCTCCTACAGCAAACTTCTGCCTGGGCATCCAGGTGTTTCCATACATCCTCTGAAATCTAGGCAGAGGTTCCCAAACTTCAATTCTTGACTTCTGTGTACCCACAGGCTCAACACCAGATGGAAGCTGCCAAGGCTTGGGACTTGCACCTTCTGAAGCAATGGCCTGAGCTGTACCTTGGCCCCTTTTAGCCATGGCAAGAGTGGCTGGGATGCAGGGCACCAAGTCCCTAGGCTGCACACAGCAGGGGGACCCTGGACCTGGCCCACGAAACCATTTTTTCCTCCTAGGCTTCTGGGCCTGTGATGGGAGGGGCTGCCACAAAGGTCTCTGTCATGCCCTGGAGACATTTTCCCTATTGTCTTGATGATTAACATTTGGCTCCACATTACTTAAGCAAATTTTCTGCAGCTGGCTTTAATTTCTCCTCAGAAAATGGGATTTTCTTTTCTATAGCATTGTCAGGCTGCAAATTTTCTGAACTTTTATGCTCTGTTTCCCTTTTAAAATGGAATGCCTTTAACAGCACCCAAGTCACCTCTTGAATACTTTGCTGCTTAGAAATTTCTCCCACCAGATCCCCTAAATCATGTCTCTCAAGTTCAAAGTTCCACAAATCTTTAGGGTGGGGGCAAAATGCCGCCAGTTCTTTGCTAAAACATAACAAGAGTCACCTTTGCTCCAGTTCTTAACAGGTTTCTCATCTCCATCTGAGACAACCTCAGCCTGGATTTCATTGTTTATATCATTATGAGCATTTTGGTCAAAGCCATTCAACAGTCTCTAGGGAATTCCAAACTTTCCCACATTTTCCTGTCTCCTTCTGAGCCCTCCAAACTGTTTCAATCTCTGCCTTTTACCCAGTTCCAAAGTCGCTTCCACATTTTCGGGTATCTTTTCAGCAGTGCCCCACTCTACTGGTACTCATTTACTGTAATAGTCTGTTTTCACATTGCTGATAAAGACATACCCAAGATTGGGCAATTTACAAGAGTAAAAGGTTTAATGGACTCACAGTTCCATGTGGCTGGGGAGGCCTCACAATCATGGCAGAAGGTGAAAGCCACATCTCATGTGGCAGCAGACAAGAGAAGATAATTTGTGTGGGGATACTTCCCTTTATAAAACCATCAGATTTTGTGAAATTTATTCACTATTATGAGAATAACATGGGAAAGACCCACCCACATGATTCAATTACCTCCCACTGGTTCCCTCCCACAACATGTGGGAATTGAGGGAGCTACAATTCAAGATGAATTGGGTTGGGACACAGCCAAACCATATCAGCCACTTACCAGTTATGTGACCTTTGTTTAGGTAATTTAAGGGGCTAACATGTTGCTGGATCATAGTAGCTGTTCAATAAACATCTTTCCATTCTTCCTTCTTCAAACTCTGGTATCCCATCATTTCTGTCCACCCATCCACTCCCTACACTCACCCTCTCACAGCTCTCTTGGGGTTTTAAAATCAGACTTATCTTTTAAGATGAAATTCAAGCACCATCTCTTGCCTAAACACTTCATCCAGAAATTACTGCTTCCCTCTGAGCACCTGTGATACTCTCTAGCAGGTGGAATCTTTTAGTGACTATTATGTTCTTTCTCTTTACAAAAATGTAAATAAAATTGATTAAATGGAAACAGAAACCAAGGGACAGGTGAAGGCAGGAGCACACCAAATTCACACTATCAGAGAATCGAGGAGTCACATAATCTGCCTTGGAAACTTGTGGTCTTGTTTTAACACTCACAGTCCCATGTCACTCATCCCCCTTATATGCTGTGGCAAGTTATACATTTCACAAACCTATTGTACTGAAAGCTCTTTGAGGACAGGGATTGTGTCTTAGGCATCTCTGTACTTGATACATTGTTGGAAAGCAATCAATATTTCTTCTGTAATATGATCTACCTATCTAATAATAGCTGACACTTATTGCATGCTTATTATCTACTTGGCTGTGCTCTAAGTGCTTTACATTAAATCTTCCCATAGCATATAAGGATGATCCTGTTATTAGCTTCATTTTACCATTATTAGGATCTGAAACAGGTTCAGAGAAGTGAAATAACTTGCCCAAGTTTGCACAGCAAGTATGTGGCAGAGGCTGGCTGGGATATGAATATGAAGTATGTCTTCAGAATTCATGCTACCCTGCCTACTACTGCCTCTCACCAGTGGACTTAACTATACAGCTACAAATTATAATTGTTCATATTTTGTTCCCAGATGTAGACCATATTAATATTTTCTGTTTGAATGAATTTCTAAGCAAATGAATGTCAATGATCCCCTCTGTGTTGACCAGGTGGACTTGAGTGACTTTTGGGGTCAGCACTTCTGTATTTTAAAGTCAACCCTGCCACCTACTTGATGTGTGGCCTTGAACAAGTCACTTAACCTTTCCTGTTTCTCATCTCCACCTTCTATCATTAGGCATTTACATAGGATTTGTTGCCATAGAAATAGAAAATAATACTGACCTATCTTGCAGGAGTGAGTGTCATGGGGATTAACTAATTTACAGCTGTGAAGAGCTTTCAACATATGAACTGCTAAACAAGTGTGAGATCGTAAAGAGAATTTAAAACACCATCAGCTTGTGGAGCGTGCCCATTTGATGCCTATCATTATATGTTTAACTGTTAGTATTACTACTCATAATAAACTTTTATGAGGTACTTTAGGTGGTTGAAGTGTTTTTATGAGAGCTAATTTGTTGTTCCAACCAGCTCTATGAGGTAGGTCAGTATTTTTGTCATCCTTGTTTTGGAAATTACATTAAATCGGTACATGCATCATTAATAAAAATCTTAAACTTCTTGATATTTGGAAGCATTTTGTGATTGAAGACAATTCTCACATGGTGATCACACCTAACACAAAGCTCCAATGGTAGGGCAATGGGAGAGTGAATTATACTTTTGGTTCTCAATACAACATGGCAAAACCTTTTATTTGGAATTATTTAGATGTTTACACACTAACTCTGTGGCAGTTCTTGTGTTAGCTTCTTCTGTGTATTTGTCAGGGTGCATTTAGAAAAACTGAGCTGACTCTAGATATTTCACACTGAAGAAGTTTAATGCAAGAAATTGGTTACACATGTTTTGGATGGGCTATAAGAGCAAGTGGAAGGATTAGGTGCTGGGAGAGCAATTAAAAAGAAGAGGTCACACCCAGAAAATTAGTTACTTCAGGAATCAGTCTCACTTCCAGGGTTGGGGAAGAGAAGGGAGGAGGTAAATTTACTAGAATCCAGGGACATTACTTGCTGCTGGGCTGGATCCATGGAGAGGAGCCCACTGCAGGAGTCAGAATCACAGAAGGGAGGCAGTCACCTCCAAACCTGCAGCCAGGGCAAGAAAGATGGACATCTTCACCCCTGCTCCCTCCCTCTAATATTGCAGACTTATAGAAAGTAAGAGGCCAGGGAGCCTGGGAAATAAGGGATGTAGGTTTCTAGCTCCAGGCCCATACAGCAACAGAATAGATAAGGGTGGATGCAGGGCTGAGAGACAGCAGGTACGCAACTGGCCCCATTTGTAAGTCCACTAATTTTTCCTTGGAGGCTCAGAGATAATCAGAAATTTCCTCCAAGACCTTTACACCAGCAAGCGGTGGGCCTGCTAGTTGCCCACCCAGGTTTGCCAACCAAAAGAGTAATGTGTGTTCCAAGTGCCATACTTATCTCCCTTAGCCTTAGTGTGCTCACTTTTCCAATAGGGCTCTAGTGGCAGGTAGTAAGAATGTTCATCTCTAACTACCTTCAAGGTAGGATAAGGATCAAGTTAAATCATGTACATTAAAGCAAATTTACAAGAAAAAAACAAACAACCCCATTAAAAAATGGGCAAAAGACATGAACAGGCACTTTTCAAAAGAAGACATACATGTGGCCAACAAGCATGTGATAAAAAGCTCAGTATCACTGATCAATAGAGAAATACAAATCAAAACTACAATGAGATGCCATCTCACACCAGTCAGAATGGCTATTAATACAAAGTCAAAAAATAACAGATGCTGGTGAGATTTCAGAGAAAATGGAATGCTTATACACTGTTGGTGGGAGTGTAAATTAGCTCAGCTATTGTGGAAAGCAGTGTGGCAATTCCTCAAAGAGCTAAAAACATTCCACCCAGCAATTCCATTACTGGATATATACCCAAAAGAATATAAACTGTTCTGTCATAAAGACACATGCATGCACATGTTCATTGCAGCACTATTCACAATAGCCAAGATATGGAATCAACCTAAATGCCCATCAATGGTAGACTGAATAGAGATAATGTGTGATATGGTTTGGCTCTGTGTCCCCACCCGAATTTCATCTTGTAGCTCCCATAATTCCCATGTGTTGCGGGAGGGACCCGGTGGGAGATGATTGAATTATGGGGCGGGTCTTTCACATGCTGTTCTCGTGATAATGAATAAGTTGCATGAGATCTGATGGTATTATAAAAGGAGTTTCCCTGCACAAGCTCTCTTTGCCTGCTGCCCTCCATGTAAGATATGACTTGCTTCTCCTTGCCTTCTGCCATGATTATGAGGTCTCCCCAGCCACATGGAACTGTGAGTCCAATTAAACCTCTTTCTTTTGTAAATTGCCCAGTCTCGGGTAAGTCTTTATCAGCAGCATGGAAACAGACTAATACAATGTGGTACATATACATCATGGAATACTATGCATCCATAAGAAGAATGAGATCATGTTCTTTGCAGGAACACAGATGGAGCTGGAGGCCATTATCTTTAGCAAGCTAACACAGGAACAGAAAACAAAATATCGCATGTTCTCATTTATAAGTGGGAGCTAAATGATGAGAACACATGGACACAAAAGGTGGAACAACAGACACTGAGACCTACCTGTGGGTGGAGAGTGGGAAGAGGGAGAGGATCAGAAAAATTAACTATTGGGTACTAGGCTTAGTACTTGGGTGATGAAATTATCTGTACAATAAACCCCCATGATATGAGTTTACCTGTATGACAAACCTGCACATTTGCCCCTCAACCTGAAATAAAAGTTTTAAAAAGTAAAAAATAAAAGCACATGATTAATGCTAATGCAATCCACAAATGTAAGTTAGTATTGCTATTTGGAAATAATTTTTACCAAGGTTTACAAAAATGTTTACAAAGATAAATCCAGGATTATTAAGATGAGACTTCTCTTCCCTTAAAATGAAGTTGAAGCTCTTCAAATTAAGACTGTGGCTGAAAATTGAGTGTCTATGTGTGTGTGTGTGTGGGGGGGGGGGGGGGGTCAATTTTCAGTTGGTGATTGCTGTTCTTGTTGGATTCATGTGAGTCTTTACAAAACAGGCTAAAGCATTACCTACAGCTTCTAATGTATCCTGATAGGCTTTACAAAATGTTGCCAGGTTTCAGTCATGCAACCCTTACTTTTAAACAATAACTTGTTGTTGCATTATTATTAATAATCCCATTGTATAGAAAAGGAAACTAAGGTATAACGTGCTCATTAAATAGTCGGTTAAAAATAAATAAATGGACGTTCGTCCTGCCTTCCATTCTATGAGTGGGCATGGTGTGTATTGGAAGTAACATTCCTGGCTGGGTAAACTGGGGCAAGTCCTTTACTTTTCTATACTTCTTATTATCATTAGTAAAATAGAAGTACTTGCCCTCCTATCTAGTGTGTAAGTTTGGGGCACACTTATGATAATGTGTGTTGAAGTGTTTGGTAACATTTAAAATACTCTGTCAATGTCAAGGACTACTACTAAGTTGCTTTGATGCCTCCTAGGCTGTATGAAAACACAGCTTCTACAAACATTGAGAAATCCTTGTGAGGAAACAAGACTGTAACATTCTATCATCAGTCATTCCCCAATGTCATGAACTGTGCTTAATGTTTATGCCCACCCTTCCCCATCAGAGACAGTGAAATCACTCTTGTGGCCTGTTGTTTCCCCAAGTAACAGCCTTGTCATTTGTATTGCTCTGAGAAAGGATATGTCGGAATCACTTGCCCCAAACTCCTGCTTTTCATTAATCTCTTTTTGGCTGCAGAACCCCATGGAGGGAGACAATATCCAAATTGTTTTCAGTCCAATAACTCACCCCAGACAACAAAAAAAACAATGACAGCAAATCTAAAACAATGATACTGGATGTTAAGTGACTCAAGCATTGGCAGGCGAGCAGCTGTTTGCAGGGATCCATGTACCACTTGGATCTGTTTGTTTAAGATGCCAGGTTATAGCTGTCATCTGTGCGAGATTTTTCTTTTCTTGGAAGTAATCCAACACTTCCCTCCTCTGTAGGCTACAGATCCTCCCTTTGACTGAGCTGGGTTGCCAGGGACTCAGGCTCTGCTATCCCTCCCTTCCCATGTGGCTCTAGGGACTGAGGCTGCTCAGGGTCAGAGGCGCATCTTTGATGAAGTCATGCTGAATATTCCTCCTTTTGGACAGCACTCAGAGTCCGGAGTCCATTCTCCTGCCCAGACCAATAGCCTGGTCAGCAGCTGATCTTGATATATTTCCTTCTGTCTGGTGGCCCTAATATGAACTGGAAGGGGGACCCACAGAACCACCTGTTTCTGATTCCTGGGCATCCCCTTTTATGTCAATAAAAATTAATAAAAATTACATAAGAATGCTTTATTATGCAGCAGTAAATGAATATGAATGCATATCAACTAGAGCAAATGTTGAACAATAATGGCCCCATTAAATTTTGCCCTCAATAATTCATGGCCTGGGAAGGAGCTATAGGAGAGACCAGTTGACTTCAACCTCTCAATACCACAGATAACTTCAAAAACAATTTGTAAGTAAATAATGCAAGTCTCCAAAATTAGTATGCTTACCAAAAAGCAACTATACCCAAAGGAAGCATTTTTGTTTGAATTTAATTGATTTAAGATTAGCATTCCTTTCTTTTGATGGCTGCATTATTGTTTACTGGGAAAACATTTGCAGCAAAACACATACTGCGTGTGTACCTGGGCATTGATATTCTCACTGGCAAATACTCTCCACCACAGGCCTAGATACATATTTGTCTCGGAGACTTGAACCACTGTGAAGGAACTGTTCAAGTCTCCCAAGGAAAGGCTATCTTTACTTGACAAGAACAATGCTGATTTTTAAAATCACCATTCAGAACAGTCCCAAGGATGTTCCTCGGTCTCCCAAGTTTGTAAACTTATGGAAAACAGTGTAAAATATTGTTAGGCAAGTGTTACTGTTAAGCTGTATTGTTGGTTCTTTCTTTCCTTATTTTTGGTAGGGAGTGGGGTGGAGAGTCAGGGAAGGCAGAGTGGATTGGTTGTTTAACAAAAGACTCTTTGTCTAGAAACAGATTTTTATTGTCGTAGTAATCTCTTTGTTGCTTTCTCATCTGAAAGAAGGAAAAGATTCTTCAGGGAATTCATATAATGCAGAGGATTCTAAGAAATGGGTGATGGATGCATCTGATCACTTTAGATTAAGGTTCTAATTTCCCTTACAGCTTTGATTTCTCCTGCGGTTTAAAGATAAACACACTCACACGCACATGCACACATACACACGCACACACATGAAAACACACACATGCACACATATACACTTTTTACAAACGTGATGCTTGTTCATTGTGGGAAATAAAAGTAAAGAGAAAAATAAAATAAATATCAACCTTAATCTTACCACCTAGAGGTAATTTTAAAAAATGTTTCTTCTGTTTATAACTTACAATATTTTAGTAAAAACAAGGTCATATGGGCTATCTTTTACATAATTTTTATTCATTTACTATATTAAATATGTTTCCATGTTCCACATTCTACATTAATATTTTTATAGAATCTTATCATGTGATGTACCAGTACCTTTGTCGTTAAACATTTAGAGTACTTCCAATGTTTAAATTATTTATTATTTATTTATTTTTGAGACAGAGTCTTCCTCTGTCGCTCAGGCTGGAGTTCAATGGCAGCGATCACAGCTCACTGCAGCCTTGACCTCCCGAGCTCAAAGGATCCTCCCACCTCAGCCTCCGAGTAGCTGGGACTACAGGTATGTGCCACCATGCCTGGCTAATTTTTGTATTGTAGAGACTGGGTTTTGGCATGTTGCTCAGGCTGGTCTCAAACTCCTGGGCTCAAGTGATCTGCCGTGGCCACCCAAAATGTTGGGATTACAGGTGTGAGTCACCATGCCTGGTTGAGTACTTCCAATTTTTCAAAATTTGATGTTATGGCAAATATTCTGGAAATTACAATTTGGAGTTTCTTGAGGATAAATGGGGTGTTTGAGTTAAGGGATATGCAAAATTGTAAGGCTTTTGATATGTATTATTAAGTTTCCATCTATAAGGGTTGTGCCAATTTTGGTTTATTCTATCGCCAGATGTGTAAGAGAAAGTGACCATTTCCCCATATATTTAGCAACACTGGGCATTTAAAAAATATCTTTGCAACCCAAAGGGAAAAATAGGGTGAGGGATAGACCACTTAAAACCTATGCAACACTAACAAGAACACTGACAAAAACATAATTGATAATGTTATGGAATGAATTGTCCTCCCCACCCCCATTCATACGTTGAAGTCCTAACGGTCAATGTGACTGTATTTGGAGATGGAGCATTTAAGGAGGTAATTAAAGTTAAATAAGGTCATAACGGTGGGGCCTTAGGCCTTAATATAATAGGACTCATATTCTTACAAAAAAGAGGAAGAAACACTCAACAGGTTGGCACAGAGAAAAAGTCATGTGAGGACACAGGGAGAAGGGGGCCATCTGTGAGCCAGGAAGGGAGGCCTCACCAGACGGCAAACCTACTGGCACCTTGATCTTGCACTTCCAGCTGCCAGAAGTGTGAGAAAATAAATTTCAGTTGGTTAAGCCCCCCAGTCTGTGGTATTTTGTTATGGTGACCTGAGCTGACTAATACAGTACCTTTGAAGATTCTTGGCAAAACTCAGGAATTCAGCATGTTTAGAGATTGCATTGGGGATATTTTATTTTATGTATTATCTTTTTGGAGACAGGGTCTCACTCTGTCACCCAGGCTGGAGTACAGTGGTGCCATCCCAGTTTACTGCAGCCTCTGCATCCTGGGCTCAAATGATCCTCCCATCTCATCCTCCCGAGTAGCCTCCTGACTACAGGCATGCGCCACCACCCCCAGCTAATTTTTGTATTTTTAGTGGAGACAGGGTTTTGGCATGTTGCCCAGGCTGGTCTTGAACTCCTGGGCTCAAGTGATCTGCCTGCCTCAGCCTGCCAAAGTGCTGGGATTACAGGTGTGAGCCATAGCGCCAGGCTTAGGGGATATTTTAAAAAGCACAGAAACAATAGAATGGAAATGCTGATTGGGGCACTGAGATGATACAGATGGAAGTGGAGCTCTGAGCTGGTGGGGCTGCTATTAAGGTGGGCATAGGAGAAAGTACATCCTACTACAAGCTGAGAACCATGCAGGTACTTATTTTCATGTATTCATTTTTAACAGCTAACAGGGTTTCTCCCTGTACAGCAGCTGAGTTGAGGGCTTTTCCTTTTATTTCCTCCTGATAGTCTGGCTCTCCTTGTCCAAGAAAAACCATGTATAAACTAACATGACTTGTATATTTTACTGACATAATTCCCCTATATATCAATCATGTATAATAAGCTCATTGGTGTTTTAGAAACCTATTTCATAGTAGAGGTGATTGTAACCACTCTGTGACCTCAGTTTCCTCAACTGTAATTTAAGGAGGTTGTAATAGATCAGTGAGTTTTAAATTTTGTGCACTGAATAGTACTTAAGCTACATCTTCCCCTCTCCCAGTGGTAGAAGTGGGCTGTGGGGATGGGGCCCATTGTGTTATATCGAGCTGGGGTGTGGTACTTCCTCCTTCCTTGCTTTAACAGAACAGCTCTGGCTTTAATTTGTTGTATATGATTTCATTTGGAGAAAAGGTCTGTTATGGATGAAATGTTTGTGTCCCTCCCAAATTTATATGTTGAAATCCTAACCTCCCATGTGATGATATTTTGAGGAAGGGCTTTGAGAGGTATAGAGGTCATGAGGATGGTGTCATCATGAATAGGATTAGTGCCCTATAAAAGGAACCCCCGAGAGCTCTCTAACTCTCTTTCTGCTACTTAAAGATACAATGAGAAGACAGCAATTTGCAAACTGAATGGGGGCTCTCACCAGAATCTGAGCATGCTGACAGCTTAATCTCAGATGTCCAGGCTCCAGAACTGTGAGAAATAAATTTCTGTTGTTTATAATCCACCCAGTCTATGCTATTTTGTTGTAGCAGCTGAACTAAGACAAGATCTTCATCTTAAAATGTTTAAAAACTTTAGGACAGGATAATATTAAGATTCCTTCTAATTGTAATTCTGTAATCTTTAAAATTGGCTTAGTACCTGTGTGGGCCTTTGCATACTCTATACTCTTTAAAATACATATTCTTAGCTATTATACACATTCCCTCCTTGACGTATTAAGTATGGAATGTATCATCACTCCCATTTCATATACCTTGAAGCATTATGTGACTTTCCAAAGTCACACACAATTAGATACAGCTAGAACTTAAACTCAGATCTTCTCACTCCAAACACCATCACTTTCCCACTACTACTTTGAGAACGAGCTAAGAGCTTTATCCTTATACGCCATAAGGAAATTAAGGAAAAGAGTAGTGATCTTAATATTTAAAACCTAATTAAAAAGTATAGTAAATTAGGAGTTTTTATTTCTCAAAAGCGAATTCTATAAGATTGCTTTTCTACTTATTTGTCATCCCTGTTTATCTTAAGAAGAGTTATATTTTTTGGATGTAAGGTCTAAAATGCCCATGACTATGAATCTAGTGATCTTGAATGGAAGGCCATCATTTTAGGATAAACACAAAATTCTATCGATAAGCATAGCCTAATTATAAGCACAAAATCGAAGGGAAAAGATCTCTTGAGCTTTGAACTTGCAAATTTACACTTAGGAACTGGCAAACATGTGGAATGCTGTTCACCTTTCATTTTTCTAGTCTTTATATCCCCTTTATAGGCAGTAACAAATTATGTTTTCCTCTATTCATTTCCATCATCTTTTATTTCATGAAAGATAAATTTTGTGGGTTGTCAAAGGATTTACCTTACTACACAAATTACAGCAAATTCTTCCACTTTGAACCTTTACCCCACGTGAATTGACTGGAAGAGGCTCCATGTCCTGTACTGTAGTCCTCCAATTTGAATTTCAGTCTTTTTGCTACAAAAAGATGGCTATCTTTGACCTAGAACCTCAGGTTGTACTGCTACCTGAATGTGGTTCTTAGGTGCTGCTTATGTATTTATTTTTGAATATAATATAATTGTACTTCAGCACCCCTAGTCATACTCAGCTGCAGGAATGGCTGTTGTTCCTTTATTTACTCTCTGTTGAGTAGCTAAGATGGCCTGTTGAAAACAGAACAGTCCCTGTCTCTTTCTGTATCTCTGTCTGTCCTTATCTTTCTGTATCTCTTTCTATGTCTCTCACCTCCTCAACAATTCCATTCCCCATCATGGATGCAAAGAATCTCAAAGAAGAAACCAGAAGCCAGCTCTGATTTGACATTTCTCTCGAACAGTTGGTAGATAGCATGGTGTGTGTCCCAGAGATGGACATATGTTTTCCCTTTCAAGGATTTGGGATAAGAAATAATCAAAGAAGACATTCCTTCATTAAGCTGAGAAAGCAGTAGCCTGAAGCCAAATATATCTTCTGATTTTATAGATGCACAAACCTGCAAAAGCTTAATGAAAAGGAACTTAAAAGGAGAAGATTATCAAATTGCTTTTAGGCTCCCTGCTTGATTACTTTTAGGTACTGAGTACATGTGCCAATTTGTGTGACTGATTTAATGGTTTCCTTTTATGACATTGTTAATCATAATAATTATAATAACTTACATTTGTGTAGTGAGTTCAGTTTTTAAAGCATTTTTATATCCATTACCTTATTATATCTTCACAACAAACTTGGGCAGACATGCTTGCCAGAAGAACAATCATTTTGCTGGGAAGGTCATCTTCTTTGAGGGTGCAATGTCAAGAAGGGATGCATGAGGAAGATTGAGGGAGGAAGGGGACACCAAGCCAGCAGGTCAGCTGAATTCCCAGGGGCTGGGCAGATGCCACCCTGCCCCTGCCCCTCCACATCCATTGGTGGGTGGTGGGGAGTACTCAGCCTTGACTTAATTTAGTAAAACATCACTTAAGCCCCACTGAATCACTCTGCTGAACAAAGGGTCATGCCCAACAAGCCAGTCCTGGATCTGCCACGTTTCTGACCCAGTGAACAACAGTGGGTGCTTCCTTATTTCACTCACTGAGAATATTCTCTGCATCATTTTTATTATTAATTGTAAGTGCTTCCTCAGCGAGTGTTCTAGCTCTGTCAGATTTTAGCTAAGAATTTACAGCTGAATTCCTCCAGAGTCCTGCAGGTAAGGCTGATGGTGATTGGTGCAATTCCATTGTTTTTCTTTCTTGCATCCAGGAGTAATATAACCCTGAATCTCTATGTGACCTGTAATTATTAGCCATGGAACACCAAAACTCTGCTTCATCCCCATGCCTCTGTAGGTACTGCAGTACAGTACATCCCCTCTTACAAAATAGCCCTATGACATACACAGGGCAACTACTGTTATTTCTTATTTGTAAATGAGAACACTATGGTAAGAGGTTATATAACTTGTTCACATAGCCAGTTTGGTGGAACCAGGAGCAATTGTCAGATCTTCTAGCTTCCAAATTAGTTATCTTTTCTACTATACATAAAATACGATTTGGTACCCTTTTCTCTCCCCCTACCTTTGAAAGTCTTCAGAAACAGAAAATGTTCTAAGAATTTTTTTTTCCAAAAAATTTCTCCTTATTTTGCCATTTCATAAAACCATTTCAGCTGTGCTTCAAGATCATTGAGAGTCAATGTGAGTGTGTGTGTTTATTATTGGACCTTCTTCCCAGTCCATAACACCTTCTCTGAGAACTGTCTCCCATGCATAGGGATGAATCCCCATTGCCATGCCATAGCACATGAGTTTACCTTATCATGGTGTATGAGTCTGTTCTCGCGCTGCTAATAAAGACATACCAGAGACTGGGTAATTTATAAAGGAAATAGGTTGAGTTGACTCACAGTTCCACATGAGGAGGCCTCACAATCATGATGGAAGGCAAGGAGGAGCAAAGTCACATCTTACATGGCAGCAGGCAAGAGAGCATGTGCAGGGCAACTCCCCTTTACAAAACCATCAGAGCTCATGAGATGTATTCACTCTCATGAGAACAGCACGGGAAAGACCCACTCCCATGATTCAGTTATCTCCCACTGGGTCCCTCCCACGACATGTGGGAATTACGGGAGCTACAATTCAAGGTGAGATTTGGGTGGGGACACAGCCAAATTATATCACATGGTTGCTTAGAAAACAGAGGAACCTAAATAGTGTGGAGCAAATGGTCTCTCTTGGAAATTTGGAATTGGAATGAATAGTTTATTCAGTTTTATGCCATATTTGAACTGAGGACAATTAAACTCTGGGGCTGTGGCCACCATGTTTGATCATATAAACATTAAGCAGATGCTAGAGTGAGGACACAAAAGTGGAACAGTGCAAGGAGAGAGTCGAGAAACCATGTGGCGCTGGAGGATGGGGGTGAGGCAGGCAGTAAGGGCTGGTTTCTTAACTGCTTTTTAGTTCCTGACTCCAGATACACAAGCAGCCCAGCCCCTGCATAATTCCTGTCCTTTGGTTCTATGAGGCACTTCAGGATTCTTTCTGATAAATTCCTGTTTTTGCTCAAGTTAAAGAGAGTTTCTGATACTTGTCACTCAAAGACCTTCAACTTGGGTGTTCTGGAAATGACTTTCTTGAATTATTCACTCCAAACATTCCCACCATGGGCTAGGTAGAGGAAATATCCTGTGCCAGCCATGACCACAGCTGTGCACGCCCTCAGCTGCACACATCCCTGGGTGAATGTGTCCCAAGCCTCCCCAAGTATACCCATCTCGAGGCTCCTCCCTAGCCAGCCGCAGACTGTATTCCTCAGCTGTGCCCCACCTCCCTTTTTCCCTCATCCTGAAGCTCCCCATGAAGAGGGCAGCCTCCAGCCTGATACTTGGATACTTTATCCTCCAGACACTCAGCAGTCATTACCTTGTGCTGCTGCATGCCTATTTCCTTTTTCTTTTGTAGTCACTGGGTTGCTCATTGTTTGCTAATGACTAGTTGGCAGGCGGAGAGAAGTGGCAGCCAGCCTGGCCTTCAGACTGGAAAGAAGCATGTTTTCTAGAGAGTGAAAACATTACTTGGTAAGAAGCATGTTCCAGCACTGAATATTTTTCTTTCAAAGTCCTGCTGGGCTCCTTCTGTCTCCAAATGCCTGCGCTTTCCTTTGTCACTTCCTTCCACCTCCTTCCCAGATGGAGACTGGCAGGGCCACCTTATTTGGGGATAGGGCTCCTCAAAGGCAGATGTAGGTTCCAGGGTAGACTCTAATATGATCTCGGGAAAGCAAAATAATTAGGGTGGTTACATTCATAAGAAAATAATAGGCTTGCATTTGGAAACCTTTGATACCCTTTCTGATTTTTCTAGAGAAAGCCAGTAATTAGCAAGGAATATAGGCTTTCTCTGACATCTACTCAAAAACAAATCTCCTAAGCCTTTAGAATGAACTTACCCTTGTCTTGGATTGAATGTTTGTTCCAGAGAGGGACGGGACTCTTGATACCGTTTCTTATCACCTTTCTGCTTAGCTGGGGAATGGTCCACTCACTTAATTCCTCCAGAGCTCCTAAAAGCTGGGCAGCTGGGACTGGCCCTCTGAGGCCAGACCTTGTCCTGTCCCGAGGGGGAATAATGTTGCAAACTTTGACAATAATGCCGATTATTCATTTATCACTCACTATATACCAAGCAGTCTTTAAAAACTTGGTCAAAATGCCGCTCAGGTCTGCATAGTTATCTAAATGCTTCTCAGCCAGAAGAGGGCGTTGCATTCCTGATTTTTTTTTTTTTTTCCTTTTAAACTAAATAGAAAGCTCTAGGAGAACAAATGACTTTTAGATCCACGCTGTTTTCTATGCATAAATAACAACGCGACAACAAAAAGTTCATCTGTTGAAGACAAGTATTCAAAAGGAATATTAGTAAATGCAAACCAGGCAGCTGGTATAGAACACGGCTCAGGGTACGAGGGTCCAGTGGCTTTTGGTGATCATATTTCTTATGCTGCTTGCACAGGTTCGAAATGAAGTGACAAAAAAAAAAAAAAAAAAAAAAATCCAGCAAGGGCCTCTTGCTAGCGAGGAGCAGTGGGTAATATATTTGTTTGTACTATGGGTTTGCAGTTCTACTAGAAGGAACACTTGACATTTTGATGAGTGCCTCCAGGGAGAAAAGGTAGTAACTTCAGAACTTAGTTTTAATTATACTAAGGAGATTACATTATTCAAAAGCATCCCACTGGTAAGGTGCAACATTTCCTGAAACAGTTTAGTGGAAAATGCCACATTAATCAGTTCAAAATTTCACTCAGAAGGCTTAATGATGGGAAAAGTTTAAAGTACCGTGGCACAATAATGCAGAAGGAAAGAAAAAAAAGAATGTTCACTTTGAGGAAAAGGCTGAAATAGTTGTGAGTCCCTCTTGCGTCTTTCCCCATTAAAAACTGGCTGGCTGTGCTAGCAACCAAGTAGGGATCAACATGCGGGACTCCACCATTCCTGAAATACAAGGACCCCGGAAGGGCAACCCACACAAGGTGAGAAAGGAAGTACATTATGTTCGGCCCAGCTGTTCTCATCTGCCCAGCAGTTTACTTCTGTGCTACTCTTAATTGGTCCAGGTTGGTAATGTATAGCTGCTCTTTCCCTCCTCATCCAGACAGACAGAAGAGGTTTGTAAATGTATAGTATTTGACACTAAAGGGAGATGGGCAAAATGCAAATCCTGAGCAGCCTGCCTTCTTCCCATTCTTTCCCCTAACTCATATTTTAATTACCATTTTCAGCCTGCAAAAAACTTGAACGAGAATCTGGCTTGAAAGTCAGAAAGGTTTGTACTTAACAGATAGGCTCTCACCTGAAAGGTGGCCAGCACACGTGGGCATATTGAAATGCTGAAAGACTGAGTGAGGATGGAGGTGGAAATTCAATCCAGATCTTAATGTTGGTAAATATACGAATCAGCCTTATGGCTAGCCAAAATACAGAAACAAACAACTGAAAAACAACGAATCAAAACCCATTGTCTTTGTGGGGCAGTAGTCCAGCAACTCTTTGCAAACAACTGTAGAGCCATAGCGGCCTCATGGCTGAAGCCAGTATGGAGCACTGGTTAGGGGACAGAAACCATCTCTGTGTGCATGTTTGTTACAATTTTTTTGATCCAAATGTCAGTTTAATTTCTCTTTAGGTCTCACCACAATGAAGCTGAAGTCCCTTGAATTAAAAATGAAAAATCGAGACGAAAATAGCATAGCTAAATTGTCTGGAATGTATGCCATGTGACATTTCCCTGCCTTGTTTTCTTTTCTCTGTTTCTTAGTAAATGTTCTAACAGACTTTTACTACATGTGTGCTATGGGCTCCCTCCTGCTTTTATGCGTCAGAATCACCTTTGTTTTTACCTTTAAAGCTCTCTGCTTCTTCCATGATACTTTTCTTCCTCCTGCAAGTCACCTTGTTTCTTTCCCTAAAGCAGGTCCCTGTGTAGCTTTACTCTCTGCATTTCTTTCTACGTACATCCTTCTAGGCAGCTTTCTCCGTTGAAGAAGTCTAACCTTCGTGCTCTCTGAAATGATAGCTTACTGTTCCGAATTCAGGAATTCTCAGCCTTTTTGTGGTAGGATTATCACATTCTTGCCCTATTCTTATTTTGCTTCTGAGATAATAGCAAAGTGATTTAATATATATTTATTAAAAAAACAGTGAATCTGAATTTTGTTTTACGATGGGTACAGAAGCCCATGAGATTTTAACAACACCCCAGGGAAACCAATAAGTATGATTTCACCATTGAAATTACTATGTTGACATCCTGATGTCAAGGCCAATACACAACACATGTGCTTGAAGGAAATTTAAGCAGGAGTGTTCTATCTCCTAGTCAGGGGCTTCTGCCACTGTCTAGGTGGTCTTGGAAAGTCATAGCTGGAGGTTGAATGCTACTTTTTCTTTTGTTTTTGTCTCGCTCTGTCACCCAGGCTGGAGTGCAGTGGTGTGATCTTGGCTCACTGCAACCTCTGACCCCCGGGGTACAAGAGATTCTCCTGCCTCAGCCTCTTAAGGAGCTGGGGCTACAGGTTCACACCACCATGCCTGGTTAATTTTTGTATTTTTTTTTTTTTTTTCAGTAGAGACAGAGTTTTGCCCTCTTGGCCAGGCTGGTCTCAAACTCCTCGCCTCAAAAGATCTGCCCACCTCGGCCTCCCAAAGTGCTGGGATTACACACGTGAGCCACCGCGCCTGGTCGGATGTTACTATTTTATGTTATTTTATTTACTATCACACAAAATCCTTTGTCAGGTTATGGGCCAATTCTTCAAATTCAATTGAATGGCTTTGATAAGCTCCTCATTTGTCCCTTCTTGTAGCCCTGGGACCTGGACCTGATGCAGCAGCAGGGATTCTGAAACCCAGGGGGTTATCATCTACTTTCTTGTCTTGAATGTTGTTTTCTAGTTTTAGGATTCCAAGTGCTGTTCCACTCTTTAAATGTGATGGACTTCACCTCTGGATTTTTAATGGAACGAGTTTTCCAAGCATCATACCCATACTCTAGTCTTAACAAAAGGGGTGGAAGTTTAGAACATAGTATTGTAAGAAAATTAGAAAACAGAGTGCTAAACATTGAATCACCTAGGAATTGTGAGAGACAGTGGCAGGCTATCGTCAAACTGACTTGAAATATTGAGTGTTCATTAGCTGTTATAAAATTACATAATTATACTGCACACTTTGACATAGTCTTCTTTGTGGGTGTAAAGTAGTTGACTTTCATTTGACACAAAGATTCTAGTGGCAGAAAAAGGTAAAGGACACCTCATCCATCCGTACCCTATGCAGGAGAGGGCCTGGGTTTTAATTCTGTAATTGTCTTTCCCAAGTCCCTATTCCACAATTACCTTTTACGACTTTATGAATTGTTGCTGGCTTTGACATGAACTGGTGCTGGCTGCAGGCCTGACCTCCTCCTGTGCTGATAATCTCTTCTTTTATTATTTTTTCATCGCTTATGATGTGGTTTCACTATCACCATAATAATAATAATTTACTGAGGCTTGTTATCTGCCTTTTATTGGGCAGTGCCGATGTATTCCTAAAAACTGAAGCTAGGAAAGCTCTGGCCTTCTAAAGACTTCTTCCATGACTTTGGGCTTCAAAAACTTCTACTTCATTTACACTATATGTATTAACCCTGCCTGGTTCCATCTGTTGTCCTTTTATCCCTTCTTCCATATTCCAGCTTATCCTATTATTTGGTTTCTCTAGAGCCATACATCTGCCTTTTGCAAATACTCCTAGTCGTGAGTAACTGTTTCACATGATGATTAATTCAACAAAATAAAAAAATATTAGAAATGCATTTCTTTTTGTAAATTTAATCAATTTAAAATTCAGAAAATTCTACACTTATAACTTCCTTTTAAGTGTTCATTTATTATTGCAATGCCACTGAATGGCTGCATTACTTTTTTTGCTAAAAATTCAGAAATTTTAAAATTAGCAAGCTCTGTAGCTGTGGTTCTCAGCATCATTGTACTTTAGAATCACCTGGGAACATTCTAAACTCAGTTGCCCAAGCCACAGGCCCAGAAAATCTGATTCAAGTCAGTTGGGTGCTTAAACAGCCTTTTAGAGTAACTGAAAACCACCGCAGAGAAATATGAGGCTGACAATGCTAACGTTTGAACAGACACCAATATTGAGCAACAGACATTGGAACTGGTTCCTTTTGTCTTTCTTTGACTGATCTCCTAAGCTTTCATTTACAAAATGTGGTTTGCCTCATGGTATATCTTAATAGTATATGCCTTATGAATTTAAAAAGATTTTATTTAAAATAAGAAAACCATCATCTTTAAAACAAAGAGATTTTCATCAATGTTCTGTCTTTGAAATGTAAAATTTTTGTCAGTCATCTTTTTCATTTTGACAGCAATTCTAACAAGAGTTTACATTTTATTTAGGAAATGGTTCTTCTCAATTTGGAGCAGCTATGAAAATATTTTTTTAAAAGTACATACATGTATGGCCTGGCAATTGTATTTCTAGGAATGATTCCTGTAGAAATACTTGTACATATATATGAAGATTTTCACAGGAGCATTGAGTGCTATGGATAATACAAAACCAAACTACGGCAATAACAACAAAAACCAAAAGGACTATTATGAGGGCAATGGTTAAGTAAAATTAGGAATTCAGTGCAATGGAGGAGTATGCAGTTTGTAAAAATGAGTTGTGTATTCTGTCTTGGAAAGGCTTCTGTGGTAGATATTAAGTTAAAAGAAAAAACAAGAGGCAAAAATCTGTAAAACTGTATGATCCCTCCATTTACTTTTTTGTGTAAGAAGAGGACATTGTGTGTGTGTGTGTGTGTGTGTGTATGTGTGTGTGTATGTGTGTAAGCAAAGGCATACAAAAGTCTGGAATGATAAGGAATTCTCCATAATGCTAACTGGGTTTTTTGGAAAGTGTGATAAAGGAGAGGGGTAAGGAAGGGCTTGCTTTCACTGTATTACTGCATCTTTTCCACTGTTACTGCATCTATTTCCTCAACAAGAATACATCATCTATGTAATTAAAAAGCAAAAGGAAATGATAAGCAGGCAACCAAAAGTGGAAACAGCAATTCTCAGAGCCTCAGAGTCAAGCTGGGTTTTATCACCGGCTCCCCAGAGGGGCAGACACACCACAGGTGCAGTCCCTGGGCAGGACTAGTGCAACTCCTCCCAGATACCCGGGTCCCACTGGCTGATTCCTGCCCATACTCTGTTCCCTCCCACTTTTCCAGACCAAGCCAACAGCCCCTCACAGTTGCCATACTGGCAGCCTAAGTAGCAGATCGGCCTCTGGCGCCCTGCGGTGAGTGTAGCCCCGTGCTGAGCCTGTACAATGCACAGGGAGGGGTGCAGGGGTTGGGCTTGGCTGAGCTTGGCCCTCTGGGGTCAGGGGCGAGGATTTCAGAAATGAAACTGCAGGTAATATCTCAAAGCTGAGCGGGCTCTGCTGCTACCCTCATAGATATAGGAGCCACATACAGGTTTGCCCAGAGAACTAACAGAAAGGAGAGACTGGCTCTATGAGTTTTAAGTCTTCTATTTACTTCTCATTATATTCTACTGCCAAATTTCCCAATGTAATGGTCGGTTTTACAGAATACTCATTCTACGCCAGGCTCTCTAAGTATTTTGCACATATTATCTAAGCTAATTCTCACAACAACCTACGAGGTAGGTGACATTATCACACCTATTTTACAGACCAGGAAATTGAGGCACAAAAAAATTAAGAATTTTGCTCAAAGCCATACAAATGAGTGGCAAAGCCAGGATTTGAACCCAAGTTCTCATTACCCTCCTGTGTAGACCAAACTCTTCTTTTCCCCGAGATCTCCAATACTTTGAAGCCAGAAAGCATTTGTGAGGACAAAAATGAAGCACTGCTTATGAATGCATGACTCCTTCCTTTAGGAGGAAAGAATCTAGAATTTAAGGTTAATAAGGTAATGCTTTATTATACAAGATTTTGATGGAAGCAATCTATAAAAATATATGTAGGCACATCCATTTACTTAAATTGTAGGTTCTCATTGCCTTTTGTTTTGATAATATTTTCTTGGTATTTTACTGAAAACTGCCCCTCATAAATTGCAAGCATAATTTGCCATATATAAGAAGGGCAGCATTGCACGGTGGTAAAAACATGGAGACAAGTCAGATTCCCTGAATTTGAATCTTGGCTTCAGCATTCATTAGCTGTGTGACCTTAAGCAAATTACTTAACTTCTCTGTGCCTCAGTTACCTCATCTGTAAAAGAGTAGTCCCTATCTCTCCGGGTTGTTATGACAATTAAATGAGTGATATTGCTAAGCACTTAGAACAGTGTCTGGCTTGTGGTAAGTGGAATAAAAATACTTATTAAATAATTAAAATAATTAGGAATAAAGTACAGCACTACTGTGTGGAATCTAACCCATTGATTTTTTTTTTTTAAGGTGGAGAAAAGAATAAAGAAACCCATATTTCTTGAACTTCTCCTCTGAACCAAATACAGCCTTTAGAATTTCCAGGTAAGTAAAAACCTTCTTCTAATTCAAGCAGATGATCATGATTCTCAAGAAATGGATTCTGGCTCCGCAGAGAGAGCCAGGCTTAATAACAAATGAGAAGCAGGCCCCAAAGACCGCATGCTCTCAGCAAGGTTCTTGGGCTTCTGGGGCTTGGGGCTTGGGGGCTTTGGAATTTGATGCTCGCTCAGTGTTGTTAATGTGGCTATTAGTCTTGAGACTTTTCTGCTTCCACAGCACACACATCCGTGTTTTTCTATTTCAACCTTCTCTTCATCTCTTCCAAATTTCATACTTTAGACCTTACCCTCTGTTTCTGTTGTGTTTCACATTCTTAGAGTTGGCATTATGGTTTTAGTGTCTTTAGGGCATTAAAATCCATATTTCACTGTAACAAACAGGAGCAAATCTTAAGATCTAGCTGGAATTCTTTTCAGCCTTACCCCTATTGATGTTTGCAGTTTCATTTTGCTCTAATTGTCCCTGGTGGTGCAAATAGGCAGGAACTCAGCCTTCACCAATGGATGCTGAGCCAACGACACCACCTTTTTCTGCCTAGAAAATAGAATGGATCCTGGGGCAAAGATTAGCTCCTTTCTAACGCTAAGCAGAGTAGGGGGAAATTATAATGCCTACATTTTACCTTTTTCTGTTGACTATTGCTAACATCGCTGCTTCTGCTGTTGTTAGTAAGAGGCTTCTTGAGAGGGAAGAGAGAGCAATGGCCATGTGAAGACAGTGAAACTACGCACATGTAGTTTGCAAAACCCTTTGGGATCATTCAAGTTGAAAAGGAGCTATAAAATGTAAAACAGCATCATTAATAATAATACTTTTATGATTGTAAATAGAAGCAAGTAAAATCAAGTTGCTTGGCTCTCTGAGCTTTTCACCGGACCCTAAACAGCTAGGCTATACCCTTCCTCTCTTTCCTCTTTATTGCTCATCTTGTATTCTGTAACACGTTCCTCTGCAATTGCCATAAGCAAATCATTGAACCCATAGGAATAATCCTGGGAAGGTGATGTCAGTGCAAACATATCTGTGGCTGTAAAGACCAGCCATGCACAAAGACCCAAAGGACGGGACTTACAGATATGAAGTGCTATATCAATAGCAAATACTGCCACTAATTGATAATAACAATATACATGCAAGGCCCAAAGCATGTCGGGAACTACATTCAGAGAGCTAGGCAAAATGAATCAGGCCGGGAGAAACTGGAAAGCTGGAGTTCTGAGCTCTGTCTACACAGCAGGACTACACACCAAAAGCACTGATTTCATCTTCCGTGTGATATCATGACAAGTTCTAGTGAGGGTGTTGACAGGTGGTTTATGGTCCTTGGCTTGGTTTGGTGCTAAAAACAGACTTTATCCTCACTTGGTAGGATTATTTAGTATAGTAATTAAATGATAATGGAAGATACAGAGAAAGCAGGTCCCTGAGATAACTGTTAAAGAGCATTAGCTATAGACGGTTCTCCCTCACCTTCTTGTCCATTGAAAGCTTCCTTAGTGATATGCCCTCTAAAACAGGGGTCCCCAACCTCCAGGCCATGGACCTATACCGGTCTATGGCCTGTTAGGAACTGGGCCACAGAGCAGGAGGTGAGCGGTAGGGGAGTGAGCATTACCGCCTGAGCTCCGCCTCTTGTCAGATCAGGGGAGATTCTGATTCTCATGGGAGCCCGAACTTTATTGTGAACTGCACATGCAAGGGATGTAGGTTGCATGCTCCTTATGAGACTAATGCCTGATGATGTGAGGTGGAACAATTTCATCCCAAAACCATCTCCTTCTCCCCCGTCTATGGAAAAGTTGTCTTCCACGAAACCAGTCCCTGGTGCCAAAAAGGTTGGGGACCTCTGCTCTAAAATTCAGTGGGGCAAAGCAGCAACCTTTGGGATGTCAAGAGAGAGGAAACATGGATTAGTATTTCAGGGCATGGTTGGGTCTGAATTCTGGCTTCACTGCTAAGTAGTTGGTAACCTGGAGAAAGTTATGTTACTTTTTTTGCCTCAGCTTTCTTTCTGTAAAATACATATCTCATAATTATTTGTGAGAATTAAATGAATAATATATTTAAAAACCTAGAACAGTGCTTGGCACATAGAAACATTCACTAAATATCACCTATGTCTTATGCCCATCTTAGATATTCTGAGAGATGTTTTGAAGTGCCCCAAATGGACACAATCTGCTTTACCTGCTTGATATGCAATCAGACCACATCTGTTTTTAGGATTCCTATTAAATGTCTTAAGCTGCCTCATCCATCAGAATGTCCCGCTTCCCTGGCTTCACCCTTCTATGATAATCTTTAGGAGCCTTGATTTTCTAAGGCTGGATCTTTGCTGTTATATCTAGAGCTCAGATGTGATCCTATGGGTGAGAGCGTGTTATAACTGCCACTGGAAATTTGCTTCTGCTTGGGTTAATGCATCACAAAAATGCAGACACAGAGAAACCAGAGTAGTCAAAGGGCCCCTTGACTCATCGTTCCTGAGATCTCAGTGTGGCAATGTCTAGGGGAAGTGGCTGATGCCTGGAGCTCCAGTGGAGTCTCTCTCCCAGCTTAGTCCTTCAAGGTCTGAGGAAAGATCATTCTCCACCTCTCATCCATGACTGGTCAGGGGAATTTCACATCAAATTTGAGCAGGCACTTCAACTTCACGGATTGAAAAAAAAATTCACCCACCCAGTCACTTTCTCAGAGCACAATATAGGTGTCCAGAGCCACTCTTCCTTTGACTGACTGACTTCATACAGGGGATGGCCCCTGACTCAGTCTCTTTCTATTCCCATGTTGATTTTAGTTGAGTAGTCTCATTGTGTTTGCCACTGATCCTTGATCAGGTATATCCTGACGGGTTTTAATGACTTTGAATCTCCTAGAGGGAGGTTGGGGGTCTCATCCTGCTATGGTCTGGATGTTTATGTCTCCTGCTAACATTAATATGTTGACATTTTAACCCACAAAGTGAAGGTCTTAGAAGGTGGGGCCCTTTGGGAGGTGATGAGGTCAGGAGGGTAAAACCCTCATGGATGGGATTCGTCCCCTTATAAAAGAGGCCCCAGAGAGCTGCCTTGCCCCTTTCACCATGTGAGAAATAGGCCCTCACCAGATACCAAATCTGCCAATGCCTTGATCTTGGACTTCCCAGCCTCCATAACTGTGAGAAATAAATTTCTATTGTTTATAAGCCACCCAGGCTTTGGTGTTTTGTTTTAGCAGCCCCAAAGTACCAAGACGCCTCCCTTTTATTTAAGAAAGCCCATAGTATCATACACATTTGCCTACTTCTCCCTAGCTCTGAATGTCAACAATTTCTTTATCAGGAAAAAACAAAATTCTGCCTTACCAGATACTCTGTTACACTCTTATTTTAAAGTCTTTGCTTTGCTTGATAATTGCTTTTGTGGATTATCAGTAGTGAGGGAATGTTCTGAGAGCTGTCGACAAAGTGTCAAGTAGAATGACTGAATAGCACATATTATTTCCTTGTGACCTTTATTTGATTGTGCATTTGAACAACTCTACTTTCTCAAGAGAAGGTAAAGAGGAAAAATATTTTTCAGGAAGAGGAAACATCTTTATCTTCTACAAATATTTATTGAACACTACTACAGAATTTTGAGTCTATTTAAAGATAGTTAAAATATTTTAAATATTTCTCGGTATAGGAAAATTAACACAGAGAAAAACAGACTTTATTCAGTATTCCTTGGAAAGTTCATTTTTTTGCAAAAGTCGAAAACCATTTAAGTCATTTAAGTGTTTCAGTTAGTTACTGCTGCACAATGAACCACCCCAGATGTAGTGCTTTTAAACAGTTATTTTATTACCTTTCATTACCTATTGGCTGACTAGGCTCAGTTGGGAGGTTCTTCTACTCCACATGGTGTCAGCTGGGGCTGCTGTCATCTAAAGGCTCACCTGGTTTACAATGTCTAAAATCCTTACTCATATGACTCTCAGTTGGTGCTGGCAGTAGGTTGGGAGCTTAGCTGGGGCTGTTCACAAGAATGCCTTGGTTCTCCTCCCTTTGGCCTTCCCATGAGGCTTGGCCTTCTCACAGAATGGCACCTGGGGCTGAGAGTGCTCCACGGGAACAAGCCCTAGTGTGCAAGTACTTTTTAAGCCTCTACTTTATCTTGCTTGGTAAAGTCCTATTAGCTAAATCCATTCACATGGTAAAGCCCAGAATGTTTGTGGGGACTGAACAAGGATGTGAATACTGGAGGCTTTATTCACTGAGTTTCCCCAAAGTGACAGTTAACCACATCCAGGAACTTCTGAATTCCAAGACAACAAAATGGCAGTCTTAGAATTTTGGAATTGGGAGGGACCTCAGAGGCTTCACAGTTCAGCTTCTTTGTTTTACCAACAAAGAGACATAGACCCAGAGAAGGTGATTTACTTGCCCAAAGTGGCAACTCAAACCTGGGCTGTTCATTGTAAAAACTATTTTGAACCATGCTGTGTGCAGGCATTGTCCCTACCCTGGGCAGGTGTAGCCTCTGCCCTCACAGAGCTCACTAGTCTAGAAGGCAAACCTGCAGTTTTGATCTCCTGGTACCCAAGGCTGCATTTTAACCATGGTACTGCACTGCCTTCCCATTGTTAATTAAGTGTGTAATGTCTATATTAAAGTTAGTTCCAGATTCTAATTTATGACACAATAGTTGTATTTTAATGTACACTTTATGGTACATTGGAGTCCCTCAATAATCAACACATGCCCCTCTAATCCTGCCTGGTTTATAATACTTGGAGAAAATTTTATTATTTTAAACAATTATATGGATTTATAGCTACTGAATCTTTGCTTTTGTGAAATATTTTTGTTCATGTCTACTATTTACATGAAGCCAAGTCCTTTTTCAGGAATACAACCTCTAATTATAACATTGTTCCTATGGGAAAATGTAATTTGCTTTTCAATGATCCACTTTATGACATGGTCTCCAGGAATGTGCTGTTCTGCAATAAAAACCAAGTAGAGGCTCCATTCTCTGTAGCTTCTTGCCAATTGCCTGGCATGATAGGAACAGTGCTTATAAAGTAGATCTTATCTTCTGATGGACATGAAATCTGAGTTAGGCAATAATGACAGATTTCCCTGAAATAGTGTGGGGGATGGAAAAGGAAACAAAATAGGAAATGGGAAGGTTCAACAATTCTCTCTACAGTCATCCCATCCGTCCTCAAGTCCTGTCTGTTGTTTAGTGTCTGTCACTGGTTCTTCTTTCCTAGGAATCAAATGTCATTACAAAAATGAGTGATCAGTGCAGTAAGGGGATGCACGTGTGTGCTGCTTGATGACAAGACAGACTCTGGGTGGTGTTGGAAGGCTTCCTGGTGGAAGTGATGTTTTAGCTGGCATCTGAGGAACGAGGAGGAGTGTTAGCCGGGTGAACAGATGCTTTGCCTAGGATCTTCCAGGAAGAAGAAACAGGATATGTAAAAAGCTAGAGGGAGAGAGAACATGAACATGATAAGTTCAGTTTGATTGGAGTGAAATGTATGTGTGTGTGGTGGAGAAGGGTGTAGGGAGCAGGAGAAGGGGGATGGCAAGGCCTTAGAGTGGAGGTGCATGCAGGGATCAGGTCACAGGGGTTCACATAGGCCTTTTAAAGGCATGTGGACTTCACCTTTTAGGAAATGGGACAGTATTGAAGGGGACAGTGACCTGATGCACCTTCTACTTTATGAACAACTCCTCCATTGTTTGGAAGATGAATTGGAAAAGATCAAATTTGGAACTGATAATCTTGTAGAGAGAAATGGCGACCTGGCTAGCAGAGGGAAGTGGGGGTGGAGAGAAGTGGAGTGGGTGTGAGAGAGATTTAGGCAGCAGAATCAATAGGAGCATTGAGGTATTTATGGAACTTCCAAGTCAAGAGACTAAAAGAGCAATGCAGCTCTGGAGAGAGGTTCAAAGCTGGAGAGTTGAGTCACCATCATGTTGATGGAACTGGAAGCTATGAGAGGATAAGATTGCCCAGGAGAGTGGGAGGATAGGGGGCTAAGAGCAAACCCTGGGAACAGCCTTTCTCAGGGCCCAGCCCTGCCTTCCCTGGGAGGGGTGTCCTCATTCCTCTGCTTAGGGATAATGTATACTGACTTCCATTTAACATGTGTTTGCAAAGGACATGTGCTAACCAAAGTACAGTATTTTTAATGTAAAGCTTCCTAACCAAGGGTTATAGCACTGGGGCCAGACCCAGTCAACTATTCTCTTCCTAATGAATACTGTCATCTTCTTGACCTTGGTTTTCCTAGGTGACTGCTCTGTTCCCTTCCTCATCCCCTTTTCTGCTTGGCCCAAAATATAGTCTAGAAAATACCTCATGATTAAAAACAAATACTGCACTGAAAAGTAAAGGATCTCAGAAGAAATTAAAATACAGTTCTCCTCTTCCCTCTTAACTTTGGATACTAGATATGAATCTTTCTGGAGCCCAGAGGCCAAGGTCTCCTACAGAATCCTGATTCAGTTTCTCTCCTTGGCTCCTAGTCTGCAGCCTTTTTGCAGGGGCCTGGTACCTACGCTCCTGAAGACAGAAGTTTAGTGTCTCTTCCCTATCTGGAGTTCAGGTTACAGCCCACGAGCTCCCAAAAGATGGGGTCAAGGAAAGCTTCTTCTATTACTCTCATGCCTAGTCTCCCTGGCCCCTCTCCCTCCATAAATGTAATATGCTCGGACAAATTCTACCCACAATAAAAAATATCTTTATATAGTGGAGCCAGATCTTTCCTGGGGATTAGGTGCTAAGTGTAAGGCAAAATCTGTGCAAGAAATTAACCTTGGAAACCACTTGGAGGAGAGCTACATTGCAGATGGATGTAGCTTTCTCAGCAAGCCTACCCAAACCTGCTGACCCTTCAAGTCTGGAGTAGATTCCCATTTCCTTAGCAGAACATCAGATGAAGTAGCTGTCCTGGGTCTAAAGTTTATTTTCACTTCAGAATTCCAGTGGCCACCGAGAGATGCTCATGCTGTTTAAGGCATGGAGACTGGAAGCTGAGGAGAGAAGAGCAGAATCTCAGTTCCTAGCCTCTCCTGAGGCCTAAGTGCCCACACTTTTTGACTAAGGTAGTTTCTCACTCTGTCCCTGCCCCCCTTTCTCCCTCCCTTCCTCTCTAGTTGTCTATAGGTAGAGTCCTGTGCATTTCATGCAAGCCTGACTAGATGGTCTCAGCATTATTGCGCAAGGCAGCTTAGCTGCTGATCGTCAAGAACTTCGTAATTTCAGTAATAATATATTCAGACATCTTTGTAGGACCCAAAAGCTCATTAAGTGTTTTTTTCCCTCCAAAAAAGGCAATATGCTTTCAAAGGTAAATTCAAACCTCAGTCTCTAGAGAAACAGAAAATCTGCAGGCAGCTTTGAAATATGGCCTCTTTGCCCACTCCAGTTTTTGGCCATGAAGAGGTACACAGAGACAAGCTCCTACCCCATCTGGAGAAACTGGTTACAGTTCCCCCACTTTCTAACCTTCAAATCCTAGATCAGGAATCCTGAGCCACTCTTGACCTTTAGTGCTCTCTTTCCCTCTCAGTTATTGTACCTCAAGGTGTTTTCTATATTTTCAGCTAACATTAAGTATGTCCTATGTATGTGCCAGGCATTGTTTGTTCTAAGAATGACAGAACAAAGTATATTAACACATTTACTCCCCACAACAAGCTTATTAGATAAATACTATTATTATCGCCATTTTACAGATGAGGAAACTGAAGCATAAATAGGTGAAGTAACTTGCTCATGTTCACATTGCTATTCATGTCATCCTAGCACGACTGAACTAGGATTTAGACCCAGAAAGTATGATATTAAGGCCTGCGCCTTAAATCACTATGTTATTCTGCCTCCCATTTGTTATTTAGGTGTGGACTCTATTTCTAGCTGGTTTTTTTTCTATGGGTGTTCCTTCTCTCTCTGTTTATAGCCTCCTTCAGACATCATGATATATACATATTTCAACAGAACTGAGGCTTATACCTTGGATCAAACAGGAACTCAATGAATATTTGTTGGATGATAAAATGACAAAAACCAAAATATAGATCATTAGAAATGATATGATTCTCTGGATGATTTTGGGTTTACTAAAAGATTTCTTTTCTCTCATGAGCATAGTAATAACAGATGAAAAAACACTTGAATATGATTTGATTCTTGAGACCACCTCTATGATGTGATTCTCAAGACACTTCCATGGATGGAGCAGATATTACGCCTATTTTACAGCTGGGAAAACTAAGACATACACAAAGAAATTTATGACCTACCATCACAGACAGTGATGGGTTGGACCCAGGGCCTAAGGCTCCTGACTTCTAGCTCTGTTAATTTTCCACTTCAGATTTTTCCCAAGTGTAGTTCAATCTAATGCAGGCCACAGTTTGGCTCTGGGTTTGTGCATCAGTGAAACCAGGATGTTGTATTTGAATAGATATAAATGGTGACATTGAAAGGCCTAGGGTGGGACTGGGTGGGAGTGAGACACATGCTAATCACACAGTGGACTCTCAGTCTGAGAAGACGACAAGTTGCTCATGATAATCATGGAAACAGGTTTAAATTAATGGCATGTTTATTCAGTGGTGTCTTCATCTATTGTTGGAAATCAAATGGTGGACAAAGGGTAAATACCAGAAAATATAGGCAATCATTTAAGAGAGAGAAGAAAACATAGAGGAGTTGGTTATGGGGAAGTTTCCAGAATGTAAATCAGAGAATTTTTTATTTTGGACGGAAAAGTTAAAAAGAGGAAGTTTGTTCTAAACGAAGTGAAAATTCAAATTCAAGCCAGAATTTCAGGAGGTAGGGCTCATTTGGAAACTCCTTTTGTTTATAACGTAGGTTTTTCTCCCCTTTATGAAGCAGATGCTTATACAAGCATTACTAGTGTTGTCAATAACACTGTAACATTTGCCTTCAATCCCTTTGTTGCTCAGGGAACATGTTGGGTTTCGGCACATTTAGCTTTGCCATTTACTTCACAAATTGCAGCTGGGTAGTGCTAAAACTAAGTTGATTTTACTGAGAATAAAAATTGAAGAAAAAAAATTCTCCTAACAACCTTTCCAGTAATCATAGGGCTGAAATGCTTTCGAGTGTGTGTGTGTGTGTGTGTGTGTGTGTGTGTGTGTTTTCCAAACAACTTGGTTTCAGTACAATGATGCTTCAATAAGAATCTTTCTGCAAATCTAATTCAAAAGGGAAGGCTTTGTTGTTATTAAACACAATGGCAGTTTGTACATCTCCACATCATTATGTTGCTTCTCATTATGGTAATTCATTTGCTTCTGCTTTGTATGGATATCAAATAAAAATCACTCTCGCTCCTGGCAAGTGATTGCATTATGGAGACACTCTGGGAGCCCAGCTAAGCGGTGCTTGGTGTCATAGCAAACACAATTAGCAAAATGGCATCCAGAGTGGCTATATGGAGTTGCCCTGTGGTGAATCTCTGCATTTTCTGTTTAGTGGGGCTGGAGGTTACTAGGCTTTGCCATGTGCTTTCTCTATTCTCATCTCTGTATCATTTTCTATTCAAGTGGAACAGCATGAGGACTTTGTGTGGATTTTATTTATTTTTTCTGATTGGCTCTTCCTCAGCACTCAGTAGGCTCAGGGAGCCCTGGGTTATTTTGCCCTCCGAGGAGCTCACGTTTCTCTAAAGAAGGGTCAAAGATAGCATCACCAAATGTTCACTCTGATATCATTGTGGGTTTTTTGGCCTTTTTATTCTTCTTTATTGCCTTTTTTCAACAATTAGAGTATTGAATTTTGTATAAGGTTAAAAAAAACCCTTATGGGTCATTATTAATAGCTCTATGTTAAAAAGAAAACAATTTAACATCACTCTCTGTAGAAGAATTTGAGGTGGGGCCATTGCTGCAAGCTGCAGAAGGCTACTCAGTCAATGATGGATTAAGGCTACTCAGTCAATGTTGGATTAGCCTAGATGGGATTGACAGCACCAGCTGCTTCTTTGAGATAAGAGACATAGATACAGTTCTTCACTGAGCCATGAAGAAAAAGAGGGCCTGGATTTGGTTGGACTGGTTCTTTTATGTGGAGGCACAGGGTTGTGCCTATGTTTGTCATTGATACTTGGCCTATAGTGTTCATTTTCATTATTCTGGGAAGCTTTTTCTGATGCCTCCAGGGAGAAATGGTTACTCTGCCCTCTAGGCCACTTGTGGTATATACCTGTTGAGTGTCTTCCCAAAAGCCATTCTAATTTCTGCTTCTTGCTCCTCCTCCTCCTCCTTTTTCTTTTCTACTTCCTTCCTGATAAAATCTGTAGCTTTGTGCCCCGGGAATGATCCCGTCTTAGTTCTAAGAGGTGATGCTTCATCATTGGTTTAAGTTTATCAGGGAATCAAAGTTCCTCCTCTAAGTAATTCAGTTAGGCATGGGCTTGAGATACAGTTCTGGCCAATGAACCTTGAGGGGAAGTTTGCTGGGGGACTCTGGAAGAGTTTTTCTCTCTTGTTAAAAGAAAGGCATGTTAAGAGAAACCATTCTTTTTCTGCTGCTGCATGAGGCTGTGACGTCCAGAGCTGTGGCAGCAATCTTGTGACAATTAGAGTCAACCATGAAGACAATATTCAACATGCTTGAGAATGGTCTAGTGGAAAAATAGAACTAATCTAGATTTTTTTTTTTTTTTTTTTTGAGACGGAGTCTTGCTCTGTCGCCAGGCTGGAGAGCAGTGGCGCAATCTCGGCTCACTGCAACCTCTGCCTCCCGGATTCAAGCAATTCTCCTGCCTCAGCCTCCTGAATAGCTGGGACTACAGGCACACACCACCACGCCCAGCTAATTTTTGTATTTTTAGTAGAGACAGGGTTTCACCATGTTGGCCAGGATGGTCTTGATCTCTTGACCTCATGATCCGCCTGCCTTGGCCTCCCAAAGTGCTGGGATTACAGGCATAAGCCACCATGCCCAGCCAATAATCTACATTTTTGATGTGTTGTTGAGTCACTGAATTAGCCTACCTTAAAATCTTTCTACCTTTGGGCTGCCTCTTTTTCTTCTTCTTTTTTTTTTTTTTTTTTTTGAGACAGGGTCTTGCTCTGTTGCCCAGGCTAGACTGTAGGTGCAGTCATAGCTCACTGCAGCCTCCAACTCCTGGACTCAAGCAATCCTCCCATCTCTGCCTCTTGAGTAGCCAGGACTACAGGCATGCATCCAGCTAATTGTTTTCATTTCTTGTAGAGTTGGGGGTCTCACTATGTTGCCCTGGTTGGTCTCAAAACTCCTGGCATCAAGCCATCCTCTTGCCTCAGCCTCACAAAACGCTTGGATTACAGGCATAAACCACCTCACCTAGCCGACCTCTGGACTTCTTTTAGATAAAATAATAAATTTTTATCATTTAAGGCTTTCTCAGTCAGGTTTTCTCCTGTTTGTAGCCCAAAACATGACAACTCATACAGTACTGGTCTATTTTGTACCTTTAGAAATGATCTTACTGAGAGGCTCTGTAATTATTATTATTTTTAAAAGGCTGACTCCTTGATTAGATGGTAGTTTCTTGAGGGTAGGTCTTACTTGCTTTGTAATCTGTCACCTTGCACAGATCCTGTTATATAAAAGTGTGGTACAAATTGTCAGATAAACACTATGAGGAATGCTCATCGTCAGGTAATCCAGACTCACACAATGAGCTTCTCCACATTTTGGCCCAGACTTGTCAAAAAAAAAAAAGTCAAGGGAAAGTTCTCTGTCATCTAAACACAGAAGTCAGATGCAATCTTCCCTCTGTGCTGTCTCGGGAAGTGATCAATGTTCCTCCAGATGAGCTACACCCAGGAACGCTTGGCTTTTGTACCTTGCTCAGAAAGTACATTCCTGAAAAATTATTTATAAATATTAAATTTTGTAAATATATTTTAGCTATGTTTCAGCTAATAGCTAAAGGAATCCCATTTTCCCCTTGAAAAGCAAAAAAAAAAAAAAAAAAGAACTTAGTCATTTTCTAACTTATCAGCATTCTTAAAATTTGCATATGTAGAGGAAACTCATCTTTACACGGAACTCTACTAGTTTAAGTTACTGCCCTTCTTTTTGGCTTGTTTTTACTTTTATGGAGGAGAGAAAAATGACGAGTTGATGAGTACTCATGAAATTGATTTTTAAAACTTCCCAGGTAATGCCACAGGCTGTATGCACATTCAGCTCAATCCTCTCCTCCAAGCTTTTACAACTGCAGTAGGAATCAAATTTGAGGTTAGTGATTTTTTTTTAATAGAAAGAGTGTTTAGAATGGTGGTTGTTCACCAGCTGGTTCCTAAAAGTCCACCTAACCCCAACATGTCTAGAGAAAAGAGAGGAACGTGTGATGGGGACCTGCAGACTTAGGCTCTGGAGTATTCCTACCGCTCTGTGTCTCAGCCAGCTTGAGGGCCCTGGGAAGCTCTTTCCCTTTCTGCTCCCACCTCTTGGGATTTCTTTAAAAATGAAAAAATATATATTTTGTTAATTAAACATTATCATTTTTGTCTTTATCCACCCCTTGGGATTTTACTTGCTTTTCCACAGTAGCCCAGGCCTCTCCCTTGTTTCCCACCTCACCCCTGTGCTGAGATGAGAGCAGGTTTTGGGAAGGGCACAAGCAGAGCAGAGTGAGGTGAAGGTGAACCCTGATGTGCCACCCCTTGGTCCCCACAGGGGACTCCTTTCCACAGGCGTCTATGCTCCCTGCTCCATCCTCCCTCATGAGTTCACTTCCTCTACATGTCCTGCCTTCTCGGGTCCACTCTCCATTTTCTCCAGCACACACTTAAACTTCTCCAGTGGTGTGCCTGGTACTTGTGCTTGTTTCTCTGAAAGGCAGGTGAGGCTCAAAGGTGTACTCAAATGTGTACCCTTTGAGTACAATCCGGAATATCAGTCAGGGCCCTGAGCAATGGTGATGCTGCGGGCTGGTCCTTCTCTGCCTCCGCAGGCTCCCTTTTTCTCTCCTCTTGTGCTTGAGTGTAGGATGGGGATGCTGTGGTAACCTGAATCCCTCCGTTGCTCAGGGCCCCCACGCTGTGCTATCTGTGCTTTGCATAAAGGCCCTGGACAAAGGGAGCAAGTAGAAGCTAACATCTAGCCTGTAATGTGCTCCCCAAGCTGTGTGCCTTGGCACGTGTCTGGTAGAACAAGGAGGGTGCCTTATTTACCCAATAAAGACACCTGTTTTTGTTGGCTCAGCTGTCCATAAAAATCAAGGTGCTGCTTTTTAGTTTGCACCAAGGCTCTAGAATGGCTAGTGGAGGCCCTGCCACTGCTGCTGTGAACTGGAGATCTGGCTTAGGAATGCACAAGAGGGGCTGATGCCCTCCAGCACTGTCTCCACCAGAGCATCTGCCAGGCCTTTCCAGACCAACACAATTCAAGCTGTGATAGAGGCATAGAATGGCCCTTTCTCGAAGAGCAGTGCGGATCTCCAAAGCCCAGCACAATTGTGGGAGGAAGAGAGGTAGTAACTTAATCCGTCTTTTGTACCATGTAATGGAAGGACCTGTAGATGGCCTTTGGATGCTGTTTCTCTCCCCTAAGTCATTCTTCCTTCCCAGAGAGCTTTCTCTTTGGAATTTCCAAGGCCGGTGCCCCCAACAACCCCATCTGGGCAATTTTATCCCACCCCACACAGCAGAAGAGCTTTCAGCTGTATCCCCCTCAGTTGCCTTTGTGTCTGGCACAGTTGAGAGCCTCAGGCTTTGGTTGGATGCAAATGGCATCTCTTCTTCATTTGGTCGTTAACTGCTCAGGGTTGGGGTGTTGGCTCCTGTCCTCTGCATTGAGGGTACCCCAGTTCCAGGTTAGCTTTCTCATGAGCAAGAGCTTCCTTACTAGTTTTCCTAAGAATCCAGCTCAACTTACCAAGCCTAGCATTGATTTTTTTTGATGTCCACACAGTTTAGTCCCATATGAATAAATCATATTTTTCTTGTTGGCATGACTTTGACCTTTTCCATTTCAAAACCAATAACCCCTGGCATTATTGTGCTAAGGAACATTTGATGTTTTCATGGGTCACTAGACTATCTCTAAATGGCTTTTTCTTTCCCACCCAATGGTTCCAATTCTGACTATATTATTTATTATTTCAAATCTCCCCTTACCTCCAACATAAGGTCAACGTAGGTTCTAGTTTATCAAATCATACTGGCATTGACTTTGTTTTTGACCCTAGTATGTAAATGAAAATGAAAAGTTAAACCAACACAGGAGGGAGCTGATTGATCCTTGACATTCCCCTGTCTTCACTGGCAGGAAAAATCTTTGAAACATGTTGTGCATTTTCAGGGGTGAGGAGGCTGGTCAGAAAAGCACAGGGGATGACAGGATCTGAAGTGCTGAGGGGCACAAAAGTTCTCATAGCTGCTTACTCCCCTTCTCCCCTCCATCCTGATCTTCTCCACTTTTTTCCCTTTTCTTTCTCTTTCCTCCTCTTGCTTTCCTCTCTACCCTGCCCCCAGTCTTTTTCCTTTCCCTTCTCTCTTCCCTTGGTATCACTAGAACTTCTCAGAAGCCAAGTAAAGAGCTGGATACAGAACTTTTAAGATGGTCCTTGAATTTCTGCAATGGCAATTGGGAAGGTGAGGATGGAGGGTATGGAGACCTCTAGCAGTACCTAGAAGGTAAATGGTCTTACGTTCTTTAGCACCCTGCCCGGGGCTGGTCAGCCTTTATACATGAGGAGTGCAGAATAGCTGAGCATAGGTGATTAGGAACTGCCTATACTGTAGGATGATAATCGATATGGATGATGGGGCACTGCATTTTGTTCTTCCTTTCCCACACCTTTCCCCTTCCAAGCCAATCACTCACTAAACCCTGTGGATTATACCTCCTAAAATCACCACTTCCTCTGTTAGTGACCTTTATTCTTAAAAACAAGTCAACTGTATTAATTTGGGTTCCCTGGAAAAACAGAACCTGAGTGAAGGACTTGAGTGAAGGAATAGTTGTCAGAAACAGCAGCAAGGGAGTAGGGGGAGTGATAGAGGGAAGGATGAAAAGCCAATATGAGTATGCGTTACTGAGATTTCCCACACAATACCCCCGGGGCCTCTGAGAAGCTTATGCCTCCTGGAACTGTCCACTTACAGGATGGGTGGCTGAGGAATGTATCCACCAGCTCCTGTCTCTTACGGGTTGCAGGTTGTCTCTAGAGACATTCACCCAAGGCTCACATGGGTTGTGAGGCTGAACGGTTCCCAAGGCATTGCACAAGGCCCTGAAGCAAAAAGATGAAAGATATACACATGGTGTGTTGAGATGGGATGCTACCAGGGTGAGGTGAGTCTGGTGTCTGGCAGAAACCATTCACCATGGTGAAAACCACCCACCACAGCAGGGACCATCCACCACAGTAAGCACCGTTCATCACAGCAGGGCCTGCCCACCACAGTGGGAACTGACCATCATAGCAGGAACTGTCCACCACAGTGGTGACTGACCATCACTGTGGGGACTGACTACCTCAGGGGGAACTGACCACCACACTGGGGACATGCCATTATAGTATGGACTGACCACCACAGTGGGGACTGACCATCATAGTGGGGACTGATTATGATAGTGGGAACTGACCACCAAAGTGGGGACTGACCACCACAGTGGGGACTGACCATCACAGTGGGGACTGTCCACCAGATTGGGAACTGACCACCACAGTGGAGACTGACCATCATAGTGTGGACTGACCACCAGAGTGGGAACTGTGCACCACAGTGGGGACTGACCACCACAGTGGGAACTGACCACCACAGTGGGGACTGAACACCACATTGGGGACTGACCACCACAGTGGGGACTGGCCACCACAGTGGGGACTGACCACCACATTGGGGACTGGCCACCACAGTGGGGACTGACCATCATAGTGTGGACTGACCACCAGAGTGGGAACTGTCCACCACAGTGGGGACTGTCCACCGCAGTGGGGACTCACCATCACAATGGGGACTGACTACCAGAGTGGGAACTCTCTATCATCGTGGGAACTGTCCACCACAGTAGGGACCGTCCACCACAGCTGTGGCTGAAATCAGAGATGGGCCACAGAAATGCAGCATGGACAAATACGGAAGTAGAAACAATGAGCCTTAAGCTTGTCCTGAACTCTGGCCTAAAATACACCCTATCTGACTATGAGGTAATGAAGAACATGTGTGGTTTGTTAGTGTTCTGCTCTACTTTGGTGCTTTTCTAAAAATTTCCTAATCAATTCCTAACTGTTAAACCATAGGTCATTTCTATCTTTAATGTCAAAATTAAAAAGTAATTAAGGAATAAAATATCGCAAAGTAAACCTTAAAGGTAACTGTATATTTTACTTTCTATGATCCTATTTTATATACTATTTAGAAAAGAGAAAGAAAACAAAGTAACATTTCAAAAACAAGTTAATTCAGAAACATACTTAAATACAGTTACTGTGTAATGAGAAAGACCGAGGTGTGCTGGTGTGATAAGAGGCAGGAGATGGGGAGACTCAGCTATCCTGAGACCGTGAGGACAAGGTGAGGGAATTACAGGTGAGAAGTGGATCCTGAACCTCCTCTGTATCACAGGCATTGAGGTCTGAGTCTGACTCCTCCCATGAGGCCAAAGGAAACCTATTACATGGATATTTTGGAGAAGGATAACGGGCTAAGGTGGAGAGCTGTGGTTGGTTTGCTAGAAGAGATAAAGGACTTTGGGTTTGATACAACAGACGTGGGGAAAGGAAGAGAATTGATAGTTTTTTCTCTTTTAAGATCATCACAATCCTTGATAGCGCAGCATGCCGTTCTTCACATCTTCACACCATTTTGAGTTTTTAGGTTTTCTCATGTCAGAGGCAGGGGTTTCCCTACCTTGTGAAGAAGGAAGTATGTGGCAGGTGACACTGCACACACAATGCCGTCCTCACTGGGGCCACATGCTGCCAGAGCGCCAGGGTACCAATTAAGAATAAAGGCTATTTTTAGGTAATTTTGAAATTTTTTGTAAATTGTAAAAATGGGTACAAATTTCTATAAATCAGTCTTCCAAAAAATATTTAACAGAAATTAAAATGTTCCTGTGTGTGGGGATGGTACTCATCGCACCCATCTGTTTCTGTTCACTCCCAGAGCGACACCGATCTGCATTCATTTCACGGCCACCACAGTACAGGCCATCACCAGCTCTGCCCTGGGTCACTACCTCTAGTCTTTCTCTCTTGCCTGTATTTCTCACATGTCTTTTACAGAGATCTTTCCAAGAAGAATATTGGATCATGGTATATTTGTGAGAGTTAATTTTATGTGTCCACTTAACTGGATCACAATGTGTCCGGAATTGGTTCCTTCTGGTGGGTTCTTGGTCTCGCTGACTTCAAGAATGAAGCCACGGACCCTCGAGGTGAGTGTTACAGTTCTTAAAGATGGTGTGTCCGGAGTTTGTTCCTCTGATGTTCATATGTATCCGGAGTTTCTTCCTTCTGGTGGGATCGTGGTCTTGCTGACTTGAGGAGTGAAGCCGCAGACCTTTGCAGTGAGTGTTACAGCTCATAAAGGTAGTGTGGACCCAGAGAGTGAGCAGCAGCAAGATTTATTGTGAAGAGCGAAAGAACAAAGCTTCCACAGTGTGGAAGGGGACCCGAGTGGGTTGCCGCTGCTGGCTCGGGTGGCCAACTTTTATTCCCTTATTTAGCCTGGTCCACGTCCTGCTGATTGGTCCATTTTACAGAGTGCTGATTGGTCTGTTTTTACAGAGTGCTGGTTGGTGCGTTTACAAACCTTTATCTAGACACAGAGCACTGATTGGTGCGTTTTTACAGAGTGCTGATTGGTGTGTTTACAAACCTTTAGCTAGACATGGAGCACTGATTGCTGTGTTTACAATCCTTTAGCTAGACAGAAAAGTTCTCCAAGTCCCCACCCGACTCAGAAGCCCAGCCAGCTTCACCTCTCAACAAGATGTCCACATATCTAGTTAAACTTTATTTTGGGGTGTGTCTGTGAAGGTGTTTCTGGAAGAGATTAGCATTTGAATCAGTAGATTGAGTAAAGCTGATTTCCCTCCCCAAAGTGGGTGGGCATCATCCAATCCCTTGAGGGCCTGAAGAGAACGAAAGGATGGAAGAAGGGAGAATTCACTTTCTCTCTCTCTCTCTTTCTGCTTGACTGTTTGAATAGAACCCTGATCTCCCACGCTTGGCCTTCCTGCTTCTCAGGCCTGTAGACTCAGGCTGAAATCTACACCATTGGCTTTCAGGTTCTCAGATCTTTGAACTACACCATAGGCTTTCTTTGGAGAACCCCAACTAATAAAACATCCTTGCTTGAAATCCTTCAAGCTCTCATGGTTGTTCTTAAGACAAATTGCAAACTCCTTGCATCCAACAACAAACATTCTTAAGATCATGAGGGCAGAATGCATGTCTGTCTTTGCACCCCATGTCTTCATACCCAGCACACTGACCACTGACTATTAAATAGTAAGACTCAGTGAATTTTTATTTTTAGCCCCTGTCATATCCAAGGTGACTTTAGCTCTCTAGGGTGGCTCCCTCACAGAAAGTGACTTCAGCATCCAGACCATTTACATTTGGAAAATGTAATTTCTCTGATCACTGTGGCAGAGGAAAAGAGCTGGAGGGTTGCACAAGGTTGGTTTACTATTTCAGCCAAGAAGACCACACTTTTAAGCCATCAAACAGACTGAAGAAATAGTGCTGACCTGACTGTAAGGAAGTCTGGGAAATGCTATCTTCTTGCGTGCCCAGTAATAGGAAATGGAACTATCGATTATAGCATTTTGTCTGCCATAAGAGTTAATTAAGAATGAACAACCTAGACTTTGGGAAATGCATTGTTTGTATTGTAATAGCCCTGTTTATGCCATGAAAGTTGAATTTCAACCTGTGAGTGGTGTGAATGATTCCTCTGAAGGTCCTGGCTGTTTCTGCTCTCAGTCATGCTTGGGGAAAAAGGTGGGTCTTGAATTTGGGGAAGAAAACTGCCATTTTTCACCATCTGGACCAGAGGATTTAGGATCTCATGACTATGGGATAAAGTGGTCAAGCGAGTCTGATCAATGGTAGTGGAAAGAAAAGTACAAGATGAATCGATCATGTTGTTACATGGAGTTATTTGAGAGCAAGGTAGGGACTCTAAAATTGGCTGTAGGGTTTGTGAACTCTAAGAGGGCCAACAGCAGAGGAAGAGTAACTCATTTTTAGCACTGAGTTCTCTAAATGCCAAACTTTCACTTTATCTTTGGCTAACGCCACTGACTTAACTGTGTTTTTATGGAAATCAGGGAGCAATCAGAGTCCATGTTTGGATGAAATCTGCACAGCGTGAGCAGCCCACAGGAGTAAGTTCCAAGATGGGAGCATTAGGCATAGAGGTCTGGTATGCCAGGATTAGGAAGCCAGAGTGGGTAAAAGGGTCACTTTAGCAGATTGATTAGCAGAACATGTAGTAGACTGCTCCAGAGTCCCAGAAATTACTTGGGTTGGAGAAAACCTACAGAAAGTTTTGACTTCCTTTCCTTGTGGGGATTTGGGAGCCTAAAGGTGCTATGGCTAGGATATGCAAAGAAATATGACCTTATTTTGTGACTTAGCTGGTGAAGTGGGACATTTAAGCTACAAATATAATGAATATTAGAAGAGTACTTTACAGCCTGTGGTGACATACATTAGCCCTGACTTTTCTCCTCTCATAATAGAAATTACACTTACCAAAAGAGATAGAAAAGCACTTTGCAAGAAAAGTTAAATAATGTTATTCATCATTGTTAATGATAAACAGTAACCACAACAATAACAACGACAGCAAGCTTACCCCGACAATAACAAACACTGCAAACTTATTTGTTCTTGATATTTTCTGGACACCCACATCTCTTATTTTAATCTTTGTTTTGCTTTTAAAATTATCCAACTCATTTTAGTGTCAACTTTAGTTGCTGCATTCATCAACTTGGAAAGCCCGTTGCCTTGGACAGAAGTGTCATTCGATATGTTTGATATATTCAGCTCTGCATCAGTAATCTATTTGCAAAATTGTCCAATTTGAAAGTGACACATTTGATTCAGGTGACTTTCCTTTCTCTAGCACAGTAGAATTTGAAGGAATTCAAGAGGTGCTGGATACTAGTCACCAAGGAGAAAGGACAATAAAGCGATGTGTAAAGTACTCAAGAGAAAATTGTTGTGCACCATTAGTAGTTGAACTGAATGAAGAGCCCTGTGAAGTTGAACTTCCCCAAACAAAAGGCAATGACATCGGGAGGGCAACAGAATCTTTTTAAGTTTTTGAAATCTTTTTAGTTGACTTAGGTTTTTAAATATTTTAATGTTATTTATTCCAATTATAAGTAGTGCCTAGTTATTGTAGAAAAATTTAAAGTATAGCTATATAAAAATATAGAAAAAAAACAAACAAAATAAATTACCCACAATTCTGTCACCAGAGAGAATGATTATTCATAGTTTGGTATAATTTCTTCCATTCATTTTGCAGTGTATACAAATTATCATTGTTATTATTTTAATTAAAAGGAATTAATTTGAACATACAATGGAAATCCTTATGTTAAGAAGCTAGGTTGAGCCTCCACTGTAAGTTTGTGATTTAACTTTTGCTGGACACTCATTGAATCTCTGCAGTGTAAAGCATTAGTAAACATAAAGGAGACCCATTCCTAGCCTTAAAGAGCTTATTGTGATCCAAGGAAGGTGTCAAGGAAAATAAATGTTCAATTTAAAGCAAGGAGTACTTATTGAGAAATTATGATGTGACCAGTCCTGTGTCAAATAACAGAGCTGTGGATGCAAAGGAGTAAGTACCTGGATTCTGTCTTCAAGGCCCTCACAGTGCCATGGAAGACAAAGGACATGACTTACACACAATACAGTAAGAAGGAAACCACAGTCACAAATAATTAATATTTTAGGAAGTCAGAGGAGGGAACACTTATCATGAGTTGAGGCCATAAGGAGCACTTGACTGAAGCGGTGGTTTTCAAGGTGGGTCCTTTAGGGTGGAAGGGATCTGGAAGGCAAGCAGTGAGTGAGATGACAGAGCACCTCAGCCAAAGGCCCCTGGACCCTAAAACTTAAAGTATATTAAAAAAAAAAAGTTTCTGAGGACCAGGACCATGGAAGGTGAACAGGAGATAGCACAGGTGTTGGGAGATTAGGGTGGAACAAAAAGTTCATCCAGAGGAGTCCAAGGCCAGCACTTCTTCTGTATTGTGCATTCCTAGGTTACAAAAGATTAAGTTTCTCTTTTAAACCTAGATGCCAGCAGTTTTAATGAATGAGCCTTTGTTTGTAACACGGTCTTATTTTCTAAAAGGAGTAAGAGTGATTTTCACCCATGGACTTATTGAAATCCACAATCTATGACAAGGATCACTGTAACCTAGTCACACAATTTAATTTTGAACTTGCAGTGTTCTTTTTGCCTTCAAAATGTTTTTTATTTATATATTTTAAAATTTATTTTTTAAATGGACAAATAAAACTATATATATTTTTGGTGTATAGCAGGATGGTTACACATTGTAGAATGGCTACTTTGAGCTAATTAACATTTTTTGTGATGAGAACAGTTAATATCTACTCTCAGTGATTTTCAAGTATGCAATGTATTATTATAAACTATAGTCACCATGTCATACAATAGATCTCTTGAGTTTTTTCTTCTTGTCTAGCTGAAATTTTGTGTCTTTTGACCAAGATCTCACAACTCATCCCCCACACCAAACCCCTGGACCAGGTAAACACCATTCTACTCAGCTTTTATGAGTTTGACTTTTCAAAATGTGTATATAAGTGAGATCTCTTTTCTTAAGTTATTCCAGTAAAGGGAACACCTAGTAGTAATGTTCAGAAACTTTCTTTTTTTTGGTGATCCATGAGAGTCAGTGTAAACATGTAATCAGAACACATTACTGGAAGTCTTAGAGAACAGTAATTAAGAGAATAGATGTCAAATTCTGCCACTGTCCAGCTGTGTGACCTTGGGTAAGTTACTTGATGTCTTTGAGCTTCAGTTTTCTCATCTGCACCATAGGCAAAATGATTCCCATGGCACAGAGTTATTGTAAGGATTAAATGAGATACGTATGTAATATAATTTCTGGCATAAGAAATGTGCTTAGACAATCATAGCAGCTACTGTTATAGGCAGAGAATAAGTGAGGTGACTTCCTCATAGCTTGCTATTGGATTACTTAAGAGCCAGAATTGGCTGGAAAGTGTGGCAATTTGAATTTGCTGCAAACCCTACCAGAGCAGTGTTTAAAATCGTGGTTGGGCTGATATCAACAGAAGAATGATGCTAAGCTCTTAATGAGTAAGCATTAAGTACTTGAACATAAACACCCTGAATCCATAACCTATTAGACAGTCAAGGAAGCTCAGCCTCCCTCAGAGCATTTTTGTTATCTTTTAACTTGAGAAGATTTTATTTCTAAACTTTAGTCTTAAAATAAGAAGACAATTTGAGGTTACACTCTAATGAGATTTTACAGCATTTATTTATGTTGCAGATGAAGGTAAGACAGAAGATGTATCTACTGGGTACTAGATGAGCTATTTGGAAATTTATAAGCTCAACCAATGTTATTGCCCGGATGAAAGACTATTGCACCAATGCAGAGGTGGACTGCAGAATCTGGAATATTTTCTTGACTCCATGCCTTTGTACATGCTCTTCTCTGCCTGGATACAACCTGTATCACTACCACTTTCTGCTAAAAAATCCGGCCAACCCCTGTTTATCCTTCAAGTGGGTTTCTCTGGTCCCTCAAACCTTGGTTTAGGAGCCTCTCCTATGTATCTTCACAACATTTTATTCTTTAGTTCATGCTACCCTTTCCTAATTTGTGGAGGCTAAACAGAAGGAATGTGGCGGAACAGTATAAACTGTTTATACATTTATACCATAAACATTGGAATAAAAGTGCTGTTAGCTAAAAAAAGATTCTCCTCTCCCAAAGTCCCAGGTGCCTCTCAGTTTTTAGTAAGATGTAACTTCTGCAGCTCAAAAATAGATAAGATCAAAATGTTCCAGGCAGTTTCATCAAGCCTGATTCCCACTTTTTCAGAAGTCGGCCTTTGAGTCCAACGGCAGTGCAGTTTCCAGATGGTCTGTATAATCAGACTAAGTCGGGCGTGTCATATAACAAAACCTAAAAAGTGTATCTGAAAATGTGTTTTATGTACCTTACCTAGAAACTCTTTGGTCAGAAGAAGGCTGATGATTTGGATTTCTCTTACTCTACTGATGATTAAATGACACTCACTTACTGCCTCCTGCAATGAGAGTAGCAGGTAGTTCCGTGGTGCTCTGGAATGAAATTGCTTGTTTGTGTATCTGCCTTCCCTATGGGTATGTGAGTTCCTTGAAAGCAAGGGCCACACCTTGCTGTCTCATAGCCTCTGAACCCAGTACAGCACCTATCACATGGTAGATGCTCACAAACATTTGTTGAATAAAAGAATGAAGAATTCATCAGTTAGGGTCTGGATGATACTTTAAACCTGAGCCCAAGTTAGGGGACATTGAGAGCTGGCTTCCTTATCTTTAAGGTTAGGGAAGGCTCAGCCTTTAGGACATTATCATTGCTCAATCCCCTTCAGGGAGCAGGGGGTGTCTGCTTGTCCTTCCCAGAAGAGTGGGCCAAAAATCACCTTCTAATGTTGCAGAGAAACAAAAGAAAACTTTCTGTATCAGAACTACATTTTGGATTTGAGATCTTCTGAAACTCTATATAAAATGGCTTTTTTTCCCATACCCCCAGAGAAAGAGTGCTTAATTTTACTCAGATTCTCAAGGTTGTCTCTGATTCCTCAGAGAAGAAGGATCATTGCTCCAGAGCCTTTTTAAATATGGGCCAGCCTTTCTTAAGATGAGAGACCCTTTTGACACTGTCACCAGGTAAAAAGCACTGAAGATGCCCCACCATAGGAATGTTTCCTTTCCCTTTAGGCATCGGTGCCATTTCTGTGCCTGATGATGTTGTCTTTGCCAGAGAGGACTCTAGAGGGTATAAGTCAACTTTTTTCCTCCATTTACAATACAGATCAATGGCTTGCTTATCTGTCCTACCCCACCTATGCCCTACTATCAACTTGCCTATCCAAAAGTAGAATGTAAAATCCTGCTTTTACACATAGAAGCTTTGTACTTTCACAGCCTGCCTAGTCTTTCTAAGGCTTGTTTTCTTCATATCTAAATATAATGTTCCTCACCTCTTCGTATAATGTTCTTGGCTTAGAATGTTGCTCATGCATTCATTTATTCACTCAGCACATATTTATGGAAGGCCTATTATGCACTGGGTACTGGGCTAATGGTGAATAGGACAGATGGATCTCTATTCTCACAGAACAAATATCCTAGGGGAAGGAGTCAGACAATGAGCAAATAGAAAAACAGAATACAGTATCAGATGCTGATGAGTGGTACGTAGAGCATTCAATATAAATGATGTCATTGAAAGTGACTGGGGACTAGATTAGACTGGGTCATCATGGAGTGCCCCTTTGCAGTAACATTTCAGATGTGAAGATCAGGGCAGAGGAGGTAGTTAGTGCCACAGCCAGGGTGGTGATGAATTCCATGTGTCTGAGGAATGCCAGTGTGGGTGGGCAGATATGGCTTTGAAAGTCATGGTAAGTAGGTTTGGAATGGGTTTTAAGTACAGTGAGAGGCCTTTAAAAGCATTTTAAGCAGGAGACGGATGTGCTGTAAAATACTTTATAAAAGATCATTGCAGATTCATGTTGTGTGGGCATGAATTGTAAAGAGTGAAGAATGAGGGCCAGGCATGAGGTGGCTCATGCCTGTAATCCCAGTACTTTGGAAGGCTGAGGTGGGTGGATTGCTTGAGCCCAGGAGTTTTAGATCAGCCTGGGCAACATGGTGAGACCCCATTTCTACAAACAATACAAAAATTAGCCGGGTGTGGTGGCTTGTGCCTGTATTCCCAGCTACTCTGAAGGCTAAGGTGGGAGGATCACCTGGGCCTGGGGAAGTCAAGGCTGCAGTAAGCTGTGATTGAACCACTGCAGTTCAGCCTGGGCAACAGCATGAGACCCTGTCTCAAAAAAAAAAAAAAAAAAAAAAAAAAAGAGAGAAAAGAATGAAAGCAGGGGAACTAATTAGGAAGTTACTCCAGTAGTCGGAGCTATAGACAGTGGTGGCTTGGACTGAGGTGTGCGGATGAAGAGAAGTGGCTGATTGCAGATATATGTGCAAACTACTTGGTCCCAGGCCTGACACATGATAAATATTCAATAAACTCTAGCTGCTATCATCATCATCATTACTACTATTGGCTGGTAAAATGAAACTGGACCAAGTAATGGACCAACATAACAGTGGTTTTAAGAATATTACTGAGTTCAGAGCAAATTAGGTAGGATGAGCCAACTATCATCTGTACATAGACATTTAATTACTGTTACTTTTCAAGCACTGTTTTAAATGTTGAGTTTTCAACACTTTTCTCTTTGCATCTTGAGAAGAAATCTATCATTTACTTGTTTCAGGATACACTGTTTAGTCATTTTGTAGTGAAAGATCCTGATTATCTTCAAATGACAGATACGAAACAGTGAATTCTAAGTTGTGTGGAAGATGTAATATATTGCACTGCTCTGGAATTTATTATGAGCAAGGAATAGGAAAAAATTAGGGAGTTAACATCTAGGAAGAAAGCAAAACTGAAAAATGACACAGATAGATGAATATATTTATGGATACATGTCATACAGTTTGATGCCAGAAAAGCCAAATGAAGAAGTAATGTTCTGAAAACAACTCACAATTACTAAACCACTAAGCTCTGAGTCAGAGCAATATGAAGACTAGTGACAGTCATACATATATTGTTGCTATGGAGGTTTTTAAAGTTGAGAGAGAAAGAGAGACTGCACTGTCCTTTTTCTTTTATTGCCCCCTTTTCAGAAGTCTTTGGCTCTGTACTTGAACAAATGCATATATCTTTTCAATCTACCTTTATGAAGCAAGCTTGTATTTACAAGCTAAAGCTAAATTATTCTGAGACATAGAAATCTTAAGTGAAAGACAGACATCCTTGCAATCCCTTTAGTCATGGTGATCTCTTCAACTGTTAGAATTCACCGGAGAAAGCTAGGCTTTTCAGCTAAGTGGTCCCATCACTGTAGAGTAATCCCTGTAATGACTAAAAATATAGCAACACTTTCTAAGAAAACACTAGGTTCTAAATGATAATATTCTACTAGGCCAGAGCAAGTTTGTTTTCAAAATGTGGACACTAATATTTTGCCAGCAATGTGGCTTCTAGATATACTGATGCAGTTATTCAAGTTTACTGAGTGCTCACAGTGGGACAATAATTTTGGCAGTGAATTTTTGCTATTTTCAAAATTTTTCTCTTTGCTCTCTCTTTTCTTCTATTTTTGAAAATTCTGACAATAAAAATGAAAGGGTCTGCCTATGGTTAGCTTAAAGATACATCTTTTAATAAAACAAAATCATCTAAAATTCTAGTAAAAAATAGCATTTCCCAAAGTACATTCTGTGGATCACTGATTCTTCAAGGCACTGCTTGAAAGAAATTTCAGACATCCTGACTGTTGTATTCCCCTCTCATATCTGCTTGAGCCCTACTTAAAGCCCATTAATTCTACCACCATGTCTTCAAGATCATGGATGGCCACAATCTCATAAAGACACTATCAGAAAATTAGCAGAACAAGCCATGGTACCTACAGCTCCAAGCTGGTCTCCAGGCTATAGTTGATATTTATCATCTTGCTTCTCCACCCATTTTAGATTTCCTCTACCCTTGGCCATCACTTTTGCTGCTTTAGATTGCTTGTGTGATACAGTAACTGAGACACTTATCCCTGCAGGTCTTACTCCCTGCTTACCATGCCCTTGTGAGGCCATGATTGCTGCAATTTCTGGTTCACCATTATCATTAGCAATGGAAACACCAAGAGACACCTCAGTGAATTTCCTGAGTTCCAGGCATGCTCCTCCCTGCCCCTATTAGGGAGCAGCAACCCTAGTTCCTCCTGATGATCAAGGAAGATTTCCCCCACCAGAATGAGTCCTTCTTTTGGCTGCTGGTCCTCAAGCATGAAGCCCAGAGTGATCAGGTGGCAGTTTTGGTTTTCGGTTCACTGGAATCCTTATCAGGTTCCCCAGTGCGAGGGTAGCCCCACTGGCAACCAGGACCTCTAGTCCAGTAGAACCTAAGTTGTAGGACTGGGAAGCACAAATATTAAGTGAATTAAGTGAATTACTGGGAGCAATGGTGAGAAGGGCCAATTTTACTTCCATCTCTTCATCCCTGAGCCTGTGTATATTAGGCTTCTCTAGAGGAGAACTAATAGGAGATATTAATAAAGTCCTATATATATATATATATATATATATATATATATATATATATATAAAATTTACAACAAACTCCCATATATATATACATATGTGTATATATATGTGTATATATGTGTGTATATATATATGTATGTATATATATGAGTTTATAAAGGAGTATTGACTCACATGATCACAAGGTAAAGTCCCACAATAGGCCAGCTGAGGAGCAAGGAAGCCAGTCTGAGTCCCAAAACCTCAAAAGTAAGGAAGCTGATGGTACAGCCTTGAGTCTGTGGTCAAAGGTTCGAGAGCCCCTGGCAAACCTCTAGTGTGGATCCACAAGTCCAAAAGCTGAAAAACCTGATGTCTGATGTTTGAGGGCAGGAGGCATCCAGCACGGGAGAAAGATGGAGGCCAGAAGACTTAACTAGTCTAGTCCTTCCATGTTCCTCTGCCTGCTTTTATTCTAGCCATGCTGGCAGCTGATTAGGTGGTGCCCACCCAGATTGAGGGTGGGTCTGCCTCTCCCAGTCCACTGACTCAAATGTTAATCTCCTTTAGCAACACCCTCACAGACACACGCAGGAACAATACTTTGCATCCTTCAATCCAATCAAGTTGACACTCAATATTAACCATCACACTGTGTATTTTAGCGATGGTAGATGCAGCACCGTGTATCAGTGGTTGGTTCGGTGCATCCGAGAGAGCTCTCCAACCTAGAGGGTTTTGTCTCTGGACGGACATCTTATTCGAATGTTTTAATAGTCTGTTCAAACATTCTATCAGATCTGCTGCTTCTGGGTGAGGTGGTTTATGGTAGGATACACGGATGTTACAGTCACATACCCTTCTCGCTGACACACATCCTTTGCTAGAAAATGTGTCCTTTCATCAAAGGCAATGGTGTGAAGAGGTAAATCGGGAATTCTAAAAGCCCTTGATAGTGGGTAGGGAAGGCAAACACATATAGAGTAGGTTTTATTTCTGCTAAGAGCAAATCTCTTCTCCTTCCAGGGTGGAATGTCTCAAGACATTGAGGGTGGCACTAACTTCTGTAACTCACCCTAAGGTGTGGGATTGCTTCTAATTTACTATTTTCATTTGGAGGGCAATATCAGGGGCATCCTTCTGGCCTTTCCTGCCATAGTTACTCTTATTCCACAAGTCATGAAGCCAATATAAGGTTCTGTAGCTGCTAAGATATCTATACTAATTATGTACTCAGGATCTGGGGAAGAGCCATGGGCTGGGTCCTTGGACTCGTGGGACGCAGTATAAAATTCACTTAGGTTAGGACTCCATTTACCACCTGACCTCTGAGAGTCCACACTTCGTTAATGTTCCCTGGTGCCACTGCCAGCTCAGACTCTATATTTATCATCCCTTTATTCATCATTCCTCAAAGTGAAATGTTTGGGTATGCCACTATATTAGTCTGGGTTCTCTAATAGAATATCTATGCATATATATGAATTTATTAAGTTTTAACTTACACGATCACAAGGTCCCACAATAGGCTGTCTGCAAGCTTGAGGAGCAAGGAGAGCCAGTCTGAGTCTCAAAACTGAAGAACCTGGAGCCCGATGTTTGAGGGCAGGAAGCATCCAGCATGGGAGAAAGATGTAGGCTGGGAGGCTAGGCCAGTCTCACCTCTTCAAGTTTTTCTGCCTGCTTTATATTCGCTGGCAGCCGATTAGATTGTGCCCACCAGATTAAGGGTGGGTCTGCCTTCCCCAGTCCACTGACTCAAATGTTAATATCCTTTGGCAACACCCTCACAGACACAGCCAGGATCAGTATTTTGCATCCTTCAATCCAATCAAGTTGACAGTATTAACCATCACAAGTCCACCCCTTGTCAACTTGAACCCATGCATATCTCCTGAGATCACAATCTTCAAATAAAGACAATAATAAGGTCATAATTATGCCTAACATGATACAACTATCCTTCATACATCCAGAAATGCACCAATCTCCAACCTAAATACTGTTATATAAAGTTACCAATACTTAAATGCTGATGTGAAGTAAATAAATCTTACGCCACATGATAAAGGAAAATGAAATAAAATGAAGATATTTTCTTAGTGCAAAGGTATATATACACAAACATGTTTTTAACAAAAGAAGGAGGAAATACTCATGACAGTTACAGTCCTCGTTTCTGCAGCTGGTCACGTGGTCATAGCTGGTATTGATGACTACCTTCTTCTACTACCCATTCTGTATTCCCTTTGCCTTCAGCAAACACCTCAGCAGGTCATGGTTTTTTTCCTGGTGGAGTGACCCAAACCTTCATTCCTGAGGGGTCTGGGCGATTTGTAGTCCTGCCTGGATTGGGCTGTTGTAGTTTCCCATTGCCCTCAATCACAGGACATGGTAATATTAAGAGATGCCCCAATGAGTCTCCTGTATTCCATGCATGCTCTTCCTTACATCTGTCATGAGTAGTAGACTGATTTCATCTTGATAGTTGGGTCAGTCACCCCAGCCAACACTGTAACACCCTTCTTAGCCTGTTGACTTAAAGGTAAGAGGAGCCCAAAGTGTTCAGGTGGCAATCTTAACTTCCAGTTTAATGGAATCATTGTTGTGTCTCCTGGGGGCAGTGTTCCTCCCTGTGGAACTAAGACCTCTAGGCCAGCAGAACGTAATGTCGTGGAAACAGGAAGCAAAATTTTGCTAGTGGATCACTAGGGGTGACGGTGAGTGATGCCACTTTTACTTCTACCCCTTGATTCCTGGACCCGTGAATCCTGGCTATGGGAGAAACAGTACCATACATTGGACGCTGATTCAGAGCATACATGGCCTTCTGGAGAATTCTAGCCCAGCCCTGCAAAGTATTGTCACCTAATTGGCGTTATAATCGTGACTCCAAAAGGCCATTCCACCATTCTATCAATCCAGCTGCTTCAGGATGATGGGGAACAAGGTAACACCAGTGAATTCCATGAGCATGAGCCCACTGCCACACTTCTTTAGCCATAAAGTGAGTGCCTTGGTCAGAGGCAATGCTGTGTGGAATACCATGACGGTGGATAAGGCATTCTGTGAGTCCACTGATGGTAGTTTCGGCAGAAGCATTGTGTGCTGGATAGGCAAACCCACATCCAGAGTAAGCGTCTATTCCAGTGAGGACAAACCTCTGCCCTTTCATTGATGGAAGAGGTCCAATATAATCAACCTGCCACCAGGTAGCTGATCACCCCAAGGAATGCTGCCATATCGAGTGCTTAGTATTGGTCTCTGCTGCTGGCAAATTGGGCACTCATCAGTGGCTGTAGCCAGGTCAGCCTTGGTAAGTGAAGTCCATGTTGCTGAGCCCAGGCATAACCTCCGCCCCTGCCACCATGGCCACTTTGTTCATGGGCCCATTGTGCGATGACAGGGGTGGCTGGGGAAAAAGGCTGAGTGGCGTCCACAGTACAGGTCATCCTATCGACTTGATTATTAAAATCTTCCTCTGCTGAGGTCAACCATTGGTGAGCACTCACATGGGATACAAATATCTTCACAGTTTTTGGCCACTCAGAGAAGTCCAGCCACATACCTCTTCCCCAAATTTCTGTGTAACCAGTTTTCCAATCATGCTTCTTCCAAGTCCCTGACCATACAGCCAAACCATTGGCTACACCCCATGAATCAGTTTATAATCACACATCTGGCCATTTCTCCTTCCTTGCAAAGTGCACAGCCAGGTGCACTGGTTGAAATTCTGCCCACTGGGAAGATTTCCTTTCACCACTGTCCTTCAGGGATGTACTAGAAAGGGGCTGTAGTACTGCAGCCGACCACTTTCGGGTGGTGCTTGCCTATCATGCAGAATCACCTGTGAACCAGGCCCTAGTCTTCTCTTCCTCTGTCAGCTGATCATAGGGAACTCCCCACGAGGCCATTGGTGCAGGCTGGGGGAGAGAAGGAAGGGTGGCAGGAGTGGAGACCTTGGGCATTTGAGCCCTTTCCTCATGTAACTTACTTGTGCCTTCAGGATCTGCTCAAGCCCGATCACGTATATACCACTTCCATTTGGTGATAGAATGCTGCTGTGCATGACTCACTTTATGGCTAGATGGGTCAGAAATCACCCAGTTCATGATAGGCAGTTCAGACTGCATGGTGACTTGATGACCCATAGTTAAATGTTCAGTTTCCACCAAAGCCCAGTAACAGGCCAAGAGCTGTCTCTCAAAAGAAGAGTAGTTATCTGCAGAAAATGGCAGGGCCTTGCTCCAAAATCCCAGAAGCCTCTGCTGTGATTCACCTATGGGGGACCCGCCAAAGGCTCCAAACAGCATACCTATCTGTCACTGAAACCTCAAGCACCATTGGATCTGCTGGGTCATATGGCCCAAGTGGCAGAGTGGCTTGCACAGTAGCCTGGACCTGTTGCAGAGCCTTCTCCTGTTCTGGACCCCACTCAAAACAGGCAGCCTTTCAGGTCACTCAATAAATAGGCAGAGTAACATGGCCCAGTGAGGAATGTTGCCTCCAAAGTCTAAATAGGCCCACTAGGTGTTGTGCCTCTTTCTTGGTTGTAGGAGGGGTCAAATGCAGCAACATACTCTTCACCTTAGAAGGAATATCTTAACAGGCCCCACATCACTGGACCCCTAGAAATTTTACTGAGGTAGAAGGTCCCTGAATTTTAGTCAGATTTATTTCCCATCATCTGCCACTCAAATATGTCACTAATAAGTCCAGTGTGTTTGCTACTTCTTGCTCACCAGATCCAATCAGCATAATGTCATCAATGTAATAGATCAGTGTGATATCTTACAGAAGCAAAAAGCAACCAAGGTCTCTCCGAATAAGATTATGACACAAAGCTGGAGAGCTGATATACCCCTGAGGTAGGACAGTAAAGGTATATTGTTGGCCTTGCCAGCTGAAGGCAAATTGCTTCTGGTGGGCCTTATGGACAGGAATGGAGAAAAAGGCATTTGCCAAGTCAATGCTGCATACCAGGTACCATGAGATATGTTAATTTGCTCAAGCAAGGAAACTACATCTGGTACAGCAGCTGCAATTGGAGTCACCACTTGGTTAAGCCTACAATAATCCACTGTCATCCTCCAAGATCCATTTTTCTTCTGCACAGGCCAAATGGGAGAGTTGAATGGGGATGTGGTGGGACTCACCACCCCTGAGTCTTTCAGGCCCTTGATGGGCACTAATCTCTGCAGTCCTTCCAGGGATGCGATATTGTTTTTCATTTACTATTTTTGTAGGTAGAGGCAACCTTAATGGCTTTCATTTGACCTTTCCCACTATAGTAGCCCTCAACCAACCAGTCAGGGAGCCAATGTGGCAGTTCTGCCAGCTGCTAAGTATGTCTATGCCGATTATGCATTCTGGCACTGGGGAAATTACCACAGGATGAGACCAGAGACCTGCTGGACCCACTGTAAGTCAGACCTGAGCTAAAACTCCATCAATTACCTGACCTCCATAAGCCCCTACTTTAACTGGAGGACTACCATGACATTTTGGATTTCCTGGAATTAACATCAGCTCAGAGCCAGTGTTCAGTAGTCCCTGAAATGTCTGATCATTTCTTTCTCCAGTGCACAGTTACCTTGGTAAAAGGCCGGAGGTTTCCGTGGGGAAAGATGGGAGAAAGATTCACAGCACAAATTGTCAGTAATGTAGTAGGGTCCTTCCTCAAGGGGACCCGCTTCCCCTTTATTCAAGGGCTTCTGGGTCTGTAACCTGGCTCAAGTCTGGAAACTGATTGAGGGACTGTGGTTCTCTGGTTTTATAATTCAAATTATTCTTTTGTCCATTTGACCTATAAGTTTTCTGTTTGTATAAATTAAGTCGGAATGCAGTAGGCTGTCTATCAATTTCACTTCTAGGAACACTGTGATTAATTAGCCAATGCCACAGCTCTACACAATGCCACAGCTCTACACGAGTCAGACTATTCTGATTGCTGCTTTGCCTCTGCTGTCCATTACAGTAGGTATGCCCACCTTGCCTTTGACTGTTGAGTGCTGCCACATGGCCCCTGCCACCTCGCGACTCAATTATTCCCACTGTATTTAAGTTGTGTAGTTGAGTGACTGTGGTTTCCACTGTTAGATCTGACATACAGAGAAGAGCAATCACAGGGCTCTTCAAAGATGCAGGTGCTGCCCTCACAAATCTACTTCACAAGGCATTGGTCAAGGATATAGCTTCTGGACCCTCCCAGCTGGGATGAATAGGCCTAAAGTGACTAATCCACTCTACCACCCCGATCTCCCTAAGCCTTTGGGTCTCTTCTTCTACATTAAACCAAGGGAGATCAGGCATTTCCAGCTTGCTCACAATGGGCCATCTTTTAATCCATGTTTCAGCTAACCAAGTAAATAAACTATTAGAACCTTTTTTAACTCCCCAAGCTGCAACATTAAAAGCAGAGTCCCTACTTAGCGGGCCCAAATAAATTCAGCCTGATCCAACTCTATATTCCTTCCACCATTATCTCATACCCTTAATATCTGTTCCCATGCCTGTTCTCCAGATTGCTGTTTATATAGAGAACTCAAACAGTTCTTTTCGAGTGTGGCAGATCTCCTCATGGGTCACACTTAACCTCACCTCTAGGGGCCCACCAGGACTTTAGTCTAGTTATAGGTCTAGAAGCAAATGGGGGTGTTGGTGGTGGCTCCTGAGGAGAATCAACATTATTTTGCCTGGCAACTACCTCAGGGGAGGCCATCACTGTTGCCTCAGGCAGCACAGGGTTTATTTCCTGAAAGTTGGAAAGGCTGATGGCAGCATGGGTCAGGGAGGGGATGTTGCCACTACTGGGGATAGGGAAGCTGTTCCTTCTGGCAAAAAGACCATCAGAGTTGACATACTCAGTGTCCCCAGCTTCATCATGATCCTCCCACATGTCCCCATTCCAGTTGCAGGGTCCCATTCTTTTCTAATCAGTGCCCTTAACAAGTAGACAGCTGGTGAGGCTGTGCATGCACCTTTTGTTGCAGGTCAGCCACTCACATAAGAGCTTGTATCTGTTTTTCCACAATTCCAGCTTTTTCTCTACAGGAGATAAGACTCTCACTCAAGGCAATCTTAGCAGATTTGAGGCTCAGTATCTGCTTCTGAAGCCAGGAGACAGAATCCCTGAGTTCATAATTTTCTTTCGTCACTTTGTCCACTGAACTTAGGAGCAACCAACCATCTTCATTATGTTCTTTGGTTCTCCACATATGGTCAAAAGTATTATGTATAGAGTCACTAAACTCCTTGCCTCTCACAAGCAGGGAATCAGGAATGTCAAATGCATTTATTTTGCATAACTTCCTAGACAGTTTATGCCAACTATTAGAAGTAGAGTCCTGGGCCGGGCACAGTGGCTCACACCTGTAGTAATCCCAGCACTTTGGGAGGCTGAGGCGGGCGGATAACGAGGTCAGGAGTTTGAGACCAGCCTGGCCAACATGGTGAAATCCTATCTCTATTAAAAATACAAAAATTAGCTGGGCATGGTGGCAGGTGCCTGTTATCCCAGCTACCTGGGAGGCTGAGGCAGAAGAATGGTTTGAACCCAGGAGGCAGGGTTTACAGTGAGCCACGATCACACCATTACACTCCAGCCTGGGTGACAGGGCGAGAGTCCATCTCAAAAACAAACAAACAAACAAAAAAGTAGTAGAGTTCTTAGCATTTTTGGGTCTAATCATATTAAGCAGCCAACTCCAGAAACTCCAAAACCAATGAAAGAACTCCATCCTTAATATTCTGTTCTTCTAGAACCACTCCTGGTACCAGAATCTGTATTAGTCAGGGTTCTTTAGAGGGACAGAACTAACACCTTCCTCAATACTCTGAAAGGCAGTTTTGGCATTTCATTTTACTTACAGGTCATATCATCTCTAAGCTTTAAGGGCCAACTCAGTGGTATATTAAGATCAAAGGCATGACCGGGCATGATGGCTCACACCTGTAATCCCAGCACTTTGGGAGGCTGAGGTGGTAGACTGGTTGAGCTCAGGAGTTGGAGACCAGCCTGGGCAACATGGCGAAACCCCACTTCTACAAAAATTTAAAAATTAGCTGGGCATGGTGATGCATGCCTGTAGTCCCAGCTACTTGGGAGACTGAGGTGGGAGGATGGCAGGAGCCCAGGGAGGTTGAGGCTGCAGGGAGCCAAGATCACACCACAGCACTCCAACCTGAGTGATAGAGCCAGACTGTTTAAAAAAAAAAAATCTCATTGCTCCCCACCTCTAAAAAAAAATAAAGGCATAGTAAGAGTGCTCCTGTGTCTATAACCTCTCTTTCAGTTTTATATTCAGACCCCTCTCCTTTTCTTCGCTGCCCCTCCCTGAAAATCTTAAGTTCCCTTCTCACACGTGTTCCCCTGGCTCCAGGTGGTCTTGCAGTTCTCTTGATGAGCAAGCTGTTTCTTCCCACAGCTGAGACTATTTCTCTGCTGGGGCTGTGTGACCAGTTATTGGTCCAGAAGCAGTGAGGGGAGGCATGGGCTCATCTTAAGGAGGACAAACATAATTTTGCAAAGCATTCATCCCAGGCAAAGCTTTGCATATTCTCCAGGCAAGGTGCAATTGCTTTCCTCTAGCAAGGGGCAGAGACGCTTGATTTCAGGGGAATCTGGTGGGGAGGTGCCATGTTTTTCAGGTGCTCCAATGTCCCCATCCAAGGTCCCAGAGTCCCACTTCTCTCTCAGGACCCTGACATTAGCATGGAAGACCTGTCAATGCTGAACCCATATGATAAAACCTGAACCTGATTTTAGCTTAATGAACCATCCAGTTGCAGCAGATGAACCCTTAAAGTGCTGCCATGGAGGCCTTCTGACTTTTTTCAGCAAGCCCTAAGTTAGTAATTGGCCTCTCAAATCTGTCATTATCTTTCTCTAAGGCTTCCAAGGCAGGTAACAAAACCCAGCCAACTCCACAATCCTAGTTATTACCACTGCCCCCACACCATTTAAATGTAGGGCTTCTGCATCACCAAATACTTTCCCTTCCACCTGGTTCTTATTCCAATACACAAAAGGTGAGACTTTTCATAATTGGCAGGTTACACTCTGCTACAGCTTATTTCTACCCCACTTACCACTAGCATTGGGTCCTGTGGCTATACACCTGTGAACGATCCAGTTCAAGAATTCCAGTCCTCAAACTCTGCCTCTCTGGGGCCAATTTCAGTAGCAATTTATTTCCTGTTCCCTCAGAAACAGAGCCTGAGAAAAGAACTTCGAGTTCAGGTAGTTTATTTGGGAGGTAATCCCAGAAGCAAATGTGAGCAAATAGAGTGAGGCAGAAAGGGAGGAAAAGCCAATATCAGGGTGCATTCATTGAGGTCAATGCTGTAACTAATGGGATTAGGTTCTACCAGGACCCCCAAGACACATACAGAATTCCCCCTAAAATTGCCAGTCCACTTGCTTCTCTTTGACTGTTGGTTGCTCCTGGGGACTTTACCTCCCTGCACATAGTGCATGCATGAAGATTAAGAAGTTCCTCTCAGAGTTGGAGAAAGGCCTGAGGCAGAAACTAAAAAGCCATGTGGCTTATTTTTGAAACGAGATTCTGTCATGAGCTCACATGAAACTGTCCACTACAACTGTGGCTGAAATTACAGATATGGGACACCAAAATCGTCTGCTACAAGAAGGTTGGAGCAGAATGTTGGGTGAAATCAGGGTGATGATTGCAGCACTGCAACCCTGTACAAGTCTTGCCTTGCCTGTGTTGACTGCCCCAGGGCTTCTTGTTCATTGAGACAATAGCTGGGTGTGGTGACATGCATCTGTAATCCCAGTGCCTTGGGAGGCCAAGGTGGGAAGATGACTTGAGCCCAGGAGTTCGAGGCTGCAGTGAGTTATACTCACACCATGGCACTCCAGCCCGGGTGACCTTGTCTCTTAAAAAAAAAGAAAAATAAATTTAAAAAATATTGAGATAATAAATTCCTTATTCATTTAAGCCACTGTAGTGGGGTTTTCTATCTCTAAAAGTTGAAATTCTGATATATATTAGCATTATTTAAAATACTGTAGAGGATTATTTGAGAAATCCTGCTTTAGATGAAAAAATGAAAAATGATAGGGAAAAGATGGTTTTCTCTTTCTCTATAATCTAATGACTTTCTTCCATATTTTGCCCTTCCATTAAGGTTCTTGATTCTGACTGCCATCACTTTTAAGCATGAAATGTTTATAATTTACTCTGAGAGATTGTGTATTTATTATATGGAATGGGAACCTTTGAATAGGAGATGAGTAAAGTTAGATTAGGGCTGGGCTACTTGAGGTCAATTAGAAATTTGAGGTAATTGAGAAACTTTATTATTTGCAGGCTGTGTGGTGAGAGATAAAGGTGGAAGGGAAGGGACAAGGAGGGATCTATAAGGGGCTTCCAACCCAGAAATGCTGTATGATGGTTTTCCCCATTAAGAAGGGTGGAGATTTAGCTGGGTGTGGTGGCACACACCTTGTAGTCCCAGTTACTTGGGAGGCTGAGGTGGGAGAATCACCTGAGCCTGGGGAGGTTGAGACTGCGGTGAGCTGAGGTTGTACCACTGCACTCCAACTTGGGTGACAGAGTGAGAACACGTCTCAAAAAAAAAAAAAAAAGATAGTCTTAATTTAACAAGACTATCATTTTATGGATAAAAAGGAAATTCAGGCATCAAACCCTTGAAGATGAGACTAAACATTACTTAGGTTTATAGAGATTTATTCAGGCCTGGTCTGAGAAATTGATGAATTGTTTTCAATTTCCAGTTTTTTAGCTGTCTAAGATTATCTGCAATTGCAATCGTGGACATTATTTCCAAGTTAAGTTCAGGAGCACCATTTTTTTTCGTTGTTACCTGAAAATATACTCGTCTACATGCGTGAGTCTACAACAGGGTATTTGTACAGGGGCAGGTGTGTTTGGTTATTTTGTGTGTGCGTGTGTGTGTGTGAGAGAGAGAGAGAGGGAGAGTGAGAGAGAGAGAGAGAGAATATGAGCAAGTGTGGATACTTATTTATTGCTACCATAATTTGTAAGATGCCAGGGAAAGAGATGGGTCAAGTTAAGGTTGAGATCGCTACTGGTCAATCAGCCTCCTTTTCCTAAAAGACCAAGTTTGAGGGTAAAAGAGGAAAAGGAGGTTGGGTCTCATGGTTGATATTCCTTTCTGGCTGATCTTTCTGGATATTTGGTGGCTTTCTGCATAATTTATCAACTTACTTGTTTTTTAATTATGATTGAATGCACATGATGTTAAACTTTTAAATTTTATGAAAAAATGTTTACATTACACATGGGTTTCTGTTCCTAACATTCAGGCTCAGACAAGTGCATTTATGTTATTTTGTATTTTTCAAGATGGCTGTTTTTACATAAAGTCATCCTAGGACATTGAAGATCTGATGAGTATACAATAAAGCATTTGTTTTGTTGCCTGGTGGAACTAATTAAATACACGGACAGACAAACAAGTGAAATCAGGATGCTCCTCTAATTCATCCAAGAAATCTCAAGAGAATGATATCTGTCTCTCTTGATATCTTAATTGCTGTAAATCACTCTGGCTCTTCAAGATCTAAATAATCCACAACAATACACACTTTTAAATGTATTGTTCCTAGGCTAGTAACTTCAAAATTTTTTTTTTCCTATTGGGGAAGGAATTCACACTCCTATATCTAAACTTAGTATGAAGTGGATCCATTCTACAGGTATAAAAATAACATTGAGATAGCATTTGAGGTTCAGCCTGTGTAAGTCAAGATGCCTTGTGTATTGCCTCACATGTAGGCAGGTGTGTACATATTCATTTTCATATAGGAAGGGAAATGGGGGCTGATGTAAAGATATAAAAGACCATCTAGGTAGTTCCATCCTGCATTAATTTTAGGGGGTTGTGTGGGTGAAAATTGTTCTCTAAGTCAGGAAGCTCTAGGTTTCAGTGTGTAATAGTCTGTTTTCATGGTGCTATGAAGAAATACCCAAGACTGGGTAATTGATAAAGAAAAGAGGTTTAATTGACTCAGTTCTGCATGGCTGGGGAGGTCTGAGGAAACTTACAATCATGGTGGACACTACCTCTTCACAGGACAGCAGGAGAGAAAATGTGTGCTGAGCTAAGGGGGGAAGCCCCTTATAAAACCATCAGATCTCGTGAGAACTCACTCACTATCATGAGAACAGCATGGGTGAAACTGCCCCCCATGATTCAGTTGTCTCCACGTGGTCCCACCCTTGACAAGTGGAGATTATTACAATCCAAGGTGAGATTTGGGTGGGGATACAGAGCCAAACCGTATCACAGTGTGATCATATTGAGGTCTTCAGAGTAGGAGGCTATACTTATAGAGATGCTGTAGTGGAATTTCTGCGGGCTGACCTGCTTCATCTAACCTCTCTGTGCTTCACTTTCCTCATCTGTAAAATGGGGAAAATAATAGGAAACTTCCTCATGGGTGGTCATAAGGAATAAATGAATTAATACAGATAAAGAATTTAGAATACCACCTGGCTCATAATGAGCACTCAGTAAGCGTTAGCTGCCACCGTGATTACCATCCTCACCATCCCCATCATCATCATCACCATCATCATCGTCATGTCATGGGTAGACTCCTGGATGTGAGACTAAATTAAGCTTTAATAAACATGACTCTATTAACTTGTACCCCAACAAACTGAAGGAATTCAGGTGACAAAAAGTAATTAAGATACCCGATAGCTGACTTTTATAATTGTTCGCTAATTTTTCTGTATAACTCTCCTGATAATCTTTATGAGATAAGGTATTATGGCATGAATTGTGCCCCCCTAAAAGATATACTGAAGTCCAATCACCTGTACCTCAGAATTTGATCTTATTTGGAAATAGGGTGGTTACTGATGTGGTTAGTGAAGCTAAGATCATGTTGGAGTAGGATGGGCTTTTTACAATTTTTTATATATTATATATATTTATTATACTTTAAGTTCTAGGGTACATGTGCACAGCGTGCAGGTTAGTTACATATGTATACATGTGCCATGTTGGTGTGCTGCACCCATTAACTCGTCATTTAGCATTAGGTATATCTAGTAATTCTATCCCTGCCCCCTCCCCCCACCCCATAACAGGCCCCGGTGAGTGGTGTTCCCCTTCCTGTGTCCAAGTGTTCTCATTGTTCAATTCCCACCTATGAGTGAGAACATGCAGTGTTTGGTTTTTTCACCTTGCGATAGTTTGCTGAGAATGATGGTTTCCAGCTTCACCCATGTCCCTACAAAGGACATGAACTCATCATTTTTTATGGCTGCATAGTATTCCATGGTGTATATGTGCCACATTTTCTTAATCCAGTCTATCATTGTTGGACATTTGGGTTGGTTCCAAGTCTTTGCTATTGTGAATAGTGCCACAATAAACATACGTGTGCATGTGTCTTTATAGCAGCATGATTTATAATCCTTTGGGTATATACCCAGTAATGGGATGGCTGGGTCAAATGGTATTTCTAGTTTTAGATCCTTGAGGAATCGCCATACTGTCTTCCACAATGGTTGAACTAGTTTACAGTCCCATCAACAGTGTAAAAGTGTTCCTATTTCTCCACATCCTCTCCAGCACCTGTTTCCTGACTTTTTAATGATCACCACTCTAACTGGTGTGAGATGGTATCTCCTTGTGGTTTTGATTTGCATTTCTCTGATGGCCAGTGATGGTGAGCATTTTTTCATGTGTCTGTTGGCTGCATAAATGTCTTCTTTTGAAAAGTGCCTGTTTATATCCTTAACCCACTTGTTGATGGGGTTGTTTGTTTTTTTCTTGTAAATTTGTTTGAGTTTTTTGTAGAAGGATGGGCTTTTAATCCCATGTGACTGGTGTATTTTTTGGTAGAAGGAAATTTGGACACAAGAATACACAGAGGGAAGCAGATGTGGAGAAACACGAGAGAAGTCAGCCATGCGATAATGGGGGCAGATATTGGAGTGATACATCTCCATGCCAAGCAATGCCATTGGCTGCTGGCAATATCATCAACTAAAGGAGCAAGGAAGGATTCTCTCCTACAGGTTTCAGAGGCAGCACGGCCCTGTGCATATCTGGATTTCAGACTTCTAACTTCCAGAACTGTGAACCAATAAATTTCTGTTGTTGTAAGACACCCTGTTTGTGGTACTTTGTCACAGCAATCCTAGAACTAATCCAAAACGGAGTGGAAACATACCATTGAGGGGATGACAGAGCACTCAGGCTTAACCAATCAGGCTGCTGATTGATGATAGTATGATGTTCAAATGCTAAAAGCTTCCACTTTACATTTTTTTGATGGTTTTAAACCAATCTGATTTTTTTCCCCTCTCATTTTAATCTATCTCCATGATCTGTTATTCTGGGAAAACTTTCCTAACCTTTGTATAAGTGGTGAGCTTATGGACATACATTCTTTCCTATCAGACATTTGAACAAATCTCCTAAAATTTCCTCCTTTCCTCCCTTCCTTCCTTCTTTCCCTCTCTCCTTCCCTTCTCTGTTTCTCCCTCCCTTTCTTTCTTTCTTCCTTCCTTCCTGTCCTCCCTCCCTCCTTTCTTCCCTTCTCTCTCCTTCCCTCCCTTTCTTCCTTCCAGCAGGGCAGAGGGCCAAAGCAATAGGCAACCTTGTGTAGATTGCTCAAAGTCATGATCACTCCTCTTCTGTGGCTTTTTATTTTATTTTATTTTGAAGCAGAGTCTCGCTCTGCCACCCAGGCTGGAGTGCAATGGTGCCATCTCGGCTCACTGCAACCTCCACCTGCTGGGTTCAAGCAATTCTCCTGTCTCAGCCTCCAGAGTAGCTGGGATTACAGGTGCCTGCCACCATGCCTAGCTAATTTTTGTATTTTTAGTAGAGACTGTGTTTCACCATGTTGGCCAGTCTGCTCTCGATCTCCTGGCCTCAAGTGATCCATGCCTCGGCCTCCCAAAGTGCTGGGATTACAGGCATGAGCCACTGTACCTGGCCTTCTATGGCTCTTTAGAAAGGTAGGGATACTCCTGGTCTTTTGTGTTGATTTCCCCACCAAGATTTTTCCCTCTTCTTCACCCAACATCAATACCATTTGATTATTTTCAGAGCAAAAGCAGCCTCTTTTTGTGCTGCAGGCATCAACTAGATCCTTCCCCCACATGCCCCATATATTGATACCACTTAAATATTCCTATTTTCCAAAATCAGCTATTGGGCATCTGTCATGTTTCGGAACCAGTCTAATCTTTCCAGTGATACTCTCAGATTCAGGGTGGGCCAGCCAAGATTTGTTTTCAATACTCTTTCTGGTGACTTGGAAAATTCTTCTAGAATTACCAGTAAGTCCTACTTTCATTTTGCACAAATTACCATACAGTCAAATTTAAAATTTCATAGATGCCTAACCTGTAATAGAAGAAAAATGCAAAGTTTATAAAAGTATCTTTAACTCATTAACTAATTTTCTCTTGACTCATGTTTACTGCTCCTCAAGTTCCATAGGATGATAAGGTTTCATTTAAGTCAGCAGGGCGATTTTTTGGGGGTAGTTTTCATGACTATTCCTAAAAACACATTCTTCAGAAAATTTGTAGTAAGCATTACATTCTTTTCATCAGTAAAAATGTGTGGCCACTTGTTCTGATTCCATTGTGCTGTTTTGCAATATCTATGAAACACAAATGTAGCTTTAAAAATACATAGTATGTTTTCTCAGAGGTCTCAAACAAGGGAATGAACAAGGGCACCTGTCTGCGTATCAAGAAGGATCCTGCTTTGTATATTTTTAAAAGAGCTGTTAGAGTAGCTTTAGTTCTCTCTGCTCCCTGATTAAATCTTGATTAAAATCAGTGCTGCAGTTGTAGAATGGGAAGCAGTCTTCTCCTTCCTTTCCCTGCTGTAGGTAACATCACTTGATTGCTTGAGACAGTTAAAGGTGCTTTGGTAGTAAAAGGACAGCAAGATTAATGGGCAGTCATTTCCATAGTAACAGCAAAGCACTCTGGGAAACAGAGCCACTCGGGAGCTGGAGCTGCACATGCCAGGATTTCTGCTCCCATGGCAACAGGAGAGTGTGGGGTGGGGACGAACATGCTAGGAAACTTAGCAAAGGTCCGTTTAGTGAAGACAATGTATAATCAGAGTTGTCAATCTATTTTAAAATTTGAAGTTAAAATAAATCAAATTTGAGACCACGAGCTGATGCAAAACATTTAAAATATACTGTACATCCACTGAAAATTTCTGAAGCATAAGCACAAAATAGTTTAAGAACTATCCAATTGTGACAACTTGTTAGTTAAAAAAATCCAATTACCAAGATTTTTGTCCCAGAGTAGTTGCAGAAAATTACACAATTAGAGCAATTTTTCTCAGCTGCTCCACTACAGAAAACGAAAGTAATTATACAAAAATAGTGTAAAATACTTTTCACAACTGCAAGTTGGAGTTTTGCTTTCTTTAGAAGAAATTCTGTTTTTCACTTAGATAACCATCTCAACAAAAAGTTGAAGAGAGCTAGCAGTGAAAAAGAGAAAGCAATATTTAAAAGAGAATCAAGAACAAAGCAAAAGGTGAGTGAAATGCTAAGAGAAGCAGAAAAGAATTCAGAAAGATCTAAGAACCCAGCATTCCAATTACAATGAGTAAAAGAAGTGTGACACAAAATCGTATTCCTTCTGCTTTTATTAATGTTGGAGTTAAAGTTTTTGAAGGTCTCTGTTGTCCTGCATGAAATTATAACATATTCAGGGAGCTCAGTGTCCACTAAGGAATAGACATTCTTTTCTATCCGGGCCTTTTGAGTCAACTCTACACAACCAGTGAAACAGAAGTTTGGGGGGAAATTATCTGCGGATTTGGGTATTGGTTAGTTACTAATCAAGTCCATTAAGGTAAATCTGTATGTTTGTATCTAGTCTTTACTAAGTAGGGCACTTACTATCACAAATATAATATTTACTGAGTTTTCAATATGAATTTGGAAAACAGATATTAGTGATTTAACCTAGTTCCTGGCCTGGGATGTCTATTCTCTATGCATTGTGTCCAGTAGGATCTGGATGCCAAAATATCATTTAGTCACATGGAGGATTTGGCCACAGTATCTCAGAGAAGCGTGATACTTCTTCAGTAAGCATCATCTCAACATCTATATCCTACATCTTGAAAAGAAGGTTTATTATAAGAAACATCTATGGGATTGCCTGCTGAGCACCAGCACCTGTAATTAGGGACTGTCCTCCTTCCCTACTATCTACATGTTGGCATTATTGTGCTGTGACCCTAATTCCCTGTCTATAGTCAATTGATCTAAAACTGGGCACCTAAGTTGTGCTTTGCTAGTCAAAGTCATTAGTTGTAGAACTCTGGAGTTATTAGTGACCATATTTTTTTGTTATGTAGATAAAACTTCAAGAGAAAATAATAAAGATATCAGAGAAAATCAGAGACAGGAGGTAGATACTTGATTTAGATGATGTTCAGCCCCTGGTCTAGTTGTTTCTAAAGCCCAACAGAATCTGTATTTCCTGTGGCTTGATTATATATCCTCCTAGTAAATTCCTCCCTCTCTGTTTTTTGGCTCAAGCTAGCTCAAGCTGGATTTCTACCTCTTGCAACTGAGTCCTAACTAATGTAACATCCTCTCCCCAAATTCCCTAAAAAACATGATAAAAGGAAGAAAATGGAACAACCACTTGGACAGAAAACACATTGTGGGAAATAAAAGCAGGAGTGAAAAGTAATTGCAAAGTTTTTCTTTCCTTGCAATTCAATGATTTGTGAGGAAGGAAAGGGGGCTTAGAAGCTACTACAACCAGGAAATGATCAAAAGAAACAAGACTAGTAAAAATGCAGTAAAAATCAGAAGTTGGTATATTCCTAAATACCTGTAGAGGGTGGCAAAAATCTGTGCTGAAATTCTAATTTACGCTATTTGCTCTATGTTGCCTATTGTAGGATGTGCTAGGTAGGCTCTTCCAGATTGCAAGGGACATATTACTGGGAAATTCAGTGCACTGAGGGTAAGGAGAGAATCTTAAATATCTCCAGAGAAGAGGAAAACAAATAGGTCATGTACAAAGTATCAGGAATCAGAATTTCTTCTGATGTCTCAGAAGCAACCCTGTTGGGATAATGCCTTCAAAATGATTTCCAATCTAGAATTCTATATCCTGCCCAACTACCAATCACATAAAAATATAGAATAAATACATTTCATATATGTAAGATCTAAAAAAATGTAATTTCCACACGTATTTTCTAAGAAAACTATTGAAGAACATGGGCCACTAAGAGAGGGGAGTAAACCAAGAAAGAAGAATACATGGGGAAAGAGAATAAGAAGGCAAAGGGATCTAGGGACTATGGGGAATCCCAGGAGGACAGCTGTGCCCTGGTTCAGAAGGACGCTGGTTTACATGAAGCAGGTACACACATCCTTTCACTGAGCATTATGTCTGTAAGAATCACCATTGATTCTGTTGGGTACAGAATCCTTTTATATTGCTGTATAGTATTCTATTGTATGGATATATCACATTTATCTGTCCATTCTACTGTTGATGAGTCCTCAGTTTGCTTCTAGTTTTTGGTTCTAAAGAATACTGATGTGCTGAACAGTTCTGTGACTGTGTTTGTGGTACAACTATATAATTAATCTGATGATAAGGTATCTACAAAGTATCTACAGTAAATATAATATTTAATGGTGAAGTATTGAAAGCTTTTCCTGTGAGATCAGGAATGAGATAACGATGCATAATATCATCACTTCTTTTCAATATTTTACTAGAGAGTCTAGTCAATAAAAATACCTAAAAGTAGGTGTAAAATGCATAAGGATGAGAGAGGAAATAATGAAATTGTCATTATTTGTAGATTACACAATTTGCATATAGGAAACAAAAGAGTACAGATAAACTATGGCAATTAATAAGTGAATTTACTAAAGTCAATATATAGAGGTCAGTTGTATTTATGCTGACAACAGATAATTAACTATTTTAATTAGGAATTATTTAATTTATAATAAAATAAAAATATCAAATCATTAGAAATTAGTCAAATAAAAGATATGTTAGACTGCTACAAAAAACTACAAAATATACTGAGATAAATAAGCCTAAATAAATTCAGGGTTATACTATGTTTGTGGGTTTGACAATTCAATATTGTTAGCATGTCAGTTTTTACTATATTAATTTATAGATCCAGTACAATCCCTATCAAAATTTCAGAAGGTTTGGTTGAGGAACTTGAAAAACTGATTCTAAAGTTTATAGGAAACTCAGAGTCAAGAATAGCAAAGACATACTTGACAAAGAACAAAGTTGAAGGATATATATACTACCAGATTTCAAGACGTGTTAATAAACGACAGTAATTAAGACAGTGTGGTATGATACAAGAATGGACAAATAGACCAAAAGAAGAGCACACAGAGTGCAGAACAGACCCATACATATACAGTCAGTTGATTAGGACAAAGGTGCCACTGCAATTCTGTGGGAGAAAAGAATGTGTTTATAATAAAGGATGTTGAGAAAATTAGATGTTTATATAGGAAAAAAAGAAAATTGACCCACTACCACACATTGTGCACAAAATTAATTCCAAGTCAATCATAGACTTGAAAGTGAAAGCTAAAAAATTAAGCTTTTAAAGGAAAACATAGGAGAAAATCTTCATGGTCTTAGTGGATAGGCAAATATTTCTTAGGACAATATGCAGTAACCATGAAAGAAAAAATTTGACAAATTGCTCTTCATTAAAATCAAGAACCTCTGTTCATCAAAAGGCATCACTAAGGACATAAAAATGCAAGCCACAGAATAGAAGATAATTGCAATACATATATACTGCAAAGGACTCATTTCTAGAATATCAAAAGAACTCCTAAAATAAAAGAGGAAAAGATATGTGATCTAATAGGAAAATGGAAAAAGATTGAACATGGAAAAAGACTGAACAGGTATTAAGGAGATACCTTAATGCTGAATGAGCATAAGAAAAAGGTGTTTTACATCATTACACACTAAAAAAGTGTGTAACATAATCACAAATTAAAACTATGAGACCACAACATGTTCACCAGAAGTACTAAAACAAAGCAAAACAAGCGAACAAAAAAATCAGTGACCATCCCAATTATTGATGAGGCTATAGAGCAACTAAAAATTTATTACTGTTGCTGTGGGAATGTAAACTGGTATAAATACTTGGAAACCTGTTATTAGTATCTAATATTTAATGTATGCATATCTGATAGCCCAGAAATTTCACACATAGGAATAAACTCAACAAAAGTGTGTATATATGCTAACCAAAGTATTTTGAATTAAATTAAATTAATTGAGGATTTGGTTTTTAATTCATTAAATGGATAATCCATAGATCTAACCAATGATCTTTATTGGAGTGTTGACCATACTCACTTAGCCAAATATTCCTCTCAGGAATAGACTTGTTTTTCAGCTACAAAGTATAAATTCTACTTGGGTGTTATTTTTGGCTTCCAGCGTGAGAAGGGCGGAAATATGTACCTGGGTTGTTTTGTGCCTAATGGTTATTTTACTATACGTCTAATAGCTGGAACCTAACTCAGAATCAGCATCAGAAAAAAAAAAAAAAAAAAAAAGGGCCGGGCGCGGCGGCTCATGCCTGTAATCCCAGCAGTTTGGGAGGCTGAGACAGGCGGATCACGAGGTCAGGAGATGGAGACCATGTTGGCTAACACGGTGAAACCCCGTCTCTACTAAAAATACAAAAAAATTAGCCGGGCATAGTGGGGGGCACCTGTAGTCCCAGCTACTTGGGAGGCGGAGGCAGGAGAATGGTGTCAACCCGGGAGGCGGAGCTTGCAGTGAGCGGAGATTGCGCCACTGCACTCCAGCCTGGGCGACAGAGCGAGACTCTGTCTCAAAAAAAAAAAAAAAAAAAGGTAAGGCATAGATTGATCAGAGGAAATGACCTTGGATGTAGATTAAAGGAAGTTTACCTTAAAAAAATTGCCCCCTCACTACTTTTTTTTCTTTTTTGAGGCTGGGTTTCACTCTGGCACCAGGACTGAAATTCACCATCTGGTGCAATTATAGCTCACTGTAACCTCAAATTCCTGGACTTAAGTGATCCTCCTGCCTCGGCCTCCCGAGTAGGTGGGACTAAAGGCATGTGCCACAACCCTGGGCTAATTTTTTATTATTATTTTTTGTAGAAACAGGATTTTGCTATGTTGCCGAGACTGGTTTCAAACTCCTGGGCTCAAGTGATCCTCCTGCCTTGGCCTCCCAAAGTGTTGGGATTCCAGGTGTGCCACTACAGCCAGCCAAAAATGTGCTTTTGAGAGGATTATGGTGATGATATTAAATGGCCACGTAACTTCAGGTCAAATGCCGCAAGAAATCACCAAGAGTTTGAGGATTCTGGCCAAATGGCCAAATAAAACTCTGTTTTGAATAATTTGATAATAAGAACAGCCAACTAAAAAATACAAGGATGAAAGGTTTTAAAATAATAGGATATAGAAAGGTTCTATTATTGACTAAGGAAGATTCCTTGGAGATTGAAAACCCTTTCCTGTCTCCTTGAAAAAGGGTTGGCAGAAGCAGTATAGATGGGTTGGAGGAATCCGTGTCATTTTGCCTAGGAGGCTTACTCCTCTTAATTTCCTTTAATGTTTTTTTGAGACAGAGTCTCCTTCTGTCACCCAAGTGTGAATGCAGTGGCATGATCTTGGCTCACTGCAACCTCCACATCCTGGGTTCAAGCGATTTTCATGCCTCAGCCTCCTAAGTAGCTGCGATTATAGGCGAGTGCCACCACGCCTGGCTAATTTTGTATTTTTAGTAGAGACAGAGTTTTGCCATGTTGTCCAGGCTGGTCTCGAACTCCTGACTTCAAGTGATCCACCCGCCTCGGCCTCCCAAAGTGCTGGGATTACAGGTATGAGCCACTGCACCCGGCCTATCTTTAATGTATATTTGCATGGCTATTTTTTGCTTCCTTGAGGGTATATTCATGTTCTGTAATTTTATGTTTACCTTGCTTTTTTTATTCTAATAATATTCTGCCTTAATTTGAGTATTTACCAAGGATGTGAAGGGGGAGAGTTTACCCATTGCATTTACTGCCTAGTTCCTTTCTCCTTCCAACCTTTACTTTGGATATTTTCTTCTTAAAGGAAAAGATTTGATAAATTTACTCACTGAAGGGTGAAACTTGCTTCTGGTAATGCTTTACGTATGCATCTCATAAATTGCATTCGGTTACTACTAATAAAAGAGACGTAACTAAGAGGACTTCACAGTATATGAGGGTTTATTTTTCTCATGTAATGAGAGGTTTGGGAACTAATAGCTGATGGCTGTGGTACAGTGGCTCAAGGTCTCTAATGGCCTTGACCTTTCCCTTGTGGCCATAAGATGACTATCCCTGCTCCTACCATTATATCTATATTTCATGCATGAGAAAGCAGGAAGGTTGGAAAGGGAGGAGGTCAGCTAAGTCGGCCCACCCTAAAGAGTTTTTCTAGAAGCCCTTCTTAAGAATTCTTTCTACATGGGTCAGAACTGTGTCATGTGACATCCATGGCTGTAAAGGAGGCTGGTTTCCTAGTTTTGTTATGTGGGCACCTTGCCATCCAGAATAAAACTGGGAGTTTGTTATGTGAAGGTGGAAAAGAATGGATATTGGGTAGGCTATCAGTTGTCTCTGCCATACATATTCTCTTGTTTGCATTCTACTAGGGGATCAAGCTTAAGGCCAAATGAATGATTCTTTTGCAGTCGAATTTTAGGCATTTGTAAAGGGGAAGGAAGCGTTGTGAGTGGTGCTTTTACTGGGGTCTCTAAATTCTCATAATGTGGGCAAGAGCTTATTATATTTTCTCTTAGGTCAGTCCTCTATAAAGGTATGAACAAGAATGAATGTGTGACCTGAAATGGTTTATCTTTTGAGTAGATACGTATGCTGCTTCACCTCTGGGGTTGAGAGATGCATGGAGGAGGTGGGGGAAAGAGGGCTGCGGGAGGGGAAGGGGTGACTCTTTGTGGTTTTGGTTTCTGCTTTATAGACCATGTGAGTCAAACATGGGGGTGGCGCAGGTGGGCCACTCTTAGCAAAGATGGAATAAAATGTATAAGGGAGAAAAATATCAGTAGAGAAGGAATCATTAAACTGGATCTAAATAGATACCAGTGAATTTCCTATAAACTGTTACAAAAGGCTAAGGTTGTGCCACTGGGCTGGTTCCAAGGAATACAGGAACTGGGACAGGAAGTGCTGTCGTCCCAGGTTCTTCTGGGACTCCCCAGGGAGGCTCTCATATCTCCACAGATGACCTCTGGCTGTTGCATGATGCAGTCTAGGTGGGCTGCAACTCCATAACTTCAGGAGTCACTCTTCCACAGAGTGCTTCTCTGGGCTAAATACACCTCTGCCCATCACTTTGGATAGTGCCAGTCTACCATCTAGATATCAATGGAACTGGAAATCTCTATGTCTGTGAAAGCGGATCATACTTACTATGCCTCAAGGCTGGAGATTCTTATTATTCTATTTGCAAATTGAGATGAAAAAATGCTTCCTATGTGCTATGCTCAGCTGTAGGAAGCTCCAGATCAAGGTATCTTAGGATCCCCCTTCCCAAACTACAGAAATTAATATATTCTTTAAAGTTGCACACATAGCCCCTTTCTGCTAATGTGAATCTAAGCCTCCAGGCAGGCTATTTCTAGAAGTGTTCCAATATCAGCCACTGTATGTTTTGGAAGAACAGCACTCACCATCCGCAATCAGGATCGATTGCTGGCTCTAACTTCTCTTCTTCTGTCGCGATATATTCTCTCAGGAAGTTGTTTTTACCTGATCTGCATTGGATAAGCCCACACATGTCTATATGTAAGTCTGATCTGTGATGGTGATCTGGGGTGGAGTCTTTTTTTTTCGGTAGAGGCTCATTAGAGACCCTATAGATCAGATGTAAATGGGTATAACTCTTATACTTAAAACTGAAAAAACACCCCAAAGCTAAGAGTAGATAATTTTGCTTTAGAACTGTCTTAACTTGTTCAGGCTGCTAAAGCAAAACCCCTTAGAATGGGAAATTGTTAAACAACATAAATTTATTTCTTATAGTTCTAGAGGAAGTTCAAGATCAAGGTAACCAGCAGATTTGATGTCTGGTGAGGGCTCACTTTCTGCCAGATGGCACCTTCTTGCTGTGTCCTCACGTGGTAGAAGGAGGAAATAAGATCCCTTAGACATCTTTTATAAGGACACTAATTATATCTATGACCGCTCTGCCCTCATGACCTAATCACCTCCCAAAGACATCCACTTTGGGCTTAAGATTTCAACAATATATTTTAGGTGGGGGGACACAAATATTCAGATTGTAACAAGAACATGCCATGTTTTCACTAAGATGTAACCTTTGAATAGCTGAGTTCTGACCACAAAACATGCACCATTAACAGGACTAAGGCCCTGGAAAGAAATAATCCACCTTGGTTACTCCATTTGGGGGTGCGTGTGTTGGTAGTGGTGGGAAAATCCACTTAGTCTCACCTGTTACCCACCAATGATTCTGAATAATTTAAAGAAGAAAAAATAGAAAAGGAATAACAATCATTTGAGGAATAGGAGAGGCAGATCTGGAACCAAAATATTACCTCTATGAGATGGTAGGATGCGACTTTATGGCTATGAAACAAGACTGATAGGCAGACTTACCCACCCAAGTCACCATACTGCTGGGCTGGGGCAGGCCAGGAGGAGGAATGGTGTTGCTGAGCTAAGCATGCCAGTTTTCCTCCCAAATACAGCAACCTGATAAATCACCCCAACTCACTAGGGGTGGTGTGAGTAAAGGGCCATGAACAGCCATTCACATGTTCAGGGAAAACCCTTCCTTGTGGCACCCAGGAGTGGGCAGTGGCCTTTCCTTCTCTCACTCACCCGCTGGTTTAAAGCTGATGGGATGGCAATAATACCCTCCCACACACAGTTGTGTATTCACATGCTTGCTTTTCCTACCTTATTTGCAGTGTCCTAGATTCAGTTCCCCCTTCAGGGCCTGAGCAGTTCATTCTCATGCTCCCTTCGTAATCACGAAGTGCTCGGTTTTCCTAAGCGTGACTTTGATGCTGGTAGACACCATCTTTCCCTCAAAATATTTTCTCCCTCCTTGACTCTGAGGAGAAAACCTCCTGTTCCAAATGGAGCTCTGTAGTGGAGGATGTAGTAAAGTGGATTAGCAAGAACCTGCAGGGGCCCTAAGTAACTGCACTCCACTTCAAAGACCTTTTGCCCACCAAGCCCTCCTTTCACTCATGGCCTTGCATCTAAAGATTAGGCTCCCCTAGAATATTCTGAAGTGGCTACTGAAGAATCTTGTGAAGTCAAGACACAAAGAGCCATTTTGTTCTCAGAAATGCCTCCATTTATGCTACTGAGAGTCTCGCACTTGTATATTATATCTCCTGCTCTCTATCCTGCTGACTTCAATCTGGCGGGACTGCCACATGTCTTTGTACTCTGTAACGCACATGTGCATATGGTGCATGCTAAATATAAATGCTGTTTGGCAGGATCCTTTTTTCTCTTCCTTTGTTTCTGAAAAATATAGTGAAGAAAATGTGTAACGTATGCCCGCTCCAAAACGAGAGAGACTTTCAGGAAATGGAATTATCTTGACAGCAAGCCACACATTTTGCATATTATTTTGACGTGTGGCAATAGTGGTAGCAGTGACTGTCCGCTGCTTTGTCTGGTCAGATTAGGGTTGCTGAGCTCATTTGTACCCCCTCTTCAATGGAGGTCAGGTAAATTCCTGCAATGCTGAACCATCTGCCTGAGTTGATGGGCGCTGGTTTTCAGATCCTGTTGGTCCCTCCTCCACCCAGATAGTAGTCAGGTTAGGTCAGTTTATGCTGCAATAACTAACAGCTCAAAGCTCTTAGTGGCATAACACAATATGTGTGTCTTTCCTATTCATGGGATGTGTCCATTGTCAGTGGGCAGAGGCTCTGCTCCTCATAGTCACCCAGGCCCAGGCTGATAAAGTATTGTCTGGCTGTGAGACTTTCCCTTGGAAATGACACACATCACTTCTGCTGTCTCTTTATTGAACCAAGTAGGTCCATGCTATGCCTAACATCAGAGCAAACAGTTAAGTATGCCCCACCATGTACCTGAAAGGCAGATAGCTAGAAGGCTTTTGCTATTGACACTAGTGATTACCACATCTCCTGCCAGAAATCTGATGAGTGGGCAATTGCTCATGCTATTGTTAAGGCACCCAGGTACATTTTAGGTGCACCAATGGTGCTGTAGAGGGAAGAGAGCAAGACATATAAGGTTAAAGCTCTTCTGTAAAGGCATCTCATAGAGTAGCACCGTCTTGAAACAATGCTTAGATTTTTAAAGCATTGTCACAGCTTAAAGAAACTTGGATTAGGGATAGTAAGATGGAAAACACAAAAACACATAGATGTGTGCTCCACTTTAAGTCTCTGGAGCTGGGCCACGGTCACACACACAGTGTAATGTCCAGAATGGAACAAATGTGAACGCCAGTAGAATGCTGCTCCAGCCTTTCAGGAGCTGCCCTGCTTCCTGCTGTCTCTGCTAGGCTTCCCAGCAGCCCAGTGGGCTCTGCTCCTACTAGGCGAGCCTGTTCTGACTTCTTTTGCTGGTGGCGGAACTTCAGCAAAGCTGTGATTGCAGAGTGCGGTTTGTTAGATCTTGAGGACTGGAAAAAGTCCCAGAGCCACTTAGCAGGTGAAAAATCATGACTGTGTCTATGCCAACTTCGAGGGCCTAACGTCTCTGGACTGATTGCACTGAGCACAGGAAAAACCCAAAGGAGGATTTCAGATTCAGAGGGCAGTTGAGAGGGCTTTGCCTGGTAACACTGATCACAGCTGGCAGGGGCCGCTTGAGGAGAGGCAGCCGACATGATGCTTCTCATCACCTGCCCCAGACAGATGACCCCTCCATCAGTGAGGGAGAGCTAAAGAGAAAGCAGTGGGACTCTCTGGAGCAACCGAGGAGAGGGAAGAAGACTGATGTGACCATCCACGACTGCTCGGCACAATGGGAAGCTCAGCAACTTTTAGCAGGAGTCTACTAATGAATGTGGAACCAAGGGACTGGCAGCTCCATTTCCTCTGATATTAACATTTTTTTACTTTATTTTAATGAGGAAAATGAGATTCTTCTCAGTTTCCTATCACTGGACCCGGTTTGGGAGGGGATGACATTTAACAACAGTGCTTTGAAAAATATTAAGCATTATACAAATAGGAGGAATTGTTGCTGTTATTATTCTGATGAAGCACACATGCAGCTCTGGATCAGCCTTAATATTGAGGGGATATTTAAGGGATTAGGAGGAACTCTGTGACTATTGGGGAGTGACTCAGGATGGCCTTCGCAGAAAGGGCCAACTAATCTGGCCATATTAAATCCATTTTTAGAAGCGAAATACCCAAACTCTGAGTCAATAAACCACAAATGCAGTCATAGATCATAAAACTTGATTACTTCACATCAGATGTAACACTCTCATAAATTATAAAATATATCAGGCGATTAACTCTAATTTGAGGCCGTAACTTGATTAGCTTCTGGGTGAAAGGAGGAAATGGCTTTGGGTAGGAGCAGTGGTACCAAATTTCTTAATATGTAACTGCAGCCTGAGTGAAGTGGGGGCAGGGAAGAGGACTGTAGTTATACGGTGGACTTGGGGATGAATCCAGATAATTCAGGAGAAAATGATGTGGATACACTGAAGTAAGATCCCAAAGGCTTTGAGAAACTATGGTTAAGCCTTACTAATTTGGATGAATTGGGGATTAAAGTCAGAGTGCACTAGTGAAAATCTGAATTATAGACTGTTTTAAAGATATCCACTTGTGTATTTTTTCAAATATACAGAAATGCAAAACAAATGGATGGGAAAGTGGGGCCAAATACAGGTCCATCCCAGCTTGCTTAATTATCTAATTATTGTTTGCATGCAAATGATTAGCATCATTTAGAGTAATTGCTAAAGCAGTTCATTTAAAAAAATAGGTCTACTATTTAGCTTTTACTAAAAAAAAAAATTCATGTAGCAAGCCATTTTTTTATTGTTCAGAAGAAAATTTCACCATATTGAGGAGGGGATACCCCAAATTTCTGATGTGCCTGTACAGCTAGAAGACATCTGGAAGCCAAAATGTCTGTCCCCACATTCCTTCTGGCCTCGCTGTTCCATGTGCTGCAGGCAGAGGCTGCACAGCTTGTTGACGAATTCAAAACCATCCACAATTCTGGACAATAAAGCCAGATATTAGTTTGCTTTAAAATACCTTATAATTCATCTAAATCTTTTTTATACATTGTTTTCTCACCTTCTAAGTCAGCCAGGGCAGTTTCTAGGCCACATGGTAGATTAGACAGGGCCCTCGCGGGAATCCTTCAGCCCCTCCTTTCAGCAGTTTAGTTGCCTTGCTGGGCCTTTCATTCCCCTTCGTCTTCTCTACTTTCTCTCAAGCAAGTGCACAGTGAGACTTCCACCAACCAAGAGAAAGACTTATGAGCATTTTATTCATCTCCCTCTTGTCCTGCAGAGGATCTGGGACATAGTAATGCCTTAGTACATGGCTACAAGAGTGAATCAAGGGCCAGGTGTGGTGACTCATGCCTGTAATCCCAGCACTTTGGGAGCCTGAGGCGGATGGGTCACCTGAGATCAGGCATTCGAGACCAGCCTGGCCAACATTGGTGAAAACCTGTCTCTACTAAAAATACAAAAATTAGCTGGGCATGGTGGTGGATGCCTATAATCCCAGCTACTTGGGAGGCTGAGACAGAAGAATCTCTTGAACCTGGGAGGCGGAGGCTGCAGTGAGCCAAGAGGGAGTCACTGCGCTCCAGCCTGGGCAACAGAGCAAGACTCCATCTCAAAAAAAAAAAAAAAAGAGTGAATCAAGGTTAGCTCTCGGGGTGATAAATTCCTACGAAGCAGTAAACACTGATAGTAGATAGAAGATTAATGTGTTGGACATTTTAATAGGGAATAATCCTTAAACCCATGGGAATGAATTCTGGTTTGGAATTTAAACACTGGAATAGGCAGGTGAATAACTTCACTTTGGATAGGTGATTGTCCACTCTACTCACCTGGGTGCAAGCTTTCTCTACAAATATTAGCAACAGCTACTACTACCAGTTATTAAGCTCTTACTATATGTCAAATGTGTAATGAACCAACACTTTATTTTATGTAATCACCACAGTAACTGCTTGAGGTCATTATTATCTTTGTTTTATAAATAGAGAAATTGATGCCGAGGAAAGTAAAGTACTTGTTCAAGGCCACACGAGTAAGTGGAGGTTTTAAAGAATCAAGTTCTGATTCCGAATCAGTGCTCTTTCCATGTCACAATTCTGTCAATACTTTCTATGACTGGAACTTAATAAATACTGTTCTAATGAGCATACCTTTAGCTGGTTCCATTTGCGATCCCACAGGGAATCCCAACTATTCCAATTCTATAATAATCATTATCATCAACTTCCATCTACTCAGCACTTATTACGAAGAAGGCATGAAATTCTTCTAAAACAGGTGTTCCTATAAACTTCATAACCCACTGAGGACCCGGAAATCTGGATTCCATGTTAATTTCTTCCTTCTCTGTGAATGCTATGCATTAAGTGTATATTATTTTTCATATGGATATATTTGAAAACTAGAAACAAATATCTTTTCAGATGTTGTTCAGGTGATGTAGTTGCTGTAGACATATACCATGGTCCCTGCTATAAAAGTGTCTATGTTAATGTGGAGACATGGCATTTATGTCTATAAGTAAACAACAATGTAAAGGCATTTATAACGTGCTCAAATCAGGGGTGTAAACAATAAACACCACCAGAGTTCCGAAAAGGAAGAGCTTAATGGACCAGAGCAGTTGGAGAGGGTTTCACAGTGGAAATGCCACCTGAGTTGGGTCTGTAAAATGGGCCTCTGTAGGGCCCAAGGGAAAAATTCCCCTTTGCCCTCTGAAAGTTTGCTGGAAAATCAACTCACAAAAGGCAGATTAATAGGAGAAAAGGTATACATATTTATCAACATGCATGAAGGGAAAATCAGAGTGATTACTCCACCATGCAATAGGGGTACAGATGGTTATATACTCTTTTTCTTAGGGAAAAGGGAAATAAGGAAATGTGAATGATTTTAAGGAGATTGTAAATGATCTTTAGGAGAATTCAGTGGGCTTGAAGAACATACAGTGGCCTGGAACAAAGTCTCTTGGGCCTGCAAAGCAGACAATGGTTTGTGACAAAAGTCTATCCAGGTGTGTTGACAGACTTTGGTCTTTCTTCTGCAACACAAATTCGGTTAATGAACTCTCAGGGAAAGGACCAGAGGTGATTATTTTCTTCTTTGGCAGTTCTGCACTTTAGGCAGATAAGGGAATTTCAGAAATAACTTCATTCTGGGATCTGGGAGAGACAGAGGATTGAGATACAGGATTTGAGAGGAGGTCAGAGAGACCTTGAAGGTTCATCTTCAGTTTAGCATGTCAAAATGCCGTATTGTTGGGGTATTGATTTCTGAGCCCCAACGCCTTGAATGAATGTGGAAGAAGGAGAGAGTTATGATAAGAATGCAGGTATGAGAGAGGACAATGAGTAGTCCTCTTCCCAATGTCCACATTCACTGAACTATTTCTTATACTTCCTACTTAATTTTGGCTCTGGACCTGGCAACAAAGGGCTTTGTATAATGATCCTTTGTGCCTCAAGTTGCTTTTGATGTTAAACATGTAAACCTTTGTGTGTTTGACTTACAAAAAGGAGAATGGCATTTTCTCAGCCTGTGAAACTCATAATTATAGGAGATTGGATGATTAATGCTATGGTTAACTTGATAAGAGGACTGGATAGAATTCCCATAATAAGAAGTTAGCAATAATAAATTAATATAAAGAAAATTAAATATTAATCCTTAAGTTGAAACTGTTATCAGAGTGTAGCACTATACTTTAAGATCAAATTTTTAGCTTTCTATCTGGAATATTCACTAAAATGTTGGCACTTTCTTTTTAAAAGAATTGCCTCTATTCTCCACTTTGCTATGTCTGCAGAGACCTAGCCTGGAATGAATGTATCATAGTGGGTCCACCAGGTTTTTCTGTCTGTTTTAAAGGAAGTACCTTCTATTTTATAGGATAATGTAAGATATCGTGTGTTTTCCTAATGGTAATAGGCAAGTTTTTCTGGAAGTTTTTCGAGGACCTATTACTTGAGTCCAGCATTTCTGACTGTTGCTCTGTGAAACATTAATCTCATAACATATTTCACACTAAATGGATTCCTTGCTTAATTAAGTTTGAGAAATGTTTCTCATTGGAAATTTACAATGCCCAGTAGCATATGCACAGGCCCTGGTGAGACTTGTTGCAGAGAAACCTTTGTAAACTTTGCTTAACTCAGTGCTTCCTAAAGTTATTTGATCACAAGCAATCTTTATGGCCTCCTCGTCTTTGTTCCCCCTAGCAGACACCTATTACATTCAAGGGTCAGTCAAAAAGATGACCCTTTTTTAGTAGAAACCACACTAGCTATTTTAGGGGAGAAAATGTAATATAAGAAAGTGGTTAACAGTTGTTACAGTATTGAAAAAACATGAAAGAGGACACTGATGTATTCAGAGATAATGATCGCAAGAAGGGAGATGTTTGCGGTTATCAGAACCTAGAACTTTGAGGAGAGGCCCTGCAGAGTTGAGACTTCACCTCTGAGGAGGGGGCTGCTGCTTTAGTTCAGGGCCTCAGAGGTGAAGCTGTCTGGCAGCTGTCTACATCTCAAGGGCTCAGAGGGGGGGCACTAGGTAGCTGGGGTGCAGATCTCTGAAGCAGTGGCTCTGCCCTGTTGCTGCTGGCACCACTGAGTGGGGTGTGATGAGGCTGATTCTGGAAGTATGGGAAGAAGCAAAAAACTGAAAACAACTGCAGCTGGAGCGAACCTCTGCTGCCCGGGGTGCAGGGTGACAGACAGAGCAATGCTGGCAGGAACAGCCAGTGGGCAAGCAGGGATGAGCAAGTGCCTCCTGCCTTCCAATTCCTCCCTAATGTTAGCAGCGGAATGTACCTGAGTCACGTGGCACTAAAGTATGTTAGCGCTTAGGGGGAATATCTGAGCAACGTGGCATCAAAGTATGTTACTGATGGTGAATCCATACGGGTTTGCAGCAACCTCAGTTCTTGTCTCAGAAGAAAGAATTTGACCAAGGAGCATAAGGCAAAATGAAAGATGGAGAAAAGTTTTACAGCAGGAGTGAAAGTTTATTAAAAAGCTTTAGAGCAGGAAGGAAAGGAAATAAAGTACACTTGGAAGAGTGCCAAGTGGGTGACTTGAGAGATCAAGTGCACTATTTGACCTTTGACTTGGGGTTTTATATGTTGGCATATTTCTGGGGACTTGCATCCCTTCTCCCCTGGTTGCTCTCATGGGGTGGGCCGTCTGCATGCACAGTGGCCTGCTAGCACCTGGGAGGGGAGCATGCGCAGTGTGTTTACTGGAGTTGTATGGATGCTTACTTGAGGCGTTCTTTCCTTACCAGCTGCATGTACCTAGAAGGTGATGTACCGGTTAAACTTTGCCATTTTGCCTCTTAGTGTGCATGCCTGAGCCCACTTGCCCAGCTCCTGAGATCTTACTAGGAAGCTGCTAATCACCAGTTTCAGGTTTTTTCTATATTGGGAGACTGCTTTTCCCTGGTGCTGGGAAATAGTGTAACAACCGCCTGACCATCACCTGATGGCCACCTGACATCTCTGGTGGGGGTTGCTTATGCCTGGCTAGATACCTGCTGTAACACTAGTACTGCTATTGGCAGGATCAAACATGGAGCTCTGATGAAGGAGAAATGTAGCTTGCAGTCTCCACCTCAGTACAGAAATGTGGATGTGGAGCTCAAATAATAATAATAGTAATAATAATAACAGTAGTGGTAACAACAACAACACTAATACATATATATTATATGCAATAATATAATAGCTGGATTTTTGTCACAGCTATTCCTTTAGCTGCTTAACATCCGTATATACCCTTTAGAACAACAATAACAACTCTATGCTTTTGCCTAACAAGATGCAAATATTCTTCCACTAATAAAGATGTTCCCATTTTATCTTTCAGAAGGGGTGCCACAAAGTCCTTTGAATCATCTCTGGGGAATGTTAATTATTCCTCAAATTCAGTCATGGACCCATCTGAATATTTTGTAACAAAAGACTAAATTACAAAGGTATTCACCACCAAAAATATTTATATGAAATAATAAAGAGAAAAAAGTAGAAAGGGAAAATAAATTTGTTTAGAAACACTTGAGAGTTTGTTAGGAAATGTAATATTTCTACTACAGCTGTTTAACTTTCCTTAAGGTTAACTTAGACATCAATGTAACCATCCAACGGGTTCACCTTGCCTGCTGCCTAGACAGAGCCTATTTATTAGGACAGGGGAATTTTAAAAGAGAAAGGGTAATTCACGCAGAGCCAGCTGTGCAGGAGACCAGAGTTCTATCATTACTCAAATCAGTCTCCCCAAGAGTTTGGGGATTGAAGTTTTTAAGGATAATTTGGTGGGTAGAGGGGAGCCAGTGAATCAGGAGTCCTAATTGGTCAGGTTGGAGATGAAATTAAGGAGTCGAAGCTGTCCTCTTGGGCTGAGTCAGTTCCTGGTTGGGGGCCACAAGAGCAGATGAGCCAGTTTACTGATCTGGGTGCCAGCTGATCCATCGAGTGTAGGGTCTGCAAAATATCTCAAACACTGATCTTAGGTTTTGCAATAGTGATGTTATCGCCAGGAGCAATTTGGGGAGGGTCAGAATCTTGTAGCTTCTAGCTGTATGACTCCTAAACCATAACTTCTAATCTTCTAGCCAATTTGTCAGTCCAACAAAGGCAGTCTAGTCCCCAGGCAGGAAGGGGTTTTGTTTTGGGAAAGGGCTGTTATCATCTTTGTTTCAAAGCTAAACTATAAACTAAGTTCCTCCCAAAGTTAGTTCAGCCCTACACCCAGGAATGAACAAAGACAGCTTGGAGGTTAGAAGCAAGATGGAGTTGGTTAGGTCAGATCTCTTTCACTGTCTCAGTTATAATTTTGCAATGGTGTTTTCATCAAACTTCTAGATCTTATTTGAGCCCAGTTATTCATAAGATGGAGTAAATGGATAGTTGCTAATTCACCAGTGAATTTAAGCTGTGTAAATAATCAGTATACAAAGTTTGTTTAGGCCACAGATTTTTGCCCCATTATTGATTAAATACCTATTACTGATCAAATTTAAATCTAAAATGGAAATTACCTATTATTGATCAAATAATATTTAATTGATTTATTTTATGTTATTGACTAAATGCAATTAAAATCTAGTATTTGCCTGAATACCTCATAATTGCAAGCTTTCTCATTGATGGTGGGTCCTGAGTTCCAAGGCAGAGATTTCTACTAGGAACTTTATTGATATGGAAAATTCTAGCAACAGAGTTTGCAGAATGGAGACTGCTGCTCTCTTGCTAAAGGACTGTTCTGAATAATGTGTTGTACAAATCTGGGTGTCATAAGGTAAAGTTTTGGACATTGGCAGCAGCAGCAGCTTTTAAAAAAGTATGACCTTCTCAAGCACACCCTAGGTTCCCACAGCATTCTAACTTTCCATGGGGTAATAACAGATGCCCCAATGTGTTTAGCTAGAGTTCCTGCAACCAAGGCAGTAAGAAACAAAGGTGTAATGAGATAATAAGAACTTGGTTTCAGCTATAGCTAGTAGCACTGTACCCCCTGTAGAGAGTAATCTGCATCTTAATGCACCTCACCTGAGACTGTGGCTGTGCCTTTTAAAATGGATCTCAGTGATTGTTATCATTATTGTGCTGCCTTCCTCTGCATACACACACACACACACACACACACACACACACACACGATAAGTAGTACACTGCTCTCTGCATTGGCAGTTTTTAGTGTCATATCCCCATCTTTGGGACCAGGATAATATATCTGGAGATGTAGTAAAGTTTTAGTGACAGTCAGGTTATCTCATTTATTATATGAATTTTCTGTTGCGGCTCTAGGTTATGTAAACCAAAAATAAAATCCTAAGCTCTGCCTTCCCCTCCCCCAACAACTGACTAAACGGACCCCCTCTGGGCCAAGGGGACCCAAGAGAAACCAGGAAAACTGAATCACCCATCATGACAGGAAGGGAGGTCAGACACCCCTCCTTATCCCCCCTCCCTTTTGGAGTTTAGGCACAACTGACCAACATTAACATTAAAATAGAGATCTTAAGACTGACAAAACACACATTGTGGCAATAAGATATCAAATTCCAACATGACTCTGGTATATCATCATATGACAGATAGCAGACCTTGAAGGAAATCAAAATATTTTACCCCCAAATGTATTTCTTTGACATATTCTGAAATGACCCCACAGTTGTCTTTTATGGGGGAAATTTACATCTGCAGAGAATCCCCATTGATACAGCCAGGACTTTTTGGGATCTAGGAGAGATAAACCAAGAGTCTGACACCTTTTAAGGTTTAAGAGAAACATTTACCATTTATTCTCTCTCAGGGTTGCTACCTGGAGGCTTCATCGACATAATAAGAACCTTGGCTTCCACAGCACACCTTAACTCAAGCATTTTTTTTTTTCTACTGACTTCAAGTCTTTGGACAAAGCTCAACTCTCTCAACCAGTTGCCAATCAAAAAATCTTTCAATCCACCTATGACTTATAAGCGTCCACTTTGAGATGTCCTGCCTTCCTGGGTTGAAGCAATGTATTCCTTACATGTACTGGTTTATGTCTTTGCCTGTAACTTCACTCTCCCTAAAATGTATAAAACCAAAATGTAACCTGACCACCTCAGGCACACTTTCTCAGGGCCTCTTCAGACTGTTCCCTGGGCCATGGTCACTTATATTGTCTTAGAATAAACCTTTTTAAATATTTTATGGAGTTTGATTTTTTTTTTGTCAACAGTTCTAAAGCAACAATGGTTTTTAGGCCTTTTGGATAAAAGTGTAAGTGTGCTGTATAAAACAAAAAAAAATTAGGGTAGTGAAGCCTCCAAAACAAGCAGTTATCCAAAAGCTTGTCTGAGTATTGTGAACCCACATAACATACAAAATGAGATTTTAGGAAGGGGAACAAGAGGACATAGGTCCTTAAACAGAGATCATGGAGAGGTTGGATCTTGATGTAGTTCTTTGTCCTCCTGCACCCCTGTTGGTTATGAATTTTTGGATCTGGATTTGTAATTGCCTTCCCCTGGCTTGGGAAGTCCTAATCTGAGTTTAGAGGCCTCATATCCTGAGGGAGCCCTCTCCCTCTACTGTAACCTCAGATCAGCTGATCATCCCATTGAGACCCAACTGGAGTGACCACTGCTCGGGGTAGCCCGTTTCCATTTAGGTTAGTGTGTCCAGAACCTGAAGTAACCTGTCTCATAACTCCCTGCTCAAGTCTTCCAGAGTTGAGCAGATACTTGTTTAATAAAGGGCCTTTGTATTGTATATTGTAGCCTCTAGTCCCAGGATTCTATCACTTTAAACTCTAGTCTCAGAATTGTAGGTGTCAGTTCTAACAATCCATGTGCAAAATCTAGAATGGAATTGTAAAGGACAGTAAAAAAAATCCCAGGACCCCTAGACTCCTTATGCAAAAGGGGAGGTTGATCCTGGAGGCTGAGTTATGCAATATCCTCTTCCAAATGAATAGCTGTTACTAGCATTATTCATTAGCCAGATCCCCACAGAAAGGTAAAAGGCCTCAGTCATCTACAAAGGACTGCCCCCACAAATCATTCATAAGTATATTTGTTGTTGGCCCCACCGCCCCGCCCCTAAACAAGGATATGCCAATTGTAACTTTAGGTTTAAATCTAAGTCTAGCTCCTAAAACTAAAGTCCATTTGTTTCCACACTGATAGTGTGCATTACAAGCTTATTTCCCCAGGTGCAGAACAAAAACAAGATGAGATCAGTCATTCCTTCCCCTACCCAGAGATGTTGGCATAATTGATTCTTCCTTTACTCCCTTTTTTCTCTTCAAACATTCACCTTATTTTATGTAAATTCTGGGCAATAACTAGTCTCACAAGAATGTAACTGTTTGCCTTACTGGCTACCTATCCCTCTTCCTACATATCTTCCCCTCTTTAAGGAAATGTATAAATACTAAACCTCCTGAAAACCTTTTCAGAAAAACAGCCACAGATGTGTCTGTGGCTAGTGTCTTTCCTGGACTCGGCCTAAAGCTAGCTTAATAAACCTTGATTGATTGAGACTTTGCTTCAGTCACTCATTATGGTTATCAGAATTAAAATTGAGTTAGGGTTAGAGTGTTTAGCAGCATGTCTGCCACATAGCAGGTGTTGATTTGAGTATCTGGAGTTGGGCAGAAGTTCTGTATTATGAGTTCAACTTTTCCACCACAGATTGTCCATCATGAGTTCTTATTGACAATTGACTGAGCCTCTTAGGCACCAGGGCAAAGTGTTTTTGATCCTCTCTCAACTCTTTTGTGTGTGTGTGTGTGCATGGAGATTTCACATTAGTTGAACAAATTGGAGAGAGAATGAGTAAGTTGAAACTGTGCCCTCTCATTTTGAGAATTATTTTGGAATTCATTCTTGAATCATAAGTCCCTTTAAAAATTCCAACAGTTTGAAAAGTTTCCAACATTTTGAAAAGTTTCCAACAGTATGAAAAAAACTTATTGAAAGAAATGACGTACCTGACTCTTCATCCACCCATCTGGGGGATCTCTGTTTTCCTCTGCTTTTCTCTTTTTTCATGGCTGTTGAATTAACAAGGTATCAAGCACCCACTATGTGCCTGGCCCTGTGCTGGGCTGAAATACAGTGATGAATGGGACAAATAAACACAACAGACAGTAAACCGCCATGCATGGTGGTAAGTTATAAAGCTGGACTGACAGGGTGAGGTGACAGGGTGATTGTCGGGGATGGGCACAACTTCCCATATGGCGATGGAAAAGACTCTTTCATGGAGGTGCAATCTGAGGTGAGTTCTGCAGCATGAGAAGGAGCCAGCCCTGTGAAAACCAGGGAGATGAATGCTTTCACCAGAGGGGAACAAATGCAGAGGTTTGAGGTAGAAAGTGTGTTCCTCATAGCCGCCAGGCTCCACACTCCTATAAAATCTCTTCTACAAGCCCACGTGAGAGAATGGATGAGAGAAGGCCGGCAAATATCCTTTGGTCACCCGCAAATGCCTGCAGCTGTAATTGGCGGTTCTTACTGATAGATGTGCTTTAAGTGCTGTATATACAGGCTGGGGACTGGGTGATTTTCTTGAAATTTCCCCCCATAGTCAAATTTTTCAAGAACTAAAAATAACAAATTGGCAATCTACCCATGTGTGTTCCTTTGTAGCATCCAAGGACACTACCATAGCATGATGGATAATATTATGAGCTCTCTCAGTTCCTTGATGGGTTGTGTTATAAAAGTGAAGCAAGTTTCATCTTGGTGAAATGCCTAGTGGAGGGAGCAGTATTTCCAGTCCAACTATCGAATTACATTTTTTCTGTTTTTCAGTTCTGTTTATTTCCTTCATGCCCAGCTAAGTACAAACAACATACCCTCTTAGTAAGAATGAAGACCTCTGTTGGTTTGTTGCTGCCACATAAGAGGGAGGGTTGGAGAGGAAGGGGTATTGACATCCATTTTCCCAGTCTTGGCACACAGGCTAGTATGGGAAGTAGATATTTATGGGATGCTATGTGGCTAATGGAAAGAGATGGAGAGCTTTTCGGGCAACACACAACTTCCCCTTGGCCCCCACCCCTACCCCATGAGCTTTCAAAGACATAGACGAAAAGGCCAGGCCAATGCATAATCTTTATTACCATAAGATGTTCAACCAAAAACTGATATGGTCCCCTGGAGAGCCAGACTGGGCCATATGGTAGCCTTTTACTTGCTTCTCATTGCATTTTATTTCTATTCAGCCTGTAATAAGACTGTACTTTTTCTAGTCTATTTGCTAAGGCTGGAGGCAGGCTTTCGTGACTTAACAACACTAGAGTTAGGCTGAGTAGTCTTCTTGGCGTTTTCTTCCCCAGGCCCAAACCCAAACCTCTGTAGTTTTTACTCTCTTGGTGAGAAAGTTCCAAGCAATAGAGAAAGAGAAGGAGCATTTCCATTTAAAGGCCCAGCGTAGAGCTAGTCACATTTGCTCAGCCCGTGCTCCTTCCAGGTGGACAGCTCCTAAGACAGTGGAGTTGGCCCATCTCACCATTTCAGCAGACACAGATTTATTGTGCTACAAATGCAGTTTGAGTTTCAGTGTCCTTCAGTTGTTTGAGCCCCTTCTAAATAAATATTCACTTTCATAGCCAATTTTGAATTTGCAATTTTATATTCTTTTTCTTAAGGTATTCCCCAAACTGTGTAAGATTTAGGTCCCACAAAGCAGGGGCCTGCTCCTGCATACCAGTGTGGCTGCCACATGAAGTCACTGAAGCTCAGCCCCTTGAAGACATGTAGGCACCCGGCGAAAGAGTAAGCTGTGGGTATAACAACAGAATATCTGTAATGCCAGGATTAGGAGTCTGGCAATTTTACTATAGAATCCTTTAAAAAGTATAACATAGAGAAGGATGAATAGTTGCAAAAGTGGTATAGAGAACTTCTGTGTATCTTTCATCCAGATTCCTCCGTTGTTAACATTCTACACATTTGTCTTATCATTCATTCTCTTTCTCTCTTTTTCTTTACACACATACACACATGCATGTACTTTTTTTTTCCCCTTAACCACTTGAGATTGGGTAGCAGAGAAATGATCCATTACCCCTAAACACTTCAGTATGTATTTATTAAACAAAAGACATCCTCTGATGAAGCCACAGTATACCCATCAAAATCAGGAGAACAACACTGATTTTATACCACCATATAATTCAGAGATCCCATTAAAATTCTACCCATTTTTACAACAATATTCTTTACAGGTTGAGAATCCAAACTAGAATCTTGTGTTGCATCTAGTCATCATTTCTTTTAATTTATTTCAACTTGAGACAGTTCTTCAGTCTTCCCTTGCCCTTCAAGGCCTTGATATTTTTGAATTATCCAAGCCCGTTACTTTGTAGAATGTCCCTAAATTTGGGTTTGTCTGATGTTTCCTCAGGATTAGATTAGCATAATGAATTTTTTCCAGAAATACCACAGAAGTGACAGGATACACATGATGATGATTTGTTCTATTGCTGGTGATGTTAACTTTCTTTCACTTGGTTAAAGATACTATCTGCTAGATTTTCTGTTGTAAAATTAACCAGTGTTTTGTGGGGTGCTCTGAGACTAAGTAAATAGCCTGTTCCTCTTCAGATTTTCACACACTTCTTTAAGCATTCATTGATGAATTTTGCCTAAACCAATTATTACTATACTAGTTACCAAATAACAATTTTCTAATTCCATCATTTCTTCTACATTTACTAGTTGACAATCTACTAAAAGGCAGACTTTTTTCTTTACCCCATTTGCTAATGTATATATGTATTTATACTTGTATGGATCCATAGATTGTTATTTTATTCAATGTGGTATAGTCCAATACTATCATTATTTATTTTAATGCCCAATTTGTTCCAGATTTGGCCAGTGATAGCACCTTTAGTTTGACTACTATATCCTTTTAATATGTCCCTATCATGCTTTGAAAACTTCATTATATTCTGGCACAAGGTGTCTGAGGCTTATCTTGTACTTTGCTTGTCCCAGTCCTGGAATTAGCCATTTTTTCCAAGACCATTGGTTCCTTTTAGTGGATAATAGTATTTAAAAACCAAGACCAGAGGGCTAGTTGCACTCATTGTTATGAAGTGTTGCTTCTAGGCCTTCTCAACAGACAGGGAGCTAGAAATAAATGCATGTATGTATGCACACACACACACACACACACACACACACACACACATCTGTAGTTATTTCTACAGTTTTCTATCTCTCTATATAGCTACTTCTAATTTCAATCCCTCATCACATGGTTTGTTCTGGCTTTTCCCTTTTCCATATTTGAAGATAGTGAGAATCCTGTCTCCCACTATCCTTAGTATGTTCATTTGCTTAGTCCCTTGTATGGATCAATCTCCTGATTACATGTGCCATCTCCTCACCCCTGTGCTGCCAACTCACGCTTGTCTACACCAGTTGAGAATTATCATTCTCACCATATACATATAAAAAGTTCCCCTGCTGTGGCCCCAGGGGTACTTAGGCCAAGAGCTACCCCTCTCCTGGGCCTGGGTTTTCACAGATCTACAGTTCCCCACTGTTCCAGCATGTGACTCACACCAGCCTCCCAGGTGGACAGTTCTCCGCCCCCCTGGTTGCACACAGGACTGAAGTTCCCTTCAGCTCCAGTGGTGCATCCAACAAGAAGTGGGATCTCACCTGCCTAAATTCCCCATGGTCTCAGTGGCTCCCAACTGGCCGAGCCAAACTCAGCCCCAGCAGTGTGCTAATTCTGCTAACTCTGCCCAGGCACTGGACAGAGGTTTAAAAACTGAAACTGATCAGTAAGTTAAGGGAATCTGCCCAAGATGTTGTTAAGGAATCCTTTGTTTATCGGGGAAAGGAAATTCAACAGATTATGGTTGAAGGTAATTATGACAGAGAAATACAATCATTTATATTTAAATCTTTGTTTGGTCACTTGCCTTCTCGCTCTCAGATCTATTGCCTGCTCTACGTTATAGGCAAGTATATATCCTGGGCTGCCTTGCCAGCTGGCTTCCAGCTAGGCTTGTCCAATGGGAGGCAGTCAGAAGAGACTGGTAGTTTCCCCGTTCTCTTCTATCTGCAGCAGTGTCTCCATCAGTGGCTATTTCCCCTTTATGATTAGCTTCTGTGTAACAGACTTGTCATGGTTCTAGATTCTTCTGGGTTCCAATCATACCACCTTCTCCTTTTGTTTCCAGCTCCAAGAGTGATAGTGGCTTCCTATACTATGTCTAATTTCTCTATTCCTTCCTTTTTCATTTTCAGTTTCTCTATCACCTGTATAACCAATTTTCTGAATTAAATTCCCTCTGCGTTAAGCACCTAGACTGTTTAATGTTTTCCTAACCTGACCCAGAAAAATGGCCCAACAAGCTGACTCGCCTTACTTGTTATATGAGCCTGGAGCTGTTGTAGCCAACTCTCTCCCATTTGAGAAAACCTGTCTGAGAATGAAACAACACAAAGTTAAATGGAGCCAAAAGATAAAGAACTAGATCTTGGTAACTTCGAATGAGCCGTTGATCAGCCATTACCTAAGGCTAGGATGACCCTTGAACTTTTCAGTTACTTGAATCAATAAAACCACTTTTAAAAAAAGTCCTGGCCAGGCGTGGTGGCTCACGCCTGTAATCCCAGCACTTTGTGAGGCCGAGGCAGGCGGATCACGAGGCCAGGAGATCGAGACCATCCTAGCTAACATGGTGAAATCCCGTCTCTACTAAAAATACAAAAAATTAGCCAGGTGTGGTGGCGGGCACCTGTAGTCCCAGCTACTTGGGAGGCTGAGGCAGGAGAATGGTGTGAACCTGGGAGGCGGAGCTTGCAGTGAGCCGAGATCATACCACTGCACTCCAGCCTGGGCAGCAGAGCGAGACTCCATCTCATATTTTTTAAAAAAAGGTCCTAATTGTTACATCTGTACATCTGTGTTTCAGCATCATGACTGTTGAACTACGTACAAATTATAGATCATTAACTCCTTGATCCATGAAGGTGACTTAAGTTCTATTTGAAAGTCACATTTCCCAACAGGGCTTATCTCCTTGGTGTGATTTACTTATGTGTATTCTTAAAAGAGGAGATTTTCTTACAGCTTCTGCCTTTTATTGGTCTTTCTGTCTTCTAATGTGTGACTCCTCTTTTCTAAGCTGCCACATTCTGACAGGGTCTCATATATCCACTATATCAGTGGAAGGGACAAAATAAAAAATTTATGTCATCTACATGACAGACCTGAAAAACTAGCCTCTCATTTAAATATTGCAAAGAATTGAGTTATATGCTACATAAGTGACAGGAGAATGGGGCTGTTAATCTATGTGAAAGGAAATTGGATTCAAGTTGTTTTATCTCTTGCAGATGTTCAACATTATTTTTGTCAGCTAGTAGTTAAGTTGAAGAGAGACATCTTTCTCAGAATAGAAACATGAAATAATAATGTCCTCCAGCATCATCTCATCATGTTAAGCTATGAGATGGATGATATCCTGATGTGAAAAGATGCAAATGATACTGAGTTTTGAAGTATTTGTTGGGAGTGGGAGAGAGGCTAAAGTTTTGTTCTATAATATACTGCTTCTGCATGAAAAAAATGAAGAATCCATAGACACTTTGTTTAAAAAATGGGATTCTAAGCCACAGTTTCCTAAGAGGTTTATTTTGGACAAGAATTCAGTAAGATTTGGGTTTAACATGTCCCTGTGGAAAGTTGGCACTAGCATGGGTTAGGACCCAATGCCCTTGGAGGCTCAGCTCAGGGTCCTTGCTTAGGGTTGCTCTATCTTATGCATGACCTGAGGGATGTAGGCATCCTAGGTTAGTTGATCATGGATATACTGAGGCCTCTGGCTTTCCTCATCCCCTTCAGCAGTTGTGCTGGCTTCTGTCACCTGCCATGGGTCTGTTTGTTGCCCTCTGTGGCTCTTGGATGTCTTACCTGAATCATTATATACCTTCTGTCTGCAAACTAACCCCTACTCTGAGTTAATCCAGACAAGTAGGGAATGTATCTTACCAGCCTCAGACCACTGAGCTCTGTGGTTAGATGTGCTGCTTGAGACCTGGTAGGTGGTGGCTGGAGGGACATTACAGAGCACCTTGAGCTCAGGAATGGTGGCTTCCTGTTAAAGAGTGGGTTACTGTCTCAGTTCCCCTCTCTGGTACTGTACTATATAAACTGAGACTGGAATCCCGTTCAACTTGGCTGGGGTTTTGATGTCCTAGGGGAGAGAGGTAGATTCTGCTCCCTCTACCAGCCTCCACAGATGTTTTCAGAGCACCAGGCATAGATCTGGATCGATTTCCTCAGGCCCCAGGTGGCCTTGCCCAGCCTGCCCTTGTTGCTCTGCTTTTCCAGCCTTCCTGTGTGTTGTGTGTCAGCATGCCATACATCCACTCCATGACAGTTCTCATGAGTGCCTCAGGACTTGTGGTCATCCCTGGACCACACACAAGGTTTAGTCTATAACCTATGAATGAGTTAGTCCACTTCCACTCTAATTCCCACTCTTCATTAGCACATGCGAAAATGTTAGAGGATCTTTACATAAGTAAAATTATTATTATAATCATAAAAATGCCATTTATAATATATATTCCAAATAAAGCTATAGTAACACTTAAAAATGTGTTAACGAAAAGCAGGAGTTACTTTGTTTAAATCTTATTGTACAGGGGCATTTATAAAGCTTCCCCAAAAATACAACAGGACTAGCTCATGTATTATCTAGAACCTGTGTGTGCACACACACCCTTCTCCTATGTTTATACATATGTTTACTATTCTGAGCACTTATATGCTGAGCACTTTATATAAATTATCTTCTGTCTTAGATCAGGTTTCCCAGAAAGCTAAGCAGAACCTGAGGCAATAAATAAAGCCCTGATGATTTATTTGGAAAGTACAAACCCAAGGCAGCAAAAGTATAAAAAAATAAAAAACAAACGTAAAGTGAGGGAGAGAAGATGAGAAGCAATGCAGAGTTCTGTACTGATGAGTGCTTTGTAATCGCCATAGAGAACTGGGGCAGGACACACCACAGGGGTGATGCAAGATTGTGTGGGCTTTTCCAGGAAGAGTCTACAGACTCATGTCTCAGAGTAGTTGATTAGAGTGTGGAAGGTCGGGACATTGCTGTATCCTTCCCATCTCCTTTTTCGTATGGGTCAAAGTTTGTCTGACTGAAGGTTAATTCTCTTGCACTTTTGCAGCTGCTGGAACATGAGATCCCAGGCCCTGTAGTGGTGTGTTTCATTCAAATCTGAAAATGGCAGCACAATTGAGCAATTCCTGGCATGTGGCTACTTGGCCCAGTTGTGCAGCTGTAGCCCAGGGGGAGGCTTTCCAAGGGCAAGTAACTGCTGGGTCCCCATTGAAGCAGTGTGGCTTGGGAGGCTACCAGGCAGAGGGTATCTAAGGAGGTGCATAACATCTGTGGTGGTTGTATCTACTTGGGATGCACAACAACCCTGAGAGGTGAGTCTTATGTTTCCCACTTTATAGCTGAGGAAACAGGCTGTTTGCCCAAGATCTCATAGCAGTGAGCAGCTAAGCCAGAGTTTGAACTCAAATCGGTTTGCTTTCAAACTGATTTGAGTTTTCTGTCCAGCATGCTACATAGATTCTCCTGTAGGCTTTAATTCAAACAAACAAACAAACAAACAAACAAATAACAAAAAAAGTCAGTGAAAGTAACACATAGTTCTTGCAGAAAATATAAAAAACAAAATAATCATCCACAATCTGTAGACCCAGAAATAATCATTACAATTTTTCTAGCATATAATCTTTCAGTTTTTCTGTAATATTTTTTCATAGTTAAGATAATGCAAATACTATAGCTTATTATGCTCTTGTCATTGATTACTATTTCAAGAGTATTATCCTATGTCATATAAACTTTTATGCCTCTATACCCAGATATAGTTTTATATACTTTGGAAGCAGCAGGTCTGTGATCCATTTGTTTCCTTTGCTGGGGTGGCAGTATGTTCCGAGGTAAGAAAGAAGGCAAGTAAACTGGTTTAATCTTGTAAAGACACTGATGACAGACCTCCTGGCCAACTACATGTTTTTTGCTAGCAGGAAAGTCCTTATCCATGGAATGCTTTTAACAGAATGTGCTTTGGTGTATAGGATTTCTTAGGTAGACAAGCCTAGAATCTACAAATTTATGGGGCATGGCTCTCAGGAAAATGTGATGTAAATTATGTAAATATCTGAGTATAAAATAGAGATGTTTCAGATGTTCCTGAACTAAGCAGCCCCTTCTGGGTAAGTAAGGTGGCTGATACCATTCTTAGAGGCCTCATCAATTGTCTTGGGCCAGAGTACCTCAGATGCAGGAAGAAGAGACCCAGGGAGTGCCACCAGGGCTTCTAGACCTCTCCCTGCTGTAACCTATGTCTCCTTATTGTACGCATCCTTGAAATTACTAGTAAAGCTTGGTACTGAGTAAGATCTCTGATGTGTGTGAGTCTTATTTGACAATCTGATCTTCGTTGTGTTGTGTGCTACCTCAATTCACTGTCATTTCCTCATTGATTACGTTTTAATTATATATAAATATTTCATAACTTTAAATACATCTGTGATACACAACTCTGACCAAATCATTGTCTATGCTTTATGTCATTTCTTTTGAATTATTCCAAGAGAAGGACTTGCTATACTTTTTCAGGGCTACAAGAGGGAAACCTCTGTAAGAATCTTTTGCCCTACCTCCTGTTCTTGCTACTGCAAGGAGAAACAGAGGGATCAAAAGAAAAACAGGAAAAAAAGGAGAAAGAAATGTGAGCAATAGGAAAAAATCCCTTTACCATCATCATCACCAGACTTTTTTGCCAGCCTAGGTTCATTCTTCATTCTCAGTTCATTTTTCCCTTTTGCACTCGGCTATTCCTAGCTCTTGCCCTCGAAACCCCATTCTTGCTTCAGACTCCAGCCTCCTGGAAGCCCAACCAAGCTTTCTCTGCTTCTTCCTACAATGAGAAACTTCTGCCTAGCTGCTGGGGACACCTCCCCTCCAGCAGATTGATGTTTCAGCAGAAAGATACATTCCCAGCATTCTGAATTGGGACTGGTGGTTTTGTAGTACACCCAGGGTTCTTAATCCAAGGCTCATGGAGAGAATTCAGGGAGGGGGGTCAATGAACTTGGAGGGGAAAAATGACATGTCTATATTCACTAGTCTCTAACCAAAATTTATCAGATCTTTCAGTTATAAATGTAAGCAAAGAAAAAAAAAAACCCACGGTAGTATTAGCAGTACCTGTAATCTTGTCAACGATAGAAATCAATTCTTTTCATATACATTATTATTGTTGCAAATATCTTGAAAAATTATTTACATTCCATGCTTCTTAGAAATCATGTTATTAGGGAGGGATAGCATTAGGAGATATACCTAATGTAAATGACGAGTTAATGGGTGCAGCACACCAACATGGCACATGTATACATATGTAACAAACCTGCAGGTTGTGCACATGTACCCTAGAACTTAAAGTATAATAATAATAAAAAAGAAATTATGTTATTAAACCTGTTGCTAGGTTTATGTAACATGTTAATGTGTAAACATGTTATTTAACATGTTGCTAAAGAAAACACATTGCTGAATCACAAAAAATATTTTGATAACTGTATTTTTAAAAATTAGTTTACTCTGTTGTCCTATGTTTTTATTTTGTTGATTTAAACACATCATTATGAGAAGGGGTTCATAGCTTCATCAGACTGCCAAATGTGTCCATGGCAAAGAAACGGTCAAGAAGTCTTAGAAGTGGAATACAGTCTAGCACTTCACTAGTGTGCATTATATGATATGTTAAATAGCCATTGAAAAACTGGCCTGACTCTTGCCTTTCAGTGATTAACATAATCATGTCACTAGATGCATAAATAGTGCTTAGGCAAGCACTGACATAGGCTGCTGTACAGGTGTAAACAACAGGCTACTTGGTTTCAGGGACACAGAATTAATCACAGCTTGGTGCATCTGAGAAGATTCCTAGAAGGAGTAACATTTGAGGTGGGCCCAGCTCAGCTTAAAGCAGCTGAGGAGGTGAACTGGGCTGCCCACACCTCTGCATGAGAAGATCACAGTCACTCTGCCAAGCTCTACTCCTCTGAAAAATACCTGATTGAAGCAAGCTGCAATAGCCATGGGCTTTCCTTTCCTGAAAATTCAGGAAGGGCTCCTCTGCTAATGTGTTTTTCCTATCCTTTAATAAGGATAGTAGCTTGTTCTTTCATGTATTCATATTTTCCTGTAGGCAAGGAATAGCATCTGATGTAGTAGAACATAAGCCTAGGGATCCTAGTTGGTCTGGGTTCTTACCTTTCCTTGGGTTATTGATAAACTGAATTATTGGACATGATGATCTTCATCATCTTATCATTGTCCTAGCGACTTTGACTTTTAGGAATTTTTGAATCTTGGATAAGAAATGGCATTCAATAAGTGAAATGTTTCATTTCCATTGAGGAAGTTATAATGTCCCTCCATCCTCCTAATTCCAACGTATTTATGAAATGGAAAACTGGCCATGAGAAGCATGGCATATAATTCTCCCTCCTCTGCCTGACCCCAACCTTTCTAAGTGTACTTCTAGGAAGTATAAACTGGCATGGAAAATTCCACCCATTCGATTTCTTATAAGTTGAAGAAAAGTCAGAGGTACAAATTGGGGAGGGAGATCTGGGGAATGCTTTGAACTGCATTAGCCAATATTAAGCAATAGGATGCCTCTGATGTCATCTGCAGAGGGGCCTAGTTTGGTTGGCTTTCTTCTAAGCCTGCTACATGTATACTGCTTCTACTCCTCCAATCTTTGATGCAGTGACTGAGCTGTGCTGTGGGCAGACAGAGAGCATTGTCTATATGTATGAATTCCTCAGTGTAATGCTTTCATTTCACTCTTTTTTATTCCTAAAAAAAGGCTAAAACTTTGTATGAGAATGCAGTTTTATGTGTTGCTGAGATATGTTAGGGATGGGGATGGCACACTAAAACTGATAGTCACTAAAGTCATTATTTTCCCTGCCTTCATTCCTCTTCTACATTCTGTACCTTGCCTCTTAGGTCACTCATTTCCAGATACAGTTGTCAGTATTCTTCTCTTTAAAAAGCTTCAATGGACGCTCTAAACTTTAGGTTGAGGGAAATCCTCAGAGGTGAAGTAAAGAGAGCAATGTCCATTAGAAGTTTCTGTCGGTGTAAAACTTAGGGGAGCAGTGCCCAAGGCACAGGATAGGAAGATTTAGCATGTCACCCACACCACATTTTCTTCAGCAAAATCACGCATGAACCAGCAAGCCATTCAAAGAATGGAGCCCTATGGAGAGACTCTGCCAAATAATAATTATTATTGTTATGATAATTATAATTATACCAAGGAGAAGAAAAAAGAATGGAATGGGAAGGAGATAAACAAATTTTAAAAGGCTGGTTGTAAAGCATGCCACAAGAGGAATTGCCTATAGAATTAAAGAAAAGGTACAGATAAGTTTTTCTATAGAGTCTCAAAGAAATTGTCCATAACAAAAATTATAGCCAGAGAAAAATATTTCAACGAAGAAATAGAAAGATTCAGAGAAAAATGGAAAGGCAAGAGAAAAAGATGGGCAATGAACTAAGACAAATAGAAGGAAAAACAATACAGAAAGAATAAATTTGACTGATAATACAGTTATGTATATAGCAGCAGGTTTGACAACACCCAAAATGAAATGGAAAAAAAACAAAGACATACAAAGATTATAGACAAAGTACTGGATATGGAAGAAACACAAAGGAAATCCAATATGAATGAGTTGACATTTCTGAGAAAGAGAATGAAACAGATGGAACAGAAATGATTTCAATTATATAAAAGATGACATTTCTTGCAATAAAAAGTTGAATCAGCACAATGAAGGGTAACAGCATGAGCCAGTAAAGATCGATAGAACACAATGAACACCAAGTCATATCCTGAAAAGTTACTGAATACAAGATAAAGATTTATGTGGTATGAAGAAAAGAAATTATACCACAAATAAGGGGAAAGTCTGGCTGACGTCAGGCTTCTTCACAGCAGTGTTCAATGCCAAAAGATGGTGAAGAAATGCCAGCAATGTTCTGAAGAAAACAAAGTGTTATGAATTAATTTATTAACCATGCAAGTTCAAACGTGAAGGCAACAGATATCTCAGCAATGCAAGTACTTAGGCAATGGAGTACATAGAAGTCCTCAGAAAAAAGAAATCCAGTGGATCAAGAGATGATACAAAATAAATATAACCAGATTATTGACTAGTTTGAGCTTGCAATTTCCAAGGACAAAATCTTTCCTCACATTCTTCAAAACTGTCTTCAACTGTCCCAGTCAAATCTTTCTTTCTTGTTCTTTTAAGAATATCTTGGTCTGATCCTACCACTTTTCCAATAACTTCAATTATCCAAAATCCCGTGGAGTTTCTTCAATCTCATATATTCAATTTAACTCTCATTTTCTTTCTTCTTACTCTAAGGTTTGGCACTCATGGCAAAGGTTCTTTTTCCTTCTTTCCTTTTCCTTCTTGTGTCTTCCTTCCCTTGTACATTCTTTTTTTCTGAGTCTCTTTCTCCTCTAGTGTGTTGTGGTGAGAAGGAAAGATGGAGGAAATGGGGTGAACATCACTTAGGCAGTGGCTTTGGATGTCTTTTAGGTTGCTATTGCCTTTGATTCACTCTGTGTGACTGAGGTCCACATGCTGGCATTCTGGAGAGGTGCATGTGTGGATTTTTGGGGAAGGTCCTTTAAGGACCTCCTCCTGCACAGACAAATGATGCTCTGGCAAGACCTCTTCTGATTTCAGCTGAGCTACTACCTCTGGTGGTCTACTCCACAGCCTCTTGCTTCTGGAATTCTTTTGCCTGGCAGGCTGTCCCTTTAGACAGGGTACTACTGAGATGGCACAAACTGACTACTTCATGGGCTGACTCCTAGAAAACTCATGAATCTTGCTACTTAAATCTCTGGAGTACAAGTTGCTGCAGCACCACCTGAGCTTTCTGCCTTGCTTTCTTTTTCCAGATCTCTTTTTCTCAACCTCAGTTAGACCCAGAGCAGAAGATCAGCAAGTGCACAGTAGAAGTAGATGCTCAAAAGGGAATAAGAGGCTTGTTTCAGATTTTTTCAGGCATCACAAATATCTATCTATGATTCTTGCATCATCCCCTACTTTGGCTTCCTGCTTATGTGTGTATCTGGGGCTGAGTGTTGAGGAGAAAGAGCACAATACAATCCTCCTAGCTGATCCCACAATCTTCCTTGAGTTCTTTATCTTTGGCATATGTAGACTGGAGCAAGAGACTGGGGCAGGGCTGGAACTGCCATCTCTCTTGTCAGTGCTAGAGGGAGTATCTGGGTTCCTTGGTACAGTAATTCTCTTTAGAATGTGGGAGTATTTCATATTGTTGTACAATTTGGAGGCTTTTCTAACTCTGAGATAGCAGGACACATCCCATTGAACATCGGCTTCATGAACACAGCAATAAATAGAGAAGTGTGGTAAAGGACATGCAGTGATATAGTTTGGATCTGTGACCCCACTCAAATCTCATATTGAAATGTAACCCCTAATGTTGATGGTGGGGACTAGTGGGAGGTGATTGGATCATGGGGATGGATTTCTCATGAATGGCTTAACGTCATCCCTCGTAGTGCTGTCCTTGTGATAGTGAGTGAGTGCTCATGAGATCTGGTCTTTTAAAAATGTGTAGCACCTCCCCCTTTGCTCTCTTGTGCCTTCTTTCACCATGTGATTTCACAGCTCCCCCTTTGCCTTCTGCTACAATTGGAAGCTTCCTGAGGCTTCCCTAGAAGCAGATGTTGCTATGCTTCCTGTACAGCTGGCAGAACCAAAAGCAAATTAAACCTCTTTTTAAAAAATAAATTATCCAGTCTTAGGTATTTCTTTATAGCAATGCGAGATCATACTAATACACGGGGTGAACCTGAATTTATTTTATTAGGTTACTAATTGTTGGAATTAGAGTTACAGAATAAAATGTAAGGGTTTAAAATCTTGAAAATATAAAAATAATGGGTAACCAGTTTTGGGAGTTGGAGGTAAGGAATGTGGAAGGGATCAAAAGCATCAGTTTTTTTCATTTTTCGTGGCATGGAGTCAAGAGATAATTGTTCAGAATTAAATTGTATGATTGAGAATTATGGTTTCAATCTATCAGTGTTTTCTCTCCTTAATTCTACTTTTAAAAATCTCAGAGTAGTGGTTCTTAATCAGAGACAATTTTGCTCCACCTTCCCCAGGGGACATTTGGCCTCGCTGGAGACATTTTAGTTGTTACGCTGAGGGAAGATGGTGTTTCTACTAGTGTCTAGTGGGTAGAGGCCAGAGATGCAGCTAAAAATCCTATGAAGGGATTAACAGCCCCACCAAAGTGGCATGATAATCATGTTACATGAAAACATCTGAACATTCAGTAGCTACAGAAACATGAAGCAGAGCCTCCTGAAAATATAACTGCCATTGGCCCCTCTCAGAGGAAGTTGCCTGTTTGTGAGAGAACTTATCCTTAGCACTGAAAGTGAAAACTCAGCTGCGATTAGCATCAGAAAGCCCAACAGAGTTTAAAATAATGGGTTATAAGATGTTATTTGCAAACCTCTTGGTAGCCTCAAATCTAAAAACCTACAACAGATAACAAATAAATAAAAAATGAGAAATTAAAACATACCATTGGAGAAAACCACCTTGACAAAGGAAGACAGAAAAGAAGAAGAAAGGAAGAGACCAAAAAACAATTAGGAAATAAATAACAAAATGGCAGCAGTAAGTCCTTACTTATAAGCAGTAACATTGAATATAAATAGACCAAATTCCCCAATCAAAAGACACAGAGTGCCTGAATAGATTAAAAAATAAGACCCATTGATCTGTCGTCTACAAGAAACACACTTCACCTAGAAAGACACACATAGACTAAAAGAAAAAGATACTTTATGCAAATGGAAACAGAAAAAAGCAGGAGTAGCTATACTTATATCAGACAAAATAGGTTTTAAGACAAAAAGTATAAAAAGAGACAAAGAAGGTCGTTATATAATGATGAAGGGGTCAATTCAGCAAGAGAATATAACAATTATAAATATATATGCACCCAATACTGGAACACCCAGATATCTAAGGCAAATATTATTAGAGCTAAAGACAGAGATAGACTCCAATACAATAATAGCTGGAGACTTCTACACCCCACTTTCAGCAATGGACAGATCAGCCAGGCAGAAAATCAACAAAGGAACATTGAACGTAATCTGCACTATAGACCAAATGGATCTAATAGATATTTACAGAACATTTTATCCAACAGCTACAGAATGTACGTCTTCTCAGGACATGGATTATTCTCAAGAATATATCGTATGTTAGGCCACAAAACAAGTCTTAAAAAATTCAAAAGAACTGTAATTATATCAAGTATCTTCTCTGACTACAATGGAATGAAACCAGAAATTAATTATAAGAGAAATTTTGGAAACTGTACAAACACATGGAAATTAAACAATATGCTCCAGAACGAATAGCAGGTCAATGAAGAAATTAAGAAGAAAATTTAAAAAGTCTCAAAAAAAAATGAAACCCCAAATACAATATACCAAAACCTATGAGACACAGCAAAAGCAATACTAAGAGGAAAGTTTGTGGCAATAAGCACCTACAAGAAAAACCAAACCAAACCAAAAAAAAAAAAAAAAACCAAAAAAACAAAAAACCTAAAAATACTTCAAATAAACAGCCCAATGATGCTTCTTAAAGAATTAGGAAAGCAAGAGCAAACCGAAACTGAAATTAGCAGAAGAAAAGAAATAATAAATATCAGATGAAAAGTAAATAAAATTGAAACAAAAAATAATACAAAACATCAATGAAACAAAAAGTTGGTTATTTGGAAACATAAAATCAACAACTTTTAGCCAGACTACCTAAAAAAAAAAGAAAGAAGACTCAGATAAATAAAATCAGAGCTAAAAAAGGAGACATTACAGCTGATACCACAGAAATTCAAAGGACCATTGGCAACTACTATGAGCAACTGTATGTCGATAAATTGGAAAATCTTGAAGAAATGGATAAATTTCTGGAAACATACAACTACCAAGATTGAACCATGAAGAAATCCAATATCTGAATGGATCAATATCTGAATAGATATAAAAGCTGTAATAAAAAGTCTCCCAGCAAAGTAAAGCCTGTGACCTAATGGCTTCACTGCTGAATTTTGCCAGACATTTAAAGAAGAGCTAATAGTAATTCTACCCAAATTATCCCAAAACATAGAGGGGTAGGGAACACCTTCAAATTCATTCTATGAGGCCAGTACTACTCTGATACCAAAACCAGACAAAGAAACATTAAAAAAAAAAAGCTATAGGCCAACTTCTCTAATGAATATTGATGCAAAAATCCTCAACAAAATACTAGCAAACTGAACTTGACAACACATTAAAAAGATCATTAGTCATGACTAAGTGGGATTTATCCAAGGGGTGCAAGGATGGTTCAATATATGCAAATCAATCAATTTGACACATCATATCAATAAATGAAAGACAAAAATGATATGATCATTTCAATTGATGCTGACAAAGCATTTGGTAAAATTCAACATCCCTTCATGATAAAAACACTAAAAATCTGGGTATAGAGGGAACATACCTCAACACAAGAAAAGCCATGTACAACAGACCCCCAGCTAGTATCATACTGAATGGGGAAAAACTAAAAGCCTTTCCTCCAAGATCTGGAACACAACAAAGATGCTTACTGTCACCACTGTTATTCAACACAGTACTGTAAGTCCCAGCTAGAGCAATCAGATGAGAAAAAGAAAGGGTATCTGAATTGGAAAGGAAGAAGTCAAATTATCCTTGTTTACAGATGATATGACATTATATTAGGAAAAATCTAAAGACTCCACCAAAAAACTATTAGAGCTAATAAACAAATTCAGTAAAGTTGCAGGATGCGAAATCAGTATTCAAAAAGCAGCAGCATTTCTGTATGCCAACATTGAACAATCTGGAAAAAAATAAAGAAACGAATCCCATTTACAATAGGTACAAATAAAATATGATAACTAGGAATAAACTTAACCAAAGAAGTGAAAGATCTCTGCAATGAAAATAATGATGCAAGAAATTGAAGAGGACACAAAAAATGCAATGATATTCCATGTTCATGGATGGGAAGAACCAATATTATTAAAATGCCCATACTACTTGTAGCAATCTACAGATTTAAGGCAATCCCTATCAAAATACCAATAACATTCTTCACAGAAATAGAAAAAAATCCTAAAATTTACATCAAACCACAAAAGACCCAGAATAGTGAAACCTATGCTGAGCTAAAAGCATAAGGCTAGAGGAATCATATTACCTGACTTCCAGTTGTGCTACAGAGCTATAGTAACCAAAACAGCATGGTACTGGCATAGAAACAGATACATAAACCAATAGAACAGAATAGAGAACGCAAAAATAAATCCATACATCTACAGTGAACTCATTTTTGACAAAGGTGCCAAGAACATACATTGTAGAAAGGATAGTCTCTTAAATAAGTGGTACTGGGAAAACTGGATATGCATATGCAGAAGAATGAAATTATGTGGCCCTATCTCTCATCATATACAAAATCAAATAAAAAAATGGATTAAAGACTTAAATCTAAGACTTGAAGACTATGAAACAACATAAAGAAAAAATTGGGAAACTCTCTAGCACATTGGTTTGGGCAAAGATTTTTTGAATAATACCCCAAAAGCACAGGCAACCAAAACAAAAATGAACAAATAAGATTACATAAAGTTTAAAACCTTCTGCACAGCAAAGGAAACAATGAACAAAGTGAACTGACAACCACATAATAGGAAAAAAATTTGCAAACTATCCATCTGACAAAGGATTAATAACCAGAGTATATAAGGAGCTCAGACAACTCAGTAGGAAAAAATCTAATAATCTGATTAACACATTTGCAAAAGATCTGAATAGACACTTCTTAGAAGAAGACATACAAATGGCAAACAGACATATAAAAGGTACACAACATCACTGATCCTCAGAGAAATGCAAACCAAAACTGCAGTGAGATATTATCTCAACTCACTAACAATGGCTTTTTTCCCCCACAGAAGATAGGCAATAACAAATGCTGGCAAGGATGTGGAGTAAAGGGAATGCTCGTACACTGTTGGTAGGAATGTAAATTAGTACAGCTTCTATGGAGAACAGTATGGAAGTTCCTCAAGAAACTAAACATAGAATGGCCATATGATCCAGCAACTCCACTACTGGGTATTTATCCAAAGGAAAGGAAATCAGTATATCAAAGAGATATCTGCTGTCCCATGTTTATTGCCACACTGTTTACATAGCTAAGATTTGGAAGTAACCTAAGTGTCCATCAACAGATGAATCGATAAAGAAAATGTGGTACATATACACAATGGAGTACTATTCAGCCATACAAAGGAATGAGATCCTGTCATTTGCAACAACATGGATGGAACTATTACGTGAAATAATGTTAAGTGAATTAAGCCTGGCACAGAACGACAAACTTTGCATGTTCTCATTCATTTGTGGGATGCAAAATTTAAACAATCGAACTCATAGAGATAGAGAGTAGAAATATGGCTACCAGAGGCTGGTAAGGGTAGTAGGGAGCAAGGGGAGCAGAGATGATTAATGAGTATGAAATACAGTTAGATAGAATGAATAAGATCAAGTATGTGGTGCCACAACAGGGTGACTACAGTCAACAATAATTATTGTACATTTTAAAATAACTAAAAAGGTATAATTGGAATGTTTGCAACACAAAGAAATGATAAATTCTTGAGGTGATGGATACTCCATTTACCCTGATGTAATTATTACATATTGTCTGCCTGTATCAAAATATCATATGTAACCCATAAATATATACACATGTTATGTACCCATAAGAATTAAAAATTAAAAAAAATTTAAAAGCCCAATAGAACCTTCCATACTTCACTGTGGAAGCTCCCCTCCCTTTTTGTTAAGCTGGTATATAAGCTTTTACTTCTGGCTATGCAGTGAATTACTGTTTATTGAGTGCTCCTGGGTGCATCTATAAATAAACCTAGTTTTCTCTTGTGAGTCTATCTATTGTCACTGAATATGCAGACTCCTGAATAGTTGAACCTAAGTAGGTAGAGGAAAAGTTTTCCTCCCAATGCCTACAATGCACAGGAAAGCCCCTTCCACAACAAATAGGCAAGTCTTAAATATTAAAATAATTTGTTGATCTGTCAAGGCAAGATGGCTGACTAGATATAGCTATGCGGAACATCTGCCACTGAGGGACTGGGACATTGGGAAGACTAGTACCCTCTGAACAGGTCTCAGAAGGAAGGCATTGATAGTGGACAAAGGGAAGACGCAGATGCTGGGCTGAAGAAGGGGAAGATGGCAACCCTACATGGGGCTATTGTGCACCAGGATTCATTCCTGGCCCCCAACGACTCCTAGGGAAGGAGTGAATTGAGCAGGCATGGAGCAGCCCACTCTCACCATGGACCTCTGGAATCCTGGCAGCAAGAGACCCCATAACTCCCATGGACTCTTGAGCTGGCAGAGAGAGCTGCTTAGAGAGGTAGTAGGGGCAGGACTCCAGCCTGTGTGGAGCCCATCAGGAATGTCTGTAGGGGTGCATGGCCAGTGATGCCCATCCCCCAAGGCTCACTTTGCTCCCCTAGAAGACTCTAGCCTTGGGAGAACTGTTGGACTTGAACAGAGCAGGTTGATCTTGCCTGTGAGATGGGGCCAGTCTGACATGAGTGCTCTTCTGTCTGCTGGCCTCTCCTGGGACTCCGGCTTGGCCTGCTTGCAGTGCAGTTTCAGACACCCAACTGGGGTACCTCCCAGGGCCCCCCTCATAGGTCCTCCACTGATGGAAAATGCCTGACCATCAGAGAGCTCCAGCAGAGTGGCCCTCACTGACACACACCGGCCCACCCACACCCACCCCTCATTGTAGCCTCCCTCGTGCCAATTTGCTGGCACTTACTGCCCATGGCCACACCCCATTGCTTTGCCAGTGTTCACATGCACAGATGGACCTCGTGCCCCCTCCCCACTGGTACATGGGTAAATGTGCACTTTATCATGCCATTACTGCCAGTGTGAGTACACCCACCTCCCCCTACTCATTGTCACACTTCTGTTCCCCCATTGCCAGTGTGAACACACGCATGGACACCAGCAGCCCCACAGCCCCCTCCTCCTGTGCTGCCACCACCACTGGTGTGAACATGTGCAGGGACACCAGTGGGCTCACTCCCTGCCTTGTTCCCCCACCAATACAGTGAACATGTGCATGGAGGTTGCCAGCCCTGGGCCCCCCAGTGACCTGCCTCAGCTGACAAGCATGTACCCCACTGTGCTGTTTCTGCTGCTGGCATGAGCTGATGAGCATGGCTCCTGCTGCTACTGCCCAATGAAGCATTTTGGTTGGTACTACCCTTTGGAGTGTTGTGGCCAGTGGTTCAGGAACACCTCAGCCCCTCCAGTGCAGCAGGTTCCCAACCTCGAGGGGCCAGAGAACAAAGCCAGGGGCCTGATACCAGCCCTTGAGTGTTAGAACATACAGCTCAGGAGTGCTGAGCTGAGCCTTCACCTTCTAAAACCTGCCAGAAATGAAGCAGTCGACAGAAGCTATCTTATATCACAATCAAGACCCCAAGGACATCAAAGAAGATAAAAGATTTAAAAAGATCTAAAGAAGAGCAACTTCAATGACTGAAGGAACATCAGCCCACACAGATGAGAAAGAATCAGCACAAGAACTCTGGCAACTCCAAAAGTTCTCTTCCTACCTCCAAATGACCACACTAGTTCCTAAGCAATAACTGTTAACTGGGCTGAAATGGCTAAAACGACAGAAATAGATTTCACAACATGGATAGGAAAGAAGATCATCCACATTTAGGAGAAAGTTGAAATCCAATCCAAGGATTCTTAGGAACACAATAAAATGATACAGGAGATGAAAGAAGAAATGGCTATTTTAGGAAAGAACCAAACTGAGGTGATAAAACCTTAAAACTCACTTCAAGAATTTCAGAATACAATTGCATATATTAACAGCAGAGTCAACAAAGCTGAGGAAAGAATCTCAAAGCCTAAAGACCAGCTGCCTGATATAACTCAGTCAGACAAACATAAAGAGAAAACAATAAAGAAGAATGAACAAAACCTCTGAGAAATATGGGATTATGTAAAGAGACCAAATCTATGACTCGTTGGCATCCCTGAAAGACAGGGAAAGAAAGCATGAACCTTAGAAAACATATTTGAGGATACTGTTTATGAAAATTTCTCCACCCTTGCTAGAGAGGCTAACATTCAAATTCAGGAAATATAGAGAACCTCTGTGAGACACCGTATAAGACAACCATCCCCAAGACACATAGTCACCAGAGTCTACAAGGTCAAAATGAAAGAAAAAGTGTTAAAGGCAACTAGAGAGAAGGGCAGGTCACCTACAAGGGAACCTCATCAGGTTCACAGTGGACCTTTCAGCAGAAACACTACAAGCCAGAAGAGATTGAAGGCCTATATTCAGCATTTGTCAGGAAAAGAATTTCTAACCAACAATATCATATCCAGCCAAACTAAGCATCATAAACAAAGAAATAAGATCCTTTTCAGACAAGCAAATGCTAAGGGATTTTGTTACCAGCAGACCTACCTTACAAGAAGTCTTGAAGGGAGTGCTAAACATGGAAAGGAAAGACCATTAGTAGCCACTACAGAAACACACTTAAGTACTAATCAGTGACATTATAAAACAACCACCTAAACAAGTCTGCATAATAACCAGCTAACAACAGGATGACAAGAACTAATTTGCACATTTCAATACTAACTTTGAATGTAAATGGGTAAATGCCCCAATTAAAAGGCACAGAGCAACAAGTTGGATGAAGAAGAAAGACCCAATGGTATGCTGTCTTGAAAGACTCATCTCACATGCAATGACACCCATAGGTTCAAAATAAAGGGATGGAGAAAAATCTTCCAAGCAAATGGAAAACAGATAAAAGCAGGGGTTGTTATTCTAATTTCAGACAAAACAGGCTTTAAACCAACAAAGATTAAGAAAGACAAAGAAGGGCATAACATAATGGTAAAGGGCTTGATTCAACAAGAAGATTTAACTATCCTAAATATATGAATCCTAAATTGTACCCATAATGCAAATTCTTAGAGACCTACAAAGAGACAGATAACCACACAATAATAATGGGAGACCTCAACATCCCAATGACAGTATTAGACAGACCAATGAGGCAGAAAAGTAACAAAGATACTCAGGACCTGAACTTGACATTTGACCAAATAAACCTAATAGACATCTACAGAACACTCCACCCCAAAACAGTAGAATATACACTGTTTTTTTTTTGTTGTTGTTGTTGTTTTCTTTCTATTTTTCTTTTTTTCTTTTTTTTTTGAGGCAGAGTCTCACTCTGTCGCCCAGGCTGGAGTGCAGTGGCATGATTTTGGTCACTGCAACCTCTGCCTCCCAGGTTCAAGTGATTCTCATGCCCTAGCCACCCAAGTAGCTGGGATTACAGGCATGTGCCATCACACCCAGCTAATTCTTGTATTTTTTAGTGGAGACAGAGTTTTGCCATGTTTGCCAGGCTGGTCTTAAACTCCTGACCTCAAGTGGTCTGCCTGCTTCAGCCTCCCAAAGTGCTGGGATTTCAGGTGTGAGCCACTGCACTCCACCCAGAATATATATTCTTCTTACCTGCACATGGCATATACTCTATAACTGACCACACAATTGGATCTAAAACAATATTCAGCAAATTCAAAAAAAAAACAAAACAAAATTATATCAACCATGCTCTTGTAACACAGCACAACAAAAATAAAAATCAATACTAAGAAAATTGCTCAAAACCATATAATTACATGGAAATTAAACAACCTGCTTCTGAATGACTGAAATTCAGAGAACATTCAAGAAATTCTTTAAAATTAGTGAGAACAAAGATACAACATACCAGCATCTCTGAGACATGATTAAGGCAGTGTTAAGAGGGAAGTTTATAGCATGAAAAGCACATACCAAACAGCTAAAAAGGCTTCAAATTAGCAACCTAACATCACAACTAGAGGAACTAGAGAACCAACAGCAGTCCAACCCCAAAGCTAGCAGAAGACAAGAAATAACCAAAATCAAAGCTGAATGAGATCCAAAAACCATACCAAAAAAAATCAACAAATCCAGGAGCTGATTTTTTGAAAAAATAAGCTAGATAGATCACAAGTTTGACTAATAAAGAAAAAAGAGAATATCCAAATGAACACAATCAGAAATGACAAAGAAGATGCTTCCACTCACCCCACAGAAATACAAAAAACCTCAGAGACTATTCTGAACACCTCTATGCACACAAGCTACAGAACCTAGAAGAAATGAATGAATCTCTAGACACATAACAACCTCTGAAGACTGAACCAGGAAGAAATTTTGGAATGTGTTAACAGACCAATAACGAGTTTCAAAATTGAATCAGTAATACAAAGCATGCCAACCAAAAAGAGTCTGAGACCAGATGGAGTCACAGCTGAATTTTACCAGATGTGTAAAGAAGAGCTGGTACCATTCCTACTAAAACTATTTCAAACAATTGAGGAGGAGGGACTCCTCTATGACTTATTCTATAAGGCCAACATCATCCTGATACCAAAACCTGTCAGAGATGTAACAAAAAAGGAAAGCTTTAGGCCGGTATCCTTGATGAACATAAATGCAAACATCCTCAAGAAAATACCAGCAAACTAAATCTAGCAGCACATCAAAAAGCTAATCTACCATGATCAAGTAGGTTTTATTCCTGGGACGTGAGGTTGGTTCAACATACGCAAATCAATCAATGCGATTCACCACATAAAAAGAACTGAAAACAAAAACCACATGATTGTCTCAGTAGATGTAGAAAAGGCTTTTGATAACATTCAACATCCCTTCATGTTAAAAACTCCTAACAAACTAGGCATTGAAGAAACATACTTCAAAATAGTAAGAGCTATCTATGACAAACGCACAGCCAGCATCATACCGAATGGGGAAAAGCTAAAAGGATTCCCCTGAAAACTGGAACAAGACTCACCACTACTATTCAACATAGTACTGGAAGTCCTTGCCAGAGCAATCAGGCAAGAGAAAGAAATAGAGGGCATCCAAATCAGAAGAGAGGAAGTCAAACTATCCCTGCTTGCAGATGATATAATTCTATACCTGGAAAGCCCCATAATGTCTGCCTAAAAGCTCCTTTACCTGATAAACAACTTCAGCCAAGTTTCAGGACACAAAATCCATGTTCAATAATGAGTAGCATTCCTATACACCAACAACATCCAAGCTGAGTGCAAGATCAAGAATGCGATTCTATTCACAATTGCCACAAATAGACTAAAATACCTGGAAATACAGCTGACCAGGGAGGTGATGGATTTCTACAAGAATTACAAAACACCGCTCAAAGAAATCAGAGATGACACAAGCAAATGGAAAAACAGTCCATGCTCATGAATAGGTAGGGTCAATATTGTTAAAATGGCCATACTTCCCAAAGCAATTTATACATTTAATGCTATTCTAATTAAACTACCACTGAGATTCTTCACAGAACTTGAAAAAAGTATTTTAAAATTTATATGGAACCAAAAAAGAGACTGGACAGTCAAGGCAATCCTAAGCAAAAAGAACAAAGCTGGAGGCATTACATTACCCAACTTCAAACTATACTCCGAGGTTACAGTAACCAGAACAGCATGTTACTGGTATAAAAACAGACACATAGACCAATGGAACAGAATAGAGAGCCCAGAAATAATGCCTCACACCTACAGCCATCTGATGTTCAACAAAGTCAACAAAAACATGCAATGGGGAAAAGACTCCCTACTCAATAATTGGTGCTGGGGTAAGTGCTTAGCCATATGCAGAAGATTGAAATTGGACCTCTTCCTTACATGATAAAAAAAAAATCAACTCAAGATGGATTAAAGACTTAAATGTAAAACCAAAAGTGATAAAATCCCTGGAAGATAACCTAGGCAATACTATTCTGGACATAGGATCATGCAAAGATTTCATGACAAAGACACCAAAACCAATTGCAACAAAACCAAAAATTGACAAACGGGATCTAATGAAACTATAGAGCTTCTGCACAGCAAAAGAAACTATCAATAGAGGGAACAGACAGGATACAGAATGAGAGAATATATTTGCAAACTATGCATCCGATAATGGTCTGATATCCACAATCTATAAGGAACTGAAACAAATTTATAAGAAAAAAAACAACCCCATCAAAAAGTTGGCAAAGGGCATAAACAGACATGTTTTAGAAGAACAACAGCCAAGAAGCATATGAAAAAAATGCTCAATATCACTAATTATTAGAGCAATGGAAATTAAAACTACCAGACACCATCTCACACTAGTCAGAATGACAATTATTAGAAAGTCTAAAAATAACAGATGCTGGCAAGGCTGTGGAGAAAAGGTAACACTTACATACTGCTAGTGGGAATGAATATTAGTTCAGCTACTGTGGAAAGAAGTTTGGTGATCTCTGAAAGAACTTGAAACAAAATTTCCATTCCACTCTGCAATCCCATTATTGGGTATATGCCCAAAGGAATATACATTCTAACATAAAGATTCATGCACATACATGTTTATTGCAGCACTACTATCAATAGCAAAGACATAAAATCAACCTAGATGCCAATTAATACTAGGCTAGATAAAGAAAATGTGTTAGATACAAACCGTGGAATACTATACTGCCATGAAAAAGAATGAGATCATGTCCTTTGAAGGAACATGGATGGAGCTGGAGGCCATTATCCTAAGCAAACCAATGCAGAAACAGAAAAGCATATACTGCCTGTTTTCACTTATAAGTGGGAGCTGATCATTGAGTACACATAGACACAAAGATGAAAACAACAGACACTGGGTCCTACTTGAGGGTGGAGGGTGGTAGAAGAGTGAGGATTGAAAACCTATGTATTGGGTACTATGCTTATTATCTGGATGATGAAATATTCTGTACACCAAACCCCTGCAACATGCGATTTACCTGTATAACAAACCTGCACATGAAGTACCCCTGAACCTAAAATAAAAGTTAAAAAATTTTTCATCTGTCATTGCTATGCATGTGTTCAGAGAAGAAAGGTGAACTCACTGCCTTTTGATCATTATAAAAGTCTGAATTAATTCACTTGAAAATGGTAAATAAACAATGTTCCTTTTAGAATAATTTGTTGGGGAGAAAAATTATTCTGAAGTTCAGCAGTTTATCAGTATTATTATAGGGTTGAAACCACCTTTGCAAAAATTATAACAATGAGAGAAACCTAACCTAACTCACTCCATCTTGCTTCTAACCTCCAAGCTGCCCTTATTCATCCCTGGGTGTAGGTCAAGCTAACTATAGGAAGAATTTATTTTATAGTTTAAACTTTAAAACAAAGATGAAAACAGCCCCTTCCTGAAACTAAACTCCTCCTTGCTCAGGGACAAAAACTGCCTTTGTAAAATTAACAAATTAATCACAAGGTTAGAATTATGGTTCAGGAGTCATGTAGCTAGAGGTCACAAGATTTATAACCTCTCCAATTGCTCCTATAGATAACATCACTGTTGTTAAACCTAAGATTGGTGTTTGAGGTATTTTCCAAACCCTACATTTTGTTGGAACAGCTGGTGCCACTTGGACTGGTAACCCATACCAAGAAACTGGCTGATCTGCTATTGTGACTCCCACCCAGGAATTGACTCAGCACAAGAAGACAGCTTCAACCCCCTATGATTTCACCTCAACCAAAGAAATCAACATTCCCCATTCCTAAGCCCCTGCCCACGAAACTGTCCTTGAAAAACCCTAGCCTCTAAACCTTTGGAGAGAGCTGATTTGAGTAATAACTCCTGCCCTTAGACTTGGCTGGCCCTGTGATTATTAAACTCTTTCTCTACTGCACTACCACTATCTCATTTAATTGGCTTTATCTGTGCTGTTGGCAAGAATAACCTGTTGAATGATTACCGGGTTTTCTTTGTGTTAAAATGAAGCAAAATAAAACTGAACACTTAAAAAATATGTAGCTTTTATACAATGATTCTGGTTTTGATGAAATATCCCTGTTTCTTCTATTTATATATGTACATACAGAGATGTTTGAGATGGTGTTCACAGAATGATAAATGATGGATCTTTTGGGGTAGATGACTTTGTAATTTTTTTTCTTCTTTTTTTTTTCCCCTTGTTCACTTAAGGTTTTTATTTTTTTTATTTTTTTTTAATAATGATGAATATAACATTTACAAAAGCAATTAATCTGCTTTTCTTTTCTACATGAAAAGCAACAGCAACAATGAATTTTTTTTTTTTTTTTTTTTTTTTGAGATGGAGTCTCGCTCTGTCGCCCAGGCTGGAGTGCAGTGGCACAATCTTGGCTCACTGCAACCTCTGCCTCCTGGGTTCCAGCAGTTCTCCTGCATCAGTCTCCTGAGTAGCTGGAATTACAGGAGGCCACCACCACACCTGGCTAATTTTTGTATTCTTAGTAGAGATGGGGCTTCACCATGTTGGTCAGGCTGGCCTTGAACTCCTGACCTCAAGTGATCTGCTCACCTGGGCCTCCCAAAGTGTTGGGATTACAGGTGTGAGCCACTGTGCCCGGCCAACAATGAAATCTTTTCAATGGTTCTTCATGTAACTCAGGAGAAAATTCAAACTTATCTCCTTTGTCCCCTTGTCCATACGATAATAGAAACAATACAAATATCAGTAGCCGAGGCCAGCAATTCATGTCTGTGCGGTAGAAGAATGTCTTGGGGAGTGCTAGCAATTACCTTTCTGTGCTGAAAGGGACAGGTCAGTCCTATTTTAATCTATTTATTTTTGTTCTCCATTTTCAAGAGGGAAATGTCTTGAAAAGATAATGTCTCTGAATATTTTTTAATAGAACTTCTCTTCCCCAGTTACATACCATTCAGGTGATGGCTTGTTGATGTCCAGGGAATTGTGTCATTTTCTGCTTCATTTTGCTGGTACTGATCTGTCCTTTGCACGCCTGATAGAGACACACAGTGGATTGGAGGGAGGGAAGAAGCCTTTCTTGCACAGTTGCTGCCCTGTTTTACAGAGGAACAAAGCTTCCATCTCTGCTTCTCTGATTTGCACAAAAGTTGCAAAAATTATATATGTCTAAAAAATTTCCTTGAATAATTTCCACGTTGTGCATGAAACAATGGCCCTTTTCACTTTTAAAAGCACTAAAAAAATAAGTAAATCTCCTTTCTTTATGGGCACCAAAGCAAAGCATATGTGCTCTATTTGGAGAATGCAAATGCCTCAAGCTGCAGCATTTCTTTCACCAGCTCTCAGCAAGTGGCCATTTAGGCTTAATTGCTCCTCACAGCATAGTCCAATTAAGAACGGGCATCAGCAGGGTAAGGGCTATTTGTTAATCCCTAAAAGGTATGAGAGACAGTACTTGTTTTGCCTGCGGTTTTTATTCACATGTTTGGGTGAAAATCTAAACAGCTGGAACTCTCAGCAAGTGATATGTGTGTGTATTTAATCTATGGGTTGTGGGCAAGACAAGTGTATGAATGCATTTCACAAAAAAACAAACTTTTTCTTCCAATACAAAGGAGAACTTGGCCAAGATATTGCTGAAACTTAGCAAGGCATGATGTTTGAAACTGTGGGGGGCAGAGATTGCCTAGAGGAGAAAACCTCTGAACCCAGGGTGTTTTTCTACAACATAAAAATGGTTTAGTCCCTGGGAGAGCAATTTCCTTATTTTCTTATTAAAGTGTGAAATTCTATCAGAGCCAATCTTTTTTTTTTTTTTTCATTCTTTTTCAAATAGAGTTTTGGTTATTTTGTGAATTTGCTTTCTGTTTTTCATTTTGATGAGTTACATGGAAAATGTCATTCTATGCTGCGGACAGAATAAACTGACAAGAAGTGGGCAGTGTGGGTGTGTAGCTGTGGCTCTTGTGATCCAATGAAAATAGGCAAACGTAGGAGAAAAAAATATATATGTAGCTGTTAAATAGTTTCAGCTAGCTGAAAGGTTTCCACACTTTCTTCTGCATGAAAAAGAATCTGAAGAGTGCTAGCTGTGCCAAGAGGGTGCACTTACAATTTTTTTTTTTTTTTTTTTTTTTTGGACAGGTAAGCAACCTCTTGCAAGTATAAATGAGGGATTTCTTATAAGTCTAGAAGCTTTGCTTTTCAGAGACGTTTCTTGTAAGTCTAGAAGCTTTGCTTTTCAGAGAAGTTTCATGAATACCTGTTCAGGCTATTCATGAAATCTCTGCAAGATACATTGTCTAAAAAAGTTAGACCCAAGTAGTGATGGGAATTTGGGAAGGTAGGAAGAAAGAGCATTTGGCTCTCTTGGCAACTAAGAATTTTACTCATGGCCATGGATACCTTTGCCTTCCCAGAGTAGAGTGAGATTGGATGCCAAATATGTTCCATGATTTACATATTTGTTGGGCTTTGAAGACAGGCAGAACCATCAATCCATTTCCTTGCTCCTTCTTGCTCAATTTTTCCCTTTTCTAACCCCCAAATCCCTGGGGGATTCTGTTCCATTTATAACAAGTCTGGCTTCCTTGACCTTCCCTAGACAAGCACAGAGAAGGGCAGAAAAGCCTGGACAATTATTCATGCATCTGGGCTGTTCAGTAGTCAATCAACCTGACTTAACTAGGAATAGAGATTTTCTTGTTCCTTAGCTAAATGAAAACCTTTTCTCCTGCACCCCCAACTTGGATTTTGTTTTTACCGTTGTCAATTGTTAAGGAACACAACTCTGAAGAGTGAAATCTTTGCTGGTTTCAGGACTGTACCTACCATCAAATTCATGATCCTCTTCTGGAAAATGTACTCACCCAGCTACCTCTTGGTCTGCATCCTTGCTGCTGCTGGCTTCAGGTAATGATATTTACCCAGCTCATTGAAATGTCACACTTAGGACTGAGGCCTATAAATTATTATTGTACTCGTGTTATATTGTAAAGATAAAGGTCAGATCAGAGCTCAGATTTATTCACACACAAGATGCATTTCTGAGAGTTAGAAGAAAAATAAACGATTGGGTTTTTCAGTTAAAAGTACACACAAGTGATATTGTGCTTTTTTTTTTTAACAAAGGAAAAGAAATAACCACAGAACCAGTAGTTCTTGGAGTAAATAAAAGTAAAGATTGGCTCATCTGAGGCCTAGAAGTACTACCTCCAATTTTCTGCTCATTTTCTAACTGTCCTTTAAAAGTGACTGGATAAGGTAAAAGGTCAGGGCCAAGTTCAGGAAGATTAGGGAACAACTGAGAATTGATCATTGCACAGTGACTTAGCAGGTAACCTTCTCCTTCGCAGGACCAAGATAGCCCCTGGGTTCCCTGCAGAAAGTTGTTTGGTGGCTGGAAAGCCTGTGTCATTTTAGATTAGCACCTTTGTGCACAGGTAGCTGCAAAGCGCGTGTCTTTTTACCTTGAACTACAGATTTTCAAAAGCAAGATAGCTGACTAATCCTAGCCACTGCTAGCCCTACAGCCAAGGAGGCAGCTCAGTGAGGAGGAAATGATAAACGATGATATTAGCGCTGGAGGTAGTCCTCCAGTGTGGACTGAGAGTCTGTGCTGGGCAGCCTGGAGTGCATGTTGCTGGTGTCTCTGCTGCACCAGCTCTTTGAATAAATCATGGACTGAGTGTTGTTAGCTGTAAGGGCAACAGCTCTTGTCAGCACTTAATAAAAAGTCCCAGACCATCTACATCAAATGATTTTTCTTCCATAAAATTTGGCTTTTGAGCTTTGAAAGAATTTTCTAGGCTCACCCCATTTTTCTTGCTCACTTATCATCCTTTCAAGGATTATCTCCACATAGAGAGTGATGTTTGAAGGATTTAGTCTTTCGAACTATTTGAACAAGAACTGCTGGATAATCTTTTATTTGCCTCTCATTTCTGTAATTCACCCTACTTCTTCCCCTTCTTCTTGTTTTCCTTTGCATTTCCCAGTTGAATCTCAGTGCATTTACTTAACATTCTCCTTTTTTCTATGTTCTCCTACAGTTTTTTTATTCTTTATTAACTCATTCATAGTAATTACAACTACAAACTCTAAGTGCTTACTTGTGGTTGGCACTGTACTGGACATGGCAAGGAAGGGGTAGTTTGTATTTGATATTATTTGAGGCATTTGCTAATCTTTGTTATTTTAATAAAAGAAGAAAAAAACACATAATCATGTTTTTATTTTTCTTATTATTTTTTGAAACAAGGTCTCACTCTGTCACCCAGGCTGGAGTGCAGTGGCATGATCATGGCTCACTGCAGCATTGACCTCGTTGGGGTCAAGTGATCCTCCCACCTCAGCTCCCCGAATAGCTAGGCTACAGGCATGTGCCACTGTGCCCTGATAATTTTTGTATTTTCTGTAGAGATGTGGTCTTGCCATGTTGCCCTGGCTGGTCTGGAACTCCTGGGCTCAAGTGATCCACCTGCCTGTGCCTCACAAAGTTTTGGGATTACAGGTGTGAGCCACTGCGCCTGGCCTGATCATGTTTCTAAAACCCTATAAATGATACACAAATTGAGGAATCATAAATGCCTATTCAGGTCTACCTCATATTACTACACCCATAAGAGAATGTTACCTTATTCACTTTCATATTTATTTTAATATTTCTTGCTTATCCTTCTCCACATTTACAGAAAAATATTGGAAAAAAAAATGTCTACCTGCCTTTAAGCCCCCACCATCACTTTTTCTTTGGTTCTACTATTTTTTTTAATTATTTTTTAAAATAGTGATTGTTGCTACTAACAGGTTTCTCAAAAGCGAACATTCTTTATCTTAAGGGAAAACAACCAAGTAATAGGAAGTACAGATAGCTCACCCCTGGCAGGAATAAGGAGTAGGAGAGCTAGATTTGACTCTCTTCTCCCTCTCTGCCTGGCTACTTCCTTCCTCACTTTTTCTGTGTACCTTCCACTTTCCCCTCGGTTGAGTGATTTTAACCCATCAAAGAGTTTACAGTTTTTTTCAAGAGATGCAAGCAGTGAGTTAGAGTGGCAGCAGTATTATCTTTTCTTTACCCTGGACCATGGTGCTTGGTTTCAAACCAGAAGCTAGAAGATAAGAACTGCTAAATGTAAGTCATTTGCAAATCATCTTCCATTTATTCTGTCACCAAGCATTTACTGGGGGCCGATATTTCCAGGTACTGTTCCAGACACTCAGGATATATGTGTAGAGAAAGCAGACTAAGATCCCTGTTCTTGTGGGTCTTAGATTCTAGTGGGAGAGGCAAACAGTAAATAATAAACCAAATAAATGAGTTAATTATCCAGCTTAATAGAAGATAAGTGCTATGGAAAGCAAGAGAAAGAACAGCAAAATATAGGATGTTAGATGTTGGGGCATTAGATGTAAGTGTTGTGAAGTTGGCCTCATTGAGAAGATGACACTGGACAAAGATTCCCTCCTAATCTAGGTCCCACAAATGTTCACAAAAACACTAGGAGAGCTGGGCTACAACTAGCTTTGCCACAAATTATCTTCACATAATGGGGGAGGAGCCCCTGTTTTGTAAAATGAACTGCTAAGAGACAAGACTACAGTTTTTCTCTGTTTCCTTCTGGAATGCAGAAAATATCAGGGCAGGGAAGAGTTACTCAGGTAAAGACAGATTTGATAATGCTGCAAATGGTGTATTCTCTATTTCTTAGTACCACTTAGATTATACAACTTGTTCTCTATTTCTTAGTATAACTCTTTTGGTGGATACCTTATTTCTGGGCCACTAGGTGGTATCTATATAAAACCATAGTTTCAATTTAGAGGTGTCTCTGCAAAAGTATGTTGAAGAGTTTCTATAAGGAGTTTTTGTTCAATCCGCTTGAGATTTGTAAGTGTTTGGGTCTGTGTGTGTGCACCTTTGTGTGAAAGTGAATAGAAATGATCTTTTCTTATTACTAAAAGATGCTGTCTATGTGCAAGGAATAGCACAACTTTTGTTTTATACAGATAATAATTGATTTGTAATCATTGTCTTATTTATGTATTCAGTTATGTTAATAATTAGAGTTTGTAAGTTTCTAAACTGTGAAGCAATGATTCTATAGCGTATTTTTTTGTGATATCTAGAGAAAGGCTCTTAAAATTGTTTGGTCGTTCATAGCATTTCTAATAGAGACTGACTATTTAATTCCCTTCTTTGAGGGAACTTGGAGTCTGATAAGTAATATGTCAGAAATGATTATGGAAAAGCAAACCATGAATATGTCCTCAAAGAATAAGTATATCTTTGGGAAATGAAAAGAATCTCCTGAATTTTCATCTTGTCACAAGTTAAATTGAGAGCTATTTAGATGAGATCACACCATCACACCTTATGCAGTGCCCAGGTTTGATGTTTTAAAACATACTGTTCCCCTCTTTCTCCTGAATGTGGAGGCAATAGCAGCTACTGTTTTGCAACAATCTTTTTGTGTGGTTTGGCTTGAGGGACCTGGGGGTCAGCTTTCAATAGAATTTGGAATGGGCTGATATAACTTTTTTAGAATAATAATACATCTTTGGGGGATCAGACTGTGGGACAAAAACATCTATTGGATGGTAACGTAGAGCCACACTTTTGGTGATAGGGAGCTAATGTGGGGGTAATGGGTGTGGAAAGATGACCTGAAGCTAAAAGATTTGAGCTCATTGCAAGTTATCCAAGCATTAGAATGAAGGAGAAATGATCAGAAGCTACAAAGAGGAGAAGCAGAAATCATGTAGGTCCAATTATTTCCCCAAGACACAACTTTTGCTATCCAAAATGAACACTGCCTTTATTGAGTTTTTATCTGTGCTGGCTGGGTTAGCCAGCCAGCCTATCTCTGCCCACACCTTGGGTTCTGAACTCAGATGGAATTCCTCCTTTCTCTCTCCCTCACTCACTGTATGGCTCTGCTCCAGGCACTTAACTAGCTAGTTATCTCCTCATCTGAAAAGTAAAGATAATACTGTATGCCTCTAGCAAGAGAGAGTATGTGGGGGATTGCTGGCAAGATGGCCCAACAGGAACAGCTCTGGTCTGAGGCTCCCGGTGAGATTGATGCAGAAGGCAGTGATTTCTGCATTTCCAACTGAGGTACCAGGTTCATCTCATTGGGACTGGTTGGACTGTGGGTGCAGCCCACAGAGGGTGAGCCAAAGCAGGGTGGTGTGTCACCTCAGCCAGGAAGCACAAAGGGAGGAAGAATTTTCTCCCCTACCCAAGGGAAGCCGTGAGAGACTGAGCCTGAGGAACCATGCACACTCCGGCCCAGATACTGCACTTTTCCTATGGTCTTTGCAACCCGCAGACCAGGAGATTCCCTCTGGTGCTTACCCCACCAGGGCCCTGGCTTTCAAGCACAAAGCTGGGCAGCCATTTGGGCAGACACCAAACTAGGTGCAGGAGGGTTTGTTTTTTTTTTTCCATACCCCAGTGGCACCTGGAACAGCAGCAAGACAGAACTGTTCACTCTCCTGGAAAGGGGTGCTGAAGCCAGGGAGCCAAGTAGTCTGGTTCGGTGGGTCCTACCCCCATGGAGTCCAGCAAACTAAGATTCACTGGCTTGAAATTCTCACTGCCAGCACAAAAATAGTCTGAGATCTACCTGGGATGCTCAAGCCTGGTGGGGGGAGGGGCATCCGCCATTGCTGAGGCTTGAGTAGGTGGTTTTATGCTCACAGTATGAACAAAGCAGTCAGGAAGTTGGAACTGGGCAGAGCCCACTGCAGCTCAGCAAGACTGCTGTGGCCAGACTGCCAGATTTCTCCTCTATGGGCAGGGCATTTCTGAAAAAAAGGCAGCAGCCACAGTCAGGGACTTATAGATAAAACCCCCATCTCCCTGGGACAGAGCACCTGGGGGAAGGGGCAGCTGTGGGCACAGCATCAGCGGACCTAAACATCCCTGCCTTATGGCTCTGAAGAGAGCAGTGGTTCTCCTAGCACAGCGTTCAAGCTCTGATAATGGACAGACTGCCTCCTCAAGTAGGTCCCTGACCCCCGTGTATCTTGACTGGGAGACACCTCCCAGTAGGGGCTGACAGATACCTCATACAGGAGACCTCTGGCTGGCATCTGGCAGGTGCCCCTCTGGGACGAGGCTTCCAGAGGAAGGAACAGGCAGCAATCTTTGCTGTTCTGCAGCCTCCACTGGTGATACCCAGGCAAACAGGGTCAAGAGTGGACTTCCAGTAAACTCCAGCAGACCTGGGGCAGAGGGGCCTGAATATTAGAAGGAAAACTAACAAACAGAAAGAATACCACGTTCACTCAAAGACCCCATCTGAAGGTCACCAACATCAAAGACCAAAGGTAGATAAATCCACAAAGATGGGGAGAAACCAGCACAAAAACGCTGAAAATTCCAAAAACCAGAACACCTTTTCTCCTCCAAATGATCACAATTGCTTGCCAGCAAGGGAACAAAACTGGATGGAGAATGAGTTTGATTAATTGAATTGACAGAAGTAGGCTTCAGAAGGTGGGTAATAACAAACTCCTCTGAGGTAAAGGAGCGTGTTCTAACCCAATGCAAGGAAGCTAAGAACCTGGAAAAAAGGTTAGACGAATTGCTAACTAGAATAACCAGTTTAGAGAAGACCATAAATGACCTGATGGAGCTGAAAAATACAGCACAAGAACTTCATGAAGCATACACAATTATCAATAGGCAAATCCATCAAGCAGAAGAAACGATATCAGTGATTGAAGATCAATTTAATGAAATAAAGCGGAAAGACAAGATTAGAGAAAAAAGAATAAAGAGAGACGAACAAAGCCCCGAGAAATATGAGACTATGCAAAAAGACCAAATCTGCATTTGACTGGTGTACCTGAAAGTGACAGGGAAAATGGAACCAAGTTGGAAAACACTCTTCAGGATATTATCCAGAACTTCCCCAACCTGGCAAGACAGGCCAACATTCAAATTCAGGAAATACAGAGAATGCCACAAAGATACTCCTCTAGAAGAGCAACCCCAAGACACGTAATCATTAGATTCACGAAGGTTGAAATGAAGGAAAAAATGTTAAGGGCAGCCAGAGAGAAATGTCAGGTTACCCACAAAGAGAAGCCCATCAGACTAATAGCAGATCTCTCTGCAGAAACCCTGCAAGCCAGAAGAGAGTGGGGGCCAATATTCAACATCCTTAAAGAAAAGAATTTTCAACCCAGAATTTTTTATCCAGCCATATTAAGCTTCATAAGTGAAGGAGAAATAAAATCCTTTATAGATGAGCAAACACTGAGAGATTTTGTCACCACCAGGCCTGCCTTCAGGCCTGTGCTCCTGAAGGAAGCCCTAAATATGGAACGAAACAACCAGATCCAGCCACCGCAAAAACATACCAAATTGTAAAGACTATCGACGCTATGAAGAAACTGCATCAACTAATGGGCAAAACAACCAGCTAGCATCATAATGACAGGATGAAATTCACACATAACAATATTAACTTTAAATGTAAATGGGCTAAATGCCCCAGTTAAAACACACAGACTGGCAAATTGGATAAAGAGTCAAGACCCATGGTGTACTGTATTCAGGAGACCCATCTAACATGCAAAGACACACATAGGCTCAAAATAAAGGGATGGAGGAATACTCACCAAGCAAATGGGAAGCAAAAAAATCAGGAGTTGCAATCCTAATCTCTGATAAAACAGACTTTAAACCAACAAAGACCAAAAGAGACAAGGGCATTACATAATGGTAAAGAGATCAATGCAGCAAGAAGAGCTAACTATCCTAAATATATATGCACTCAATATAGGAACACGAAGATTCATAAAGTGAGTTCTTAGAGACCTACAAAGAGATTTAGACTACCACACAGTAATAGTTGGAGATTTAACACCCCACTGTCAATACTAGACAGATCAACGAGACAGAAAATTAACAAGGATATTCAGGACTTGAACTCACCTCTGGACGAAGCAGACCTAATAGACATCCACAGAACTCTCTACCCCAAATCAACAGAATATACATTCTTCTTAGCACCTCATCACACTTTTCCTAAAATTGGCCACATAATTGGAAGTAAAACACTCCTCAGCAAATGCAAAAGAACAGAAATCATAACAAACAGTCTCTCAGACCACAGTGCAATCAAATAAGAACCCAGGATTAGGAAACTCACTCAAAACCGCACAACTACATGGAAACAGGACAACCTGCTCCTGAATGACTACTGCGTAAATAACGAAATGAAGGCAGAAATAAAGTTGTTCTTTGAAACCAATGAGAACGAAGACACAGTGTACCAGAATCTCTATGACATATTTAAAGCAGTGTGTAGAGAGACATTTATAGCACTAAATGCCCACAAGAGAAAGCAGGAAAGATCTAAAATTGACACCTTAACATAACAATGAAAAGAACTAGAGAAGCAAGAGCAAACAAATTCAAAAGCTAGCAGAAGACAAGAAATAACTAAGATCAGAGCAGAATTGAAGGAGATAGAGACATGAAAAACCCTTCAAAAAATCAATGAATCTAGGAGCCGGTTTTTGAAAAGATCAACAAAATGGATAGAGTGTTAGCCAGACTGATAAATAAGAAATGAGAGAAGAATCAAATAGACACAATAAAAAATGATAAAGGGGATATCACCACTGATCCCACAGAAATACAAACTATCATCAGAGAATACTATACACACCTCTATGTAAAAAGACTAGAAAATCTAGAAGAAATGGATACATTCCTGGATACATACACACTGCCAAGTCTAAATCAGGAACAAGTCGAATCCCTGAATAGACCAATAACAAGATCTGGAATTGAAGCAATAATTAATAGCCTACCAACCAAAAAAAGTCCAGGACCAGATGGATTCACAGCCAAATTCTACCAGAGGTACAAAGAGGAGCTGGTACCATTCCTTCTGAAACTATTCCAAACAATAGAAAAAGAGGGAATCCTCCCTAACTCACTTTATGAGGCCAGCATCATCCTGATACCAAAACCTGGCAGAGACACAGCAACAACAAAAAAATTTCAGGCCAATATCCCTGATGAATATCGATGAGAAAATCCTCAATAAAATACTGGCAAACCAAATCCAGCAGCACATCAAAGAGCTTATCCACCACAATCAAGTTGGCTTCATTTCTGAGGTGCAAGGCTGGTTCAACACATGCAAATCAATAAATGCAATCTATCACATAAACAGAACCAATGACAAAAACCACATGATTATTTCAATAGATGCAGAAGAGGCCTTCAATAAAATTCAACACTCCTTCATGCTCAAAACTGTCAATAAACTAGGTATCAATGGAATGGATCTCAAAATAATAAGAGCTATTTATGACAAACTCACAGCCAATATTATATTCAATGGGCAAAAACTGGAAGCATTCCCTTTGAAAACCGGCACAAGACAAGGACGCCCTCTCTCACCCTCCTATTCAGCATAGTATTGGAAGTTCTGGCCAGGGCAATCAGGCAAGAGAAAGAAATAAAGGGTATTCAAATAGGAAGAGAGGAAGTCAAATTGTCTCTGTTTGCAGATGACATGATTGCATGTTTAGAAAACCCCACTGTCGCAGCTTAAAATCTCCTTAAGCTGATAAGCAACTTCAGCAAAGTCTCAGGATACAAAATCAATGTGCAAAAATCACAAGCATTCCTATACACCAATAATAGACAAACAGAGAGCCAAATCATGAGTGAACTCCCATTCACAATTGCTACTAAGAGAATAAAATATACAACTTACAAGGGATTTGAAGGACCTCTTCAAGGAGAACTACAAACCACTGCTCAAGGAAATAAGAGAGGACACAAACAAATGGAAAAACATTCCACACTCATGGATAGGAAGAATCAATATCGTGAAAATGGCCATACTGCCCAAAGTAATTTATAGATTCGATGCTATCCCCATCAAGCTGCCAGTGGCTTTCTTCACAGAATTGCAAAAACTACTTTAAACTTCATATGGAACCAAAAAAGAGCCCACATAGCCAAGTCAGTCCTAAGCAAAAAGAACAAAGTTGGAGGCATCATGCTACCTGACTTCAAACTATACTACAAGGCTATAGTAACCAAAACAGAATGGTACTGGTACCAAAACAGATATATAGACCAATGGAACAGAACAGAGGCTTCAGAAATAACACCACACATCTACAACCATCTGATCTTTGACAAACCTGACACAAAAAAGCAGTGGGGAAAATATTCCCTATTTAATAAATGGTGTTGGGAAAAGTGGCTAGTCATATGCAGAAAATTGACACTGGACCCCTTCCTTACACCTTATATAAAAATCTGGTCAAGATGGATTAAAGACTTAAATGTAAGACCTAGGACCATAAAAATCCTAGAAGAAAACCTGAGCCATACCATTCAGGACATAGGCATGGGCAAAGACTTCACGACTAAAACACCAAAAGCAATGGCAACAAAAGTCAGAATTGACAAATGGGATCTAATTAAACTAAAGAGCTTCTGCACAGCAAAACAAACTATCATCAGAGTGAATAGGCAACCTACACAATGGGAGAAAATTTTTACAATCTATCCATCTGACAAAGGGCTAATATCCAGAATCTACAAGGAACTTAAGTAAATTTACAAGAAAAAAAACCAACCCCATCAAAAAGTGGGCCAAGGACATGAACAGACACTTCTCAAAAGAAGACATTTGAGCGGCCAACAAACATATGAAAAAATGCTCTTCATCACTGGTCATTAGAGAAATGCAAATCAAAACCACAATGAGATACCATGTCATGCCAGTTACAATGATGATCATTGAAGTCAGGAAACAACAGATGCTGGAGAGGATGTGGAGAAATAGGAATGCTTTTACACTGTTGGTGGGAGTGTAAATTAGTTCAACCATTGTGGAAGACAGTGTGGTGATTCCTCAAGGATCTAGAACTAGAAATACCATTTGACCCAGCAATTCTGTTACTGAGTGTATACCCAAAGGATTATAAATCATTCTACTATAAAGACACATGCACATGTATGTTTATTGTGGCACTATTCACAATGGCAAAGACTTGGAACCAACCCAAATGTCCATCAGTGATAGACTGGATAAAGACTATGTGGCACATATACACCAAGGAATAGTATGCAGCCATAAAAAAGATGAGTTCATGTCCTTTGTAGGGACATGGATGAAGCTGGAAACCATCATTCTCAGCAAACTATCACAAGAACAGAAAACCAAACACTGCATGTTCTCAATCGTAAGTGGGAGTTGAACAATGAGAACACATGGACACAGGGAGGGGAACATCACACACTGGGACCTGTCGGGGGTGGGGGACTAGGGGAGGGATAGCATTAGGAGAAATACCTAATGTAGATGACGGGTTGATGGGTGCAGCAAACCACCACGGCACATGTATACCTATGTAACAAACCTGCACGTTCTGCACATGTACCCCAGAACTTAAAGTATAATAATAAAAATAAAAAAGAGAGTATGTGAACATTTTGTGACTTCTAGGGGAAAAGGATTAACAAACACCCTAATTCCAGTCTTGTTATAACACATGTAGAGAAAAAGAAAGACTTTAGAAGATTATGTCATTTACACAGAGAAGTTTAAAAATTATATGGGTTGAAGTACAAATATGATATATTTTAAATTTTTGATACTCCCATCTGAGGCATGGCTTTTGTTATCTAAAGAAAAACTGTTGATTAAAATTATTAAAGTATCAGAAACAACATCAACAACTTATTTTTCTGATGGGTGTGTTACCTTGAATGATAAAAACTTAGAGGAAGTCCTGAATTACAACATATTATTTTTGGCTAGAATGAAGATTGATCCGAAGATTTAATTTTGACTTTCAAAATTTAACAGTCTGTGCCACTAGTAGCTAGGTATGTATGTGATAAAGGACTTGATGATGATGAAAATCACCAATTTGTTATTTATTTGTTTTCTTTCTCACAGTATTGTTTCTTTGGGCAGGGCTGAGATGGTCTGGTTGGCTCTCAGTCATTTCTTTGAAGGGTTAATATGTATTGCAGTCAATGTAGACTATTTAAGGGTTGATGATCAAGGCAATAGATTATTCAGCCCTTATTTTCTACTTTCTTTGACTTGTTAATTTTAGAGTGATTTTGCTGCTTATTAGTACCTTTTACCAGAGATAGGATAGGGATAATGGAAGAACAAAGACTTCCCCACATTATTACCTCTTAGTCAATGAGGGGTAGGGCTCTTCCATAAGGGAAGAGTAGAAATTGTATTGAATAAAGGAGGCTTGTGGATTTTCTCTAAAATAGGTTTCCTCACAGAAGATTGAGAATTGCTCACACCTGGGAACTCTGTACCTCTAGCATCCTATCATGAGTAGGTGAGTACTGAGTAAATCAAATGTGTATGGTAGACCAACTTCCAAGATGGTGGCCAATGACTCCCGCCTCCTGGTATTTATGTTCTGTGTAATCCTTTCCCCCTGAGTGATTTGATTTTAACCAGTGGATGTTACTTTCATGATTAAGTTGTAAAATGGTGACTTCCACACAGGCAGAATCTCTTTCTTGTCTTCATCTTGCATGATTTAATGAAGCAAGCTGCCTTGTTGGAGAGGAAATGAATGTGTCTCTGGCCAACAGCCAGAGAGGAACTGACACTGTCAGCCCAATAACCTGGAGAAACTGAATCCAGCCAACAACTACGTGAGCTTGGAAGTGGATCCTTCCCTAATTGAGCCTTGAGAAACCTGTATCTTAGCCAAGACCTTGATTGTAGCATACAAGAAAACCTAAAGGACAATTAAGCCACACACAGCTCCTAACCCACAGAAACTGAGATAAGTATAGCTATTTTGGTTGCTAAGATGTGGGATAATTCATTATGCAGCAATAGACAGTTAATAGACAACAAATACTGTCTGTTATTGTACTTTGAAACCATCTGATCACTTGTCCAAAAAAAAAAAAAAGGATTGATAAACTCACTCATACTAATGCATTTGGGAACCTAGTATGCAACTCCTGTTAAAGTACAGTGCCCTCAGAGAGAAGGAAATGCTAACACAATAGAGTGCATGAATAATGGCAGAATTTTAGGATTTAGGACAACAGTGTGGAAAATGTTCTTTTTGAGAGTGGAGAAGCTTTCTGTTTTCCCTCAAAATGATAACATATGTGCAGTAGTTCCGCCTTACCTGAGGGGGATATGTTCCAAGACCCCCATTGTATGCTTGAAACCTCAGATAGTACGAAACCCAATATTTACTATGTTTTTTCCTATACATACCTATCATAAAGCTTAACTTATAAATTAGGCACAGTAAGAGATTAATAACAATAACTAATAGTAACAGAACAAGTGTAACAATGTACTGTAATAAAAGTTATGTGAATGTGGTCTCTCTTTCTTTCTCTCAGAAGTATCACTGTACTGTACTCTCCCTTCTTGTGATGATGTGAGATGATGAAAAGATTACATGGTGAGATGAAGTGAGGTGAATGATGTAGCCATTGTGACATAGTGTTAGGCTACTACTGACCTTCTGACCATATGTCAGAAGGAGGATCACCTGCCTTGGGTGATCCCGTATCATTGACCATGATTATGTCAATGGTTGGATGTCAGGAGCAGACAATGAAGATGACTAATGGTAGCACAGACAGTGTGGATCTGATGGACAAATGGATGACTCACATCCCAGGCAGGATAGAGCAGGATGTCTCAAGAGTTCATTATGTTACTTAGAACAGCATGCAGTTTAAAATTTATGAATTGTGTATTTCTGGAATTTTCCATTTAATATTTTCAGACTCCTGTTGACCCTAGGGTAACAGAAATTGTGGAAAGCGAACCACCAATAAGTGGGGACTACTGTAATTAACTCTAGCACATATGTATAAGTCAGGCTTTGTTACCTTAAGTCTATCTTAAAACCTAGTTATATTTTGATTATGTTTTAAAAGTTTGTCTGGGAAAAAGGAGACATAATCCCAAGGCATCTTTCTGGAAGAAAGAAGGGAGACCATGATGAGCTTGAAAGCAATTATTCTTGGGGATGGGGATGGGCTTGTCTTGGGAGAATCCACAGGTACGTGAAAAGTTGCTAATCACTGTAGTCTTTCTCTTGCTCTGGCAGATGCAGGAAACTTGGGTTCTTGGAGACAGGGCAAAGGCAATCTAAGCCCTTTTCTAGGATTAGCAGGAGTAGACAGATATGAGATATTGGGGGCTGTGAAGGAAGCTGCAGGAGTTAAAAATTCTAAGACAAAACGATTTGAGTTATTAATAAACTTGAAGATTTTAATACCAACAAAGAAAGGAAGAGCCAGGAAACTAGCAGAGATGGGAGGTAAATGGAAGAGACCCACATAGAGGTCTCCTCCGCTGTATGCAAAGGATCTGCTCCATGGGCTGGTTCAAAAAAAGCCAGCAAAGGTTGAAGATGACACACCAGAGTGTGCTTTCTCAAGCTCAAAGGTAGAACCTGGAAAGATGAAGCCACGACTGAAAACTGAAACATTCAGGAGAAAGATTCCCAGTTCAATTTGATTTATACGAGTTTCTAAACTGTAATTGAAGCTGAGGATCTCATTTAACTATACTTTTATTTTTAAAAATTGATGTCTAAAACAGTTTTTTATAATATATTTTCAAAATTCAAAAGGTATAAATTCTCCCTTTCACCCTTATCCTAAGCCACCCAGAGATAACTCCCCAAACAACCAAAATTAACAGTTTCTTGTGCATCATTCTAGAGATATAATAAATATATTCAAATAAATACATAAAAACATCTTTTACAATGGCTTTTAAACATTCAAACAATATCTTCCCATATACACTAGTAAGTACCTTTTAAAAAACAATATATCTTAGCAATACATCTTTGTGGAATTACATATTTTACTTAACCATTTATCTATTGATAGGTAATTACCAATCTTTTGGCTTTTACAAGCAATTCTACAATTAGTTCTCTTGTATATACATCATTTTGCATGTGTCATATATCTGTGGAATAAATTATTGGAGGTAGTATACTAAAGCAAGGGTATGTGAGTGTATTCTTTTGACATATTCTGCCAATGTATACTCTGTAGAGTTTGTACCAATTTACACTCCAATAAAAAACGTATGGGAATGCCTGTTTTTCACACTCTCACCAACATTGTACACCATTAAGCGATTTGTTCTTTACCTGACCGATAAATAAAAAATGATCTTGAGAGCACCTGGGGGAAGAGGCAACTGTGGGTGCAGCTTCAGCAGACTTAAAAGTTCCTGCCTAGTTCTAGATCCCTGAGGAATTGCCACACTGACTTCCACAATGGTTGAACTAGTTTACACTCCCACCAACAGTGTAAAAGTGTTCCTTTTTCCTCCACATCCTCTCCAGCACCTGTTGTTTCCTGACTTTTTAATGATCGCCATTCTAACTGGTGTGAGATGGTATCTCATTGTGGTTTTGATTTGCATTTCTCTGATGGCCAGTGATGATGAGCATTTTTTCATGTGTTTTTTGGCTGCATACGTGTCTTCTTTTGAGAAGTGTCTGTTCATATCCTTTGCCCACTTTTTGATGGGTTTGTTTTTTTCTTGTAAATTTGTTTGAGTTCATTGTAGATTCTGGATATTAGCCCTTTGTCAGATGAGTAGGTTGCAAAAATGTTCTCCCATTCTGTAGGTTGCCTGTTCACTCTGATGGTAGTTTCTTTTGCTGTACAGAAGCTCTTTAGTTTAATTAGATCCCATTTGTCAATTTTGGCTTTTGAAATACCATTTGACCCAGCCATCCCATTACTGGGTATATACCCAAAGGATTATAAATCATGCTGCTATAAAGACACATGCACACGTATGTTTATTGCAGCACTATTCACAATAGCAAAGACTTGGAACCAACCCAAATGTCCAACAACGATAGACTGGATTAAGAAAATGTGGCACATATACACCATGGAATACTATGCAGCCATAAAAAATGATGAGTTTATGTCCTTTGTAGGGACATGGATGAAACTGGAAACCATCATTCTCAGCAAACTATCGCAAGGACAAAAAACCAAACACTGCATGTTCTCACTCATAGGTGGGAATTGAACAATGAGAACACATGGACACAGGAAGGGGAACATCACACACTGGGGACTGTTGTGGGGTGGTTGGGGGGGGTGGATAGCATTACTAGATATACCTGTTGCTAAATGATGAGTTAATGGGTGCAGCACACCAACATGGCACATGTATACATATGTAACAAACCTGCACATTGTGCACGTGTACCCTAAAACTTAAAGTATAATAATAATAAAATTAAAAAAAAAAGTTCCTGCCTGCTGGTTCTGAAGAGAGCAGTGGATCTCCCAGCACAGTGCTCAAGCTCTGTTAAGGGACAGACTGCCTCCTCAAGTGGGTCCCTGACCCCCATGCCTCCTGACTGGGAGACACCTCCCAGCAGGGGTTGACAGACACCTCATACAGGAGAGCTCCGGCTGTCATCTGGTGGGTGCCCCTCTGGGAAGAAGCTTCCAGAGGAAGGAACAGGCAGAAATCTTTGCTGTTCTGCAGCATCTGCTAGTGATACGCAGGCAAACAGGGTCTGGAGTGGACCTCCAGCAAACTCCAGCAGAACTGCAGCTGAGGGGCCTGTTAGAGGGAAAACTAACAAACAGAAAGGAATAACATCAACATCAACAAAAAGAACAACCACACAGAAACCCCATCCGAAGGTCACCAACATCAAAGACCAAAGGTAGATAAATCCACGAAGATGAGGAAAAACCAGTGCAAAAAGGATGAAAATTCCAAAAACCGGAACACCTCTTCTCCTCCAAAAAATCACAACTCCTCGCCAGCAAGTGAACAAAACTGGAGGGAGAATGAGTTTGACGGACTGTCAGAAGTAGGCTTCAGAAGGTGGGTAATAACAAACTCCTCTGAGGTCAAGGAGCATGTTCTAACCCAATGCAAGGAAGCTAAGAACCTTGAAAAAAGGTTAGACAAATCGCTAACTGGAATAACCAGTTTGGAGAAGAACATAAATCACCTGATGAGCTGAAAAACATAGCATGAGAACTTCATGAAGCATACACAAGTATCAATAGCCAAATCCTTCAAGCAGAAGAAAGGGTATCAATGATTGAAGATTAACAATGAAATAAAGCGAGACGACAAGATTAGAGAAAAAAGAATAAAGAGGGACGAACAAAGCCTCCAAGAAATATGGGACTATGTGAAAAGGCCAAACCTACATTTGATTGGTGTATCTGAAAGTGACAGGGAAAATGGAACCAAGTTGGAAAACACTCTTCAGGATATTATCCAGGAGAACTTCCCCAACCTAGCAAGACAGGCCAACATTCAAATACAGGAAATACAGAGAATGCCACAAAGATACTCCTCTAGAAGAGCAACCCCAAGACACATAATCATCAGATTCATGAAGGTTGAAATCAAGGAAACAATGTTAAGGGCAGCCAGAGAGAAATGTCGGGTTACCCACAAAGGGAAGCCCATGAGACTAATGGTGGATCTCTCTGCAGAAACCCTACAAGCCACAAGAGAGTGGGGACCAATATTTAACATTCTTAAAGAAAAGAATTTTCAACCCAGAATTTCATGTCCAGCCAAATTAAGCTTCATAAGCAAAGGAGAAATAAAATCCTTTACAGACAAGCAAATGCTGAGAGATTTTGTCACCACCAGGCCTGCCTTCAGGCCTGTGCTCCTGAAGGAAGCACTAAATATGGAAATGGAAACTGGTACCAGTCACTGCAAAAACACATCAAATTGTAAAGACCATCGACACTATGAAGAAACTGCATCAACTAACGGTCAAAACAACCAGCTAGCATCATAATGACAAGATGAAATTCACACATAACAATATTAACCTTAAATGTAAACGGGCTAAATGCCCCAACTGAAAGACACAGACTGGCAAATTGGATAGAGTCAAGTCCCCTGGTGTGCTGTATTCAGGAGACCCATCTAACATGCAAAGACACACATAGGCTCAAAATAAAGGGATGGAGGAATATTTACCAAGCAACTGGAAAGCAAAAAAAAAAAGCAGGGGTTCCAATGCTAGTCTCTGATAAAACAGACTTTAAACCAACAAAGCTAAAAAAAGACAAAGAGGGCATTACATAATGGTAAAGGGATCAATGCAACAAGAAGAGCTAACTATCCTAAATATATATGCAGCCAATACAGGAGCATCCAGATTCATAAAGCAAGTTCTTAGAGACCTACAAAGAGACTTGGACTCCCACACAACAATAGTGGGAGACTTTAACACCCCACTGTCAATATTAGATCAACGAAACAGAAAATTAGCAAGGATATTCAGGACTTGAACTCAGCTCTGGACCAAGCGAACCTAATAGACATCTACAGAACTCTCTACCCCAAATCCACAGAATATACATTCTTCTCAGCACTACATCACAGTTATTCTAAAATTGACCACATAGGTGGAAGTAAAACACTCCTCAGCAAATGCAAAAGAACAGAAATCATAACAAACAGTCTGTCAGACCACAATGCAATCAAATTAGAACTCAGGATTAGGAAACTCACTGAAAACCTCACAATTACACGGAAACTGAACAACCTGCTCCTGAATGACTACTGGGTCAATAACAAAATTAAGACAGAAATAAATAAGTTCTTTGAAACCAATGAGAACAAAGACACAACGTACCAGAATCTCTGGGACATATTTACAGCAGTGTATACAGGAAAATTTATAGCACTAAATGCCCACAGGAGAAAGCAGGAAAGATCTAAAATCAACACCCTAATATCACAATGAAAAGAACCAGAGAAGCAAGAGCAAACAAATTCAGAAGCTAGCAGAAGACAAGAAATAACTAAGATCAGAGCAGAACTTAAGGAGCTAGAGACACGAAAAACCCTTCAAAAAAATCAATGAGTCCAGGAGCTGGTTTTTTTGAAAACATTAACAAGATAGACTGCTAGCCAGACTAATAAAGAAGAAAAGAGAGAAGAATCAAATAGATGCAATAAAAAATGATAAAGGGGATATCACCACTGATCCCACAGAAATACAAACTACCATCAGAGAATACTATACACAGCTCTATGTAAATAGACTAGAAAATCTAGAAGAAATGGATACATTCCTGGATACATACACACTGCCAAGTCTAAACGAGGAACAAGTCGAATCCCTGAACAGACCAATAACAAGTTCTGAAATTGAGGCAGTAATTAATAGCTTACCAACCAAAAAAAGTCCAGGACCAGATGGATTCACAGCCAAATTCTACCAGAGGTACAAAGAGGAGCTGGTACCATTCCTTCTGAAACTATTCCAAGCAGTAGAAAAAGAGGGAATCCTCTCTAACTCATTTTATAAGACCAGCGTCATCCTGATACCAAAACCTGGCAAAGACTCAACAAAAAAAGAAAATTTCAGGCCAATATCCCTGATGAACATCGATGAGAAAATCCTCAATAAAATACTGGCAAACTGAATCCAGCAGCACATCAAAGAGCTTATCTACCACGATCAAGTTGGCTTCATCCCTGGGATGCAAGGCTGGTTCAACATATGCAAATCAATAAACGTAATTCATCACATAATCAGAACCAATGGAAAAAAAACACATGATTATTTCGATAGATGCAGAAAAGGTCTTTGATAAAATTCAACACCCCTTCATGCTCAAAACTCTCAATAAACTAGGTATCAATGGAATGGATCTCAAAATAATACGAGCTATTTATGACAAACCCACAGCCAATATTATACTCAATGGGCAAAAACTGGAAGCATTCCCTTTGAAAACCGGCACAAGACAAGGATGCCCTCTCTCACCCTCCTATTCAACATAGTATTGAAAGTTCTGGCCAGGGCAATCAGGCAAGGGAAAGAAATAAAGGGTATTCAAATAAAGGGTATTCAAGAGAGGAAGTCAAATTGTCTGTGTTTGTAGATGACATGATTGCATATTTAGAAAACCCCATTGTCTCAACCCAAAATCTCCTTAAGCTGATAAGCAACTTCGGCAAAGTCTCAGGATACAAAATCAATGTGTAAAAATCACAAGCATTCCTATACACCAACAATAGACAAACAGAGAGCCAAATCATGAGTGAACTCCCATTCACAATTGCTACTAAGAGAATAAAATACCTAGGAATACAACTTATAAGGGATTTGAAGGACCTCTTCAAGGAGAAGTGCCACACAATTTTAAACAATGAGATCTCACAAGAGCTCACTCACTACCATGAAGACAGCATCAAGGGGTTGGTGCTAAACCATTAATGAGGAATCCACCCCTATGATCCAGTCACCTCCTACCAGGCTCCACCAACACTGGGGATTACAATTCAACATGAGATTTGGGTGGGGACACAGATCTAAACTACATCAGTCCTCTTATTATTGTAGCTTTATAATCTGTTTAATGAAACCAATAACTTAAAACATGTCTTTGAGTATTCTTATTTGTTTGCTTTTCCATTTGAACTTTAACACCACCTTGTCTAGCTTGCAAAAACCACCCTGTCAGTAATTTTACTGAGACTGCATTATATTTATTGGATACCTTCGGGAAATTTGACATCATTATGATGTGAAATCTTCCTTTCCAGGAACATGGCTTGTCTTTTTATTTTTCAATTTTTCTTTCGTGCCTCTTAGGAGCACATGAAGTGTTTTTATACAGATCATAGTCATTTCTTGTTTGTTGCTATTCTAATAAGGCCTTTTTTCCTTTATTTCTTCTAATTGATATTGTTTGTACATATAAAGGCTACTTATTTCTCTACATTAGTTTTGTACCTCTCAACATTTTTCATTTTCTCAAATAATTTTCCAGTTGCTTCTCTTGAGTTTTCCTGGTGGAGAATCATATACTTATAATAATACTTTTTCCTCTTCTTTTCCAATTTTTAGTATTTAAGCCTTTTCTTTCGTCTATGTTCACCAGTCCCTCCCAAACAATATTAAGGTGTATTAGGTATAATGGTGGTCAAACAAGCTATTCCTGACATTTGGGAATGGAAATGTCCTTGGCTTTCCCATTAAAGATGACACTGGCCTTTGGGCTAACAGTGATAAAACATAATAAGGATAACATATGTCTAACCCATTGTGTTAATCACTTTTAAAAATCAAGAATGGATGTTGAAATTTATTCCATGCTTTTTTCAATGTCTATGTAGATAAAGGAATTTTTTTCTCCTTAGACTTATTAATGTGGTAAATTATATTAATAATGTTAATATTTGTGGCAAGCTGAATAATGTCTCCTAAAGATATCCACATCCTAATTCTTGGAACCTGTGAATGTTACTTCATGTGAAACTTTGCATATGTGATTAAGTTCAGAATATAAAGATAGGTGGATTATTTTGGATAATTTACCAGGCCCTAGATGGGCGCTAGATGTAATTATGTGTCCTTATAAAAGAGAGGCAGAGAAAGATGAAGAAGAAAAAAGGAAAGAAGGAGAAGGAAGAGGAGGAGGAGAAGGAGGAATAAGAAGAAGGAAGAGGACCCACTATACCACAGTGGCTCATACCATAGTGTAGAGAAGGAGAAGGAGGCAATATGACAACTTAAGCAAGATACTATGATCCTGGCTTTGAAGATGAAGGAAGGGGCTGTGAACCAAGGAATGCAGTTTTAGAGGCTGAAAAAGCAAGAGCCTCCAGAGGGTGCAGCCCTGCTAACACATTGATTTTGGCCCAGTGAAACATATTCCAGGCTTCAGGTCTCCCAAACTATAAAAGAAAAAAAATATGTGTTGTTTTAAGCCACCATATTTGTGCTAGTTTCTGACAGCAGCCATAGAAAATGAATACAATGTATATAATTCAATTATTTAGCCTAGAATAAACCCTATTTGTTTATGATGTTTTTCTTCTTTTAATGTGCAGCTGGATTTTGCATTGAAATTTGAAAATTTTATCCTGTGTTATTTAAGTAAATTAGTCATGTTTATTAAACACTTAGGTCCTTATGAGAGACAACATTATTTTGTAGTTGTGAGTATAGTTTTTGGAACTGGAAAGTCTATCCTACCACATACTGATTGTGTCTTTTAGTCTCTAAAGATTAAAAATCATTTAATCTCCCCATGCCTCAGCTTTCTAATCTGTAAAATGGAAATGATAATAGAGCTTTTCCTACAGGGTTGCTTGTGAATTAAGAGAGAAAATACATGTAAAGAGTTCAGAGCAGTGCCTGGTGTATAATAAATGCTGTAGAAGTATTTGTTGTCACTACCATTATGCTGTTATTTTAACATAATGCTCAGATATCACTATAGTTCTGGTGGCAGAACATGTACCTCTTAGGAAACTGACACTCTCATGAATATCAGTTACACAGTATGTCCTACAGGGTCTTCCCTTTGTCTAGTCCCATAGAAGGGGAGATATGACTTGGGCTCTTTTCCTGTTGCTGTTGGACTCTTGATATTGATTGTTTCACTTATCTATTGCTGTGAAACAAAGCAACCAAAACTTAATGGCATAAAACCATCCTGCATCTGCCTGGGTTGGTACCCTCGGGAACTTGGCCAGCCAGTGGCCAAGCCAGAGTGAGGGGTCAAGTCTCTAGACTCCTATTCCTGCATCCTTTTCTCAATATGAAATGCCTTCTCCTTTGTAAAGAAACCAGCAAGATGATGCTTCTTCAAAGGACATACACCAGGAACTTGTCTTCACACTGTCTCATTTTCTTATTCAAATAAATCAAGAAAAACCAACGATTTATTATTTCTCCCAATTCTGTGGGTTAATTGGGCTTGGGTAGTGTTTCTGCTGGTGCAGGGTGATGTCACTCAGGCAGCTCTATTCTGCTGGGAGCCTGGCTGAGGGCAAACATGCAAAATGGCCTCTCATCCTCCAGGTTCTCTCCATGTGGCCCCTCATTCTTTAGCAGTACAGCCTGAGCTTTTGTGTAGTGTGGTAACTTGCTTCCAAGACAGCAAAAACGGGAGCTACCAGGTTTCGTAAGGACAAAGCCTAGGTCTGAAACAGCATCATCTCTAACACATTCTATTATTGGTCAGAGCAAGTCACAAGGCCAGTTCAGATTCAAGGAGAGGGGAAAGAGACTTCATCTCTTGACTGGAAGTACTCACAGAGATGGGAGTAATTATTGATGGCAGTATTGGAAACCACGGTGGCTCAGTCTGTAGTGTCTTGCTTATAGGGTCCTTTTGAGGGATACCAATTGTCTTAGTTCATTCCTGCTGCTATAACAAAACACCTTAGAGTGGGTAATTTATAAACACCAGAAATTTATTTCTTACAAGTCTGGAGGCTGGAAGTCCAAGATCAAGGTGCCAGTAGATTTGGTGTCTGGTGAGGGTCTATTTTACACAGATAATGTCTTCTATGTGTCTTCACATTGCGGAAGGGCAAAAAGGGACAAACAAGCTCTCTGAAGCTCTTTTATAAGGGCACTGTGTTAGGCTGTTCTTTTACTGCTATAAAGAAGTATGCGAGCCTGGGTAATTTATAAAGAAAAGAGGTTTAATTGGCTCATGATGCTGCAGGCCGTACAGGAAGCTAGGCATCAGCATCTGCTTCTGGTTCTCAGGAAACTTACAATCTGCTTCCTGCTTCTCAGGAAACTTAAAATCATGGTGGAAGGAAAATGGGAGCCAGTGTATCACATGGGGAGAGCAGGAGAAAGCGGGGGTGGGGGAGCGGGGGAGGTGCCACACAGTTTTAAACAACCAGACCTCATGTGAACTCACTCATCACCAAGAAGATGGCACTAAGCCATTCATGAAGGATCTGCCCCTGTGACCCAAACACCTCTGGCCAGGCCCCACCTCCAACACTGAGGATTACATTTCAGCATGAGATTTGGAGGGGACAAATATTCAAACCATATCACGCACTAATCCCATTCATGAGAGAAGAGCCCTCCAGACCTAATCACTTCCTAAAGGCCTACCTTTTACTACCATTGCATTGGGGATTAAGTTTCCACATAGGAATTTTAGGGACATACACATTCAGGCCACAGCACCAATAAAATGGCCCAAGCCCAGGCACCTTCCACAGTGTCTACACTGTGCGGGGGAAACACATGTATCCTTGCCATCATGGGTCATGAGAGTGCTGCCATTCATCCTCTGGCCTTTTCATTTTCTACCCTAGCAGCTTAGAGTGTTCTGCAGCCCCACAGGTTTCAGGTGGAGATGAACAGTCCTAATGTAGAGCGGGTCAAGCCCAGGCTCTCAGATGGTCTGAGTAATTTTCTTTCTGTTTTTCTTCTTCCCTTGGCTTTGAGGAGGGGCATCACCCACTTCTCACCCCTCCCTGCCAGAGGATGACTCCAGGCAATCACCAACCAAGACAGACTAAAGATTGGGGAAGTATTACCCACTAGGTAGCTTTCCACTTATTTCCTGTCTTTCTTCTGTCCACCCTGAGTTCCTTAACATACTCAAGCAGAATTCTAAAATGTGAGAGCTGGATTCACGTAGAGATAGTTTAGTTTGGTGGTTTCCAACTTTCCTTGCAGACCATGGGAGACTGTACTGCCCTCGTATCCCAGTGTAGGGAATCATGCTGGCCAGAACTCTGCATGGTTGCGTGAAGGAATGTGAAGATGAGTTTGGGGTGTGATAACCTCGAGAGGCACATGTGAGGTCAAGCAGAGGGTAACAAAACCACCTTCTGGGAGGATGGAACCAGGAAACTGTACAATCTTGATATGATCACTAGAGTATGTGCATTTTTCTCCTACCTTTTCCCATACCTAGTGCTCATTCTTTTGGACAATAATTTAAAGGGTCTAGGTTTGAAGGGGCATCACCTTTTTTCACCTGTCCACAGCACTTACATGAATCTGTCTGGCTTGGACCCGTTGGAACTTGGCCAGCCAGTGGCCAAGCCAGAATGAGGGGTCAAGTCTCTAGACTCCTATTACTGAATCCTTTTCTCACTATGAGATGCCTCCTCCTTTGTAAAGAAACCAGCAAGATGGTGCTTATTCAAAGACATATACCAGGAACTTGTCTTCACACTGTCTCATTTTCTTTATTCAAATAAATCAAGAATATAGTTTCTCTTTCTTCCAGCCATTATGAGACTTGCTGATCTAGTGTGTATGACCCTTTGGATAAAGGCATAATGTAAAAGAAAATTGTATTAATAAGATATTACTAATATTAATCAATATGAAATGCAATAGTGTGCCAGGGTGAGAAAGTCAGGAAAGAACACTGTAAACTCCTCTGGGATCTGCAAGACCAGACACTTCCAAATGCTTCTTACTAAATACTCAGCCTAGAAACGGTCCCCCAAAGTGCAGTAAAACATGCAACTCTAATGTTTGTGTTAGCTTGAAATTATGGCTTGGAAAATTCTAGCACCCTCTTCAATCATGAAAACAGTGAGAGATGTTAAATTTCATGTAATTATACAGTCAGAATATAAGCTATATCACATTCTGTGCTCTATGTGTAGCTGCTTAAAAAGGTCAGAGTTCTTATACTCCTAGTGTATAGACCATATTCTAATTGAACTTCCTAATGTGTCTGACAGATGGGAAATAGCTCACTCTGACCCTGAATATCCAGTCTTTGGCTCACATAACCTAATAACATGGGATTATTACTTTTGTATTTTATACAGATCTGTAATAAAGACCCCAGTTCCAAGGATAGCGATCATAAAACTTTGTTGTTATATTTTTTCCATTTGGCTGTAAGGAACTCATATTTGTGGACATTATCTCATTAAACCAAGAGAACATAGTTCTATTATTTTCATTTTGCAAAGTGAGGCACTGAGTTACACAAAAGTTGAGCAACTCTTCTCAGTTCACATAAGCCATGGATAAAACTGGGAGTCAAGCCAATCCTGCTGATTTGTTGGCCTTTCCAATCTTTCAAAAAGTATAAAACCCTTTCAAAGTTTAATTCTGCCCCTACAGAGCCCCAGAGCCACATACCTTCTCTAAGTGTCATTTTTCTTGTCTATTAGTTGGTATTCATCAGAAACAGCCAGCACCAACTTGTGCCATGGGGATAAAATTTATTTTCTGGGTTGGGGTGGGGGGAACCAATAAACTAACTGAACTGAAATAAAAATTGAAACCCAAAGCAAAGCCAAACGAAGCTAAACAAACCACCACATGGTCATTGAGCCACATATCAACATTAGGTTTAAAAATATAGCTCTGAAGACCTAAAGCACAGCCTCATGAGAATATCCAGTCCCATACACCATAACCACTTACTGTAAGAAGACACGTCATATCCCATCCTGAACACTTGTTAAAAATCTCAAGAAAAGGGGATGTAACCATGCTCTTTGTTGCTCTGCCTACTCTTTGATTTCTACTCCTTTTTCTCCTCCTGTGATCACTCCCCTTTGTCTCCTTCATGTTCATTTTTTTCCTTCACCAATCCTTTATATTCTGCTAGTCCTCGGGGTTATGTCCTGGTTCCTCTTCTCATTTCCAGTGACGCTGTCTCCCTGGGTGACTTTATCCACTCCCCTGCTTTGATTACCTTAAAAGTGTTGACAATGCCAAAATGTCAGTATCACCAGCCCAAGCCTCTTGCCTTCACATCTTCATGTGGCTGTACGTTTGGTCCCTCAAATTTGACATGTCTCAAACTGAACACATCATTTTCTTCATCCTCACCTGCTCTGCCCACCCTCCACTCCCACTCTGGACTTCTGTTACCTATCAAAGTAAAAGGCATCACCACCCACTTAGCCCAATACTGGGGCCAACCTTTACCCTTTCCTGTCCATCACTTGTCACATTGCAAAGTCCTGCCATTTTTATCTCCTACATCTCTCTCACATCTGGGTGCCTTGATTCATCTCCACTGAAACCACCCTAGTCTAAGCTACTGGTTTTGCACTTTGCTTGCTCCAGCTGTCCTTATAACCCTGTGTACATCCACTGCCTATCACCCAAGGGTGCCAAACCACCAGATAGAAGACAGTGAACATCCAGGAGATGAGTTCTGGTCTTGGCTCTGCCACTTACTGGCTGTGAGCTTAGACAGGGCACACGACCTCCCACAGATGCACTCGCCTCCCTTGTTGCTATAGGAATAAATAACAATTTGCCTTCTAGAAGTTGGGTGCTCAGACAGCTGGAAGGTCCTCGCAGTTTTAAGATCTGTGATTCTGTGCGAGACCTCAAATATACTGACACAATGAAATAACAACCAGCCACACATTGATCAAATCCAAGCAGTATACAAAACCAGGGATGGTAACATTTTGAGATTGACATTTTTCATGCATTTGGGACACTAAGCACCTTTCAACATTCTGTGTTTTGGAGTTTCCCATCTTATGATTTCTATAATTCAAAACAGATGGAGGACAAACTCAATTTCTTGGCCTCCAGTGAAACTAGGGCATACTCACGGTAAGTCAAATCTGACAAGAAAAGCACCTTGTCTGGCATTTACATTTGCAAGAAGATAACGTGAAGAAATAAAAGGCCATTCTGGCCAGGGGGGCATCATCTTTTAGAAGCAGCATTGGCAACAGCCTAGCGTGAGAAGTGCCACAGCCCTGCTCAGTATTCGTGTAGGGAGCCTGGGCCAGCAGCAGCCACTGCAGCGGAAGGTCCTTACTGGAGTGGTCTGATGGTTTAATTTGGGCATTATTTATGGCTTCATAGCCTTCAGCCTGGTTCTCTGACCTTCCTGCATATTGTGTAGGCTACTTAATATTCTTTAATAAATTTTATCTTTGTTTAAACAAACTGTGGTGCCTGTTGTTTGCAGCCACAAATGATGTGCAGTTCCTCATCCCTCGAGTCTCGGTAGGAACCGCATTTTCTTTGAGCAGTCTTCTTTGACCTAGAGATGACGTTACATCTCATTGCTGTACGCTCTTAGGATAGACAGTACTTCTCCTCTTCTAGCATGTGTCACATGTGTTTAAGTGTTTTAGATGACTCGATTACCTCCCTTGCTGCACTGTAAGTTCTCTGAGTGCTGGGGTGTCTGTCTCTGTCTTGTTCTTTCCTTTCCCTCTTGCATCTGGCATATTGTATAGCACATGGTCATCACTCAATAAATGTTGCCTTGAATCAAATTGTTGACAACTAAATGGCTCATTCCATAGGGAAACACCAGTTTTCTTCTTAATTTGTTTCTCATTAGGGACAAGAAATAGCTATAGTTTTCAATTTTTTGCTTAAGAATAAGATTAAAATGTAATCTGGACCAACATGGAGATTATTAGAATTTTTGTTAGGCCTGATTCTATTATTAAGCCTTCTTGGGTTCTTAAAGTTGCTTGATTTCTTTGAAATGCCCACTTTTAAAGACAGAGATAGGGCTTTTGGTTAAAGATGATAGATTAGCTACATGTACTCCACTTGCCCCTCTCAAGGCAATAAAAAGTATATAAACACACAAGGGCAAAGAAAAAGGGAACATGAGCCCCCAGCACACAGAGGAGGGGGCCAAATATGGTAGGGCAAGGGAAGCCAGAGTCTGAAGCATGTTTTGGATCACAAGGGAGTCACAGGCCAGAGATATTCATTCTCCCTCCTGACAGTGTGGTCATATTAGGCACAGTAGAGAGGGGAGTGTGAGGTGTAGGCAGTGGTGTGCTGGTAACTATTTAATTTTTTTTTGAGACAAAGTCTTGCTCTGTCACCCAGGCTGGAGTGCAATGGCGAGATCTTGGCTCACTACAACCTTCGCCTACCTGGTTCAAGTGATTCTCCTGCCCCAGCCTCCCGAGTAGCTGAGATTACAGGCACACACCACCATGCCTGGCTAATTTTTGTATTTTGAGTAGAGATGGGGTTTCACCATGTTGACCAGGCTGGTCTCGAACTCCTGACCTCAGGTGAATCACCTTCCTTGGCCTTTCAAAGTGTACTGGGATTACAGGTGTGAGCCACTGTGCCTAGCCACTGGTAAATGTTTTATAACCAGCTTGGAGGAGGGAAGGAAGGAAGGAAGGAAAGACGGAAGGAAGGAAGGAAGGAAGGAAGGAAGGAAGGAAGGAAAGAAGGAAAGGAGGGAGGGAGGCTTTATGAATGGTATTTACTGATTTCCGTGGTGGTAGCACAACCACCGTGTCCTGTTTTGAGCTACCAACGTGGTATCACTGAATGAGGGACTGGGAAGAAATGTGCAGGATTGGTTCACGTGGGCTGGCGAGCACTGGCTTCAGCACATCATCAGGTATAGGGCCAAAAATAGGGAGATAGGTTCAAATTTAGTTTATAGAGGGTCAGTCCTCACAATCTCTTCCCCAGTTCATGCAAAGAATACCACAGTGAGGTGTTTATCATCAATCCCCACCGCACACATACAAGACTAGGAAAATACAGTGGTCTCAGAGAGGGAACCCCAAACCTCTAGGAATGAATGAAGATCACTGAAAGGAACTATTTAGGATATTCATAAAGGCTTTTTTTTTTAAAAGAACTTTGTGTGTCTGTGTGTGTTTGCATAAAATTGTAAATTGCTTTAAAAGACTTTTGATTGCTTAAAGCAAAAATAAGTAATATGCTTTGTGGAGGGCCATACTGTTGTTAAGTTCTACACTGTTCACGAAGCAGGACAATACTGTTTGAAGGTAGACTTTAATGACTTAACGATACATACTGTAATTTCTGGATCATCCACTATAAAATTAGGAAAAGCTCTATAAAAGAAGTCAATAGAAAAAATATAATGGATACTAAAACATAATCAATTCACCTAGAAGAAGTCAGCAAAGAAAAAATAGAGAAGCAAAGAATAAATGGGATAAATAGAAAACAAATACCAAGAGGAAATACTTTAACTCAAACATTTAAAAAATTAAATCAAATGTAAATGAATTAAATGTTCCAATTAAAGTTTTAAAAAAATGAAAAATCCAATGGCTACTTGTAGTTGTTACATTTCAAGTACTTGATAGCTACACATGGTTAGTGGCTATCACACCAGACAGTACAGATACAGAAATTTCCATCATCTCAGAAAATTTGACTGGAAAGCACCCGTCTAAAGAGCAACTAACTCAAAATAAACAGGGATGACAGAGCACTCCAGGATTAGAATTCCATAATGAGAATGTAAATGCCTGGTAGTGCAGTGAACAAATAGGGCAATTAGAATTTTCAGGAAGAACAAAAAGATGATCAAGAAAGTAAATACGGTCATAGCATACTTGACTCTGTAGTGAAAAATATATACATAGGCAAAATTCCGGCAACACTAATGCTTGATTTATTCTAAATTGGTAGATAATTATTTTGGGAAAGTGGGAGAGAGGCAAGGTGGTGACCGGAGAGAGAGCGTGTATGCTAAACCTCCTCTACTGTAACGGGAGATGAAAAATAACAACTAACCTTTATAAAAGTGGTAAATATACATTTTGGAAATATAGAGGTTCCTGACATAGGATGAAATTGAAGGAGTTTTCTCTGGGGGATGGATGGAAAGTAAGATAGGGTAGGGCAGAGGACTGCTGTTTTTCATAAACCTTTTGGAGGTATTTGATTTTTAAAAACACATACATACATATAATCAGCTGGGTAAAAGAAAATAATTGTACAAAGAATCCAGACAGAAGCCAATTGTTATCTATTCCTTTAATATTTGGTCATGACATTCAAGTAACTAATGGGACCATTGATAATTTGTGGAGCTTCTGTGTTATAATGAAATCTGTTTAATGTACTATAAAACATTATAAATAAATATAGCAAAAATATAAATATATGAAATATATTGTAAAGAATGAAGAGACACCTTCTGAAGGTACAAGGAAGGATTTACCTGTAGACAATGCACACAGAGTTTTATGTGTATTGGGAGAAAAGAAAGCAGAAAAACATAGTATGTGGCCCAGGAAACTAAGGCAGGAAACTTAGCAAATGGCAGAACACATGTTTTGTTCAGATTTCACATCTTCCCACCATACCATGGCTAGATCCTAAAGGCACAGTCCAGAAAAAAACAGATTTGCCCTCTAGAGAGAATGAACCAAGAGTCCAGGGGATCTCAACTCCAGGCACTGTGCAGCAAGAGAAACGGTCTATCCCTTTTTACATGTGGGATTGCTGAGAAAAACAAACAAACACACAAACAAAAACAATAACACTGGTTAAGAGTCAGACAGACATAGCTGAAATGGCATTTCTGCTACTTAAGGGCTGTGTGACTGGGGGCAAGTACTTCCTACAGTGATGCCCCATCTCTTTGTTGAAGGTACACTTACAAATATTGGAATCTGGGGCAATGAACTGAAGAGATGAAAGACTCAAAATGAAATGGAAAAAGTTGGTAATATTTAAAATGCAGTAGTTGCTAATGTGTAACAGTATTTCCCAAAGTCTGTAAGATACCCAGAGGTGTTTCTTTTTTTTTTTGGCACCCAGAATTTTGTGGCCTTAATTTGAAAGTTTTCTCCTGAGCAGAATGTTACTCTTTGAGTAGAAGCGCCCTAATGATTATATATACCTCTCCATTCACGGAGCCATGCTTTTACATCTTCCAGGACATCACCTTCCTTTTGGTGCTGACTTGCCTTCCCTCATACCTAGTCTAATGTGCAGCAAAATTGTTCCCAGTTCTACATCTTGCATCACAACCCACTCAGCAAAATGCCCCATCAGGTAGTTAGCTGCCTGAATGTCTGCTCAGATAGTGAGTTGCAGCAAAAGGCAATTTTATACCCAGATTAAGACTTGGCAGAGCACCAGGGAAGATTTAAAGCTTACAGATATGACACAGCACACTGGTTGGGAACCACTGGCTTACCTTCTCTGGCAAATGTCATCCCTGACCCTGGAACAGAGCGCATACCGAATGGTTCTCCACTGTGCTGTTCTCTCTCACAACTCCCTGTGGGGAAAGGATTAAGACCCCTGTTTTACTGAAGAGGAAACTCCTGTTTAGAAAGGTTAAGCCAATTGTTCCAGTTGATGGGAGCAGGACAAAGAAGATTACTTCCATTCTCACATCCCTGCTCCTGCCTGCTTCCCTGTGTATACTCCTGTTATCCACCTCCTTTGGTCATCCAGAAATGTCGGAGACAGTCTGGCTTCATAGGAGGGAGGGAGAGCCGCCTCATCGTTACAGTGATCTGAAGCTGACTTCCCCAATAGCTGGGTAATGGGAAACACTCATTACAGAGCAAAAATGTGACAAAAATACATTGGAGATTGCAAAAAGTGAGACCATTGTCAATAGTCATGAGTGACTAAGCAATGCAAGTGCAGACTTCAAGTGGTAAGTCACTGGCATCTTAAAAGCTATCTTTTTAAAAAATTGTGGTTGTATTTATTAAGATACCTGAAAGCCTTTGGGAATTAGAGCTTATACTTCCTTTCTTGCCTAATGACACTACCATCCACTCTGCGATCTAAATCGTGAATCTGGGAATCACTGCAGCCTCTCCTCTCTTCTTCCATTACTATCTTTCTTCATCACCCTTATTTAATTCTTCACCCAGTCCTGTTAACCTGAATTCCCAAGTATCTTGCAGATCTTTCCATCCTACTGTAGTTGTGAGTGTGGGCTTTTAGGTCAGACTGCCTGGGTTGAAACCTGGCTCTGCCTCTTGGTGTCTGAGTCTTTCTCCAGTGGTGTGCTGGAGTGCTCCTGTTGCCCAACCTGCATCAGCAGTGACTGTGGTCATCTTTAAACCATGCCCAAATAAATGTGTTCTACCAATACACCACAAAGTGTATTGCTAGGCTCTTGCTTTAGTTTTCAGGTTTTCTTTTCTAGTACGATTAAATATTTTCTTCTTGTTTAGGCATGCTATTTATTTCTCCCTCTCTGTTCATGTCTCTTTCAAAACTTGGAGGATTAGTGCTTTTTATATTTTATTTAATAATATCTTATATTTCAAGTTCTTTTTAGAAGCAATTTATTTAGTACTTCTTTTTATATGTCAAGTTATTTTAAGAAGCAATAAAATGTGAGTGAAAATTGTGAAATAACACTGCCAAACCATTAAATGTCACCCCTGGGTGGAGTTTCTCTAGAAATTATCTGCATAAGGTGAGTAAACCTTGTCTTTAGGATGTTAATGCTTAATCATATTAGCGTGAATGTGAATTATTATTGTTTTAAAATAACACTGAAAATGACCAAAAGGCAGGTACTTACAAAGGAAAGTAGAAAAATTTTTTAGTTGGCTTCATTCCTCCTGTCTTTTTTGTTCCATTCAGATCCTGTTATTTCCCAGAGAGTGCCAGTCTGTGCAATGTTTCTTTTACATTTCCTTAATTGTTAGCAGTAGAATAAAACTGATACTTCATTATTATTATCACTCAAAATATATCGCCTACTATATGAAAGCGCTGTGTATCTACTTTTATGTTGGTGGGGAAGGGAAATTTCTTGGGACTTTATAATATTTTAAAATTATATTAGAAAATCATTAAGGAATATATTTTGGTTTATTGTGGAATTGTTTTTTAACCATTTGTAGTCTCTCCCACCTGTTTTAAATACAAAGTTATAAAAGTTGCACTCCCTTCCCTTTTCAAGCCCATTTCTTTAGGGTAAATAAAAATTAGAGTAAATTGAACATCAGCCACCTGGAAATACTCCTGATTCTTAGCTCTGACTTTCCCCCTGTTGCTTATCAGTTGCTTGTCAGGCTGGTAGACCTTTGCTGTTCGAATGTGGGTCCGTGTATTTCGCTCAATAGCCTGTCTGTCCTCTAAGGTTAAAGCTAATCTGCATCACTTTCCATTTTCAGCCACCAACTATATCTGTAGCTGCAGTGACATTTTTACACAAGGAAAGATGTATGCTGCCCATCTGTCATGTAAGGACATAATGTAGCTAAACCATCTACCCTGTCTCTTACTACATGGTGAGTGATGAGAACACAAAACGCTGGATTCAGTTTCTCCTTGGAGAATAAGTAGCAAGAGATACTAATTTGTATGTTACGCTGCCAAGAAAATGAACATCAGGTGGGCCATGATCAATGGATTGCAGAAGCACTTCCACAAGGGGATGTGGTTCTGGGCTTTTGCAATGCCTTTAGCCTCTTTTTTGAAAGTGTAAGCACACAAATGTGTCATTTTTTATGCCTGGCTCAGTGGATCAAAAGAGACTTTCCTAGGACACTGGGCAGCATGGTGGATGTGCAGCCAGGAGGTCTGGACAAGGACACTAGTCAGGACGGCCTAGGAACCAAAGGCAAATCTCTTCACTTTATCAACCTTGGTTTAATCGTCTCCCAAAAGGCAGAACTGGGATTAATCGCCATTTCTAACATTCTATTGCTATGTCGTTTACTTAGGCTTCCTGAACACCAAAATGACAGAGACCATGGACCTGTTATAGGCTAGAATATGGCTGTTGGGTGGGCTTTCAGCTGCACAGAAAGGTGTAGGCATGACTGTGCTAGGCACGGGGAAGGAAGACTGTCAGGATGTGTTAATGGGGATGGAGTGGGTTGGGAATAAGAGCCTTTAGACGCCAGAGGCAAGATTGACCAACTTCCCAGCTTGGTCCAAGACTCCTTTGGGCCCAAGAGGCTGCGTGTGAGGACTGAGCGTCCTTCCAATGTGGACACTTTTCAGAGTTGTGTCCTGATTCTCTTCTTTTCTCACCCTGCAGCCACCCTCCCTGGGCTGTTTCATCCATTGGTGTGATCTCGGCTCACTGCAACCTCCACCTCCCAGGTTCAAGCGATTCTCCTGCCTCAGCCTCCCGAGTAGTTGGGATTACAGGTGCCCACCGCCACCCCCAGCTATTTCTTTTTTGTATTTTTAGTAGAGACGGGTTTCACCATGTTGGCCATGCTGGTCTTGAACTCCTGATGTCAAGTGATCCATCTGCTTCAGCCTCCCAAAATGCTGGGATTACAGGCGTGTGCCACTGCACCCCACCCACATGCTTTTTATATGCTGTATCTACGGGCATACTTTGCTCTGAAGCAACAACCTGTGTATCTGGGGATCTCCAATTCGATGGCCTTAGTCCCTCTCATGAGCTTAACTTCGTCTCCTCTGCCCATCCCCTGCTGTTGCTCCTTCTCCTACCGTCATCATCTCAACAGATAACCCCTTAGTATTACTCACGTAAAAACTAAGGTGTCCTACTTGACTTCTCCCTCTCTCACCCCTGACAACCAATCAAACCCTCCTTCATCCTCTTCACTTACAACTCTTCATTGGCACCCGCTGCTGTCAAGGTAAAGTCAAAGTCCATAGCAGGACAGGGCTCCCCAACCTTCCAGCTCCATTTTTGCTTCTCCTCCCTGGCGAGTGTCTTCCAGTTCTATAGTCTCACCATGTCATCTTTGCTTCTGGGTTTTGTGTATGCTCTTGTCTCTGTTTGACATGCCTCCCTAACCGTCCTCTCCATAACCTAATTTTCATAGATAACTCCAGTTTCCTCTTTTCCTCTTTAGTCTTGGTCTAGATCAGTGTTTCTCAACTGGGGCTGATGTCATCCCTCAGAGGACATTTGGCCGTGTCCAGAGACATTTTGTGTGGTCACAGCTGAGTGAGGGTGGGGTGGTTGCTACTGGCATGTAGTCGGTAGAGGCCAGGGATGTTGCTAAACATCTTATAATGCCCCTCACATCAAAGACTCCTACCACAAAGAATTATCTTTCCCTGAGTAGCAATGGGGTTGAGATTGAGAAACCTTGGTCTAGATTTCACTTTCTCTGGGAAGCCTTTCCTGGCTTTCCCATGCCCCTCCTCCATGGTCTCATGTCCCTCTTCTTAGACTTTTCATCACTCTTCTCCTGTTGCACTATTTTCTGTTCACTTGTCTGTCTCCTCTTCTAGAACGTGGGCTTCTGGAAGTCAGGCACTGTTTCTTGTTTCCCTTTTAATTCCCAGTTCCTAGCGTAGTTCCTGGTAATAGTGGGCATGCAATAACTATTTGTAAATGAGTAAAAAAATGAATACACACAAATCACTCTATAAGCAGTGTCTCCCATACCACATTTTTTCCCCCTAGAAAGCATATCATTTGCAATAATACCCCACTCTAATCTCTGTCCCTGCAGCACCGCTGGGGAAAGCATTCTTTTGGAGTTCTCTTGTATATGTGGGCCATAGCAAACTGCCAGCCTGCCTGGGGAAATAAATATTTGAATACTTATTTTGTTTTCTAGTGGCTTCTCTTGCCAATGATACTCTAGTCATGGAAATATCCTTACCCACAATGTGATGTGTGCTGTGGGATTATTATTATTATTTATATTTCCATGACCTGATTTTTTTTACATTAAATAATAGTTGAAACAGTTTGTGTCTTGACTTTCTTTTATAGTTGAAAATGCCACAGAATGCAAGTTAAGGCCATGTGAGCCAATATATTTCATTGCCCAGCACCATAATCTATTAAGCCTGAGATATTTTCAGGGAATTGCCTTAAATCCTTTGGTGGTTTAAAGTAGCTTCAGAGGGATTAGTGGCTTAGAGGTAATTGTTATTGCTAATATTTTATTTGAAATGTCCTGTTCAGCAAAGGTAATGTGACATTTTGCTCACTGGAAATGCTGTCTTTCTAGGAAAAGGGATGAGCCCAAAGGTCAGTGCCCAGGAGAGGGAGGGGAGGGAGTGTGTGAGACAAAGGACAAGATCCTGAGCTGAGGTGACCAGTACAAGTTACCCGACACAGAGATGACTGTTGTGTGGACTTCAGGGAGATGGAGTTTTAATTTTATGTGAATTGTGAGATTAATCTAGACAGTTAATCAGCTCTAAAGAGAAACCCATGTTTTACTTTTAAAAAGAAAAATAAGTAAGGAGGATAAAACCCAGTGAATACTTCTTCGCAGGGGCATCCTCTTTTACTGAGCCAGTAAATCTTGGAGCTCCTCAGGGTCCATTTCTGTTCCTGGCCAGTGGATCTTAAATATAGAGTATTTGAGAAATCACTTTGGGGCACTTGTCAAAAAATAAAGATTTCTTGGGCTCTACTTCCACCAACAACAATTCCATAATTCTGAGATATTCTCCGAAATCTGCATTTAAACCAGAGAGCACCAGGAGATTCTGATGCAGGCATTTCTTATGCCTGGAGAAACATTGAATTAACCAATCTCTTCCTTGCTCATGGTGGCATGTTTCTCAGATTTCTATCTATGTCCCAAATGTATCTGAGTTCTGGATTCATCTATCAAAATGTCAATCAAAACCAAGGAATGTCTTAAAGATACTTCGAACTCAGCCCATCCAAAAGCAAATGTTGTCTTTTTGCGTTTCCTACCTCAGGAATGGGAATGGCACCCATTTGGTTCTCCAACACAATAACACAGATGCCGCCTCCCTTTCGCCCTCTTCATTGGCTCTATCCTTGCCATTGGGCTTCCCCCAGCTCCTATTATCACTTAGCATTTTTCTTTGGAGTACAGCAGTAGCTCACTAACCAACCTCTTTGCATTCACTCTTCAATCTTGTCTCAACAAGCCAGAGGAATCTCTGCAAAATGTATGCTTTAATCTTGCACCACTACCTGCAAAAACTCTTTAATGACTTCCTGTTGCCTTTAGGATAGGACCCAAATCCTTTCTTTGACTCAGAAAGTCCTGCTTGGTGACCACCTGACCATGACTAGATTCCTGTCTCATAGGACTTTCTTTCTGATTCTGTGTTATAGCTACACTGTTCTTTCTTTGGTTCTTTGAAACTGCCAAGCTTGCCTCCAGCACAGCATGGTATTTGGCTCTGAACTAGTATTTCCTTCAGTCCCCTCTCCTTCCCTTAGCCTAGTGAACACCTATATCTCCTTAGATGACATCCCCAATTCTGCCTTTATGATCTTCTTCTAACCTAAGTCAGGTTCCTTTATGATACACCCTTGAGCAGCTACATACTTTTTGTAATGATATGTTTTGTTTTGTGAGTGTTTGACTAAAGCTTGTCTTTCCCTAGACTGGATAGCTCATAAAGACAGCAATTTTGGTTCTTCCTTTTTTGCTCACTGTTGGAGCTATAGTGTCTGTCACAGTGCTTGGCCTGTGGAGGCACTCAATAAGTGTTTGTTGAATGTATGTTTATTGGATGACAATGTACATTGTGTGAAACATACTGTTGAAAGAACAATTTCGTTTGAACTTCTTCAAACAGAGAAATCAGAGTAGGTTTAACAGAGACAGACACTGGGGATGTCAGGCAAAGTAAATTGGGTTGTAAGGTCACTAGCTAGATATTTAAGACTGGTAGAACAGCATAATTATAACTTTTCAGCACAACTATTAAGTGTACACAAACTTTGTACCCAGGTATATAATTTTAAGCTTGAGTTGACTTCTCAGTGACAGGTGAATGGGAGACTTAAAAAAGAATGATAATCTTGATTAAGAAATCTTTAGATTTCACACAGCATTAGAATATTTAGGATAATGATGCCCTTTGGTTTATAGAGTCTGATGTTGAATTTCATTTTGTTGGGCCATTTCTCTCAAAATAATATCAATCCAGTTAGTATAAAGGCTTTACAGGGCTGGCTGGATTCCCCAGATAATCCTTTTTTTTCTTTTTTTTTTTTTTTTTTTTTACAACAGAGTCTCCCTCTGTCGCCCAGGCTGGAGGGCAGTGGCACGATCTCGGCTCACTGCAACCTCCGCCTCCTAGGTTCAAGCAATTCTTCTGCATCAGCCTCCTGAGTAGCTGGGACTACAGGCACATGCCACACCATGCCCGGCTAATTTTTGTATTTTTAGTAGAGACAGGGTTTCACTGTATTGGCCAGGCTGGTCTCGAACTCCTGACCTCATGATCTGCCCACCTCAGCCTCCCAAAATGCTGGGATTACAGGCGTGAGCCACCGCACCCAGCCCCCAGATAATCCTTTACTCCAACTTTCACACTTGCTCTGAAAAGTAAGATTAGCCCCAGAAACCTTGACACTGTTGAAATCTTCTGGATGTATAATAGCTGAATGCATCTGTTAAATGGATTGACACTTTAGATCAGACAGACATTGTCAGTGGGACCTATCATTTACTACTTACAACTCTATTTTTATGGTGCTCTCCCCAAAGAAGGCTAGAGAGTTTTTCAAATGGAAATCACAAACTCAAGAGATGGAAGAAGAAGGCAAATACCAAAAGACGATCACAGTAAAGGCCAAAAGTGGAAGAGATTGTTAAAAATTAGTATGTGGAGAGGATGGTATAAGATATGGATCATGTTTGTAAAATAAAAAACCTGATATTACAGAATTCAACTCAAAAAGGGAGAATAATTCCTTCAACATTCCTGCTCCATAGAGAAGAAATCTCACTCTGCAAGGGTCTGGAAGAGTCCCTGTTTCTGGTTGTTGCCTCTCTGTACCTGGTGGAACTGTCCCATCTTCAAAACAGTGCTAAGGTAGTGAGGGAAAAGACTGGTCTAACATGTTTGGTTGTGTGTTTGCTTTGTGCCTGACACTGTGCTACAGACTTTTATACAGACTAGAGATTGCAAACTGACAACACTGAATTTATATGCTGGAACATTATTCTCTGGGAAATCCAGCCAGTCCAGGGAAAAGAGACTGACATGAGGGCTCACCAAAAAATGCAGAGCCAGAACAGCCTACACATAAGAAGGCCTACCACCAACAGTCGCCCTTGCATGTGCTGTGCCTTTAAATCACTCTTTTGTGCTCAACCCTTAAATGTAAGGACACACAAGGAGCATAAGAAGGACTGTCTGTAATGTGAATGATAGAGGCCAAAAATCACTAGAGAAAAGAAACTTGTAGGATAGAGACCATGCATAGTTTTGGAAACCTGAAACAATATCTAATCTCTTCAGAAAGTTAAAAGAAGATATTGTATCTATGAAACTAGAAAAACAAGGTAAAAAATGAAAAATTAAAGAACAAAAATGAATTCTTAAAAATAAAAAATATGACAGTAGGAATAAAAACTCAATAGAAGGATAACAGATAAAATTAGGTCTCCTAGAAAGTTTTCAAAAATAGAAAAGATTGAAGAGAAATTAAAAGACATTCAGAATATTATTTCAGGATGTCCAAATCCCAATAACAGGAATTCTAGAAAGAAAGAAATAAAATAAAGGGAAGTTTTTTTTTTAATTTTAGAATATTTCCAAGAATTGAGGACATAATTTTCCAAATCAAAAGAATACATCTAGTGCCCAACACGAGACCCGTAGTAAAGCATGTTTTTGCAAAATTTCAGAACACTGAGGATAAAAACAGATAAAAGCTTTCAGGAAAGGAAAATAATTTATTTACAAAAGATTAAGAATTAGATTGGCTTCAGAATTCTCAATAGTCACACTGGAAACTAGCAGAAAATGGAGAAATACCTTTACAATTCAGAGGGGAAAGAATTCCAGATAGAAAATTACATATCCAGACAAACCATTGATCAAGGATGAAGGTAGGATAAAGACATTTTTGGATGTGCAAGGCCTCGATTTTCCTCACATGCATCAATTTTCTAAGAGGGTACTAGAGAAGGCATAACACTAAAATGAGGGAGCAAGTTGAGATAGAAGAGATAGGCTCCAAGAAACAGAAGACCAACATGAAAAAGAGACAAAGGAAATCTTCACAATTGCCATGGAGAGAAATTCCAAGGAAAACTGCCCGAGGCATAAGAGGACAACAAGTCAGGGTAGCAGCAAGTCAGGAGGTGCTGGGAGAGACCTTTTCAAGATGAAATTGGTTGATGATCTGCTGCATTTGAACATTCTGGGAGAGGCTCAGATTCCTGGAGAGAGTTTGGGGTTGATTTACTGGTAAATACATAGAAAACTTGAGTGAGCACACATACACACACACAAAGATAGTTACTGATTTCCTGGAGGTTAGAAAGTTATGCAGAATAAAGAAATCAAGGCTCAGAAGTTTTATAGTTATAATAATGTGAATGTTTTAATAATGTGATTGTTAAACTGTTTCAACCAAAATAGTGGTACAGCTCTGTAGCACTGATGGGAGTGTTGAGGCATGAAAAGGCACATGGGTGAGAGGGGAGGAGGAGGGGGGTGGTGAGAAACAGGGGAAGTGAATAGATAATGTCTAAAATGGAAAAATTAAGAAATGATAGTATAATATAAGCACGTTCTTTGGTAATGAGGGTGAAAAATCCCGGAAGAGTGATCATAGTGATTGTCTTGTAGAAACGTGTATCTTTAAATTCTGTGTGCATGTGCTTCACGAAAAATGAGAACTAAGTTGAAAATAAAAGGAAAGTATTTTGGAAAGCAAATCAATAAGAGAGTGAAAGGATTTGTTTAATGGGGAAGTGATGCCGATTCCAAAGAGGTCAAGGCTGGGTAAGTGTGTACCTGGCTGGATCTCACTGCCTCTGTGAAACATCTGGTTAGACAACTCTTCCTAGGCTCATTTCTAAATCATCTTTGTGACTCAGGGTGGTTTAATAATTCTACAGTCTTAATCATGGCAGAGGCATTTCATCACCAGCAAATAGATGCCTAGAGCTTTCATGATAAGAAAGTAATAGATATGCTCATTGCTCAGGACCTCCTTCCTCCATCCACCAAGAAATAGTACTCAAAGCCAGATAAGTGTTAAATTCTTTGCAAATTTTTTAAAAGCAATAATAGGCCTCTGTATCATGTTGAAGTTGCCATTGGCTAAAATTGTCCTTTCAGCCATTTATCATTATGCACCCCAAGCCCTGGACTCAGGTAGGAAGCAGATTGAGCCATTTGTAAACTCCATTAATTACAGATACACAAGACATATCTTCTCTTACCTTCCTTTTTCCAAAAGGCCAACTGATTTGTTCTTTTATCTATGACCTACACAAAGTAACCTTCCCAAGTAATATTAACATTTAGAATATACAGTCCCTCAAATGATCACTGACTCATTGCTTACCCATCTCAAGCACCAGATATTAACAACTTTTAAAAAACTTGCATGCCTAGCTTCCTGAGGTTTCTCTAAGGATTCCAGGACAATACATTGAAAGTATAGAAAACTTACTTTGTTGTTGAGGAGACTTTGTAAGAGCAAATTTTAAAAGACTGAATAATTCTTGATTATTTCTACCATATACATTTGTGGGCCTACTGAACTGTGTAGTCATTTTCATTAGCTGCCTGGTTCTACCTGCTTTATATGACCACATTTCTGTGAAAAACATTCCCCCAAATGCCCAAGTACATGGTAGAAAAATAAACTGCAGTGACAAAGATGTACCCATAAACTGACTGATAGAGGGGGATATGCTCAGTCTTTTATTCTACCATTCTCTCTAGTCTGGGCTCCAATTCTACTCACATCTCATGTATTCCAGGCAATTGTGTGCCAATGTAAAGAAACAAAAGCAATGAGCAGAGTTGACCATAGATAGAAGGGTCAAGTATGGCCCTTGGCCATCTGACTTTCATTATCTGATTGTTTTAGGTTATTTAATGGTCATTATGCTGCACAATGGCATGGTTTATGGGTTTATGGGAACTGGCAGAACCTAGAGGGTTGTTATCAAGAGACAGGCTTCCTGGACTTGAAATGTGACCTCTTTGTATATAGATTCATAGAATTTACTGGGAGCAAAAAGACAGAAGCCTACTAAATTTTTAAGAAAGCCATATTGCCAAAGAAATCTCAAACTTGGGTAACAACAGCTAGTGACTATTTTTACTTTTTCCTTGGGCCCCAGAAATGTAACCAATAAGAAATAAGCTGCTAAAATGGTATAACTTCCAAAATAGGTACCTCTTTGATGTGGCCATGAAAGATGAGAGTCAAGGGAGTTCATCTTAGCAGATCTGAGTGTCAAGATTAGGTGACCTTGTAAACTCCATTAATTACAGATATTCAAGACATATATTGGGTTCTCACTTTACTGTCCAAGCAAGGAGTCTCAGCAGGATTTGATATGTGCTATGAATTAATGACCACGTGAATTGCTTCCCAATATCTTCCCCCGCTCCAAATGTGAGTTTTTATTGCTGTTATTCTTCTCCACCACTTTATATTGCATGTGTTGAGGGTGGACAACTTTTTCAATCCACATTGAAGTCACATCTGGATTGACAGAATAGATGGCACATCATCCAGAGGTGTGGGACATGGGAACTGAATGTAATAACTGTATTAGATTTTTGGATTGTCTTCTTTTAGACAAGGAGTGACAGTGTTTCAACTATGCACAAGCACTTTAAAAAGTTTTTGCATGAGAAGGAGTGTCTTTATGCATGTTGGATAGCAAAGGTGTACTATGGTAGATACTGTGAGAGTTCCTCAACAATTATTTTATCCCTTCACCATGATGAATAATCTTGTGTTAGGAGAAATGTACCCCTCCCCCAGCATCAGAAAAGGGCTCTGATTAATCTAAACCAGTAAAGACCATCCTGTCTTTCTTGCCACAAGGATTGTTTCAGAGATAGCTTCAGGCCATCCTAAACCAAATAATTTTTTTTTGTGTGATGATTGTAGGTCCAACACTCTTTCCTGGCATACAAATGGAGACACCAATAATTTTAGTTGCAGCAGGCAGGAATTTTGTTACCATGAGGAATAGGTAAATTCAGCCATCTTTTCCACTCATGCTCAGAAATTAAATCCTCTAATAGAATATCTGCTTGGTCATGTTGAAAGTCAACCAGCCCAGTTCCTGGCTGCCTGGCAGGATCTGGCCTCTATAGATTCCAAGTGGGGGATAGCATCATCATTTACCAACTCACCAACCCCTTGCACAATACCAGAGAAGCAATTCTACAAATGGAAATCTGGTTGAGGTTAGCAAGGGGGAAATATATTTTGAAAGACCAATAAATGACACACTCACAACCACACCCATTTCCTCTCAATGTCAGACATCTATATAAGTACAAATTAACAAATTCTTAAAAAGTGTTAGTTGACAAAGGCTTAAAAAAGTTAACCTTAAAAGTACATAACAAATATATATTAAGTCAATTTTTCCAATTTCCAAAAATTAACTCAATTTTTCCAATAATCAAATAAAGTAGAAATTACAACCCCATTTTAAGGTGAGAAGTCTGAGACTTACACAAAGATCATTTTCCTATGGTCATTCAACTAATGAATGGAGAAATTGGAATTCAAGCTTGATTCTACTTGACTCCAAACTGATGTCCATGCTATGATGCTTGGGAAGTCCAAGATACAAGTGGGGCACATGTCATTGATATGATGTTTTTAGGGAAAAAAATGACCAGATTAGCTAGCATATGGTAATTCTATGGGTCTACATAAGAAATTTAGACTACACTTGGAAGCACTAGGTCTAGTTGCCACTGACCATGGGACACATGTAATAGATGGGAAAACATCTAACCAGTTTTTATTCAAGACTGAAGAGAAGGAAGGTTTCCCTAGCACCTTCCATGAAGAGAATAAGGAGAATGTGGGCAGGGAACTTTTAAGTTTGCTACATGGCATGGACCAAGAAGTGATCAAACTTTTAATATTTTTCAGGGTCAAGTGTCTAATCACTGACCGTTTATGGGATGTGTGGAAATAGAAGGCAAGTGTAGAGGCTTATGTTGCTTGGTGTAGACATAGGACCCACAAAATGAGCTTATACATAATAAACTTATTGATAAAAAAAATCACATCACTACACATATATACATATACCTTTCTGATTGTATGGACCACCATTTTGAAAGTGTCTTTTTGCCACACCATTCTTATTTAGTTATCCTTAAGATTTATGGGAACTGGCAGAACGTAGAGGGTTGTTCTCAAAAGACAGGCTTCCTTAAGATTAGATCTGCTAACAGCAAATAGCTATACAAGTTTTCACAATGTTAATAGATATTCTTGAAACCATAATTACTTTTAAGATTCTAAACCATGAATTTTTACAGTGAGTTTTCAGGCTTTGGGTTGCTGAAAATATTTTAGGGGAGCGATATCACCATATGGCAGTTGGATGAAAACGACGTGGTGATGGTCGCACAACATTATGAATGTACTAAAAGCCACCGAATTATACACTTTAAAATGGTGAATTTTATGTTATGTAAGTTTTACCTCAATTTAAAAATTAAATGCAAAAAGACATTTGATATTTTATATATATGTAAATATATATGCTGGGCAAAGCTATTTGGAAGATGAAGAAATAGAAAATTGTTTTTATTTTTATTTTATTTTTTTTTTTTTGAGACGGAGTCTCGCTCTGTCGCCCAGGCCGGACTGCGGACTGCAGTGGCGCAATCTCGGCTCACTGCAAGCTCCGCTTCCCGGGTTCACGCCATTCTCCTGCCTCAGCCTCCCGAGTAGCTGGGACTACAGGCGCCCGCCACCGCGCCCGGCTAATTTTTTGTATTTTTAGTAGAGACGGGGTTTCACCTTGTTAGCCAGGATGGTCTCGATCTCCTGACCTCATGATCCACCCGCCTCGGCCTCCCAAAGTGCTGGGATTACAGGCGTGAGCCACCGCGCCCGGCCGAAAATTGTTTTTAAAACACAGGTTGAAAGACCTTTTTTGGAGGGGCTGGGAATTTATATATATATTAAAAACAGACTTATTGAATAAGTGGCTATTCAACCTAGGCTCTGTCTTCATTCATTAATCACAGTGATGGCAAATAGCAGTATCTATTAAATAAATAGTTGGATCTGCTCAGCTGCTCTGGGTTAAGACTGCACCTTGGGCAGTTAATGTGCGACCTTTGGCAAGATAGCTAGACTGTGTATCTCAGTTTTCTTATCTGAAGAACGAGTATAATAATAGTATACCTCTACCGAGATGGTGTATATCAGCATTTCTCAACCATTGGCTACACATTAGGGTGCCCTTTTGTTGCTGTTAAGCTAAGTTCCCAGGTGATTCTAATGTGTAGCCAGGATAGAGAAGCACTGGTATATAATGAGCATGTTAGCAGCGTGCCTGCTACATGGTACACAGTAAATAAGTGGTCATTTTATAATGTTGTTGAGGACTTCATCACTTATATCCTTTTACAAGATTAAAGTACATCTGTTATAGCACAAAATGGGAGGCTGCGAGAAAGAATGTTGGGGGAGAAAATATTTTTCCAAGATATGCATATTTTGTTCAACAAACAGCATTACATCTTCTATGGTCAATAGGTAGACCATTCTATTTTAGAAGAAGCCCTCTGCTTTTTGTTTAATGAAATTTCCCTCTATGGCTAAGTCACCTAATGTTCTTGAAATATCTTATTTATTAGCAGTTTGTAGATTCTCAAGAACCATTCTGCTTGGTGTCCTTCGTTGGTGTGAAGGTATCATGTTTTAGATAATGAGGATACCACTGTTTAAAAACACAAACACAAAATTTCATTTCAATAATTATGTGCAAATAAAATATAGTATCCTTGGTTCAATGGATTCATCATTAATTGTATTGCTAAGATGAGATCTGGTGAACTGGAAGACTTGCGCTTCTTATCTACTCTCACTGGGGCTCCGTTTCTTTGTGGATAAAACAAAGGGGTTAAACCAAATGATCTGCAGATTTCCCTTTATATCTAACATTTTGTGAGTCAGTGAGTACACACTGAATTTGGAGGTGTTAGGTTTGATGACAGCTTATGCTATAGGCATCCCAGGCAGCAAGAAAACTTAGGAGCTAACCTCCTGGTCACGGGGCTACGATAACTTTCCCTGCTTCCATGCTGTAATCCTCCCATGGGATCTTATTTTTTTTTCTGATGTTATTTGCTGGTTCTGATGTCCTTCCTTTCACCTTGTTTAGCTCTTATTTTTTATGACTCTTTGCCATCTAGGGATAAACCGGCATAGTGGAATAGTACAGGGGATGTTATATAAAATATCTTTCATAAGAAGGGTCTGGTGTGGGTGAGGATCACTATTATAAACATACCCATGAGGTCAGCTTGCACTACAGTGGGGGAGAAAGCAAGCTAGGGAAGAGAATGCTTTGCCTTTGCCAAATAAAAGTCAACCAGGCACTGTGCTTTTTTCTGTACAGCTATCTCACTTAATTCTTGCCTCCTCCATCTAAGGTAGCTGGTATTATTTTTCTTCCTTTCACAGATGAAGATACTGAGGCCTAGGGAGGTTTATTAACTTCATTCATTCAACAAAGATTTTAGTGCCTGCTATGCGCATTATAGGTGCTTGGAATAAAGCTGGGAACAAAAATGACACACATTTTAGTAAAAGAGAGAGGTAATAAAGCAAATTAACCAATAAATAAGACAATGTCAGGTTGCAGAAGATTTCATGAAGCAAGTGAGTCACAACGACTTGCCCAAAGTCCCATTGCTAGTGAATGGTAGAGGTTCCATTTGAACACAGACATCATTTTTTGGCTGCACTACTAAAGTATTAGAATTGCAAAGTAGTTACCTCTTCTAAGGCTGTCTAGAAAGATGCCAGAATGTGGGAATGAAAAGCTCAGGAGAAAGAGCTGTTCAAAGCAACCATTACTAAATGCCTTTTTTTCTTTGCATTCCTGTGAGATGAAATTTTTTTTCTCTTTGCCCACATGACACTGGTAATTACAACAGTTCCTGATTCTGTACTGTGCAGTATTTTAGTATGTAATATCACTAACATTTATTAGAATGTGTTTCTAAGTAAATAATGTTAAATGCTTTTCTGATTTCTTAAGTGTGGTTTTCAGAAACATCCTCAAATTTTTTCCCCTGTGGCGATGTATCTGTCATACCCAATTTCTGATAAATGTATCCACTCTATGAAATTAGAAAAATGTGTGCTGAAAACAGATGTAGATATTGTTAAACATGAAATAGCCTGGACTTTGGGCCAGGCATTTGGAAGCGTGATTATAGTCATTCTGTGGATAAATGGTAGAGAAGTAGGTAAAGGCTTCTATTAAAAAAGAAAGAGCAGTAAAAAAAGTGGCCTACAAGCCTAGAGTCTAGTCTGTGGACATGCACAGTAATAGCTTTTAGATACTAAAAAACTCGGAACGTCATGTTCTGCCCTCAAGAAAAAAAATCAGGGTTAGGAAACCTAGTGATTGCTACCATTAGATAAAGATTAGAAAGGCCCGAATACTTTTTATGTCTAAAAACTTTGTTCAAGTTATATATTCTTTTAGTAAACATAGTGATTAGTAAATATTATGCTTGATTGTTTTTATTCATCATTTCAACTCTCTAGAAAAAAAATAGAATGAAATATAAGGGAGAGTGCTTCTTTATAGGTCTTGGTTGTTGGTGCCAAGGAAGGTGTCCCCAGACCATATAGCCACAAACTCAGTGGTACAGATGCTCTATTTTCCTCAGAGAAAACAACCTCCAAGAAGAAATAAAAAGCTTCAGAAGGACAAACCTTGGAAAATTCAACTTATAAAATAATGACAATGATCATATCTCCACTTATGCATCATGCAGAGCTCATGTAACCACTTAGTTTTTAATTGAAAACATGTTAAGAACCTGGTTCTTAATGTGTTTCATTATTCATTCTTGAGCTTTTGTGAGATGTTCTTCAAGATCCCCTGAAGATAAGTAACCCCTTGTTTCCTATTTAAAATGGATACAGCAAATAAAAGGAGACTTTACATATGTATATTTCATAGGATGTTCCCTAGTCTTATTCTTGACTATGTTTTTTAAACAGATGCTCAATATTTTGACAAAAGCCAATCTAACATTCCTACGTTATGTATATTGCTTTGAAAGCACACTTTTCCCTAATAGCAATTAGTAGTCTTACAATGAACAGCACAGTTAATTTCTCAAGCAGCATAACTTGCATTGATTTCATAAATTTGAGGGTTAACTTTAAATTGTTTCTATAATAATTTTTTTAGTATTCACCACCAAGTCTGCACTGGTCAGCTCAGGCTCCAGGGAATTCCGTATCTATCTTGTACACTCAGTTCATCTTTTACAACTATATTGGCCAACTTGCAAATTTATGTGTAGTATGCCTGGATGGTTATGCAGAGAAAGCAGCTACTCTCTGGGGGCTAATGTCTCTTCTCCACCAATCAGAATGCAGTTCATGATTCATTAGGTTTGTTGGCTAGATTATTTAACTTAATTCAATATAAATTATTTAATTCCTAAAGCCTTCCTGGTATTCAATATGAATGAAACAATTATTCCTGGACACAATCATCCAAATAACACCACACAGTTTTACCAAGCCCCAAGATAGTCGTTAAATCCCAGCTTTCCACTGCTTTACATAAACTACTTATGCTGAGTTTTTGAGGGTATAATGTTACTGAAATTGTTTGGATTCAATAAGGGACTATATGTTATTCTATATTTAATGAGAGAACATCCCAATTACATAGCAATGCGGGAAATCATAAAATATTTCTAGGTAGCAACTTTGCCCTTGTTTTGATAGCTTATTTTCTTTTGTTATCTATTCTTGCCCATGGGGAAAGGAACGAGTCTATTTTTTCCAAGTGTAAGACTGCTGCTGAGAAGCATTCCAAGAGATGGCTAACCGTCTCTTGACATCATTCCTAGCCAGTGAGTGGCTGGTGTAAGAAACACATATGGTCAGTATATTTTCCCCCTTGAATGTAATTTATATGACATGTGTCCCCAAACAGGGTGTGCTTTGTCTTAGACTGGGTTTCCTTGGAACAGACTCAGAGGCAGAGAATTGTACACTTCCTGTAGGGATTTGAGGAAGTCAGGATTGGTAGAGGGACAAGCTCAAGTGCAATTGCAATGCTGTTGCCACTGAGTCTCAGCCAGTTGTCTGGTGCATGCTGGAGATGGGACAGCATCCACAGATGTCTTGAATTGAAACAAGAGGGTGGGGCCTATGTATCCTCGCATCATCTAGTCATTGGCTGTGGGTGGCTCCCTGGAGTGGAGCATGGCCCTGTGGCAAAGGCAGTTTCCAGCAAACTCTCCGCAGTCGGTATTCCCAGCAGCTGGAGAAGTGAGTAGCTCAGTGCTAAGGGGAGATCTTGGAGCACCGCCTATCCACTACCCTATTCTAAAAAATATCCGGTGAGGGATACTGACAGACTAGATGAGGAGGAACAGCAATGTTTCTTGTATACACAGTCTCGGTTCTTCTCCCTCAACAAAGCTCAACTTAAATCTGTAAAAACATACGTATTACCCTTCTTTTCCCTTTCCCTTCTTTCCTTCCTTTGTCCTAAACAAACCCAGGAATGCAATCAGGTAAACTCCAGAAGAATTTTGGCCCTGGAGAATATCAAACTGTGGCGTGTGCTTCCTGTGAGACCAGGCTGGAAACATCAGAGATGGAGTTACCAAAGTCTGCTTAGAGTCCCATGAATGAAAGAGCACTTGAAAAAGAGAAGAAGAAAAGGAGGCAGAAAGGAGCTGTTTGGTTTAAGAGGGGTTGTAGGTCATAAGCTGCAGTCCATTTCTTCTGCTCATTACTCCTTACTGAAGCAAGCAAGGTGCACCTGTGTGTGCTCACACTTGCATTTAGCTAGCCACACTAGATTACCCTCTCTAGTCTCAAAGAAGGCTCCTTGCAGCTCTCAGAGAGACGAACAAGTTTTTGCTGTCAAGGTCTTCTCTGCTCACTACACCCCTCTACCCTTATACCTGTCCTACTGCTTGCTTTTCCATGAGTCTTTTTCTTATTCATTTATTCGTGGTCATTAATTTATTGTTTATTGAACTCCTACTATATACCAGCCCTATTCTGAACATCCTGATTCTTGACTGACTGCCTGGAACTTTTTAAAAAAGGATTATCTTATTTATTTATTTATTTATTTATTTATTTATTTAAAGAGATGGAAGTATCACCATGTTGCCTACGCAGGTCTCGAACTCCTGGGCTCAAGCAATCCTCCTGCCTCAGCCTCCTGAATAGCCAGGACCACAGGTATGCGCTATCGTTCCAGGATTGCCTGAAATTTTTGGCACCTGTTTTGCTTCCCTTCTGGCTGTTGTCTGTTTGTCTGACATCTGACTCAGCTGTCTCTGATCTTTGTTGTCTGTGTGGGTGTTAGATTTGGTTAATCCTCTTGCTTCTGATCAGAAACCTCTGGTTTTGCTTAACAAGCCTGGCCTGACATCTTCATCCCCAGTAAGTGGTTTATGAAAACTGCTTTGGCCTTCAAGTCCCATCTCCTCTGATCACAAATTTTCTGCTGTCACCTCTGAGCCATTGTCATCCAAGGTGAGCAAAGGGTAAAAATAGCCCTAGTGAGAATGGCTATGGCAGATGCTGAATGGAAAAGCCAAAATGTGGAGGCTGAGAACAACACTTAGGAATGTGAAAAGTGGAGACACTGAAACGGGACTAGCAGTTTGTTATTCATAACAAATGAATCATTTGACTTTGCTCCTTTCTCCATCTCATTTCTCTCCCAGGGACTGATCCTAATGAAACAATTGTGCTACATTAGTTTGGAAAACATTTTGAAGTTTCTGGTTTTATTCTGACCTAATAGATTTAGATCAACTGAATCACGGCTTAAAGTGGTTCATTTAGTTGTTTTTGTTTTTGTTTTTTGTTGTTTCTTGGAAGATCTTTTTATGTCTTTGCTTAACAGTATTGAATTTTTGTTTTGTGACTTGGTTCAATCCAAAGGTTGTAGTGTAACCACATCTCCCTAAGTGTGTTGGGTGCATTAACTCCTTTAACTCCACAACAGCCCCGTGATGTAGGTGCTGTTATGTTCAATTTACAGATAAGGATACAGAGGAACAAAGGGTAACTTGTCCTCTGTCGCCGGGAAACCCCACTCCAAAGGCTATGCTCTTATCCGTTAAGTCATACCACCTGGATAGAAATATGCACTCAAAGATAATTGCAAAATTCAATGATACATGCCTATTTTGTTTTGAATGCCCTCCTGCTACTCCCTCATGTTTATGTTTCTTACATAATCTCTGTTCTGTTTATTCAAGCTGGTAGGCCATGGTGGTGAAAATTCACTTGCTTTGCTGCTTAAACTCAGAAACCTCCTTTTCTGTCTCACTTCTTTATTGACTTTTCATCTGTTTTCTATTTTCACTTGAAGATGTATCTGCAGTCCCTTGACTATCCCTATTAATTTTTTCCCCTTGCCATGGTTTGTTTTTCATTTAAATTTTGTAATAGCGTTATTTGAGTTAGTAAAGATAGAACTTTTATGAAAGCCTCAATACCAAAATTAAGTTGCATTGCAAGGTACTATGGGTAAAATTGGAAGGACGGGCATTTAAAATCTCTATTGAGGTTCTCTAACTGAGTCTATTTGAGGCTAATGCAATAGTTTGTGCTTGATTTATGATGATATATTCTGAGGTATAAAATGCTGTTTGTAAATAGTTTAATAAAAGGCTATTGCTCCAAATTCCAAATTAGCAGTGAAGGTGATTTCTATTAGAGAAGACATTTGTGGAGGATTTTGTTCTTGCTGCTTAATAAAGTGAGTTCTTTTTCTCAATACAATACACACTGCTGAATTGTAGCACAGCTCTGGGGACCTGCTGTTGTATGCAAGAATAAAAACATATCTCTGCTCATTGTTTATTTACTACATTTTGGGGTACATATGGCAAAATAATTTTCCTTACAGTTCCCAGTTCAGTTTTTTCTCTTGATTATGTGTTAAAAATTTGGGTATAAGTTTCTGCAGTATCTCAGTTTAACCATGTGAACCTCCAAGCCTCCTTTATTAAATGACATTTCTAGTATTTTAATGAGGGTTTGACATTTTCAAGTTACAGTTTTGTTTTATTTTTATATTCCTTGAAGTGACTTTCATGCTGCCATCGTGTGCTGCTGATTTACAATTTCTAAAGGTGCTTGGAGACACCTTTTCAGAAGGAAGAAGTACATCAGGAAATCATTCAGGATTCTCAGTGTTAGTGTTCAGAGGAGTGTATTTTTTTAATGACTTGCAAAGTTTTACATGTAGGATTTCTGTTCTGAGCAACATCAAGTGCTAGATTCTTTTAAAATGGCAAAGGCCAAACATGATTTAGACCAGGGCTCGCAAAATTCAAACACCTGGAGGGCTCAGTGGGAGACATGAGTCACAGAGGCAGGCCCAGAGGACTGTGGAGGCTGTGGAAGGCATGCCCATCCATAGATGATAGCTGTACATTTGCCCTTTCTGATGGTCGCTATGAGGCAAAGTCCAGCGTCATTCAGTTTTTTAGTATTTCAAGGGAATTTGGGAATAGGGATGTTTGAATGAAATATTCTGACTTTTAACTCTAGCTTATTTCTGGTCCAGCATACAACTGGACACAAGTACTATGTTCACAGTGAATGGGTGATGCTTCCAAACATTCAAGAAGGAAAGGCATGGTTGGAGATTGTCTTTCAAATGACCCAGACAAAATGAACCTTTTTCTAGGAATCTTCAATTGCCCACTTAGGGCAAAGCATTGTGTGGCATCACTCTGAAGTGGTAAAAGTGATCAAGCTTCACCCTCATTTTTCAAATAACTCACAGTCTAGAGGGAAGTCTAAGACATGACAAACATAACTAAAATGTAGGTTGAAGTCATATAACTTCCAAAAGGGATATTCAAGTGAAGTTCAAAGGAAGGAGAAGTCACGTCTGATTGGTGAGACCAGGGAAGGATTAATGGCATTGAGATGAGCCTTGACAATTAATATAGAATTGTGGTAGATGTGGGCAGGAGGACTTTCCAGGAAGAAACTTTCCAGGAGAGTGGAGGTATGAGGTAGAAAAACGCAGGTGTGCAGGGATGCTCAGAGTGCAGGAACTAGACAAGTGTAAGACAGGAGAGCTGTTGGCAAGAAGGCAAGAAAGGGAGATTGAGTGCACTTTATGAGGACATTGAATGCTAGAAAGAGAAGAGTTTATACAATTATTTTGGTAGACAGAGGCTATCAGTGCTTTCTGACTTGGAGAATAGGATGCCTAATATTTTCTTAGGTGAAAAGTTAAAAGAACAGATAGCAAAATAAGAGAGGCAGTACTGTCTGTCACTTACTCAGAGGTTAAGTTCACTTTTAATCACTTGTTTTGTCCTCTTGATTGCAGCTTACTTTTTCATTCCCAGGTGAAACATCCAGGAGCCTCTGAGAGATGTAGTTTATGCCCAGGTCACTTTGCTTATGGTCTTCTAGCTGAGGTGTCAGCCTGGGGTGTTCAGCCCTGATGGTCTACTTGCAGCAGAATTGTGGATTCCCAAGGACCTCTCCTCCTTCTTCCTGGCTGTTAGAAGAATATTCCAGCCAGAGGAAACACTCAGTTGCAAGTACCTTGAGGTGGGAGCACACCTAACAGGAGCTCTTGAGTGAGGCTGCAGTGAAGTGAGTGGGGACAGAGTCACCAGATGAGATCAGAAAGTGATGGGCACCAAATCATGTGTGACATTGTGAGTGCAAGAGTTTGGCTTTTACATTAGTAAGATGGGAAACCATTGGAGGGTTTGGGGCAAGAGAGTAACATGGAGAATTTTGGACTTGAATTGATTTAATTTTCTTATCTTGTCACTTATTTTCCAAGTCTTGCTTTTTTTTATACTAATTTTTTGGAGATTTTCTCAACTTTGTTTTTCAGTCCATCTACAGATTTTTAATTTCTTCTGTAACATTTTTTAACTTCCCAAAACTCTTTCTTATTCTCAGACTTTTGAGTATCCCATTTCATGAATGTGTTATCTTCTCATTGTCTCAAATATATCGATTGCAGCTTCTGCAAGCTTTCCTTTTCTGCCCACCTTGACTTTTTTGTGAAAGTCACAAGGCTATTCTGGTTGTTTCAGGTTCTATCTTTCATATTAGAAGCTTTCCTTAAATACTGAAAGGTCCTTGGATATTTGTATGCATTTAACAACAAGGAACTTAAAAGCTGATTAGAAGTTTTCGTTGTGAATGTGGGACTTATAAAGTGATGGCTTCTCCAGGATGATAGGAAAGAGACCCAGCCATTTTATTGGAGGCACCAAATGCCAGTAAATATACATCTTTCTTTTAGGGCTCATCAATTTCCCCAGAGAGGAGAAATCATCTCATTTCATGCATGGGGTAGAAGAGGAGGAAGTGGAAAAGCTGTATGTTATCCTGAAATTCAGATTTCTGACATTTTGGTGGGGAGAGAGGACGAGGGGACCTCAGGGGCAGTATGAAGATATTATTCTGATTTCAACACAAGATGCTTCGTTTTGTTACACCTCCTTCTTTTCCCAAGGCTTGTCAGAGAACTCCTAGGAAGGTTTGTGCCCATCTTCTGGTCAGCTGTTAAGTTCTTTATGTCCCTGAAGCAGATTCAGATGCACCTTATGGAGGAGGGAAGAGGCCATAATTGTGATTGTTGTCTGTTCCTCATAATTCCTTTGCAGTGCTCTCCTGAAGTGGAGGCATAATGTCATTGCAGAAATGCCGTATCTGCTCTACTGCTATGTGGGATCATGGTATCCTGTGTATGTCCTCAGACCCTGAATCCTTCATGCTGTCTCCATGGCCTTAGTGGCAAGTCTCTGCTGACTTGCCCAGGCCTTGGAGGCTCCTTCCTCCTGTCAGGCTCATGATGAGGTAGAAGGTCCTTGCCCAAACTATCTTGGCCTTAAATATTTAAGCTGAAATAACAAGTTGAGTAAGAACCCAATCTATACTCTAGTAAAGTATATTATGCTGATAGTATTAATGTCCTGGATTTGTTCATATGCCACAGTTGTGTAATATCCTACTATTGGGGGAAGCTGGGTGATGGGACCTCTCTGTACTGTAATAAGTACAAAATAAAAATTTATCCGAACCTTCCAAAGTAAGGTGATGACCCACTCAAGGAGGACTTTCAGAGAAGGTGGACAAGAACCCCCTTGTGACTTAGCTGACTACTCACATTCAGCCTGTAAGAGAAGTAGGAGAGGGCAGGAAAGAAGTTCAGAGCTAGATATCAGGAAGAGAATTTCAGTGGAGAGATTGGTAATGTGAGTCTATGTGTCACCTCTCTTCTGTAGGGAAACTGACTAGTCCACAGACCATCCAGTTGGTTCTTTTCAAACAAAGCATCATTTGTCCAAAGACAAATTTCAATTTCTACCCTCAAATCCTACTTATAACCCTCAAATGCCTGTTTCCGGCATCAATAATTTAAGATCCAATCTCCCTCAATCCCCACAGTACATGAGATTTTGGAAGACCCTCAATTTAGTGATAGCTTAGTCAGCTCAGGTTGCTGTAACAAAATACCATAGACTGGGTAGCTTAAGCAACACACATTTATTTCTAACAGTTCTGGAGGCTGAGAAGTTTAAGATAAAAGTGTTGACAGATTCATTTCCTGGTGAGGACCCTCTTCCTGCCTTGCAGACAACCATCTTCTCACTGTGTCTTCACATGACAGAGAGAGAGAACAAACATGAGTATACTTAGGTGTCTCCCTCTGCTCATAAGGGCACTAATCCCATCATGGGAGCCCCACCCTCATGACCTCATTTAAACCTAATTGCCTCCCAAAGGCCCCATCTCCAAATAACATCACATGGAGGTTAGGGCTTCAAAATATGCATTTTGGAAGAACACATTCAGTTCATACAAATGAGCATGTGAAGAATGCAAGAGTTTTTTCTTTTTTTCTAAAGCTATTTCAACACTAGAGTTACTTGAGATGGCACTTACAATACCATAGAGCAAAGTTCATGTTCTTCAGTAATATCTTCCATAGTTTTAATGTACTTAAGACTAAAATGAATTTAATTGCCTGATGAAGAGTATTGTGAGAAAAATGCTAATGTAGCCTGCAGCACCCCATTTTTTGAGGTAGAGAAACAAGTACTTTGTACTTCCTTCTATGATAAAACTTACTAAGTCTTTCAGAAGGTCACAGCTTTCCATCTAGTTGCTAGCAGAGAATCTGGCTCTTAAATAGACTGCTAAAAGAATGCTAGTAGAATAAATGAAGAATGGTGCTAGAATGGTATTCCTTCCGTCTTTCCATTTAAAAACCCATATATCCTGAACCCTGGCCAACCCTTCACCAACTCTCACTTTCCTACCACCACACACACCTTGTAGCTTTGGACTTTGAGAGCAAAAAGTGAGAATTTATATGGAGGGATGAGAGAAGCAGGTTGGAGCTCTCCATGATCATTTAAACACAGAGTGAATTTAAGTTAGGTTTAAAGGCAGAATGCAAAACAAATGTCATATAGCACAAATTACCCTTGAAAATTTTTTCGAAAGGTACCATGTTGTGGATATGTAAAACGTAACTGGTGTTTCTTCCAGCATTGGAACAGCCTACTTCTGTTCAGCATCGGTGAAGTTGGCTTGAATTGAGGGGTTATATTGTATGAAAAAGATCTTTTTAAATGCTCAAATTAACTCCATATGGTGACGTGCTGTCACTATGAAAAGCACCCCAGGACCAAGACTTCCTGAAGGATTGCAATTTGCTACCTTCCCTCTCAGTCCCACCAGTGAGTAGAATTATAGAAAGAAATCTCATTCTCTCTTTGTCTCTCCTTCCTTCCCTTCCTCATTCAAATTTTTGGTTTGGCCCAGCATGCATAGTTGATTTCTCTCAAGTTAAAATGTGCCTATGATGAAATCTCTTTATACCCAGAAGTGTGGGAGGTAAATTGTATCTGGCAAAAGCCTTGCTGCTTGAATGGATCAGAGTAAGGCTCAGATCACCAGGGTGTACTCACCAGGATGTTGTAGGGAAGAGGGAGCCACAGATCACCACTCTGCCGCAGCCACTCTGGTCGGAGATGGGCACAACTGGTGTTCAGTTGTGGGAAACATAGAATTATGTCTACTGATTTTGATTTCAAGGGTTTTCAAGGAGCCCTGGGCATAACCACATGCTGATGTGGGACATACGTTTAGCATCGTGGAAGGAGCTTGGTATGGGGAGAAAGAACTAGGGTGGAATCCTGGCCTCACATCTTTCTGGCTGTGAGATATCTGGCAAAATGTGTGAGCAATGATTATGTAGATAATAATATATTATAGGGATGCCATGAGGATTAACATTTATGCAAGGCATTTAGCTCAAGGCCTGGGACATGCTAAGCACTCAAGATATGGCAGTTTTCTTGCTGTCTCCAAACGTGTGACAAGCCCTTTTCATGAGGTACAGTGATGGATGGAGGCAGGAGTACAATAAAAACAACAACAAAAAAAAACCAGGCCAAGCATGGTAGCTCACGCCTGTAATTCTAGCACTTTGGGAGGCCAAGGTGGGAGGATCACTTGAATTCAAGAATTTGAGACCAGCCTGGGCAACACAGCATAAACCCCGTCTTTACAAAAAAATATAAAAATTAGCTGGGCATGGTAGCACGTCTGTGGTTCCAGCTACTTAGGAGGCTGAGGTGGGAGGATCGCTTCAGCCTGAGAGGTCGAGGCTGTAGTCAGCCAAGATTGTGTCACTGTACTTCAGCCTAGGTGAGAGAGGGAGACCTTGTCTCAAAAACAAACAAACAAACAAACAAATAGAAAGTCATCCCAACTAACACCACTTAGACACCACACAATCAGACTTGATTAAAGGATTGGCAAAGAGGAGGTAGTTAGTATAGAGACCACTAGACTGTGATCAAGAGGCCTTGCCTCT